>NC_000021.9:29894954-30524877 GCF_000001405.40 Homo sapiens | reverse complement strand
GAAATGAAGTATCAGTAGCCTTCCCTGCAAGAAATGTTAAGAAAAAGATTTTCAGTCATAGGAAGATGGTTAAAAACCTTGGATCTATGTAAACAAACGAGGAGCAACAGAAGAAATGAACGGAGAAGAAATGAAAGAAGGTAAATTGTTTAATTTTTCTATCCTTAATTGCTTTAACATAACTGTTCAGTTAAGGCAAAAATAGTCACAAGGTATTAGTTAAAAGAGAATATAGATAAGTGAAACGTTATAAAGAGAGGTGAAAGAAATTTGGGATATTCTATTAGTAGGTACATGTAGTAAATGTGAATTGCTATGCTATTATTTGAAGGTGAACTTATATTAGTTAAGAACATATATTGTAAACTCCAGGGGAAACACTAAAAATAAAAATAGAAATAAGTATAATTGATATACCTTTCAAGAGGGCAGATAAAATTCAATCATATAAATTATACATTTAATACCAGAAAAGGAAGAAAACATAGGAAAATAGAAATAAAGACCTAACGCTATGAGTGGAAAATAGTCACAAACATAACAGATATCAATCTAACTATATTAATAATCACCTTAAATGTAAATGATATAAATAAAGCAATTATAAAACTAAGCTTGCCAGCATGGGTTAAAAAAAAAAAAAAACTTTATACACTCAGGACCCAACTACATGGTGACTATAAAAGAAAAACACACTCTGACTACCAAGATTCAGGTTGCGGTAAAAGAATTAAAAAAAATTCCATGAAAACATTAATCAAAAAAAAAAAGCTGAGGTTCCTATATTAATTTCAAGTAAAGAAACTTCAGGACAAGGAAAGTTATCAAGAGAAAAAAAAGCATTAAATAAAGGTTAAAGGATCAATTCTTTAAAAAAGTATAACAATTTTAAACTGTATATACTTAACGTAAGAGTGTAAAAACATATAAGGCAAAAATTGATTAAAGTGAAAGGAGAAATCGGCAAATTCAATATTGTAATTGGAGACTTCAGTACCCTTCTGTCAATAATTGATAGCTTGAGATAGCAGGAAGTCAGTAAAGATACAGATGGTGATATTGTTTGGCTGTGTCCCCACCCAAATCTCATCTTGACCTGTAGTTCCCATAATCCTCATGTGTTGTAGGAGGGACCCAGTGGAAGGTAATTGAATCCTGGGGGTGGCTACCTGCATGATATTCACATGATAGTGAGTGAGTTCTCATCACATCTGACGGTTTTATAAGGGTCTTTTCCCTGCCTTTACTCTGCACTTCTCCTTACTGCCACCATGTGAAGAAGGACATGTTTGCTTCCCCTTCTGCCATGGTTGTATGTTTCCTAGGGCCTCCCCAGCCCTGGGGAACAGTGAGTCTATTGAACTTCTTTCCTTTATAAATTACCCGGTCTCAGGTATGTCCTTATTAGTGGCATGAGAACAGACTAATACAGATGGTGTGAAGAGTACACATCATCAATTTGCTATAATTCACATTTTTAAAGCATTCCATCCAACAAAAGCAGAAAACATTTTTTCTCAAGCTTACTCAGAACATTCATCAAGATAGGTAACATTGTGGGCCATAAAATATATCTTAACAATTTTAAAAGAATAGAAAACACACAAAGTATGTTCTTAGATTACAGAATAAATAAACTAGAAATCAATAATGGAAAGATACATTCCCACATGTTTGAAAAGTAAAGCAGCACATTTATAAATAGCACACAAATTTTTTAAAGTATCAAGTGCGCGTGAAAAAAGATACATTGAAACAAATGAAAAAAGACAGTGGAACTTGTTAAAATGTGGATGTAGCAAAAGTAGTACTTAGAAATGTAAAGCATTATATGTATTTATCAAAAAAGAAAAAAAATAAACCTTACAATCAATAACTTCAGTCTACCTTAGTAAACTAGAAAAAGAACAATTTAACCCTAAAGCAGATATCACTAAACTTGTAAACAGAATAACAATAGGAAAAAATCAACAAATCCAAAAGCTGTTTCTTGGAAAAGATCAATAATTGCTAGGCCTCTGGTCAGGCCAGACAAGAAAAAACATTAAGAAAAAAATGACTAATATTAGAAATGAAACAGGTGTCATTACCACTAATCCTATAGACATTAAAAGAATAATAAGAAACTTAAAAACAATTCTATACCCACAAATTTATTTATTTTTACCTTTTATTTTAGATTCAGGGGTACAGTGCAGGTTTGTTACACAGGTAAACTCATATCACAGAGGTTTGTTGTACAGATTATTTTGTCACCAAGGTACTAAACCAGGTAACCAGTTTTTTTCTACTCCTCTCCCTCCTCCCATTCTTCACCTTCAAAGAGGCACCAGTGTCTGTTGTTCCCTTCTTTGTGTTTATGAGTTTTCATCAGTTAGCTCCCACTTATTAGTGAGAACATGTGGTATTTGATTTTCTGTTCCTGCGTTAGTTTGCTAAGGATAATGGCCTCCACTCCATCCATGTTCCTGCAAAAGATGTAATCTTTTCTTTTTAATCTATGCTCACAAATTTAATAACTTAAATAAAATGGATGAATTCCTTTAAGCCACAAACTACCAAAACTCACATGAAAGGAATAGATTATATATATATATGTATATATATATATATGTGTGTGTGTGTGTATATATATATATATATGTAACTCAACTAATAATTGAAAACCTTCTGAAAATAAGCACTTGGTCCAGTACCTCCCTGATTTCACTGGGAATTCTACAAAACATACAACAACAACAACAAAAAAATACCAATTCTTCATAATGACTTCCAGACTTCCAGAAAATAGAAGCAAAGAGAACACCTACAAATTTATTCTATTAGGACAATATTGTTCCATTATCAAAATCAAAGACGTTAGCAAAAAAGAAAATTACAGAACATTGTCTCTGATATTTGTTGTAAAAATCCCAATCAAATAATGGCAACTCTAATTTAACAATCTTTAAAAATAATCTTATGACCAGATAGGATTCACTTATGCATGCAAGCCTGATTCAATATTTGAAAATGTGACCCACCATATTAACAAGCTAAAAGGGAAAAAATTAGATTATATCAGCAGATGCAGAAAAGTTGTTTAAAGATATGATTCCCTATTATGTCAAAAACTTTTCTCAAACTGAGAATTAAGGATAACTTCTTCAACTTGATAAAGTTAAAAAAACTACAGCTAATTAATCAGGAGAAACTACATACTTCATCTTTAAGATGTGAACAAAGCAAGTATGTCCTTTCTTATCATTCTAATTCAACATCATGTTGGTGGTTTTAGCTACTGCAGTAAGATATACAGATCAGAAAGGAAGATATAAAACTGTCTTTACTTACAGATGATCTGATTGTCTAGTATATCTAACCCAAAATAATCTACAGAAGAAACTCTTGAGAGTAGTAAGTGAGCAGAGAAAAATTACAGGATACAAGTCCCATATATTAAAGTCAATTGCTTTCATACAAATGTGTGCATATATATTTGCCATTAACCTCAATAAACAATTGACATTTGAAATTAAGAGGAAAAAATACCACTTACAAAAACATTCACAAATGTTTAGGAAGTTATGAGAATCTCAGGATGGAATATAGATGTAACAAAAGTATCTGTTTGTGAAATGTGAGATAATCTCCCTTAATAGGTGGAATGTTGACCTTAGAAACTTTGCAAATGAGGGGAGTTTCAAGTCCTAGCTATTTCATGAGTCCTCCTGTAGCCATTTGTTGATTGAATTAATTATTTCCTTCTGTTTGAATCCACTGCTTTTTCAAGAACACTTATTACAGTTTTCCTTCATTAGATGAGGTTATACTCATGTATCTCCCTTACTAAATTATAATCAACTGGAAGAAAGGGAGTTTTTTCTTTTGCATCCTGTGCTATCTATAGAATTTTCTTTAGAGAGTCATCATGTGGCTATATTATTCTTTAATCAGGCCTCAAATGAGGTATACATAATATTTATAATTTAGGCTTCTCTGAAAAATTCAATTCAGATGGTTACATAGACTATGCCCATACCAATCTCAATGTGTATACTGGAGATGATTAGAAAATCAAATGGTCTTTAATTTCACTGTTATTCTTTTTTTTTTTTTTTTTTTTTTTGAGTTGGATTCTCTCCGTGTCGCCCAGGCTGAAATGCAGTGGTGCGATCTCGGCTCACTGCAAGCTCTGCCTCCCGGGTTCATGCCATTCTCCTGCCTCAGCCTCCCGAGTAGCTGGGACTACAGGCGCCTGCCGCCACACCTGGCTAATTTTTTGTATTTTTTAGTAGAGACAGGGTTTCACCATGTTAGCCAGGATGGCCTCGATCTCCTGACCTCGTGATCCGCCAGCCTCCGCCTCCCAAAGTGCTGGGATTACAGGCGTGAGCCACCGCGCCCAGCCCTTCACTGCTATTCTTAACTGATTCAAAGGAAGATTTCCATGTCACAAGGAATAATTCGTTGTTCCTCTCATTTTTGTGTTCACTGTGAGTTAAAGTAAGGAGATTTTCCTGATAAATGTCAAGTGAAAATATCTGATACACGTTAAATTCTTCATCTTTCCTGTTTGCTAAAAATTTGTTTCCAAATTCTGTCTTCAAAATGAGCTCCTTCTTAAGCCATGCCCCCAAAAGCACAGAAACTCACAGTGGGTCATTTTATACAGATGGACTCAGTTGCTCCTTTGGGGAATAAAATAGAACTCACACTGGGTTTGGATACTCAGAGGCTTTTTTCCACAACAGTTAATTTTGAAAAACTATTGAGATGCTTTTTTCCCAAAATTTCCTTTGTTCACATGAGTTCTCATTCATGTTGGTTCCATATTACAGACTTGGGTATATTATTACATTACCTCTATTTCCCCTAGGCCTATACAAACAAACAAATTGCCAAATCTCTTTTAATATATCGAGGCTACTTATTTTTCCCATTACCTACCAACTCTGACCTCTCTTTTAAGCATTTTACAGAGGTATGAAAAGAGTTACAAAGTGGAAACATTGAAGACAATAAGTTATTTCAAGGATGAATCTCACTTAAAGGATAAAAAGTCAAGTAATTCATATTCTGATTAATTACATATTGAGTAGATGACCTGCTGGGATATTAGAAGTTTCTTTACTTAAATAAAGAAGACTTGGTAAGATTGATTATGTACTTCTCCTAGGATACCTCTGAGGGCTTTCTGATTACCTGCAGTAAGAGTCTGGCAAACTTTTTCTGTAAAGGGCCGGGCAGTAAATGTTTTAGAATTTCTGGCCAAATATTCTCCAGCAAAACTATTCAATTATACTGTTGTAGTAAGAAAGCAGTCATAGATGATGTACAAATAAAGAGCATGCCTGTGTTTCAATAAAACTGTATTCATAATTATAGGGACTGGCAGGATTTGACTCTCTGGCTATAGTTTGCTGACTTCAAACCTAGATGATAAAATTAGAAAAAATTAATGGACATACAAATTTTTAAAAATCTGACCTTTTTTTTTGCCTCATCTTATGCTAATTTCTCACACACTCTGTATTCTATCATTATTTAACTCTATTCTACATACTTTCATGGCTCCACAGTATGACACTTACTTTTTCTCTTATTATGAAAGGTCATTTTTCCTTTTTTACCCCCAACCTGTTACATTCTTATTCATTCTTCCTGAAAGATCTAATGCATTCATAATTGGGTTCATAGGAAGTTTTCTGGGTTGACTGCCTCATGTATGAGTTACTTCTTGGGTGACTAATCATCCCAGTTTACTTGGGCTGAAAATCTTTCCAGCACTTGATATAGCCGGTGCTCAAACTGGCACAGTCCCAGCAAAACCAGGATGGCTGGGCACCCTAGCTGCTCCACCTTCAGCTCTCTTAAATATTTAGATTTTTAGATTCTACCACAACTTTGACAATATTGAATTATAACACACATACTTTATTTCCTACTGATTTTAATAATAGTAAACTCTGTAACAGAAGAACCAGGTATGATTCACCTTTTATTGTATATATATACATATATATATGTGTGTATATGTATGTACATGTGTATGTAAATGGCATTAGAACAAAGTTGAGAGAAAGGATGGAAGAAAGAAGGGAGAATAGAAAAAGGGAGGAAGAAAATAATATCTTTTAGTAAATAAACTATAAATGAAATAATAAAGTATATTTTGCTTCAATAACCAAATAAAACATAGCAAAATTATAAAAGTGTTTTAAACTTGTAAATCTAAAGAATATTTTGGAAGAAACAATTTACTTTTTTACTACTCTTTAATATAAGAAATGGAAGTATCATTGACAGAAGAATATGAAAATGTGCTATTTCTTGATTTTACTCGAACATAAATCATAAATATTAAATAAATACTAGTCTTATTGCTTGCCTACTAGAATTTGAAGCTCAAAATTCCCACCCGTAAAATACTTTTACCCAAAGATTAAAACAAGATTCAGGACATAATGTTAAAATGCAACATGAGCTGTTTTACAAAATTTGAACAACAGAAAACTTGTTACATTAAATGCCATATCAATGAAGCACATTATATAGCATTGCAACTTTAAGGAATAATAGACCTCAGATGTGTCTTAGAAATTGAAAAGAGAGAAATAATGCACTTCATTTGATCTAGAGAAAAATAAGTGGTCAAGGAAATAAACTGAATTGGGAGCCACACCTCAGGTGATGTAATTAGAGGGCTACCTGATGCCCTGAAGACTCACGTGGAATTTCCTGGAGAATTAAGTCATGGTTGACTTTGCAAAGTCCATCAACTTTACTCATTATGGGCATAATAGGTTTGGTGGAAAGCAAGCTCAGTAGGAAAATTAAATTAAAAATTTAAGCTTCCTTATTTGAGTCTCTTCTAATTAAGAAAATAGTCTAATTGGATTTCTATATTACAACAGTCTTGAATAAACTTGAAGTAAATTAGTGTGGTTTGCCACATCTACCACTGAGGGACTATCAAAGCAACTCTGCAGGTGTTAGTTCACATGCAGAGGAACTTAGACAACCTTCAACCACACTCACAGATCTTGTGACACTATGGACTACTTTCTTTGGAGGCCTGGGCTTAGGCAAGAAAGGCCTGGACTCTGGTACTTGCTGTAGTGTGGGAGCATCTGATGCTTAGGCTCTAGCTAAGGAGGTCTTGGCTATTGTTCTGGCTTCAGGAGATGTGGATTTGACTTCTACTGAAAAATTTGTTCATGTTTCTTGACCCTAGAAACAGAAAGCTCAATTTCTAGATCCTTTAATCTAAGGGGTTTTCTAGTAAGTTCTTTTTGGATTCTGTAAAAGCCTACATAACCCTAATTGGAAAATTCCACAAGAACTAGGAGTGGCAACAGCTGCAGTCGCAACAGAGTGAACAGCATGATTGTGGATCCTATAGTCAAAACTCATATTTATCTCAGAACCCTTAAATTACTAATATGTAGTTATTGATTCCATCTCTGTAGTGATGTTTCATTAAAGCTTTTAATGAAATCATAAGTTCACCCCTCTCCCCACTGATGAAAAATAAAGAACATTCCCAATTAGAAAATTAAATTTCCCATTTGGAGTGGGATTTTTTTTTCCCCCAGAGTTACTTCCTTGGACATCACTCTTTCAAGTGATTGAGGCAAGATATTCCAAGGAATATTTGGACTTTGCTTATTTGATAGAACTTAATTTTTCAAAAGAGTTACAGATTAAGAGTGCTAAACATTTCATGTGTTTGGAATACAAGTAATATTAATATTGACTCTTACAAATACACTTCAGGTTTCAGGTGATCCTTCTTTTCAGTGTTAAATGAGGGTAAATAGAAAAATTGTGGCACTAAAAGAATTCCAGTTTTGGTGCATTCTTAGCAGAGTTAGAGAAACTTTGTTAAAGAAAACGTTCTTCCTTAGGAAGTTAGAAGCTTAAAGAGTAGGAAAGAAGACATAAGCTCTTGCATTTGGACGAAGGCTTACTAATCTAGCAATGTGTATTAGTCCATTCTCATGCTGTCAGTAAAGACATACCCAAGACTGTGTTATTTACAAAGGAAAGAGGTTTAATGGATTCACAGTTCCACATGGCTGGGGAGACCTCAAAATCATGGCGGAAGATGAAGGAAGAGCAAACGGATGTCTTACGTGGCGGCAGGCAAGAGAGCTTGTGCAGGGGAACTTCCTTTCATAAAACCATCAGATCTCATGAGACTTATTCACTACCACGTGAACAGCATGGGAAAGGCCCACCCCCATGATTCAATTACCTCCTACTTGGTCTCTGCCACGAAACATGGGAATTATGGGAGCTACAATTCAAAATAAGATTTGGGTGGAGACACAGCCAAACCATATCAAAGCATCAGAGAAAGAAAGTTAGACTTTTCCAAAGCAGAGCATTAGTGAACTTCTAGATGAAAAGCAGAAACCCCTGTGATATGATTTGGCTGTGTCCCCACCCAAATCTCATCTTGAAATCCCATGTGTTGTGGGAGGGACCTGGTGGGAGGTAATTGAATCATGGGGGCAGGTCTTTCCTGAGCTGTTCTTGTGATAGTGAATAAGTCTCAGGAGATCTGAACGTTTTAAAAAGGGGAATTTCCCTGCACCAGCTTTCTTTTCTGATCTGCTGCCATGTGAGATGTGCCTTTTACCTTCTGCCATGTTTGTGAGACCTCCCCAGCCACGTAGAACTGTTAAGTCCATTAAACCTCTTTCTTTTGTAAATTGCCCAGCCTCGGGTATGTGTTTATTGGCAGCATGAAAACCAATTAATACACCCTACCTCTCAGAGTGCCAAATACATTGTCATGGTGATGTAGAATTGTGAACAGGTGTCCCTCTTTATCTGCAGTTTTGCCTTCTTTGGTTTCAGTTACTTGACATCAACTATAGCTGAAAATATTAAATGGGAAATCACAGAAATAAACAATTCATAAGTTTTAAATTGCCTGCCAATCTAAGTAGCATGATGAAATCTTGTGCAGTCCTGCTCCATCCAGCCCAGGACAGGAATCCTCTGTCCAGGGGATCCAGGCTGTAGACACTCCCTGCCTGTTAGTTACTCAAGAGCTCTTTCAATGAAGAGACCAACTGTGGGCGTATCACAGTGCTTGCATTCAAGTGACTCTTACTTTACTTCATAATATCCCCAAAGTGCAAGAATCCTGATGCTGGCATATTGCTACAATTGTTCTATTTTATTGTTAGTTATTGTTGTTAATCTCTCACTATGCCTAATTTATCAATTAAACTTTATCATAAGTTTGCATGTATAGGAAAAGAAACATAGGGTATATAGATTTCAGTATTATCTGTGATTTCAGGCATCCACTGGGGATCTTGGAACATATACCCTGTGGATAAGAGGGAGGGGAATTCTCTATATAATCAAATCAAATAAATCACATTCATTCACTCAGAAAGACATATTGAATACATACTTTAGGTTGTAGGCAGTCTGTGCATAAATGAGAAATCCAATACACACTCTACTAGATCTACTTATCTGGTGTTTAGAGAGAAGTAGTAGATGCTGACATGTCTCAAATACCCACAACAAAACATGATATAATCAATGAAGAAAGGTAGAGAAGACGAATGAGTTTGAAATGGGTGTTAAATTGACACTAAGGAATTTTTTTTCTAAAAGTAAAATCACAATATCATTTGTGCTGTGAGCACAAAATATACCAGTACGTAAATTCAGAGTTACCACAGCTTGCTATTCTAGCCATCTGCTTTTTCATACATGCTTAAGATATTCCATCAGAGAAAAAAAATTCAAAATAACATTTTAAAGCATGATATCATGCGCCCCTCAAAGACATGAAAAATACAACATCTGAACTCACAATGAGTATGTTATAAATAGTAATAAAATTTAAGAGCACTAGTTGGGAAGTATTAATTGTTCTGCCAAAGCAAGCCAAGGGTTTAATAGACATGAGGCCTCCTCCTTAAATAAGGAGAAACAAATCACTGAGATTGTTTCATGTGTACACTTTGGTAAAAATGTTATATAGAGAGTATCTAAGACTTGTCACACTATCACTAAAGATGTTTAAGTATCTTTTAATATCAGACTTCAACTCTAAACAACGGGCTATTCTGGCATCGATGTTGGAGGCTGGGGTCTGGCTTTGGTGACTTTGATGCCCAGTGCTATTGCAATGTCTGTGGATGTGGCAGATTCTGCAGAGCAGGATATGGATATGACTCTGGGTATGGTGGTTATGGATACAATGCTGCCACCCAGATTGTTATGGAAGATACTGGGCCTCTGCTTTCTACTCGGAGTTGGGACCTAAGATTCTTGGGAAAATGATCCAATAACAAAATACAACTCTTCAAATGTTGTGTCCTTTCAAATATATCCCCCGCTCATAGCAGGCAGGGAAGATGAATTACTGGCTTTACAAGCTTGTTGGCATAAGATTCAAGAGCTGTCTGTGTATATCTAGCTGTTCAATAGCAATTTGTATTTACTCTATAAATACTGGATATTTTCCTACAACAGTTATTTCTCCTTTCATTCTCAAAGGTACTAATTTTTCATCTGGATTTTCTGTGGTGTATTTTACATTGGGAAATGCCTCTATAATTATTTTCCAATAGATGTGTTTAATGTGACATTGCAATATGGTCTTAACTTTAGTCATATATCTTAATAAGTTTCTCCTATTTTATGATATTTGAAATGAAGGCAACTGTTTTTCTTCTCAAGGATACCATTTATTCCTATTGTTAAATGAACAAAAAACAAATATCATAGATTGAGTTTGAAGGAGAGACATAACTGGTCTCTCCCAGTTGCTAGTCTCCTTCTCCCGGATTTCCAGTCCCAAGGAGGCTTATCAATCTTCACTGAAGGTACTTATTTGACAATAAATATGACTTAAATGACTTTGAGTTCTTAATCAAAATTTATGTTGGTGTGAACTCTAATTTATGGCAATAATATTTAGGTGCTAAAGTCCCTGGATTGGAATAATAAATAGTCTTGATCACAACTTTATTTGGTCACTTGGCCTCTGGTTACATCCATTATTCTGAATGACTTAAGGGAAATTTATATCAAGGAGCTATGTGAAGCTTCATATTATATCACAAAACCAGAGTCTACTAACCCTATCACACATTCCCTACTATTGATTCTGTTTTGACTAGCTGCCTTGTGAGTCATTCGTAGGGTGAGGATAATGTAATCTGCTCATTAGCCAGCACTTTTGGGGACTGCTTTCCTTTTCCATGGACTCTTGTTATTTTTCACTGTTTTATTGCTTTAAATGAAGCATGTTAACAGAATGTATTGAAGTACTATGCTATGTATCAAAACCTTGGATTTACTCTTTTGGAAATCTAACAGAAAGTCATAATTTCAATTCAGGCATTACCATGGTAAATGAGTTGAAAATTGCACTAATGCATGTTAGAAACATTTTGAAATTAACCTGTTGGGAAATTTTATATAAATCACGATTAATCTAAATCATAGCTTATTAATTAGAAAAAATATACTTTGTTTTTCATTTTAGCACTTCTAATGTGTGAGTAGTGTTATCCAACTGTGGTTCTTTTTTTGTTATTGTGTGAGTGTGACAAGAGTCTTACACTGTTGCCCAGGCTGGAGTGCACTGTTGCGTTCTCAGCTCACTGCAATCTCCGCATCCCAGGTTCAAGCAATTCTCCTGCCTCCCAAGTAGCTGGGATTACAGGCACACGCCACCATGCCTGGCTAATTTTTTTTTTTTTTTTTTTTTGGTAGAGACAGGGTTTTACCACGTTGGCCAAGCTGGTCTTGAACTCCTGACCATCTGATCTTCCCGCCTCGGCCTCCCAAAGCGCTGGGATCACAGGCGTGAGCCACCGTGCTTGGAATTAAAAATGTGGTTTTAATTCACATTTTCCTAATAATTCTGATACCTAATGATGTTAACACTTTTTATTTATTGGCTATTTGCACATCTTGCTTTCAATGAGCCCAAATCATTGGGATGCTTTTCTGTTGACATTTAGGTAGTAGCAGATCTTTACAGGTGATATTTGTATCTATATCTATATCAATGTATATATTCTTAGTTTTTGATTCTCCTAATCTGTTTACTGTTAATAAAATTAATTTCACTATGTTTTATTTCATAGCCAGTGCCTTCACTGTCCTATAAAATTCTAGAAGCTTTAGTAGTTTAGCTATCATGCTTAGATCTATAAAACATTTTAAATTAATTTCTGTGTATAGTATTAAGTAGTTATTAAGGCTATTTATTTCCTTGTTCCATGTTAATATTCCATTGTTTCAGCACCATTTGATGGAGTCTTTTTTTTTGCTTTAGAGTCTTTGTAGAAAAAAGGTCTATTTCTAGACTCTAATTTTTCCCATCGATCTATTTATGTATCCTCACATCAATACTGCACTCTCTTGATGATTCTAGTATAATCAGTCTTGACATCAGTTAATATAAGTTGTCAAACTTTGTTATTTTTTAAAGATTGCATTGTGTATTCTATGTCCTTTGGATTTCTTTATACATTTTAGAATATTTTGTAAATATACAGGCAGTTTGATTATGATTTTGCTAAATATATAATTTGGGAATATTTAGTCTGTTGTCAATACGTAGACATGATATACCCTCATTTTAACAGTTCTTATGAATTTCTTCAAGCATTAATTTGTAATTATCAAGGAATATGTCTTTGTTACTTTTACCTGTATTTTATGTTGTCTGAAAATATTGCTAATATTTTTGCATTTTATTTTCCAATTTTTCATTTATTATTGCATCTTGAATTTGTAGATTGAGGAAAAAACTGTATAAAATACTACTATTTCTTTTAAAACCGTTGCTAGAATTCACCATGTTGACCTGCAGTTTTCTTTGTTAGAAGTCTGCCTTTCTTTTTTATTTTTATTTTTATTTTTTGAGATGGTATCTCACTCGCTCTGTCACCCAGGCTGGAGCTCAGTGGCCTGATCATGGCTCACTGAAACCTCTGCCTCCCAGGGGCATTATTTCCCATTCTTCTACCTCAGCCTCCCGCATAGCTGGGTTTACAGATGTGTGCCACCGCACTCAGCTAATTTTTGTATGTTTTAGTAGAGACAGGTTTCACCATGTTGGTCAGGCTGGTCTCAGACTCTGGACCTCAAGTGATCCACCTGCCTTGGCCTCCCAAAGTGCTGTGATTACAGAGGCAAGCCACCATACCTGGCCTGCCTTTCTTGTTTTTACATAAATTTAATTTTTTAAAGAGATGTAGCACTTTACAATTCTTTATTTCTACTTGTGTTAGTTTTAGTTAACTTTTATTTTGAGGAATTTGTTGACTCCTTCCATGCAGTTTGAGTGTATTTTGCTGCAGAAAGCAGTAGAAAACATTTAATTCCTATCTTATTTGGCATTAGTAAAGACTTTAGAAAATCAGGCTAGTTTATATTCTGTTGTATTAGTCTTGCCCGGGGTAGGGCCAGCACTAATGTTTTGGTTGACTTGGAATTGTGCTTCTAACTAGAATTTTGATATATCTCAATAGAATCCAAAATTGAGATAATAGAATAAAGTCAGAACATGAAATGTTTTGTGACTTTTTATATCACCCTAATTATCTTAATGCTGCGTGGTGATCTCTTCCCGGGAAAACTTCAAATACATCCCAAGTTATTATACAGTATGTTCTCAAAAATGAAATGTGGATACCAGGCTGTGGAATATCAAATGCCCATTGGTATCATGTGTAAACCCTTAACAAAGAAAAATATATATTTAATCTGGTATAAAAAACATGAGAGACACTTTTAACAAGATGGCTTCCATGTGGACTCAAACTGCACAGAAGTCAAGTAAAATTTGTTTGTATATTAATATTATAACTACCTGACATTTAAGTGATTACAGTTTTGAAAGAGGCATGGATTTAAGGTAAAATTAGGGCCCTGCTTATCTCAAATGATAAGGCATAGTCATGAACATGAGAAATTACAGAAAGCATATGCAGGAAAGAAGTATCACCTTGATGACGATGTCATACAGCTGCTCAACTGGATTATAGAGATGCTCGGAAGCCTACATTAGGTGGAGATTATGTGTGTCCTGATGTAAGAATAGTCTTTGAAATTGCAAATAACATTTCTCATTATAGATACAATTTAATCAGGGAAATCATAATTGAACTAGAAATTAATTTAAAAGTTATATTGCAATGGAAAGTAATTCCATGCATGCTAAACAAAACAGAGAGCCAGTAATATGTGTTTCATGTAATTTCTCCTGAGTAATGAAAATGAGGTAAATCTGAATAATTTACTACATCCATAACATAGGATATAAAACCTCTGCACAGGTGTGGAGATTCATACTTAGAAAGCACACCATCAATAGCAAACCAAGCCTTTAACTCCTAACCTCGTGAATTACTAAGGTAACTATTACAGAGGTCTGGGCTAAGGCTGTGGAGGCTTTGGTGGTCTGGGATGTGGCTATGGCTGTAGATGTGGTAGCACTGTAAACCAGGGTATAGCTGTGGCAATGGAGGCTATAGATACGGCTGCAGCCACTCATCCTGTTAGGGAAGACATGGATTCTTTAGCTTCTATTAAAATTCTTCCTTATCAATCTAACATCTGATTCCCTGAGTGAACTTGATAAGCCTGATTTCAATCATTGGACCTACCTTTCAAAATTATGCCAAGTCTGTTTGTTTAAATTAATTAGCACCTAAGACTTTCAGTACATTTATAATTGTACAAGTTTGTCTCCATCTTTTCTCCTGGATTTCTTTAATGAAGTCTCTCGAGACACAGCAAATATAGCTTTTGTTTAATTCATTTGGCTCAATTATATATGTTACTAAGTATAAATACTACTCAACTTTCAATGTGAAAACTAAAACACTATCTGTGTATTAAATATTTATTTCACACAATGATAGATATATGAAAAGGACAGTAACTTTAGACTGAGTTGAATGA
Organism: Homo sapiens; assembly: GCF_000001405.40. NCBI lineage: Eukaryota > Metazoa > Chordata > Mammalia > Primates > Hominidae > Homo > Homo sapiens. The sequence continues at coordinate 30,509,934 of NC_000021.9, read as the reverse complement.
TGATTCCTTGAATATATGTAATTTTTTTGGAGAGTGTCACTCTGTTGTCCAGGCTACAGAGTGCAGTGGTGCGATCTCAGCTCACTGCAGCCCCCGCCTTCAAGTTTCAAGCAATTCTCATGCCTCAGCCTTCCTAGTAGCTGGGACTACAGGCATGTGCCACCACAGTTGGCTAATTTTTGTATTTTTGCTGTAGAGATGGGGTTTCACCATGTTAGCCAGGCTGGTCTTGAGCTCCTGGCCTCAACTGATCCACCCACTTCGGCCTCCAAAAGTGCTGGGATTAAAGGTGTGAGCCACCATGCCTGGCCAAATATAAGTGATTTTTATTTCCTAGCTTTTAATTAGATAATTTTTAGATTTAAACTCAACAACAATAAAAAATTCAACTCCAACATTTTGGAACTATATGTTTATGGTAATAAATAAAAGGGATTTACATGGTTTTAATTCTATACAATTATATTTATCAATGCAGTCCAAATATATAAGTAATCCATTTCTTCTTTCAAAATGTGTTGCTTATTCAGCCCTTTTGTGGTAAGAAAGGAAGAGTGCTAGAACAAAATATTTCTCTAAGCTTCCAGGAAAGAAAATATATGTTTCATGGCTTTCTTGATTCTATATAATCTTCTTTGATCTATTCTCTATTGCCTGTCATTTAACTTAGAATTATCATGAAAATGGTTGTGTTATAAAGTTACTAAAAGTTTTTCAAATTAGGTGATTAAAATATATGTAGTATTAAAAATAATTGTTTTAATTAGTTTTTTTATGTCACAGTTCCTCTGTGGCATTCAATGATATGCTTTCTTTTTACAATCATCATCATCCTCATGACACTAAAGCTTTTTACAATTGCAAATGGAAAATAAATGGCTGGATATAATCAAGAAATGGGTCCCTCTGCACTTTGCAGCTTTAATTGATGACAGTCATCATTCATCCAAAAGACTTATTGTTTTGTTTTGTTTTGGTAAAGTAGATTTTAAATCAATTACCATTCACCAGAAAGCAATTCTTTCTTTTTTTTAAAAATTTTACTTTAAGTTCCAGGATATATGTGCAGAATGTGCAGGATTATAACATAGGTATACATATGCCATAGTGGTTTGTGGCACCTATCAACCTGTCATCTAGGTCTTAAATCCCACATGCATTAGGTATTTGTCCTAATGCTATCCCTCCCCTTTCCTCCCACCCCCTGACAGGCCCCCGTGTGTGTTGCTTCCCTCCCTGTGTCCATGTGTTCTCATTGTTCAACCCCCACTTGTGAGTGAGAACAATGCAGTGTTTGGTTTTCTGCTCCTGTGTTAGTTTGCTGAGAATAATGGCTTTCGGCTTCATCCATGTCGCTGGAAAGGACATGATCTCATTATTTTTTATGGCTGCATAATATTCTATGGTTTATATGTACCACATTTTCTTCATCCAGTCTATCATTGATGGGCATTTGGATTGGTTCCAAGTCTTTGCTATTAAGTAGTGCTGCAATAAACATACGTGTGCATGTGTCTTTATAGTAGAATGATTTATAATCCTTTGGGTATACACCCAGTAATGGGGTTGCTGGGTCAAATGGTATTACTGGTTCTAGATCCTTCAGGAATCACCACACTGTTCTCCACAATGGTTGAAATAATTTACACTCCCACCAACAGTGTGAAAGTGTTCCTATTTCTCCACACTCTCGCCAGCATCTATTGTTTCCTGATTTTTTAATAATCGCCATTTTGACAGGTGGGAGGTGGTATCTCATAATGATTTTTATACGCATTTCTCTAATGATAAGTGATGATGAGCTTTTTTTCATATGTTTGTTGGCCGCATAAATGTCTTCTTTGGAGAAGTGTCTGTTCATATCCTTTGCCCACTTCTTGATGGGGTTGTTTGTTTTTTTCTCGTAAATTTGTTTAAGTTACTTGTAGATTATGGATATTAGACATTTGTCAGATGGGTAGACTGCAAAAAATTTCTCCCACTGCCTGTTCACTCTGATTCTAGTTTCTTTTGCTGTGAGGAAACTCTTTAGTTTAACTATACCCCGTTTGTCAAGTTTGGCTTTGGTTGCAATTGCTTTTGGTGTTTTAGTCATGAAGTTTTTGCCCATGTCTCTGTCCTGAATGGTATTGCCTATGTTTCCTGCTAGGCAAATAACTTAGAAGCAAGAGCAAACCAATTTAAAAGCTACCAGAAGACAAGAAATAACTAAGATCAGAGCAGAACTGAAGGAGATAGAGACACAAAAATCCCATGAAAAAAATCAATGAATCCAGGAGCTGGTTTTTTGAAAAAAAATTAACAAATTAGATATTCCACTAGCTAGACTAATAAAGAAGAAAAGAGAGAAGAATCAAATCGACACAATAAAAAATGATAAAGGGGATATCACCACTGATCTCACATAAATACAAACTGCAATCAGAGAATACAATAAAAACCTCTACACAAATAAACTAAAAAATCTAGAAGAAATGGATATATTCCTATACACACACATGCTCTCAAAACTTAACTAGGAAGAAGTTAAATCCCTGAAAAGACCAATAACAACTTCTGAAATTGCGGCAGTAATTAATAGTCTACCAACCAAAAAAAGCCCAGAACCAGATGGATTCACAGCCAAATTCTACAAGAGGTACAGAGAAGAGCTGGTTCCATTCCTTCTGAAATTATTCCAAACAATAGAAAAAGAAAGACTCCTCCATAACTCATTTTATGAGGCCAGCAGCATCCCGATACCAAACCTGGCAGAGACATAACAAAAAAAAAAAATTTCAGGCCATTATCCCTGATGAACATCGATGCAAAAATCCTCAACAAAATACTGGCAAACTGAATCTAGCAGCACATCAAAAAGCTTATCCACCATGATCAAGTCGGCTTCATCCATGGGATGCAAGGCTGGTTCACCATATGCAAGTCAATAAACGTAATCTGTCACATAAACAGAACCAATGACAAAAACCACATGATTATCTCAATAGATGTAGAAAAAGTCTTCGATAAAATTCAACATCCCTTCATGTTAAAAACTCTTAACAAACTAGGTATTGATGGAACATATCTCAAAATAATAAGAGCTATTTGTGAGATACCCATAGCCAATATCATACTGAATGGACAAAAGCTGGAAGAATTCCCTTTGAAAACCAGCACAAAACAAGGATGCCCTCTCTCACTGCTCCTATTTGACATAGTATTGGAAGTTCTGGCCAGGGCAATCAGGCAAGATAAAGAAATAAAGGCTACTTAAATAGGAATAGAGGAAGTCAAATTGTCTCTCTTTGCAAATGACATGATTCTGTATTTAGAAAACCCCATCGTCTCAGCCCCAAAACTCCTTAAGCTGATAAACAACTTTAGCAAAGTCTCAAGATCGAAAATCATTGTGCAAAAATCACAAGCATTCCTATACACCAACAACAGACAAGCAGAGAGCCAAATCGTAAATGAAATCCCATTCACAACTGCTACAAAATGAAGAAAATAGCTAGGATTACAACTTACAAGGGACGTGAAGGACCTCTTCAAGGAAAACTACAAACCAGTACTCAAGGAAACAAGAGAGGACACAAAGAAATGGAAAAACATTCCATGCTCATGATAGGAAGTATCAATATCATGAAAATAGCCATACTGCCCAAAGTAACTTATAGATTCAATGCTATTCCCATCAAGCTACCATTGACTTTCTCAGCAGAATTGGAAAAAACTACTTTAAGCTTCATATGGAACCAGAAATGAGCCTGCATAGCTAAGACAATCCTAAGCAAAAAGAACAAAGCTGGAGACATCACGCTACCTGACTTTAAACTATACTACAAGGCTACAGCAACCAAAATAGCATGGTACTGGTACCAAAACAGATATACACACTAATAGAACAAAACCCAGACCTCAGAAATAACACCACACATCTACAACCATCTGATCTTCAACAAACCTGACAAAAACAAGCAATGGGGAAAGGATTCCCTATTTAATAAATGATGCTTGGAAAACTGGCTAGCCATTTGCAGAAACTGAAACTGGACCCCTTCCTGGGGAAATTCAATAATACAAGGACAAAAGAAGTGAGAGCTGGACCAAACGTTAGATTATTACAGATTGTACCGTGCTGCCCCCTATAGTACAGGTGAGGAAATGCCGAACAGTTAAGTGATGCCTAGAGTTAAAATCTAAGTGTCAGAATCAAGACCAGAAAGCAGTTCACCTGAACCTAATGCTCTAGTCCATCATTCTGAGTCTCTTTCACTGCATAATTCCAAATCTGAATGCCATCTGGAAAGTTCTTGTAATAATACTGTGGATGGTTTCAATTTTGGAGCAGAGTATATGGAGACTAATTTCATCTCTTAGATTAACTATGTTTTGTTGCTGTTGTTTTTAAAATTTTTCTTGTTAACTTTTATTTTGTTATATATAATACATTTCTGAATTGCTAACTTAGCTTTACTTGAAGGCAAAAACAGAACAAATAAGCTCAATTCTCAAGATTATTTATTTTTATGAGAAATACTTGGGTTTGTTTATGCAATGTAAAGATGAAATATGAACAAACAACTCAGACAAATCTTGTTATTTCTCTCTTTAGATGCTGTACCTTCACAGGGGAGGGCAAGGTAGATAAATTTTGGTAATTTCATTAAAGGAATTTTGACCCTATAACTGAATTTCAGATGAAACTGCTCTATTCTCATACAGGTAAATATCCTCCCAGCCTGAGTAAAAGTATTAAAAATTTGCAATTAAAAGAAAGATCAGTATAATTATAATGAGAAAAAGCACTTGTGGCATTGCTGGTATAATTCAATATTAACATATTTTTGTAACTTACATTTTTATATATTATTAGTTTGTGTCTGAGTTAAACGAAGTCTTTGGAATTTATAACAAAAGCTTTCTTTCTTTCCAGGTAAAAGTTACTACTTATCCCAAGTAAGAACATATTTTCTTCTTCCTTATCCATTATCATAAAGTTATTAAGCATATATTCCAAAGTAAACTTCCTAAAAGTGAAAAGAAGGAGAAAATATAAAACATCATTGTTCTATCAACTTTGGGTCTAATCGACTTTGAGTCTAACAATCTCTTTCAGCATAAAACCAATATCACTACAAATGAATATATGTCTTCATTTTACAATGGATGCTTTCATTTTACTATTTGTTCACTTCGAAAAAAGGACAAAATATTTGTTCTATATATTTTGTATATAAAATATGTAGATTTATATATTTTATTTTAGTATTAATCATTTACTGCTTACGATCATTAATTGGTCTTGTGGAAAATTATCACATAGTCTATTTCTTTAAAACATTCTAATTCTTATTTGGCTATTGAGGTTTTCCATTTATATCTTGTTTGGTTTTATATCTCAGATGTATGCATTGTTTATGCATCCCAAACAAAAATTAGCTATTAAACACTCTTACATTATCAGGCTGATTTATATGGACAAACTGTGGTATCCTTAATATAGTTATTTGTGATTTTGAGTTATTTGTGATTTTATGGCTTCAAAAGGACTCACTGAGAACTCAGCTTATTGACTGTTTCAAGTTCAGATGAGAAATAAGAATGAACCAATATTTGGATAAAAGAAATGTAGCAAATATTGGATTAAATCCTACTCTATAAATGGAAAGACTTATTGAGCTATTTTTCTGTCTTAAAAAGGTAGCTCACTAAGGCGTAGTCAGGGTTGTGCACAGATTGTGGTTGCTGTGGCAGTTACTGTCAATTTACTTAGAATTTCTTCAATAAACAATTTTTAATTCCCTAGTCTGTTGCTTAGAAGAACTGAAGCATTCCTTTTAGGAAATTTATGTTTGATAAAATACTTATAAATCTCACAAAAACTCACCAGCATGTTCAAAGTCATGTAAATTAAATGAATTTTTAGTTGTCGAAGCCAAGAGACAGGTGCTGCATGGAGATTAATCAAGAGTGGTCTCAATGTTGTATCTGTTTCACTAATTCAACAAAGTCAGCTGAGGAACTCTATGAAGCCCAGGGCAAATTTCTTTACATATGTTTCTCTATTCTGTGCCATTTCACCATGGTGCCTTTATTTTGAAAACTTTGAAGACAATTTCTATTTTAGGATACCTTTTAAATTTCAGAAAGCCATAGGAGTTGGAGTACATTTTAAAAAACCCATCCCCTCAAGTATTTATCTGTTGAGTTAACAAACAGTCTAATTTTACTCAAGACATTTTAAAATGTACAATTAAGTTGTTATTGACTATAGTCACTCTATTGTGCTATCAAATAGTAGGTCTTATTCATTATTTCTAAGTATTTTTGCTGGGGTGGGGAGTTGAGGATGTTTAGTAAGTACAAAAAATAGAAAGCTTTAAAAATGATATTTTAATGAACTATTAACAGATCAGTAGGCAGTGGTTAGAAATTACCTCAGAATAAATGAGTACAGGATAGACATAGAAGAACATCAGAATCACGCCTGTAATCCTAGCACTTTGCGGGGCCGAGGCGGGCAGATCACGAGATCAGGAGATCAAGACCATTCTGGCTAACATGGTGAAACCCCGTCTGTACTAAAAATCCAAAAAAAATAGCCAGGCGTGGTGGCGGGCGCCTGTAGTCCCAGCTACTGGGGAGGTTGAGGCAGGAGAATGGCGTGAACCCGGGAGGCGGAGCTTGTAGTAAGCCGAGATGGTGCCACTGCACTCCAGACTGGGCGACAGAGTGAGACTCCGTCTCAAAAAACAAACAAACAAAAAAATCAGGAAAGATGTTACAGTGAATACAAAGAGGAGATAGAAAAAAAAAAGCGTTGAGATAAGTCGATGGAAGACAGAGGGAATGTATGCAATAAACTTCTACCTGGCTGTTTCTATAGACATTAAGAAAATGGGAAGAAGAATAAAAGCTGAAATGAGAAAGGAAATAGAGGTCATATATACACTACTGAAAAATGATAAAGAAAGAAAGTAATTGACTAGAATGTGCAAAACAGAGGCAGATGCAATCTGCAATTTTACCAGGACTTTGAATAAAACCAATTATAAAGGAGAGTTTTAGGACTTGAATGGAAAACTAAAGTGCTACTCTGATAAGTCTGCGTAGGAGATGGATTTTGTGCCCTCAATTTCTGAAATTAATTCTTATGTATTTTGCAACCAAAAGGTTCTGAAGCTGGTGTGCAAAGTCAAAAATAGTATAAAAGTTATTGTGAATAAAATGCTAAAAATCAGCATACACTCTCTTTTTTTGAGTCCTTTGGCGATTGTACACAGCAGGGCATTAAAATCATTTTGATTTCAAATGTTTTCCTGTATTGTGCATATAGGCACTTTCTGAAGACCTCACCTTGATAAATAAGTTTGCTTTTTAAAACTATAGATTTAACATCTGTAAATTGAAAAAACAGCTGTAAATTTAGTTGAATATGAAGTTATCAGTTTGGAAGATGACGGACAAAGGAAATTATTCATTATAAAAGGAATACCATAAAGTGTAGATGATGTAATACACCTGGTAATAGGCAATTCTGTTGAGCATTTGGAATGTGCATATTTTGAACAGTAAGCCCTTTCTTTTCATAAAAGCAAAGCAGTAAGTTCAATCGTGTCCTGAATAAGACATTAAGTAAGCTGAAATATTTTAATGAGAATGAGGGCATCTCCCTACATCAGAAGACAATAGATAAATGAGTTGTAACATCAAACGTAATACAAATAACTATAGCAAAGGAGGGTATACAGATGACTCATCACACGCTCTGACCAGGGTATATAAGCCTCCTACACATGCTGGTGTTCACACTCAGGATCTTGCCTTGAGCAGCATACCAACTCACCACTCCTGACACCATGAACTACTACGGCAACTACTATGGAGGCCTGGGCTACGGCTACGGAGGCTTCGATGACCTGGGCTATGGCTATGGCTGTGGATGTGGCAGCTTCCGCAGACTGGGCTATGGCGGTGGCTACGGAGGCTACGGATACGGCTCTGGCTTCGGAGGCTATGGATACCGCAGCTGCCGTCCATCATGCTATGGAGGATATGGATTCTCTGGATTTTATTGAAATCCTTCCCTGACAACCTAACATGAGGGGACATAAGAAGATCACCCAAACCTGACTGCAATAACAAACAAACGAGGTCACCCTGGATCAAGCCAAGATCAAGAGCAGTTAGCATCTAAGAGGTTTAAGAATACCTATCATTCCATAATTCTTTGCTTTATGTCTCTGGATGTGTCTTACTTGTACCTTTATAACTGTGGGGTTTCTCTGTTCCTTTTAGAATAAATTATGCTAACTGAAAGCAAATACACGACTTTTGTTTTTTGCTTGACTCAAAATGGCAAAGTGGTTATTTGTAATTATATCCAGTGAAAAAAGAACAAACTACTATACATATAGAAGTATATTATATATAACAAAATAATTTTGTATATACATGCACCTATCTATATAGCTGTATGTATGTGTGTGCATGTATATATTCACATTCAAAGGTCACAGTTGACCCTTGAATAATGTAGGGGTTAGCAGTACTGATTCCCCCATGCAGTTGAAAATCCACATATAACTTTTGACTCTCCAGAAACCTAACTACTGGTAGCCGACTGTTGACTGGAAGCCTCACTGATAACATAAACAGTTGATTAACACATACTTTGTGTTTTATATGCATTATATACTGTATTCTTACAATAAAGTAAATAAGAGAAAAGAAAATGTTATGAAAATAATAAGGAAGAGAATTTATATTTACTGTTTGTTAAGTGGAAGCGACTCATCATAAAGGTCTTTATCCTCATTGTCTTCACATTGAATAGGCTGAGGAGGAGGAGGAACGGGGACGATGGTCTTGCTATCTCAGGAGTGGCAGAGGTAGAACAAAATCTCAGTATGAGTGGATTCACTCAGTCCAAGCCCATGTTGTCCAAAGGTAAACTGTACATGCACAAATGAAAACCATAACACTCAATTAAAAAGAAGGCTTTTTCTTTGGAACACTGCGCCATATTCACCATATCTTTTTCATTTCAATGCTTTCAGTGAGATCATGTTAGTGTTTAAATTCAGCCTTGAAATACCAACTTCATAAACTTTCACATTTAACTGGAGACCAACATGAAGAGTATGTATTTCTATAGTTTGTTCAAAATGTATGTTTATATGGCCCCTTTAATGGTAAGAAAAGTGCTGATAAAACAAAGTATATATCTGAATATACACTGAAAAAGAACTTATTTTTGTGACTTTTTTTTTTTTTTGAGATGGAGTCTTGCTCTGTCACCCAGGCTGGAGTGCAGTGGTGCAATCTCGGCTCACTGCAAGCTCCACCTCCCAGGTTCACGCCATTCTCCTGCCAAGGCCTCCCAAGTAGCTGGGATTACAGGCACCCGCCACCACGCCTGGCCAATTTTTTGTATTTTTAGTAGAGAAGGGGTTTCACCATGTTAGCCAGGATGGTCTCGATCGCCTGACCTGGTGAACCGCCCGCCTCAACCTCCCAAAGTGCTGGGTTGACAGGCGTGAGCCACCGCGCCCAGCCCTTTTGTGACTTTCTATCATGTTTTATTCCTGGTCCATTGTGGTGTGACACGAAGTTGTATTTTCATATTATCAGCACATTTATATTTTGCAACACACCTAGGAAATATAGAAATCATTGCCATCACTTGTGAAGTAATTCATATTAAGGCTGTGATTGACCTGAAGCTTTATACACTCTAGCCAAGTCTCTTTTAACCTTTAACAAGCAAATGTGGGCCTTTTCGTGTTGGTATTTCAGATAAGTATCTTGCCCATGAAAAATATGCAATAACATATTATTATGTTTCAAGAATAATATATTTCAGTACTGAAATAAAAGCGAATGTCTTTAGTTGGAGTCAAGCAAATTCAAAAATGCCAGGAAAATAATATAAAAGAACTGTGGAGCATGCAGGGGAACTACTATAAAGTTTTCCCAGTGCTTACCCTAATACCATCTTGAATGGGAAAAGATCTCCAAAAAGTGAAATCATTTGCTAAGGATCAAAAATGGCATGACAAGGAGAGCCCAGACCAGAACCCAGTTTTACTGAGTATCAGGCATTCTACTTCCCCATGCTCACTGTTCCATTCATTTTTTACTTCTCTTCTTGTGTGTTGTCACATGAAGCATCTCGAAGGCTCTGTTCATGTGCGTCTGAAGAGTTTAATTGTCATGGCCAAATGACCACCTCTATTTAATTTCATTTGTAAACACTCTGTTGTAGAATCTTGAACTTAGCAATTTCTAATGTAGCTTTATCTGTGTAAAAACAACTTGTTAATAGTGCAAATCCAATATTTTAATATTTAAAAGAAATCATAACGCATTTGAAAAACTCTGGCTTGTTTACTGAACTTATGGATGGATTTGCTTAGCTAGATGCTATGACCAATTCTTTCATTCAATTCAAGTGAGATGTTGCAGTTTTGCCATAAATAGATCTCGGTAAAAATATCTTAGTGTCTTCATTGCAGGGCTGTACTATTTAGTTTTACTGAGTATGACAGAATTTCACATGAAAACTTTTTACTCCCTAAGTGGTCAATGGCATCACAGTCTGAAGAAAGGCTGTCTATGTCAAAAGAAGAACAATTAATATAACCATCTAGAGAAAGTACCACTTTTAGTTTAATGCAATTTCATCATATTATTACATCTCTAGTTGTTAGATTGTATTGATTTGTGTTGAAATTAAAAGAATACCTTAAGAATACATTTCCTTCCAAGGAAAAGCTGTCGCCTGGTCTAGAGAAAATGCATCATAGGATCATTAGCCCCGCAACTGAGCAAAGATCTGACAGAGCAAAATAGGCAGCGTGATAACATTAAACCTGTTTATTTGTGATTTTATAGCTTCCAACTGAAATAATGAGAATTTAATATTCAAGTTAGCCACTGTCTTTTGATTTAGGATGCTTCATAAAAATGGAACAGGTTCTGAAAAGACAAGACAAAGAAATTAAGAATAAGATGTGAGGTAATCAAAAGTTTCTCAATTAGGACAAAAAAGCATTAAACATAAAATACAAATATTAACAAATTTTATCTGATATTAAGATAATCTATTTACATATAAACATTAATTGAAAGTGAAAAAACAAACCACATGTTGGCAGAAAATATTTTCAAAACCAAACTTTTACAAAATACCTGTATCCAAGTATGTAAAAAGCTCCCACAAATCAGTGCTAGAATATAACAAACCCACTTAAAAATGGACGAAATACATGAGCAGGTACTTTTAAAAAGAGAATATCTAAATGGCCAATACACATATAAAATGGTGGTCAGTATCATTACTCATCAGGCAAAAACTAAATTAAATCAATACTTGGATATTACTAAATGCCCACAAGAATAGTCAGAATTAAACAGTCTAAAAATGACAAGCATTATCAAATATGTGGAACAACTAGAATTTTCTTACATTGCTCATGAGACTATACATTTCTACATTGCTGATGAGACTGTAAATTTAGAATACTATTGACAAGATCTTTTGAAGCTGTTGTTAAAAACTGGAAAGAAGATTATCTCTAGGGAATGATATTTGCCATAATGGAACAATGGAAACATTTTGGAGATTAGAGTGTGCTTGGTGTAGGTAGTGTAAGCACATATGCAAAAATTCATCAAATTCATCACACACACACACACACACACACACACACACACACACACACACACACATACACCTTTTTCTTCTCAGGAAATACCATGCTAGTCCACTAAGTTGTTAAATGTTTATTAAGGTATAGGATATATAAAAAGATAATTTAAATATAAGGGCTCTTTGAAATTCAATAAGATACCATTAACATTAGAAATGTTTTCAGAATCTCCAAAATGTAGGTATAATATTACAAGATAACAGGCAGAAGAAATAACTGAGGGTGCAAGTCCTCAGTTGACTCCAAGAATTTAGTCACATACAGCCACAGGTGACCCCAAATATTGTTAATTCAGCTGTGCCCTTAATTTCAACTTTGAGCTTTTAAGTTCTTTTTAACCTTATATGATCTCAAATACAGTGATCAGTTATTTTTAGTCTTATAAGTAATTTCCAAATGTTGTGCTTTCACAACTGAATTTGCATGCCTCTTTGCAATAATTACCTTGTAGTAACAACACAATACATAAATGCTGAAAGGATGAATAAATTCTAAAGTCTATGCCTCTCAAAGGCATGAGTAATTCTCTGGCTACATCTGAACAATAGGGATTTAAAGATGAAATGAAGGCTGGGTGAGGTGGCTTATGCCTCTAATCTCAGCACTTTGGGGGTCGAGGGAGGAGGGTCACTTGAGCCCAGTAGCTTGAGACCAGTCTGGGCAAAATAAAGAAGACAAAGAAATGAGCTCCAATAGCATCTGACTTTAGAGGAACATATAACCTTCATTTTATTTCATTTGTAATATGCAATATGTCTAGCTATGAAGAAATCTATTTAGGATCTGGTATGCCAAGACTTTAGATACAGCAATTTCTTCTCATTAAGTGGTGTGATAACTTTTAAGGGCCACTCCAATTCAGCAACAAAGCAAACTCAAACAATTTAACGATTGTGAGGGCCTCTCCTTGTGCCAGGGAAAAATGAATGACTTGTGTTAAGTAACTAATTTAAAACACACACACAGACACACACACAACAAACAAACAAAAAAACAAAAAAAACAGGTACGCATGTGACTCATCACATACTCTTATCAGGGTATATAAGCCTCCCTCTACACGTGCTGCCATTCACACTTAGGATCTTGCCTTGAGCAGCCAAACAACTCACCACTCCTGACGCCATGAGCTACTATGGCAGCTATTACAGAGGCCTGGGCTATGGCTGTGGAGGCTTTGGTGGCCTAGGCTATGGCTATGGCTGTGGATGTGGCAGCTTCCGCAGACTGGGTTATGGCTGTGGCTTTGGAGGCAACGGATATGGCTACTGCCGCCCATCATGCTATGGAGGATATGGATTCTCAATTCTACTGAAATCCTACCCTGAGGACACGATATCAGAGGTCATAAGAAGATCATTCAATTTAACCAAATATTGAGTCAAACAAGGGCACACTAGATCAATCCAAGATGAAAAAAAATAGCATCTAAGATGTTAGGAATATTCATTATGTTATAATTGCCTATATCGTGTCTACTGGCATCCACTACCTATACTTTCCTAACTGTGTAATTGCTTAGTTCCCTTTGCAATAAATTGTCTCAATTTGAAATGGCACACATGGCTTCTGTTTATTTATTTGTCTATTTGTTTAAATGCTGACTCTCAATTCCATTGCATATTTCTTTTCTTGATGCTTCCCAATAATCTTAAAATTCTGGTCTTATATTCGTGTAACAATCACAGCTGAGTTTTGAAGATTAGTCTACTTTTCACAGTATATGCCTCTTTTTATTTAAGATTTTGATGAATCTTGAACCTCTTAATTTCTAGCATATCTAGATCTAAATAAAAGTTATTAGTAAATAATGATAAATTCAAATGGTATAAAAAATTAAGAAGCATTAGAAAGACTCAGACTTGTTTACTAAACATAAGAATAGGTTTATACAGCCAGCTAGTAAGACCCACACTTTCAGTGAGACTAGTGAGAGTACATAACACTCTCCATGGACTGGGTCAATTGATTCCATTTGAGGACTACACTACTTAGTTTGACAGAATATGATAATAGCTCTTCCATTTTCCTGATCGTTAGTGGCATTTTCTCACAATACAGGTAAAGGCCTTCTGTAGCTAGGAACAAGTATAATAATCAATTTAACTACTTAGAAAAAGCATTTGATACTTCTAGTACACTGTGGTATGATCAAATTATTAGAACTTGAATTTATTGATTTTATGGATCGCTGAAGGATTTAAAATAAATATTCCAGAATATCTTTACTTTCAGGGAATAGCTTTGCTTTTCTTAGGAAGAATACATTACAACAATACCATAAGCCCCAAAACAGATGCATATTTGGTAGACTTAAATAGGCAGTATCTGAAACCTGTTTATTTGCGATTATGTTGCTTTAGCCTGAGTTAGCAAAAGTGTAATATTCAAATCATCAACTGCCTTTAAAAAAATCACAAAAATAGAACAAGTTTTAAAGAAAACAGACAAAAGTTTTAAATAACAATGTGAGAGGTAGTCAAAATTTTTTAAATTAGGACCAAAAACATTAAACATAAAACAAAAAGATTTTAAAATGGGAGTTTACTATATTATTGCATTTTATTTATGTATAGACACCATTTTAAGATGAAAAAATCTACATAGTGAATGAAAATATTTTTAATACATAAATCTGAAAAAAATCCTGTGCCCAAATATGTAAAGATCACCTGAGAATCAATAATAAAATATTACTAGCTCAATTAAAAGTGAACAAAATACTTCAACAGTTACTTCAAAAAAAATCTAAATGGCCTATAAGCATATGTAAAGATGTTGAATATTATTATTAATCAAATAAAACCATATTAAAACAATAATCAGGTATCATTATGTATTCACAAAAATAGTCAATTTTTTAAAGAGTTTGCAAGTGATTAGTGTAGGTAAGGATGTGAAGCAACTGGAACTCTCATACGTCCCTGTTGGTACAGTAAATTTAACAACTGGTAAATGTAATAACTGCATCTTGAGATTGGTAGAATCTGTGGAAGCTAAATATATATTATATAATATATAACTGTTATTTATGATATATAATGTATAAAATAAGTATAGATATGATATAAATTAGCAATTCCTATCCCAGCTATAAGAAAGGTATAGGAAAGCCTAGGTCTAAAAATAAGGATCTTAGCTGGGTGTGGTGGCTCACTCCTATAATCCCAGCACTTTGGGAGGCTGAGGTGGGTGGATCACTTGAGGTAAGGAGTTGAGACCAGCCTGGCCAACGTGGTGAAGCCCTGTTCTACTAAAAATACAAAATTATTTTGTATTTGGGCATGGTGATGCACGCCTGAAGTCCCAGCCACTCAGGAGGCAGAGGCAGGAGGATCGCTTGAACCTGGCAGACAGAGGTTGCAATGAGCCGAGATAGCGCCACTGCACTCCAGCCTGCATGATAGAGTGAGACTCCATCTCGAAAAAAAAAAAAAAGAAAAGAAAGAAGAAAAGAATCTTTATAAAAAGGTACAAAACAACTTTCTTTTCTTTTCTTTTCTTTTTTTTTTCTTTTTTTTTTTTTTGAGATGGAGTCTTGCTCTGTCTCCCAGGCTGGAGTGCAATGGCGCGATCTCTGCTCATTCCAAGCTCCACCTCCCGGGTTCAAGCGATTCTCCTGCTTCAGCCTCCCGAGTAGCTGGGACTGCAGGCACCCTCCACCACTCCCGGCTAATTTTTTGTATTTTTAGTAGAGACGGGGTTTCACCGTGTTAGCCAGGATAGTCTCGATCTCCTGACCGCGTAATCCGCCCGCCTCGGCCTCCGAAAGTGCTGGGATTACAGGCGTGAGCCACCGCGCCTGGCCAACAGCTTTCTTTATTCACTCTAGCAATAAAAAACCAAACCAAACCAAAACTGAAACCACTAAACTCCTCAAATATAGGCCTACCAGAGCAGAATCATAAATCAGTTGTGCTCTATTCATGTAGTAGACTACTTTTCAGAAATTAAAACAACAAAATTCACATCACATACGACAGAGATCTACCTAATAGTGACACACAGAAGAATTGGGGATGGAAATGGGAAGTTTCAGTATACTACATGAGACCACCTAAGTGAAGTACAGAACAAGAAAGCCTTATGTAGGATGTTAATTGTTACTCTACAAGGAATAATATTGACTGGTAGAGTCAAGCGCCAGACTTTGGGAATTAGAGTGTGCTTGTTATAGGTGGTCTATAAATATAAGAAAAATATCACCAACTTGTATACTTAAGATTTAAGTATTTTTAAATATGCCTTAAACAACAGCAACAAAAAGCAAATGAAATGATAGGTTATTTGTTCCTCTAAAGAAAGAAAGCTATTTGAGCTAATTTCTCTTTTAAATTCTTATTGTTGGATACATTCGTAGTATTGTTCATTTCTATGAGATGTAAGATTTTTACCTGTAAGAACTAGAATTCATTCATCTATTCAACACTTATATATTGAGTTTCTATTGCATGCTGGTCATTGAACTGCAGCCAGCAAATCTATCTGGAGAAATGCACAATTTCAAAATTGCTTATAAACTCATCAAAAGCTTAACAGTATATTCAAAGTAATAAAAATTAAACAAGAAATTATATATTTAAGCTTAAAGTTAAGGGCATATGTGGGTGGGGTTTGGGGTCAGCCTTGGGTCTAGGTGACTAAATTCTTAGAGTCAGCTGAGGTACTCTTTGTCTTTAATTATTATTTCCTTCATCCTGTCTTTTTATATTATACATATTTTTAGGGGATTCCTAAGACATTCACAATGCTAACAGTCTCTTACTGAATTCCCCAGGGTCTTTGGCGATGGCATCTATTAACATCTAACACTTTAATAAATACCTAACATCTTAGTAAAGCTTAGTTAGCTATTTTCTTTTAGGAAAAAAAAGAAACACACAATAGGTAAAGGTAACATAAAGGCAAAAATATCTGAAAAATCGAAGATTTTATTTATATATATATATGAATTTAAGTAAGTATTAAATGAAAATGGATGGGAGGCAAAAAGAATTGCATATATTTCACCATCTCACCTAGTCCCAGACCCTAATGGGAACTGAAAGAATATATTGAAAAGAGGAGGCCGGGCGCTGTGGCTCATGCCTGTAATCCCAGCACTGTGGGAGGCCGAGACGGGTGGATCACGAGGTCAGGAGATCGAGACCATCCGGGCTAACACGGTGAAACCCCGTCTCTACTAAAAATACAAAAAAAAATTAGCCGGGCGTGGTGGCGGGTGCCTGTAGTCCCAGCTAATCCGGAGGCTGAGGCCGGAGAATGGCGTGAACCCGGGTGGTGGAGCTTGCAGTGAGCCGAGACAGCGCCACTGCACTCCAGCCTGGGCGAAAGAGCGAGATTCTGTCTCAGAAAAAAAAAAAAAAAGAAAAGAAAAGAGGATAATTGTGTGGATCAGGAAAAAGGAATGAATGGGAGGAGGGCAATACAATCTGTATTTTTGGTAGCACCTTGGATGTCTAATATGCCAGTAAGGGAGTCGGGATGTGAAAACAATTTTGAACAGTTTGTAAAGCTGCTTAGGAAATAGATTTTTGATTACTGTGATTTGACTTTAATGTTTGAGCAATATACTGTTGTGTTGTTAAATCAAAATGGTTTTTATTTTTTAAACGAGTAAAACCAAAAAAAGAGAATATTGGTTATGATGGCCAATGTTCTAGAGTAATAGAAGAATGATGGCTTTATTTTAACTTTTTTAACCCCATGAAATTCTTTACTGTTAGGCATAGCAGGTGAGCAGATGGCTCCAGTCTTTCAAATGTTTGCTTCTCTTTAAAAAGGGACCTCACCTGAGGTAATAGATACCTCTGGAAGAATATAATAAATTTCAGAGCATTGAATTTAACCAAAGTCTGTTATTTAATCATAAATGAGTAAAACAATTCAAGGAAAGCCAGAGATGAAGCAATATTTAATTTCAAAACATAGCATTACCAACTATGTAATGCAATATGCCTACGAAGAAGTCTATTTAAGGTCTGGTATGCACAGACTTTGAAGCTACAGCAATTTCTTCTCATAAAAGTGATGCAATATGTTAAAGGGACAGCATGAGAAGACAGCAATGCAAGCTCAAACACTTTAATGAGTTTGAGGGCCTCTTCAGATGTCAGGATTGGGTCAGGTAAGTGTAACATACACAACTACACTAAAATAGGCAGCAAGTGTTTTGTTACGTGATGTGTCAGGGTATATAAGCATGCCTGCACAGATGTCAACATTCACACTCAGGACCTTGCCTTGAGCAGCAAACCAAACTCACTACCCCTGACACCATGAGCTACTACGGCAGCTACTATGGAGGCCTGGGCTATGGCTGTGGAGGCTTTGGTGGCCTGGGCTATGGCTATGGCTGTGGATGTGGCAGCTTCCGCAGACTGGGTTCTGGCTGTGGCTATGGAGGCTACGGATATGGCTCTGGCTTTGGAGGCTATGGATATGGCTCTGGCTTCGGAGGCTACGGATATGGCTGCTACCGCCCATCATACTATGGAGGATATGGATTCTCTGGATTCTATTAAACTACTGCCCCAGCAACACAATGTGTGAAATTATAAGAGGACTTTCCCAGAGCTGACTTCAATCATTGGACAACAAAGATCATGCTGGAGCTATTTGCACAAAAGAATTTAACATCTCAGAATTTCAGGCAATTTTTTTTCTCTGTATACCCACATCTCTATAATAATCCTAGTATTCTCTACTTTTGCTTTTAAAGCTGATTGAATTATCTGTTTATCTTCCAATAAAACATTCTATTTTCAAACACAATATGGTTCTGTTTTGTTCATGAAACTCAATTATACGTAAGTGATGATGTCAATGAGAGAAGCTATCTCCTTGGTTGAGAATCTATGTTTTTTCATATACCTCATAAACATGCATGCAGATAGATAAATACATCGATAGCTCCAAAGAAGAATAATTCTAGATTGAAATGAAAAGAACTGCAAAATGGTTAGTAATCTGATATTTTTCAACATTTTCCTTTTATTTAGATAGTATTCAGATTTAAGTCAACAACAAAAAGGAATACCTACTAAACATGTCTTTATATTTATATATCAAGCATATATGTTTTATTTAATTCAGATCACATTTGTCAACTCACTCTGAATGTGTAATGAATTCTTCTATCCATTCAAAATTTCTTTCTTTTTATTGTAAGAGCAAGCAAATGGTGACAGATCAAATGATATTCCTAGGTTAATTATGAAAGTGTATTTTCTTTCCAAGAATTATTGTAATTGGTATAACCTCACCCTATCATACTCTTCTGTCCATTAATTTATTTGACATTTTCATTGAACAACTGATGTACATAACTATTAAATTAGTATAGAATTTTTTTTCATATTGGATTAACATATTTAACTCAAAATATTTTAGATAATTTTTTCAGCTAGCTTTTCTATTATCTTACTTGGTCTTCATGGTATGATATGGCAAAGTCATGGCATGATATAGCAAAGTTATCATTTGGCCAGTAGAAAACTTTATTTTCATTATTTCACACACCAACACAGGATCTGAGTTTCACAATTAACTCATGATCTTCCTGGAAAAATATCCCCAAAATAGCATAACAGAGAAATAATTGTGCAAGTCATTGAGTCCACTGAATTAAGAGAAAAAAATTGAAAAATAAACATTTCTCAGTTTCCAAAGTTAATCGCTATCCAAAAGATACTATAATTGTTCTACTTTTCAATTAGGAAAAAAAGCAGAAGTATTTGATTGTTTTGGTTCATATCTTTCACAGCATTATATGATCATATATGTGCATGTATATATATGTGTGTATTTGTGTATCACAATGAAGTATATCTTATTATTTTGTTATTTGAAAATACATAAGAAAAGCAGGGCATATTTTATTAAATATATTTTATTTGTAATAAATAATAAAATTTGCCTTTAATTTGTAAAATCTATTGGATTATATTTCTCTTGGAGATGGTTATATGCATCGGAAATAGCAATGTACATTAGCCTTTCATGAGGGTTAGAAAATCTTGCAGGTTTACCCAATAATTCATGAGATTCTTAAAGTAGTTAGACTTACTTATTATTGTTTGTCTTCAACAACTACTCATTGAGAATTTAAACATTGTCCAGTTTTCTTTTTCAGAACGAAAATAAAGGTGGAATTAATTTTGATAAAGGAGAAAACAACCATGGCAAATATTGAGTTAAATATTCATTTAAAACCTGAAAGCCATTTTGAGTGCATATTCCACCTTAGATATGCACTACATGTTGAGGCAGGCAAAATTCATTCTTTCATTTATCCAACAAATTTTTTGGAAGAATAGTGAACAAATCAAGTTGAGAAAACGCATTATCAAAAATGTTGCTTATAGACCTCAAAACAAAGCAAAACAGAAAACAAAACAACAAAAAATACTCTTGGCAAAATGTTTAAAGTCTTGTAAAGCAAAGTATTGCTTAAGGACCCAAATCCAATATATGGTCATATTTTGGTGGAGCTAAACTTGGGATTGATTTACTATCTTCCTAGAGTAAGCACAGAAAATCTGTGGAGCATGGCCAGCCCTCCTCACATCCTTGCTTCCTATCTCAGTTATTTCACCACTGCACATTCGCATTTGAGATTTTCAAGGCATCAGAATTTTAAGAGACTGTTAGATGTATTATATGACTCTAAGAGTCATATAAAATATTGTTTAAAAATGTATAACCTTAATAAATAAATAATGTCTTATGTTTGCTGGTTGAGAGAAAGTAGGAAGATGAGGCACACAGAATTGGAAAAGAAAACATAAGGACAAAAATATTGTGATAAAATTAAATATATGGGTAGAAGGGTAAAATACTGATTAGAAAAAAATGGATAAGAAGAAATACCTGCTTGGCACTAGTACATATTGGGAATGAATGCAGCATAAAATGAAAAGCTTTGATAAAGAGAACTGATATATACATAGTGAGGAAGAGTAGGAAGTGGAAGAAAAGTGGTATCTGTAAAGCATGAAGCCAAGCTCATCTGAGTTTCTAGGTAATACTTTATTTAGAGCCAGTTCTGGAAAATTGTGTAACGATAAAAATAGACTTGATTGTTTTCGTGTGTGTGTGTGTGTGTGTGTGTGTATGTGTCTGTTTTAGACAGTTTCACTCTGTTACCCAGGCTGGAGCGCAGTGGCATGATCATGGCTCACTGCAGCATTGACCTCCCAGGGATCAAACAATCCTCCTGCCTTTGCCTCCCGAGTAGCTGGAACCACAGGTGTGCACCTCACACCTGGCTATTTTTTGATTTTTTGGTGGAGACAAGGTCTCCCTATGTTGCCCAGGCTACTCTCAAACTCCTGGTGATATAGTTTGGCCATGTCCCCATCCGAATCTCAACTTGAATTGTATCTCCCAGAATTCCCATGTGTTGTGGGAGGGATCCAGGTGGAAGTAATTGAATCATGAGGGCTGGTCTTTCCCTTGTTATTCTCATGATAGTGAGTAAGTCTCATGAGATCCGATGGGTTTATCAGGGGTTTCCGCTTTTGCTTCTTTCTCATTTTCTCTTGCCGCCACCATGTAAGAAGTACCTTTCACCTCCTGCCATGATTCTGAGGCCTCCAGAGCCATGTGGAACTGTAAGTCCAATTAAACCTATTTTTCTTCCCAGTCTCAGGTATGTCTTTATCAGCAGTGTGAAAACAAACTAATATACCTGATCTCAAGTGATCTTCTCACCTTGGCCTCCAGAATTACAGGGGTGAGCCACTGTGCCCCACCTGAAGAGAATATCTTTGAACTGCTGTTCAGGCTGGTGTAAAACTGAGTTTATTCTCTTGGATAATATATCAGTTTCTGGAATAAATTTTGTTACATTGATAAGCCAAAACAATGTTTTGCAAGCTGATATAGAAAATTAAAGTAGTTTTATATTATGTCTACATACATATTTTCCATTACTTTGTGTTTACCACAGCTGATAAGAAAATTTATTTATTCAAAAACTTCCTTTTCTTTTGAAGGAGGAATAGCCTTAATTTCTCAACGCAATAAAAATATTTGATATTTGAAGGCTTTACTAGATTTAAAAGTTTTAAACTTGATCGATTTATTTGAATCTAGGTGGAGGTAAAATAGAACAATCTAAGGAATGGTGTAAAAATGAGAAATGAGAAAACATTTAATAAAAACACAGTGTCAAATACAAATAATTCAATATGCATAGTGATGAAGAATTTAGGATTTTTTAAAAATTGTGTAACTTTGAAGATGCAGACTATTTTATCATTAAAAAGAATGTATCAGCTGGGCGCAGTGGCGCAAGCCTGTAATGCCAGCACTTTGGGAAGCCAAGGTGTGTGGATCACCTGAAGTCAGGAGTTCGAGACCAGCCTGGCCAACATGGTGAAACCCTGTCTCTACTAAAAATATAAAAATTAGCTGAGAGTGGTGGCAGACACCTGTAATCCCAGCTACTCAGGAGGCTGGGGCAGGAGAATCACTTGAACCCAGGAGGTGGAGTTTATAGTGAGCTGAAATCACAACATTGCACTCCAGCCTGGGTGACAAGAGCAAGACTCCATCTTAAAAAAAAAATGTAATAAGTTCAAGGGCATTCTAACCATGCAGCTAAGCCAGCTCAAAGATTTTAATGAGTTTGTGTCTCTCCTTGTGCTAACAAACAGATTGATTATTTGTATAGAGTAGATAAATAAATTGGGATGCTGCAAAAGGATGGCCACATGTTTATCACATGTTCTGCTCAGGGTATATAAGCGTTCCCTAAACATGCTATATTCACACTCAGGACCTTGCCTGGGACAGCAAACCCAACTCACTATCTCTGACACCGTGAGCTACTAGGGCAGCTACTGTGGAGGTCTGGGCTATGGCTGTGGAGGCTTTGGTGGCATGTGCTATGGCTACGGCTGTGGATGTGGCAGCTTCTGCAGACTGGGCTATGGCTGCGGCTATGAAGGATGCAGATATGGTTGTGGCCACAGAGGCTGTGGAGATGGCTGCTGCTGCCCATCATGCTACAGAAGATATAGATTCACTGGCTTCTACTAAGCTGCTGCTCTAGTGATGCAGCATCTGTTATTTTGAAGGGATTTAAAAACAAGTTACTTACTTCTAAGATACAATGGGGGTAAAGGTGTAAATGTGTAAATGCTCCCATTCCAAAGGGAGAAATTGACCAAAACAAAGGGGCTATAAGACCCCAAACAAGTCCAAAACCCAGCAGGGCAGTCATTAAATATTAAAGCTTCAAAATAATCTCCTTTTACTGCATGTCTCACACCCAGGCCACATCGATGCAATGGGTAGACTCCCAGGGCATTGGGCAGCTCCACTTCTGTGGCTCTGCAGGGTATAGTTCTCCTGGCTGCTTTCACAGGCTTGCATTGAGTATCTGCAGCTTTTCCTGGCACACAGTGGAAGCTGTCTGTGGATCTACCATTCTGGGGTCTGGAGGATGGTGACCCTCTTCTCAGAGCTCCACTAGGCAGTGTCTCAGTAGGGACTCTGGGTGGGGGCTCTAAACCCACATTTCCCCTCCACATTGCCCTAGTAGAGGTTTTCCATGAGGGCTCCACACTTGTAGCAGACTTCTGCCTGGAAATCTAGGTATTTTCTTACTCCCTCTGAAATCTAGGCAGGAGCTCCCAAGCCTCAACTCTTGCCCTCTGTGCACCCACAGGCTTAACACCATGTGAAAACCTTGGCAGCTCCTCGCTTGCACACTTGGGAACATCAGCCTGAGATGTATCTGGAGCCCTTTTACCGATGGCTGGAGCTTGAGTGTCTGGGACTCAGGGCAACATGTCCCAAGGCTGCACAGAGCAGTGGGTCCTTGGGCCTGGCCAACAAAATCATTTTTCCCTCCTAGGCCTCCAGGCCTGTGGTGAAAGGGCTGCTGCAATGGTCTCTGAAATGACTTGGAGGCATTTTTCCATTGTCTTGGCTATTAACATTTGGCTCCTCTCTACTTATGCAAATTTCTGCAGCAGGCTTGAATTTCTCCCCAAACAATGAGATTTCATTTTCTATGACATGGCTGGGCTGCAAATTTTCCAAACTTTTATGCTATGTTTCCCTTTTATGCTCTGGAAATATAAGTTCCAGCTTCAGATAATCTCTTTGTTCAAGCATATGAGGGTATGCTGTTAGAAGTAGCCATATTACATCTTGAATGATTTGCTGCCTAGAAATTTCTTCTGCCAGATACCCTAAATTGTCTCCCTCAAGTTCAAAGCTCAACGGATCCCTAGAGCACAGGCACGGTGCTGCCAGTCTCTTTGCTAAAGCATAGTAAGTGTGACCTTTTCTCCAGTTCCCAATAAGTTTCTCACCTCCATCTGAGACCACCTCATTTGGGCTTTATTGTCCATGTCACTATCAGCGTTTTGGTGACAACAATTTAACAAATCTCTAGGAAGTTCCAAACTTTCTCCCATCTTCTTTTCTTCTGAGCTCTCCAAACTGTTCCAACCTCTGCCTGTTACCCAGTTCCAAAGTCGTTCCACATTTTCAAGTATCTTTATAGCAATGTCCTTCTTCTCTGGTACCAATTTTCTGTATTAGTCCATTGTCACACTGCTATAAAGAAATACCTGAGACTGGGTAATTTATAAAGTAAATAAGTTTAATTGGCTCACAGTTCTGTGGGCTGCACAGGCTTCTCCTAGAGAGGCCTCAGGAAACTTTCAAGTATGGTGAAAGGCAAAGGAGAAGCAAGCACATCTTCACATGGTCAGCAGGAGAGAGAGGTCAAGGGAGGTGCTACACACTGTTAAATAAGCAGATCTCGGGAGAACCCCATCACAAGACAGCAGTAGGAGGATGATGCCAAACCATCAGACATTGCCCCCATACCCAATCACCTTCTACCAGGCCCCTCCTCCAACAGTAGGGGTTACAATTTGACATGAGATATGGGCAGGGACACACATATAAAGCATTTCACAGAATCAATAGGATATACATAGATATACAGAAGAATATTTACTGTTAGGGAAGAACTCATGCAATTATGGAGGCTGAGAAGTCTCATGATCTTCTGTTTGCAAGTTAGAGGCCCAGGAAAGCTGGTCTAGTACTTCCAGTCCAAACCCAAAAGTTAGAGAACAGGGGAGTCAATGATGTTAAGTTTCAATCTGAGACCAAATGCTCTAACCAGGAATGCTGATGTGTGAGGATAGGAGAGGATGAAGATCCCAGCTCAGAGAGCAAACTCCCTTTGCCTTCCCCATTTAGTTCTATTTAGGTCTTCAACAGATTAAATGATGCTCACATACACTGGTAAGAGTGATCTTTACTCAGTCTACAGATTAAAATATGAATCCTTCTGGAAAAACCCTCACAGACAACCCAGAAATAGTTTACCAACTATCCCAGCATCCCTTAACAGAGTCAAATTGACACTTAAAATTAAGCATCACAACATTCATATCATTAAAACTGTAATAAAAACAAACTTTCTTCTCACAAATCTTATAATCTATATCCCTAAAACTTAAAGAGAAGTGAACTCTCTTTTTCTATGAATCTTTGCATTATCTATAATCTTCTTTTATTCATAATTTTCTGCTTTCATCTAGTTTGTTATGCATGTACAACAAGCCTGACCTAAAAGTCCTTGATAAACTGGATAATAAAATGTGAATTGTAGTCATTCAACTCATTTCACTTGTCTTTTTATAGGAATATTGTGTTCTTTATTATCATCATTATACTGAAGGATTTGTAATGCAGTAGGGACTATAAACACACAGAAACATTATTATGAGGCAAAATATTCTGTAGTTTCAACTGACTAAAAGTGTCATTTAATATTTAAATATATAGAAGTATGTATATTTAAATATATAGAAGTATATATTTAAATATTACATTTAAATATATAGGAGTATATATTTAAATATTACATTTAAATATATAGGAGTATATATTTAAATATTACATAAATTTATATATTAAATATAAATAAATATATTTTTATATTTATATGTATTATGAATAATAAATATTATTTTATTTATATTTCAATATGATTATTGATAATTTGTTATTTATATTTATTAATATATAGAAGTATATGTTTAAATATTAATGAAATATTAATTTATTTATTATATATTATATATAAAATATATAATACATACATATATAGTATATATTGTATATAATGTATATATTTTATACAAATATCATTTTATATATTTCTATATGTCTTATATCAATATCATTATGTATACATACTTCTCTCTCTCTCTCTCTCTATACATATATATATATATACACACACACATATATATATACATATGAAGATAAATTTCAGTGAAACCTCATCCTTTCAAGAAATGGCCAAAACAATATTGTTTTTATAAAACAGAATTTCAGGCAATGATATGTGCCTACAGATGTTTTGTACAAGCTCGCCAAATGTAATAAAATGAGGACAAAAATTAAATCACACAAGGAGCAGAAAGAGGCATTACAATTCTGCAACGCTGTATTCCAATTTTGGAGGCACAGAAATTCAGAATATGTTATTTTTGTCATAATTGGTGCCAAGACTAGGATCAGAATCATGCCATCCTGAGTCCCAGGTTTTAGACTATACTTTGCAGACTCACCTTTTATGCATTTTCTTCTTGATTGTTGTCAGATAACCATTCTGAAAGTTCTGGTCATAGTTGTAAGAAAAGCTAAATTATCTCAACTGCTTTTATGAAGGTTGGCCCTTTTTCTTACATTAACATTGATGTTTCATTTTTATTGTTGCGATATACAGAATTAAACCAATCAAATTTTAGTTTATCTACTTCTGATTGTAACTAACCAATGAGCAATGTTAAAATCAGACTCTAAGTTAAAAAACAAAACAAAGCGCCATGACCTCTTCTTTGAGTCAATGCTCTCAGGGCATTCTGTGTACTACAACAATGGGCTGAACAGGGGAAATACAGCAAAGTAACTCTATGGGAGGTCAGCAATATTGTCTGACCCAGTAGAATAGGATTTCACTAGAAGCATTTTCTTCTCATTTGGATAATGTCCCAGGGATAGTTTCCATGGGGCTGAAAAGCAGTAATCAATATAATTGTTACTGCTATTGTTATTACTATAATCAATCTTATAATTTCATGCTGTTTAAGGTTGTATTGAATAATTTCTGAGATGATAGAAAATTTATAACAAAAATTTCCTTACTTCCAGGAAAAATGTGAGAACATTTTTCACTCTTCCACCTATCAACATGAGTAGAAAATAGGGTCATGAGCTAACAGTTCTTAAAAAGCAATAATGATCCAAATCTACTTTTGATCCAATAAATGGATAGAAAAAGAATAACCCCTCAAAGGAAATTTCAGAGACTTTTTTCACTTGCATATACAGAAAATAAATCAGATTTTTTACATATTCTTCAAATTTTTTTTCTAGTTTACACGGCTAGTGGACAAAATAAGCTATGCATGTCATAGTCATATGTTTTATTCTTTGAAAATACATTTAGTGTTTATTGTACTATAGAAGTTTCGCATTTGTGTCTCATATTATTTCCATATAGAGACAGTTTTATGTATCAAAAACAAACAAAATAGCCTTTAATCATGGTCACATGCTCTGACAGAGCTACACAAGAAAATGTGAAATTCTTAATGCTATGTAATTTATTCATAATTCTAAGTGTTTCATTAGAAATGTATATATGAATTGTATCACTTGACTGATTTTCTGAAATGGAGAATAAAAATGGAATGAAATTGGGTTACAGTAACACAGACATCAAAGAGGAAGGCTATTGTTGGGTTAAATGCTACTCTGACAGCAGGAATCTTGTTGGAACTTGCGTTCAGCCTTACAACATCTCCCAGAATAGCCAGTAAGTTGCTCATGTTATGCTATTCATGGCCCTTGCATTGATGTCAAAGTCATATGCTTCATTCAAATAATATTTTTGAATGCCAACTAAATATGAGACTTTGTTTTGACACTCAGCAGGTCAGAGAAACACCGCATTGTAAAAAAAAAAAAAGTGTGACTTGAACAGAAAGTCATTATGTTTAGGGAAATAAACAGGCACACAAAGAGAGGTATCACATGTTCTCACTCATAAGTGGGAGATAAAAAAGTTAATCTTATGAATGTAGAGAAAAGAGTGATAGATATCAGATGCTGGAATGGGTGTGTGGGTGCAGGAGAGATAAAAGTTGGATGAAAGGTATAAGTTCTATTGCAGAGTGACTATAGTTAACAACAATATACTGTATATTTCAAAGTAGCTGGAAGAGAGAGCTTGATTTATTCCCAACATAAAGAAATGATAAATATTTAAAGTGATGGATATTTCAATTACTCTACCTTGAACATTATACATTCTATGCATGCAATTAAATATCATATGTATCTAATAAGTATGTAAAATATGTATCAATAAAAAATTTAAATAAAATAAAAATTTTAAAATGTGTCATTCGGTTACTCATAAATCTCAAAAAAATCTTAGTAGTATGATTATAGTCATATAAAACTGATACCTTTCTGGAGTTCCAAGTTTCAAGATATAGGTACATCTGGATGAGGCTTAATCAGGTATGAGGTAAGCCTTGGGCATTTCTAACTCTATGGGCTGAGCTGAGGGACTCACTGGTCAACTCTCCCTACAGAGCTACTCCTTCTTTTCTATATTTTTCACAATTGTCCCTTACATTTAGAGAATTTCGTGTTAATCTAAGTTGCACAAATATTTTTTTAAATTTCAGATAATTTGAAGAGTTGAAAAATGTTTTAAACAAGAAACACCATAATCAATATCTTAGAAGATCTAGTTGATTTCTCAGGAAAAGATAACTAGAAAGCGGTTAAAACAAAGCACAACAAAAAACATGGGCACAGAATAGGCAAAGACAAGGGCAAATATTGACTATGGAGATCTAAATGGAAAGAATGAATGTTGATTTGAGTAAATAGGTTGTAGCCAGAACATTTTACCTACTTCAAACTTTTACCTGGTTATAGTAATGAATTGTGGAGGAAAAGAAGTTGGGTGAAATTTGAAGTGAGATCAGCAAAAGATGCAAGAGGGATGAATTAATGACAAAAGGTAGAGAAAGAGAAACAATTCTGTATGAAGGCAGATTATAATCTTCATTTTTTGGTAACAGTGAGGTTAGAACATATAATGGAGAAGGGACTTGAGATATAAATAGAAAACTCTGGAAAGACCAGATGAGATGGGCTTTTGATCCCTGTAAGAGTCTCTCCACTTATGACTACAATTGTGCTATGTTCTTAAAACAAAACAAATATTTTGTATGCTGTTGTGCAAAGCCCAAAATAAATATAACAATTGTGCATGATCAAAGTTTTAAAAGTCTACAAATTAGGTGACATTTGTTTCTTTCAGGTACATACACAGATGAATCAAATCTTTCTTGCTTCTCACTCTACAAAATATGTGTGTTTTATGAAGAAACTGATGAAAGTAAGAGTCTTGACCTTGGCTATTTCTTGAAATTTTGTGGAATCAACTATAACCACGTCCAAAAATGCTAGTGATGAGAATATATTTGAATAGAAATTCAAGAATTTTTAATGTGACTGATGTTAAGTGACTGGTAATAAAGAATTCTATTTAAGGTTTGGTATGTTTTAGACTTTGAAGAAGCAGCAATCCCTTCTAATAAAATTAAAGCAGCAAGCTCAGGGACAACCTAACTAGGTAGCCAAACAAGCTCAGGCAATCTTACTGAGTGTTGTCAGGGGACAATAGATTAACGAGCTGCCTCAGGCAAGTATAATTCATGGAATGACACAAAAAGAGGGGCACATGTTTATCACATGCTCTGACCAGGGTATATAAACCTCCTATACATGCTGGCATTCACACTCAGGATCTTGCCTGAACAACAAACCAACTCACCACTCCTGACACCATGAGTCACTACGGCAGCTACTACGGAGGCCTGGGCTACAGCTGTGGAGGCTTCGGTGGCCTGGGCTATGGCTATGGCTGTGGATGTGGCAGCTTCTGCAGACGGGGTTCTGGCTGTGGCTATGGAGGCTACGGATATGGCTCTGGCTTTGGAAGCTACGGATATGGCTCTGGCTTTGGAGGCTACGGATATGGCTCTGGCTTTGGAGGCTATGGATATGGCTGCTGCCGCCCATCGTACAATGGAGGATACGGATTCTCTGGCTTTTATTAAATGAATTGCTGAAATTGGAAGCAGAGGAGAAACCTCCAAATGTGTTTGGTCCTGTCCCGTGCTTTCATTCCAAAAATCCATTCTATTGCCTTCAGCATCAATGGAGAGATATTTAGCTATGTTAAATCTTTAAAATAGATTTAAGCTGCTTCTGTGAATATTTGTTGTCTTTTTACTTTCGGAGTCCGTCACCTGAAATCATATTCATGTATAACTACTCTAGGTTGTTCTTCTAAATTTGCTTTATTTTTCTTACCACCATTACCTTGATGTTATCTATCAAGATCCTAGCAAAAACTTGTATTTTGCTTTTATCTAATAAATGAAGTAAAGTATAAATATTTTAGTTCTTGTCAATGTTTCCATTGTCATATTTAACATTTTATTTTGCAACTACTATAAAAAGTTTACTTATGAGGCAGTGAGATCTGTGGCTCCATGGTGGAATATGATGAAAATGTTTCTAGTTTACTGTGTTAACGGAAGCTTGAGAACAAATAAGATATCATATTAACAAGAGATAAAAATAACTTGCCTGTCTATTTACTTAGGATGTCAGCCCCTCTCAAGTGTCCCTCAAGTGTTCCTGGAATCACTAAGGATAGTGTCATTCTCATATTCTGCTGTGCAACGTTGGTTGCTGTTAGCTGAACGTCTTCTTGGTACCCCTGTTCTGGCCAGGCATGTGTTTGCTTTTTGTCCACCCTTCAGTTGAGGTTGCGGCAAGGAGATTGGGAAGTTTCACTCATTTCCTACTCAGAACTACATTCTATATTTAGCATCTCCCTGAAGGCCATTGTCCAATATTTGACTGAGGCAACTCCCACTGAAATGCGGCACTGAAACCCAGTGGCACAATGTTGTACAAAAAATGGGAGGTAGTTTGCAAATGTATTCTCCAATTCCGTGGGTTGTCTCTTCACTTTGTTGATTGTTTCATTTGCTGTGCAGAAGCTTTTCAACTTTATGTGATCCCATTTGTCCATTTTTGCCTTGACTGCCTGTGCTTACTGGGTATTACTCAAGAAATTTTTGCCCAGACCAACATCCTGGGAGATTCTTGTGTTAAGTGAAATAAACCAGGCACAGGAGGACAAATGTCATATGTTCTCACTTATTTGTGGGATCTAAAAATCAAAGCAATGGAACTCATGGAGGTAGAGAATAGAAGGACAGTTACTAAAGTCTGGGAAGGGTATTTGGGGAGGGGACTGGGGCTGGTTAATAGGTGCAAAAAAAATAGAAAGAATAAATAATGACTTAGTATTTGATAGCACAACTAGGGGACTATTGTCAATAATAATTCAATTGTACATTTTAAAATAACTTGGAGAGTAAAATTGGATTGTTTGTAACACAAAGGATAAATGCTTGAGGACAGGGCTACCCCATTTCCCATGATGTGATTATTACACTTTGAAAGCCTCTACCAAAATATCTCATGTAACTCATAAATATATGTACCTACTATGTCCCCACAAAAGTAAAAAAATTAAAAAAAATTAAAAGAAAGAAAAATTGGGATAAGCCGGAGGGATGCTTTCTGATTTTTTTGTTGCACCCTATTAGAGGCTCTTAACAGTCTATATGGCTTGTCGTGAATGGATGATGACACAAAGTCACATGAGAATAATACACAGGAGGCTTTACTGATAAGAAACCTTCTGGGCTGTCAACTCTGGCTTCATTTCTCAGTCAAGTTCAAGGAGCCTGGCTCTCTTTTCTCTAGGAATTTTTTCTCACCCAAAAAATTCTTCCGTTCCTTTCAGGCTTGTTTTACAAGTTCATCACCCGTGGCCAGGCATCTTGGAACACCAACAGTAAACACAGATAGAACCGTCCTCTGCAATGTTTCTCAGTCAACTTTCAAAGTAGCAAGAGAAGCCTGTTTCACCAGTTTGTCTGACATGACTAGGCATGTCTGAATCCACTTAAATTCAAATTTGGACCCCTACTATTTATCTTAGAAAATCTTTTTATCCTTTTGTAAATCTAAAAGAGGAACACTATTTATAAATAATTTCCATAGAAAAAGTGTTACCTTTTTGTCTATACTATAGTTTTGATTTCAAATTAAGAAACTAAACAATGGAAGCAAAAAAATGGAGAGAAGAAAAGAAAGAAGCAAGAGAGAAATCAAAAAAGAAAGAGAGAGAAAAATTCATAAGTTAAGGGCCCAATCACATTTAGAACACATTCCATGTTTTATTTTATTTTATTTTTTAATTGGCACAATAATGGTATGTATTTATGGGGCACAGAGTGAAGCTTTGATATATATAATGTAATCAGATCAGGATAATGAGCATGGATAATTGATCTTTTGTGAAGCTGAAATGAGAACCAGATATAATACCTGTCCAAGTGCTGTTAAACTGAAAGACAGTGATTTAAAGACCCTTCAGCAGCTACCCTTGGCAAATGCTTAATTTTGCTAGTGAGGTTTTGCAATCTAAGTTTTAGTAAGTTCTAAATTCCTTGGACAAAATAGAAGAGTTAATTAATTATTTAATTAAGCTAATTTTTAGCTTTAGCTAATTATTTTATGTTCTAACAACAACAACAAAAAATCTACAGGAGAATAGCCCGTAGCCCCTGTAGATTATAGGAACTGTAGTTACTATTCTGTATGATTTCGATCTTTGATTTTTTTATTGTCCTTTGTCAACTCTAAAATTTAACAATGTGTGAATTAGTCTGCATATTTATATTTGCTCTATGAGGGTTGTAAGCATATATAAAGCTTCCCTTTATAAACATATAAAAAATGGTGGGTGCTTTTAGAGAACAATTATTTAGAATGTACAGTATGTGACTAGTCAACCTAATTTTCTCCAGACAGACATTATATCCTACTAAAGATGACCTTGAAGATAGAATATCTGTTACCTTTTTACTACACCACACTTTCTATTTCAAATTAGAAAACCAAAAAAGGGAAGCAAAAACAACAAAAATCATCCTCATTAGGTTTAAGTGCTGGCCTTACTTGAAGGTCTTTTTGATTTCCGATCTAAACTGTCCAGGTGCTGTTAAATTTGATTTGTTCCCAAATATAATTTGTGATGCTCCTGAATGTCATGGCTTTTAAAAGTATATTGCAAAAGATGTTTTTATTCTTGGTTAGATTGTTAAAGAATTGGAAGCTGGGAACGTGAAAGATATTTCTAAATTGCAGTCAGTAAGTAGTTCTGCTGGGAGAACTGAATTTCTGTTGATTTCTATTACAGTATATCAGTAAGATATACTGTAGAACTCACCTTCAAAATTTAAAATATACTACAGAACATACAATTCTTATGAATGCAAGTAGAGGGGGAATTTCCTGATGAAAACTATAAATTCTAATTTTGAGGAAGGTATAATAGTGTCATGTGTACCTAGTCATGCTTGTGCATAGTGATTGCATAATTTAGGATCCAAGATTAATGTTAAAGGATAAAATTGGAGAATGAATAATTTCTTGAAACATGGATACAAAAAGTAAAATTTCTTTCTTCCACCGAAAAAGTTTTTTCAGACATAATAATCATGGTCACATCTTACTACTGCACTCAGATTGGTCACAGAAACCTCTAATAATGCAAATCAATATAAAAACTCTTTAATCAATTAAAAATGCTCTATTACTATGAAAGATCAATTGAATCAATATTGTATTGGATATGTGTATAGAATAAAAATTCAGGATACCTGAGCAATTTGGTAATCTGAATAAAAGTATTCCCTTTTATTGGAAATATGTTTGACAGACATCACTGCTGGCCTCTGAAGTTTAGAGGACTAGGTTGCAGCTATGAATCCATCTATGGTTTGAGCTACTAACTTGGAGATTCTAAGGCTTAATATTGTTATATATTTAGTTATGTTTCTGCCAAGCACCTTACTATGGGTTGTAGAGACCATGTGGATTCTATTGTTTAATTGGTTGACAAGGACAACCAATTTGTGATCGCTACAGCCACTCAAGTCAGAATATGGAGAAGCTTCACATGTCTCCTCTGTCATCTCCATAGCCAATTGGTAGCTATTTTGTGCTATCTTCTTAACAGATACATAAAATATATAATTCTTTATAAATATATTCAATTTCATTTTACCTTTTATCTAATGCTGATGGTCATAATTTGCCACTTGGACTATGGCTGCACCTTTTCATCTATTCCTATCTGATCTCCAAAACTCAAAACCTGCCACCTTTCTTTAGTCCCTTTGTTAAAAGTTATTTGTTCAAAATGACTCCTTATATCTCTCCCTGGAATGACACATAATGCTGCTATTATGATGAAAACAATGAAGCGCTCAATATGCTGATATGGAAGGAAATTTTATTAAAAGGCAAGTTACAGAAGAGCCTGGACCATGCAGTTGGCTCATCAGGTATGATATTACACTCAGCAAACACCGACTGAATTAATATGTGTATTTACCTAAATGATCCATAATCTTGTTAAATATCTGCCTTTATACTAGCTCCTCCTTTACCTTGCATGCGCTGCTCTTCACTTCTCAAAAAGAGTTCCTACTCATCTTCAAAATTTAACTTAAGGGATTTCTGGGTCAAATGGTATTTCTGGTTCTAGATCCTTGAGGAATCGCCACACTGTCTTCCACAGTGGTTGAACTAATTTACACTCCC
Source organism: Homo sapiens (assembly GCF_000001405.40). Taxonomy (NCBI): domain Eukaryota; kingdom Metazoa; phylum Chordata; class Mammalia; order Primates; family Hominidae; genus Homo; species Homo sapiens. The sequence continues at coordinate 30,475,405 of NC_000021.9, read as the reverse complement.
ACCAACAGTGTAAAATTCCTATTTCTCCACACCCTCGCCAGCATCTGTTGTTTCCTGACTTTTTAATAATCACCATTATGACTGGTGTGAGATGATATCTCACTGTGGTTTTGATTTGCATTTCTCTGATGACCAGTGATGATGAGCTTTTTTTCATATGTTTGTTGGCTGCATAAATGTCTTCTTTTGAGAAGCGTCTGTTTATATAATTTGCATGCCTTTTGATGGGGTTGTTTGGTTTTTTTCTTGTAAATTTGTTTAAGTTCCTTGTAGATTCTTGATATTAGACCTTTGTCAGATGGGTAGATTGCAAACATTTTCTCCCATATACCCAAAGGATTATAAATAATTCTACTATAAAGACACATGCTCATGTAGGTTTATTTCCACACTATTTACAATAGCAAAGACTTGGAACCAACCCAAATGCCCATCAAGAATTGACTGGATAAAGAAAATGTGGCACATATACACCATGGAATACTACAAAGCTATAAAAAAGAATGAGATATGTCCTTTTAAGGGACATGAATGAAGCTGGAAGCCATCATTCTCAGCAAACTAACACAGAAACAGAAAACCAAACACAGCATGTTCTCACTCATAATTGGGAGCTGAACAATGAGAACACATGGACACAGGGAAGGGAACGTCACACACAGGGGCCTGTCAGGGGGTGGGAAGCAAGGGGAGGGAGAGCATTAGGACAAATACCTAATGCATGCAGGGCTTGAAACTGAGATGTTGTGTTGATGGGTGCAGCAAACCACCATGGCACATGTATACCTATGTAACAAACCTGCACGTTCTGCACATGTATTCAGAACTTAAAGTAAAATAAAAATTTAAAAAATTTAAGTATCTTCTCTTGAGATGCCTTCCAGATTCCAGCAGTCACTTGACAGCATCATGCACAAATGTCGCTTTTGCATAGAGGTCTTCCCTGAGATGCTATTGGCCTGTGGTCGTTTATATAGCCTTTTCTTCATAGCACTTATCACCAAGAGATGCTATACACTTGCTAGTTGACTCACATATTTTGTATCTCCCCAGGACATGGAAGCGACATATGGGCAGAAATTTAATCTCTTTTACTCATCTGTGCATCCACAGGGCCTAGAATAATGCCTGGCTTACAGAAAGTATTTCATAAAATATGTGCCAAATAAATCTATCATAGTGCCAAACCATTGGTTATTAATTTATATGCCAGTATCCTCATTGAATCCTGTGTCCTTTTCTTATAATAATATGATTTTATTGATGAAAATGTAGAAAAGCTCTACTTTTATGCTAAATTAATATCATGTTTTATTTATCTTTTCCATAGGTAGACATTAACTTCTGCAATGTGCTGGACGCTCTTTTAAGTTTACAGGCATAAACGTAAGCCAACTGCAACTGCAATATAGCTAGTAAAGATGGTTCATATTTATTTTCTGCCTTTCATGACATGTCACACATAAACTTCACACATTATAAGGTATATGATTTTGTTATTCCTGTGGAATAGGTGAGGAAATTGCACTTTGGAAAATTTAAATAACTTCCACAAACCATGCAATAGTGAGTTGTGAGGTATTATAACCTGTGATAAATTAAAAAGTATTTTGACTCTAAGCATAAGTTTGTGCACCTGAGCAGTGAAGGCGAGGCAAATGCCCCTAAAGAAGGTCCAATGTTTTAATCATAGGATGTCACTGGTCACATTTAAGAAGTAGAGGTGCCAGTCAAAATTCTTCTATGGTATCATCAGGAGAGATATACCTTGATCTCCCTCTCTCACTTTGCAGATTTATGTTCACCCATTTTTTGTTCTCAACTGTCTCTGAGAAAGAAGTTTTCCTTCTCCCCTGTAAGACTTGAGGCATTCATTTTTCCTTTTTTTCTCTTTCTTATCTTGTGGCTTATTGTTTTATTCACTATTACCTATCCTTCTATTTGGAGTTTCCCCTTGTAGGAAGACACCTGAAATTGACCTACCTGGAACCACCATCTATATTCTGGGATACTGTGCTTCAGTCTTTTAGAAACTCTTTGAGGTATTTGTATGCTAAAAAAGTAAAGCTCAGAGAGGCTAAAAAATTCCTAAAGTTGGATGTTTATACAAGGCAAAGCTGGGTTTTCAACCCAGGAAGTCTGAGTGCAATATACTATCTTCAGACATACACAAAGTCCTATGAAAAACACAACCAAAGAAACCAAGGTTAAAACCTCAGTGTCCTCTTGGTCTATCTTTAAGTTGACTGTCATCTCTTCCCCTTTTCTTCATGTCACTGAATGACCTAAAGGAATACTTGCACCCCCTCTGCATTCTCTCTCTTCCTCTGTACCTCATTTCTAGTGCAGTCTTCCATCCTCCTCCAATAGTCTGTCACCTAGTTGAAGCTAATGCAGTAAATGTTCCAAACAACTTCTTTATTGGCAAATCCAGTGTCATCCTCAAAGTTTTGTTGAGATGCAGTGTCACTAGGTGGTTAGGCATGAACTTTCTGAAGGCAAATTCACCTAAGTCAGACTGTCAGCTCTGTTACTTTCCAAGGTGACCTTGGAAAAGTTACTTAAACCCATTGGATTTCAGCGTTCTCATCTGTAAAACTGGGGTAACAATAGCAACAATTTCATAGGATCCTTGTGAGGATTAAATGAGTAACGCATACAAAACCTCAAAGCATAGCTTGTCATATAGTCTGCAATCAATATATATTAGTTATTGCTACTTTTATTTTGACACTATTATAATTGACTTTGTTTCCATTTTCTATTGCCATCATACTGCTGTGTTACATACAACGATAAGCTGTATAATAAGATGGTTCATGCTCAACCATCCAACGGCTGGGGGAAGTAAGATAGCCTTGCTGTTTGCTCACATGACTGGGGTTTGACTTACTGTTGACTGGGGTAAAAGTGGGAATTGGCTTTGCTCCATCAATCTCTCACTCTAAAATTAGGCTAGATCTACTTACTGTGTTCTCATGAAGATGGCAAGAGTATGAGAGCAAACTAGATTCTTGCAAGAACTTTCATGCTCAGAACCAGAACATCATCAATTCTGCCTTTTGGCTGGTAACACCATGTTATATGACTGTGCCAGGAATCAGAGTGAAAGAACATTTCAAAGTTATAACGCAAAGAGAGTAGATGAGAGGGAAAAGATAAAGCTTTGTATTCTACCAGAGAACCCACTGTCTAGCCTTTGTTTATTTAAAGCTAACCTCCTTTACTCTAAGCAGTAGTTGACAACTTCTCTGCAAGTTGTGGTGCTCGAATCTACATTCCCAGTCTATAGGAATGCCAGACACAATAATGAACAAATTATGAAGTTAGAATTTCAGATAAGTAATAGAAACATTTTTGGTATGTCTAAAATATTATATAGAGCGTGCTTATGCTAAACAAAATATTATTTATTCAGAACTCAAGTTTAACTGGGCACCCTGTATTTTTATTTGCCATATATGGCATCTCTCCCAAACCGGTCTTTCTTCTGATATTTATCTACCAGAAGAATGTTTCCAAATGCATGTCTCCATAGACAGCTGAGCTTAAACTTATTCTAACCAATAGATTCTTCTTCCCACACATGCACCCTTTTTGCTTCTCTACAAACCCCTTTCCAGCATTTTGATCCACCAAGTGCTGCAAAATTAAACTTTTGTGAAAATAATTATCCATTTATGTCCCTCTCCTCACTTATTGGCTACTAATTCCCCTTAACCTTGACATTTATATTTTTCTCAAAGATGGCACACTGTCTGCATCACCAATTCTTCTTTCTTATTTTATGTTTTTTCATCTCTTATCACAGTAGTCTCTACTAAGGATTTTCCTAACTCAAATTTTATTTTGCTTACATCTTAAGGTGCCATTCTTACTAGTTAGAAACTCAAAGTTCAAGTCAAACTGCTTGGATTCCAATACTAACTTGACTGAGGATTAATTCTCTGAACTTGGGAAATTTATTTTATCTCATTAAATCTCATTTTTGTTATCCGCAAGTTGAAAATAATCTCATTGTTTTCCCTGTAATGTGGTGAGGACTAAACGATCTATTATTTGCAAAGTACAAAAGAATGGCCAGGCAGAATAAATGGTAGACAATATCCATAATAATAATGATTATTATTACTATAATGCACTTATTCTTTTATAATACCTGGTGTCTCTATTTCATCCCATCATAATACCTTTTCATCTTGCAAGTCTTAATGTGCAAAAACTACTCTGACATCATAGTTCATGAAAAATGAACAAACACCCTATCCTCAACTGTATTCTTTTCACGTTTTCTTTTCTCACAACCACTTTTATCATATAATGTGATGTTTGCTTATCTTTCTCTCCTGCTCAATAATGAGCTTCTTCTTTGCAATCTAGATTTACTCAACTTTAATGCATTTGAATTGAAAATCATTACAGATTCATAAAGCTAAATGTATTACTTTATTATATCAGTCATGGTTACAATGCAAGATGGCTATTAAGCTTGATATGTTCCCATTTTAAATTGTATGCCTTATATGCTCTATTTTCATGTTAAAATAATAAGGGAAATAGTTTGCTCAAAAGATTTAAACAGCTCATATGAAACACCTGGATTACTTCCTAGGCAAAGAGTAAATGGAAAATATAAGTACAGTAATTTATTAGAACTTTTATGTCAACAGTCTGTACTGTATGAAGAGACTGAAACACAAGCCCTGTCTACCAGGCAGACTATTTAATAAGCATGCAAAAACTTTACTGAGACTATGGGTAGTTTGACGAACTGTGGGAAATCTGGGAGACTGGGTTGAGAAGTGGGATGCGACCCAGGGTTGTCAATATAGCTAATATAGCACCCAAATCAATGACACAGCAATAGTCTTGTTAGGATATTATTTTTGTCATTACTGCCATTTTTCTTTTTAGCCACCACTAGAGTGGGGCACTGCTACTACTGACATTCCTCTTGCCATTTTTTTCTGCTTCTGGATACCTCTGCTCTAGATACATTCTGAATACCGTTTTTTGTCTTTGTGTCACTTTGCTAAAAATCCAAGACCAGTTGAGACAGTTGATTAGCCAAGCTTAATTCAAATGCCTAAGACATCGCTACTGGGAGCAATGAAAGGAATTATCTAGTCCTCTTTAAGGTCTGCATTGGGAGCCACAGTACTGTCTCCTCCTAAACAGAAACAAGTCTTAGATACTGAGTAGCCTCACAAAAACAAGTCATAAATGTCAATGACACAGAGCCCAAGTTAGAGCAAATGTCTATATTTTCTTCCATACCAGATTCAGCCCAGAATATAAATAAGCACACTCTTAGTTAAGTAACAAGAGTGCTACTGAAATCTAATTTATTTTTTAACTATACCTCCCAAACAATTTATCCAGTTTTCTAAAGTGACTAAAATTCTCTGAATTAAACCTTTGCCTAGCACATAGGGTTAAGACTTGTGGTCATGGTGAGAATTGTAAATTCATTTCCTGAGGGTTTGGGAAAAGAACCATCCTGTACATTATTACCATTTACTTCTGGAATACTTTCCACCCACATATTGGGAGGGAAAAGGGAGAGGAAAAGGAGAAAGCAGAGGAACACACATGGAACCAGAGATGCAGAGTCAAGGGAAGAAACTCACATGGATGGAGTGACTCAGTAATAAAACCTAGCCCCCAAGAGAGGCCACGTAGTGACTGACCTCTTCAGGATGGATGTGGCAGGGGCAAAGGGTGGAGATCAAAGGGACATGGATAAGAAGTCAACAAAGATAAACCATGTCTACAAAAATTATGCCCCAAGCCTTTAGGTGATCTAAGTGTGTTGTAGAAAACACCATCAAGAGGTGTCTGCTTTTTCCCCTTCTGGCGAGCTCTATAAATCAGCAATTCAGTGAAGTGGAAAAGCATAGCCTCTGAAATCAGCTTACCTAAATTCAGATTCAACACACACACTTACTTAATAGCCATGATGACGTCGGGCATTCCATTACTTCAGCTCTCTAGGCCATCTATAAAATGAGGGTAATAACAATACTTACCTCATAGGGGATCGTGTTAAGTGAATCAAAACATCTAAAGTTCCTGGCGTATAATAAGTATTCATAAACACTTACTATTCTTAAGATTATTATTGCCAGGTTAAGAGATGTGTCTATCCCAGGGACTCAGCTTAAGTGGTTAACCCTTTAACAGAAGTTGGTTTTGAATAATGGTGGACAGACCATGATGTTTACATAAATATCTTCTTACAGAGAATGTCAGAAGCCATCATGTATAATTAGTGAAGCAAAACAATCTTTTGAAATACAGTTGAGGGATTACCTCATGTCATGGAGTAAATTTATGGGGATCTCAGTTGGGGTCAGATAAAAGCCAAGGCTTTGAGAATGGAAACATTACCTCTTACAGGCACAAGTTGATTAAAGGAATACTAAATTCAAACATGTTAATATTCAAGAGGCCCTCCCTTCCTGGAATCAAGGGAATATTAAAGGGTTCGAGGGGCTCATGTGCTATTTGAGATGTAAAGCCTGTAGGCTTTACCAGCCCCACTTCTAAGGGTTTACAATTTTATTGTACAGAGAACAGAGAGTGACATTTGAACTCAAGTCATGTGGCTTTTTCTACCCAGCTGAATTCATTTCCCTAATAGCTGCAGTCACTGACAATCTAGGCTTCCACAAAAGCTTTGGGGTGAGTACTGTGACTTCAATTGTTTAAATCACCATTCTCATTTTGGCTGTAGAGATAAAGACCTTGGCAAACAGGATAAAAATAAAATTCTGGCCTCTCTGTGGTCATGTAAGGTGCATATTCCCTGTAACCAGATCAACATCCATTAAGAAGATACTAACATTCCGCATTCATTGAATTAGAACCATCTTTGTGCCATCCCTGGGACCTGTGTTGATCGTTTGTGAGCCAGGATATTTAAAGTATGACATTTTTTTCCTCAAACTATTTTGGAATATGACTAGTTTGGTATTTAATTGTTGTAGAATAAATCTCAACTTGGATACCTTTCACATCATATTGAGTCTTCCAGGCTGCTGAATTTCGACCTCAGAGATACCACGTGAAAGGAGGTTTCCATGGGAAGGAAGAAATAAACTCACAAGGTGCTTTCAATGAGTGAGATGTGATGTGACGGAGTTATTGAAAGGACATTATTCTTCTGATGGATTTTTTTCATTTGAGGAGCATATCATAGTCAGGTTCTTTATGGGAGTATTTTGTTGGTATGGACAGTTTTTTTTTTCTTATTCTTAGTGGTAGAAAATATTAAAAGACCATAATATTTAAAACAAGTAAAGCAAATGTGTATCTAATACTCAGGAGCAGCATGGAATGCTATTTTAAAACTAAGTCTGTATCATTGAAAATAAATTAATCCAAGCAAATGATCAAACAAATTGATTTTATACGATGTAGAGAAATACTCATTTATTTATTAATTTTCTTTAATACTTTTCTTGCTTTATAAAAGGTTCAGTCTTTGGCAAAAAAAAATCCATATTAATGACAAAAGACTTGAAAGAAATGGCAACCTAATCTCAATAAAGATTTAAGCGATGAACATCAAGATTATGGCATCATGTACAACTTATTTGACCCTTTTGATTGTACTAATCCTCCAAATTAGAAAGTCAGTTTTACCTGCAGCTCACTTAGCATGGTGATTGTGTTTGTGCACTAACTTTTTAACATTTACTTGACCTTCACTCCAGTATTCAATTTGTAACTTTCATAATGACCATGTGAGGCATTATTTTTCCCTCTGTATTGTTTCCTTTGAATCTATTTATTATTGTTTCAATAGGCAATAATTTGTGAGAATCATGCTTCTTTGGTGTTGATTGGGCCTTCTAAATGAAGAATGATTTCTTGCTTTTAGTAATAATATATGCTGTCCCCATAGTCACCTGATTATAATGGCTGGGTATCTTTCAAAGTGAATTTAAATGATGTAGCTGATACAATAATCTTCTAACAAAAACCGATCTCATTTTCCTTTTGGAAACACCAGTCAATAATCTATGGTGACTTTATAAGTGACTTTATCAGTGGATGATTTTTTTCAACTTTTACTCCAAAGAGTGGTATAGTACATCGTAATCATTTACAGGTGATGCTCGTGGCAGGTATAAGTTTCTATAGGTCATCAAGCTTGCTCTCCCCATCTGTAAAATATAAGTGTTACACAAGTTTTACACCCAAGGTTACATTCTATGATCTTATTTCTGCCATTACTATTGAGCAGAACTTCTTTTTGAACATTCAAATTTCACTTAGAAAATAAAGCCAAATACCTTTTAAAAATGTAAGTCCTCTTGTTTTAGGAAAAAGGGCTAAGCATACTTATTACGTACTTATTATATTCTTATTTATAATTCTTATTGTTATATAATGTATGTGGTTTTTTTGCATTTTTAATTTTGTCTTAAGAGAATTGTGTATAATGCTGCTTGCCTGTCTTATTATGCATCTGGTTATCTAATAGGTAGCTTATGAGATCTGTTAAAAAGTGCTACACGTTTCAAGTCAAATATATGTCGCCAGGTTTACATAAGGTACAAAACCATAAAAATAACTGCTCTTCAGCGTTCACTGAAGAATCTAGTAGGTATTTAAATTTATGACTTGAAATAACTTGGGTTAACTGATTTTTATTTTTAAGACTTTTCTTCCTTTCATGAATTGATATTTACTGTAAAACAAGTGAACATATGCTTTATGATGAACTTGAATTATGATGCTTAGTAATTAGTTATTCTAGTGGGCCTCAAATCTAATCAACCGGGACAAATTTATTTGAATGTCGTAAAAAGTCCACCATTTAAACATGCAATTCGACACTGAATATTCCATTTGTATTATATTTATATGTATCTGAAAACACACACACACACACACACACACACACACACACACACAATGTATATGGAAGAAGCACAAAAACCTTTCCACTTCATGAAACTCCTTGAGTTTCTTGTCTCTTTTTTTCATGAGATACTAGTTGTCAGGATTACCCTTAGACTCCCCAACTTTCTTTTATTTGTCTAATTTCTTTCTTCATTATACATCGTTTAGGTGACTAAATTTCTCATTTTTTTCTCTAAAATTTCCATTAAACACTTTCAAAACAAACAAAAATTTCTTTATAACATGTTTGCCTTCCTAAGTTCTTCCTAGAGTATGGTATGTTTCTAAAGTTAAAAAAAAATAGAAGAAATGGAAAATAGAAGAACACATAAAATCAACAAAATATTATTTTAACAAATTGGACAGAAACAATAAGTGTCAAAAATATTCCTCAGTTTTGTAAATATCAAGTAAAGTGTTGATGTTTGAACAAATGCACATGTGTATTTACATCTGACTTTAAACTTTCTTCCTTATATGTGAAGACTATCCCTGCAGGCCATTTAACATATTTGTGTCAATCTTCATCTGTATCAATATTGAAAGGAATATATTCCTTGTTGAATGCAGATAATGTGGCTGAAAGGATTTTAAGAATCTAACCTAAAATCAAGAAAGAAATAAAACAGGAATATATTTTTATATGTGTTGAAAAGTATTAAAGTTGATTGTTTCTGCTTAAGTGTTCATCAGTTAGTGTCACTGACATTTTGAAGGTATAATTTCAAATGTATCCCCTCCTGTGTATTTTCTTTGAGTCTCTAAAGGAAGAGAATTGAATCTTCAGTCATCAAACTGAGAAGTACAAAGGAAACAAAAGAAATATTTTGTTAAATTGCTTTTACCCTTGTCATACAATGGGTAGGAAACAAGGAGTTTACTAGTTTCTCATATTTACCTAATTGCTCACTGAAAGTTAATCACAACATTTGTCTTTGATTTAGTGTTTAAAAATCAGCTTCTGTTAAGTTTAATAAACTCCTGTTTAGATGAGTAGGGTTTTTATCAAACTGTGAAGTACCATGATTAGGGCTAGATAATTTGTATAAATTTTTAGATCTAAGGAAAATTTTATATAACTCTGTCAGTTCTCACTTGGTGCACTTCTCCGCTTCTTTGCTTTTTCTGTTTGAGTAAAAGGTACTGAAACGTCCATGGGTGACTTTATAAAGTATTGAGTCGTTCAAAACAATTAATAGAGAGAAAAATATAGATGGAGAAAAGAGAAATGAGATTAACTAGCATTAAATATGCTAAGAAACTTAGAAGTGACAAGTATAATAATAGAAACATTGTATACCAAAATAGGACAACCATTGATTACTTAATTTAAGCACATACTTTAAATGCCTTACATAAACTCTGAAAACATTATGATTCCCATTGTAAGAATAAAGAAACTGAATCAGAGAGGCTAAGTAACTTTTCCAAGACCTCACAGCCAATAGGTTGTAAAATTAGGATTAGAATCTTGATCTAAAATCCATGTTTGCTCTTCTTACTACTTCTTGTTATTGCCAGAAAGCATGCATCAGGAGTGATATCTGGATGAGTTGTGGGCTGAGAGAGATGGTAGATTGAGTTTGTTGTCTTCACTGGTTAATTAGAGTAATTCACTGACTGAGTATAAGTTTGGTAAAACTCAATAGAGTTCTAAGACCCTGAATTAAAGAGAGAAAAAATGGATCTTGATTGAAATCATCAGTTTTTTTTACTAGAACATGCAGGGAGCCTCCAGCATAAGGCAATTGTGAAGTTATCTATAGCATTTGTTTTCAGTATACCTAATTTTAGATGGTATGGATACCAATAATACTTTGTGTTTGGTTGTTAAACAAAGGCCATAATCTGAGTAGATAATTAACAACAAAGTCACTTTATTGAAGGCAAATTCATAAGATCCAGGGTTAAAATAATGGAACCCAATCTAGTGGAATATGGTGAAGAGGGAGCAGTCAAGTAAGGAAGCCACTTTTCTCTCATCTTCCTCATACCTTTATCTCTTTCATCATGAGCTGTATAATGCCACAAACCCTAAGGAAGGTAAATTTTACAATCCTGCTGCTGTGGAGAATAAGGCATTTCATGGGAGATGAGCTAGGCTTTGGAAGGATAAAATGTTAAAGGATAATCCAAAAGGAGAGTAAACTCTGAAAAAGGGAATTAGCAGCCCTTCACAGAACATGCCCTTCACAGAACATGCTTTCACAGAATTGGCTGCCCTTCACAGAACATGCTTTCCTAATTTACAATATCTTCTGATTCATAAAGTCCACTTTCTCTGTGCTAAAAGTGGCTCAGCATTGCTAGAGGGCAGATGATTTCACCAGTAGAGGTAACATAAATGAGGTGTTTGTTAAAGAGTTATAAAGAAGACAGCGTTTGAAGGGGAAAAAATCATGGTTGTAGACAGAATCTGTATAACTTTTTCACCGTGTAACAAGCCCTATAAATATCCAATATGGATATGATTATAGACATACCTTTGTCATTTTTTGTTGTTGCTGACCAAAGCAAAAAAAGGCTGCAGTGATTCCTTCTGTACACCAGGGGGTATCTCTTACCACTTCGGAAACTCATTTTCAGAACCTTTCCATTCACTCACTGTCTTCCTCATCACCTAGTTGAGCTCCTGGCTGTGTTGTAAGACTGCTTCTGGTTTCTCATCATATTATTCTGGAGCCCAAACACTTGAAGTTGGCTGGGAGTTTCTACTTTAAGTATCACTTATAGACCAACTGAGAGCCATTTTATGATTGGAATAAAACTCTTCGAAAACTTTCATTATTTCTAAGCCTAAAATCTTTGTTCTGTGAAGCCTGACATTTCTACTGAAGTAGAAACTCTTGCAAATTAAGATGTTCACGACCCAGTTTTCCAAGACTCACGTGCTTTGTGTGTTATGCTACACTGCTAGTTTGCTAAGAATCTTTGGGACCTTACTGAGAACAATTCCCATTAAAATAAATGACAGATTAGAAATATTTAAGAACATACAGGGCCGGGTGCGGTGACTCACGCCTGTAATCCCAGCACTTTGGGAGGCCGAGGCGGGCAGATCACGAGGTCAGGAGATCGGCAGCATCTTGGCTAACATGGTGAAACCCCGTCTCTACTAAAAATACAAAACAAAATTAGCCGGGCTTGGTGGCGGGCGCCTGTAGTCCCAGCTACTCGGGAGGCTGAGGCAGGAGAATGGCGTGAACCCGGGAGGCGGAGCTTGCAGTGAGGCGAGATCGCGCCACTGCACTCCAGCCTGGCGACTGAGCAAGACTCCGTCTCAAAAAAAAAAAAAAAAAAAAAAAAAGAACAAAAAGAACACATGGAAAAGAATACGGTTTAATAGTTTGAGAAAAATAATTCACTAACAAAAATTCTTTCTTAAAGTTATTAAACAGTGTAGAATTTGTAAAACTACTATAATTTAACTCCTGGTTAACAGAAGAAACTACTGCAGCCTTTTCACCTTAGCCAACTAAAAGAAAAGGGGATAGTATAATGTCAGGGCACATGGAAAATGGAAACATTTAATATGAAAATCTTTTCTTATTCTTCCTTGAGGAAGCATGCCAGAGTCTTAGTGTACAGTGCATCAATATTCTAGAGAAAGAGATTTGTCAGCCAGGTGATTTTTGACGTTTAAACTTGAAGGAAACAGAAGTTGTGTCTCAATAACAGAACACATGATTTTTTATGAGCCTTCCAGTGCATACCCTTTGTAAGGCAGGTACCTCATGCAGATCAGAGTTAGGCAACATAATGAAAACCAGCAACTGGTGTAATTTCTGACGTGTGTCATAAATCATACTCCATTTGCACTTTGGAACTGTCCCTGCTGGCAATCACCTGCGTATTTGGGGGTCAAGTGGAGTGTTCATCTTCCATCAAATTCAATGCAAACTATGAAGCATAGCTTGGTGGCTATGTTGTGGTTTACTTCTCAAGAGAGTCCGGTGATTACAATTGAAAAAATCCTGGGCTGTCCTTGTGATAGAAAGTTTGGGAAAGAAATATACCAATGCACAAGTGTTGCTTAGCAACACTGCTTTCATAAGGAAAAGTCAATTGTAGAACGTCTCAGAAAGTCATCACTTTGAGTATACCATATTCTCATTCCTTTAGTGAAACAATGAAGGATTGGCAAAAAAGTACAAACACTTTTTGACCCCCACCATCAATGTTAAACTAGTTATGATTACCTGTAAGTTTCAATATTTATTTATTGATGCAATAATTCACATTTCATTGAACATGTACTAAGCATGTACCCCAAATATAATGTCAGTCACTAATCCCATTAGAACCCATTCACTATTTCTTAAAGAAATAGAAGGTTACACATACAATGATTATTGTGTCATGTAACAAGTAATTCCATATTTGTTAATGGCCATAAAGTTAGAAAGGAGAGCAATATTGTAGAAATCATTACTTGAAACATTGTTTATATAGGTAACCCTCTCTAATTATATTAAGTAGAATGCAATAAACATTAATGGAGTACCTACTATGTAATAAAAAAAAAATTGGGCTGGATGCTGTATTACGTTAAAAACAAAATCTGCCACAAGCTGACTTTCTGACTTAATGAAGTTTGTACTCAAGTCATAGGAAACACAGATGAGTTCCCATGGTACAAAGAGAAAAATGGTTACCATAATGCAAGCACCACTCTCACAGAACAGCAGGCCACTTCTGGGAGAAGGAAGGTAAGAACAGGCTTGGATAGAGTCTAACGTTTCAACATTTAAAAAGAGAACAACGGTACAAACAAAAGTAAAGTATATAAAAGTACTACATAAGGAGAAAGCAATGAACATTTTGGAGTGCGGGAAGAAATGAATCAGCAAAAGTAGCTTGGAAGCAAATCATAGATTATCATACGAAAGAACTCTAATGAAAAAGCACAGGCTTTGGCTTCAACAGAGCTAAGCGTGAGTGCTGGCTTGAAAGATTATTAGGTATGTGTCCTTGGACAAGTTTTGTGTTTTTTTTTTTTTTTCTGATTTCTAGTACCTAATATGAAGAGTTGTGAGAATTAAGAAAGAGCATGCAAATCCCAAACCGCATGCTTAAACAATAATAGCCAATGAGTAAAAGGGAGCCACACCCAAAGTCTCAGTATGTCAATTTCAAATGGCATCTTAAGTCGCATTCATTTTCCACAGCGACACATTTGGTTAGTATATTCAATAGGTAGAAATCCTCTTCCTTCACAAAGAATTGTTCTCTCATTCATATTTTTAAAAAATATAGAGCCCTTTTAGTAATGTTATTATTAGTTTTATTAGAGACTATGGCTTAATAAATATGAATGTTTACAATAGAAAGTAGTGCAAGCATACTGAAAAATTATAATGTCATTAGTGCTCAGTTCACAAGAAAGTGATGACCTGCAGTAAAATGGAAACAATATCTCAGGGTGAAAGAAAATATCTACAGATTAAATAGATTGCTGTCCTGAAAGAGTCATACTGTGCCTCACGGGTTTTTGTTTTTTTTTTTTAAGCAAAATATCTTTTAATCTCTCCATTTAAAAATGTTGAAACCTATTCAAATTTTTAAAAATACTGAAGCAATCAACATATGTCAGTTGAAGAAACACAGAACAGTGACTAACATGCAAAGATGCTTCATAAATACTCTGAACAAATGAGTGATGAGTGAATCGATGAATGATGCAGGCCCACTTTGACCCACAGTTTTTGGTTTCTGAAGTAAAGTGTGTATCATGTGTCTTAACAAATACTAAGTTGTCAAGAAATATTTACTATTGTTACTATTATTATTGGCAACCCAATGAATGTCTTTAAGGGGAAGAATGGTGATACCTTGACTTTTTAAGAAGGCAACTCTTGGCAGGGCGCAGTGGCTCACGCCTGTAATCCCAGCACTTTGGGAGGCCGAGGTGGGAGGATCACGAGGTCAGGAGAGATCGAGACCATCCTGGCTAACATGGTGAAACACCGTGTCTACTAAAAATACAAAAAAAAAAAATTAGCCAGGCGTGGTGGCGGGCACCTGTAGTCCCAGCTACTCAGGAGGCTGAGGCAGGAGGATGGCGTGAACCTGGGAGGTGGAGCTTGCAGTGAGCCAAGATGGTGCCACCGCACTCCAGCCTGGGCGACAGAGCGAGACTCTGTCTCAAAAAAAAAGAAGTCAACTCTTTTGTCATCCAACTCCCTTTTATGATTCAATGCAGAGACTAAGCTGATGTGGAAAGAAATTAGAAACAGGGAAATTACTGGAACATTACCTAGCTAGAGGTCACACAGGCCTATTTAAAATAGTAGAATTTAAATGAAAAGATAGGGTGGCTATGTGGTACATTTTAGGAGTAGTATAAAATAATCTGATTCTGATTGGTAGCGAAAATTAACAAAAAGATAAATATCAGACTGATACCAAGATACTCAGTCATAGTAACTGAAATAATCGTTTATATTAATTCCAATAAGGAGATGTAACCATAAGTTCAAATTTTAACAAGCCTGAGATATAAAATTTGAGATATTGATGGCTAACGCATGTGGCAAGGGATGCTTATGAATTAATTACCTGACATTTAGGACTTTTCTTGGAAGAACAGTTAAAATTTCAAATGCAAATTTTTTAATTGCCTGCCAAATTGATAGTGAAAAACAGGAAAGTAGATGGAATCATCTTGGAAGGGAATATTCTTTAAGTAAATGAAAGCCTGCTATTCCATTCTGAGAGATGCCCACATTTGAAGACTGGATAGAAGGAAATAGAAGCAGAGAACCTATAGTGAGATGGATGTGGAAAGATCCAGGACGATACCTGGTCAAATAAACACTTCACAAGAAGTTCAAGGGAAAAGGGTTTTAAGTAGGGAGCAGAGAGATAGTCCGATAGCACACAGTTTAGAAAGGAAAGATAAATTTCAGAGTGATGAAAAAAACTATTACGTTTAATAATGAGGGTGGCACTGGTGAAGTCTGAACGAGCACTTCAGTAGAGTGGAAGTGGCGATGGCCAATAGTGTCCGATAATGAAGAACAGTAAACATCAGACACAGGGGTTATTTGCAGATGACTAGAAGAGTCATTGAGGAGGAAAATAGGAATGGAACAGATAACTAGAATGGAGGCAGAGAAGGGGCTGAAGCAGATTTTAGCAGCTATTTTTTCTTTTTCATTCTTTCTGTGTTCCTATGGCAGACATGTATTTAATTTTACACCAATTTTAATTTGTTAAAATTTGATAGGTTTTATTGTGATTATTCTTGAATTTTTTAAATATTCATGGCTGTTTCTCTCCAAATTATTTTATTGAAAAGAAAGATAGGATATTCTGGCTACAACTGTGGCTATAGCCTTACATGGAGACCTGGTTACATCAATAATTGTGTGTCCTTCTGTCTTAGAAAATGGGGAAAAGGTGCAGCAGGAAGGAAAGTGACTTGCAAATGTATTGAGTTTAAATTAGAGTAGTTCTTTAATAAATATCAGTTGCAGAAATAGTATCTATAAAAAGTGTTGAAAAATACAATGTGAGTTTCTTCAAATAGCCCTTGATTTTTGGCAATAATATATGTTGTAGTCTTTATTTGACTGTGGTTTTAGGTATTTCTGAATATAGCGGTTTCTTACAGGTTTTTTATACACAATTACATGCACTCCCTCACCTAATTGTTTATATAAGCCCAACCCCAAATGAGGTTGTATATTACCAAGAGTACAGATATGACTGCAGTGATAATTTTTTTATTCTCTTTATTAATATTTTGAATGATTCAACCATTGTGGCTTTGTTTTTCTTGACTGACTGATTATTTGATTGATTTCAACTCACCAAGTAATCATTAGAATTTCACTAAGCATAAGGCACCATGCTGGATGCTATGGGGGAAAATGAATCTTTTAAGACATGATCCCTGTTTTAAAGAGACTGACAACTTAGGTTATAATAAGACCCAAATATTGCAAAACAGGTTTCAAGAAATAAGTCAGATGCTTAGCACTATTAAGAACAAAAACAAAACAACATCACTTTCTGTCATAATTCATACTTGTAAAGAAAATATGGAATTTTAAGAAAATGAACGTTCTAATATTACTTACCTGATTACATTGTAATGATTTAACTAGATACTACATACGTTTAGCACAGTGTCTGGCACAAGTCATTCTTTTTTTTTTTTTTTTTTTTTTTGAGATGGAGTCTCGCTCTGTCGCCCAGGCTGGAATGCAGTGGTGCCATCTCAGCTCACTGCAAGCTCCGCCTCCTGGGTTCACGCCATTCTCCTGCCTCAGCCTCCCGAGTAGCTGGGACTACTGGTGCCCGCCACCACGCCCAGCTAATTTTTTCTTTTTTTGTATTTTTTACAAAAAAAATACAAAAATAGACGGGGTTTCACTGTGTTAGCCAGGATGGTCTCGATCTCCTGACCTCGTGATCCACCCGCCTCAGCCTCCCAAAGTGCTGGGATTACAGGCGTGAGCCACCGAGCCTAGCCTGGCACAAGTCATTCTTAATGTAAACATGACTTGGGAAAGTTTCTGAAGTGTGCCAACTCTTCATTTCTTTATGCATTCAGCCAATACGATTAGGGCACAGACTGGAATCATGCTCTGTAGAGGCATTAAGTATTAAGCAGGGGACAAAGCAGACCCTTGTGAAGTATATGTTCTCTATGTTTTCACTTGGATTATCTACGTGGTTTGGGGGGTTGGGCTATATCTTTGTATAGTGAGTGAAAAGAATTTCCCAGACTCACTTTAAATTATGATGCTATTAATTTTTACAAGAGCCTATTTTGTTTTTAGTTAAAATTTAGTAGAGTCAAAGAGAAAGGTCAGGATGAAATACCACAGATAAGAAGGGGACAGAGATGGCCGGGCATGGTGGCTCATGCCTGTAATCCCAGCACTTTGGGAGCCCGAGGCGGGCAGATCACGAGATCAGGAATTCAAGACGAGCCTGACCAACATGGTGAAACCCCGTCTCTACTGAAAACACAAAAATTAGCTGGGCGTGATGGTGTGCACCTGTAATCCCAGCTACTTGGGAGGCTGAGGCAGGAGAATCGCTTAAACTCAGGAGGCGGATGTTGCAGTGAGCCGAGATCACGCCACTGCTCTCCAGCCTGGGCAACAGAGTGAGACTCCATCTCAAAAAAACAAAAAGGGGGGACAGAGATGTAACATGAGTTTGACCAGGGCAAACCTGTTATCCAAGACAGCAGTTCTGTGTACTAAAACCAACACTGGCATGAACACATTAGATTATTATTACTTTAGTGACTAGATCTGATAATGCCACTGGTAAGTTCTCTGAGGTCCGGAAACTTTTCTGTCTTTTTTCACTATGCAGAATGTGCCTGACACATGATGGTTGCTCAAAGTTATTGACACGTTGATTGATTGAGATAGAATTTCTCTCTGACACATTTGCTGTATTGTTCTATGTGCACATCTACTATTTCCTTAATTTGATTCTAAGTGTCTTAATGAAAAGTAGTGTAGATTGTTAATTCTTGGGACTTCCTACAGCACCTTTGAATACATGTGATATGGTTTGGATATTTGTTCCCTCCAAATCCCATGTTGAATGTGATTCCCAGTGTTGGATAGGGGGCCTTGTGGGAGATGTTGGGGTCATGGGGGAGGATCCCTCATGAATGGCTTGGTGCCTTCCTCATAGTAATGAGTTCAGTTGAGAGCTGGTTGTTGGAGCCTAATACTTCCTCCTCTTGCTCTCTTGCTCCTTTCTCTCATGCTCACTCTCCTGCCATGTGTGATGCCTGCTCCCACTTCCCCTTCTGCCATGATTGTAAGCTCCCTGCTGCCCTCACCAGAAGCTGGTCAGATGCTGGTGTTATGCTCGTACAGCCTATAGAACCATAAGCCAAAATAAACCTCTTTTCTTTATCAAGTACCTAGCCTCAGGTATTTCTTTATAGCAAAACAGACAAAATAACACAGAGGGGAAGGGACCACAGCCCTCCTGCCCCCAGAATGGTAGATCCATGGGCATCTTGCATCCCATGTCTGAAAAAGCCAGAAGCACTCAACCCTAACCTGTCAGCAGCCACGCTGGCTATATACCCTGCAAAGCCGTGAAGACAGAGCTGCCCAAGGCCTTGGGAGTCTGTTCCTCACACCAGTGTGCCCAGGACCTGGAGCCAAAGAAGATTATTCTGGAACTTTAAGGTTTAATGTCTGCCCTTCTGGGTTACAGACTTGCATGGGGCCTGTTGTCTCTTTCTTTTGGCTGATTTCTCCCTTTTGGAATGGGAATATTCACCCATTGCCTATACCACCATTTTATCTTGGAAGTAAATAACTTGTTTTTGATCTTACAGGCTTATAGGTGGAAGAAATTTGAGTCTCAGATAAGACTTTAGACTTTGGACTTTTTGCTGAGTTGATGCTAGAAGGAGTTGAGACTTTGGGGACTATTGGAAACAGATTATTGTGTTTTGCAATGTAAGGAGGACAGGCAATTTGGGAGGTTAGGGACAGAATGATATGGTTTGGATGTTTGTCCCCTCCAAATCTCATGTTAAAATGTGATTCCCAAGGTTAGAGGTGGGGCCTGGTGGGAGGTGTTGAGGTCATGGGGGAGGATCCCTTATGAATGGTTTGTTGTCTTTCCATAGTAATGAGTTCAGGTGAGGTTGTTTAAAGGAGTCTGGTATTTCCTCTTCTCACTTTCTTCCTCCCTTCTCTCATGCTCATTTTCCTGCCATGTGCAATGCCTGCTCCCACTTCGCCTTTTGCCATGATTGTCAGCTCCCTGATTCCCTCACCAGAAGCTGAGCAGATGTTGCTGTTATGCTTGTGCAGCCTGCAGAATGATGAGCCTAAGTAAACCTCTTTTCTTTGTAAATTACCCAGTCTCAGGTATTTATGGCAATGCAAATGGACTAATACAACACGTAATATTTTTAAAAGATTTTCAGAAAAGGTGAGTGGCAATTAATTTATAGTGATAAAATCATATTAGAGAATTTTTGAAGAAGTACTTTTTAGGCATACATTTTCTTTTGGTTGCACAAGACGCTTAACCCTGGTACATATTTTATTTCAATGTTTTGGGAGTTAATAAAATTATGTTGAGTCATTCTTTTGATAAAATAAAATTTATTGTCTAAAAATGAAACATTGTATAAGTTTCATAACATATAAGTGGATATTCCTTATCACCAACTCCCGGAAAAGTTAACTAAATATTAATGCATGTGACATATCACTGCCAGTAATTTGGTCAATGTGATAGATTCACTCAAATCATTTTGTGTAGATGTACATCCACTTATAAGACATACAGGATAAGAATGGGATTATATATTTTGTCTCAGACGATTTTCTTTCCTTTTGGGGGTGAGGGAGGGGATGGGGTCTCACTCTGTCACCCAGGCTGGAATGCAGTTGTGCAATCGTGGCTCACTGCGCCTTCAACCTCCCAGGCTCAAGCAGTCCTCCTACCTCAGCCTCCTGAGTAGCTGAAACTACAGGTGTGCACCACTACTCCCAGTTAATCTTTAATGTTTTTTATAGAGACAGGATCTCACTATGTGGCCTAGGTTTTTCTTGAACTCGTGGCCTCAAGTGATCCTCCCATTTCGGCCTCCCAAAGTGCTGGGATTACAGGCATGAGCCACCTCACCTGACCCCAGACCACTTTCTAAAGGAGAATTCACCAAAACCATATTTTCCAATACCTGGCTTGATGGTTGTTATTCTGGAAACTTTATCTAAGTCCTTGAGGCTCCCTTGGCCTCAGCATCTCTCCTTCAGTCTTCCTGTCCAAGCCACTTCCTCTATTCTCTTCCTAGTACCTTTTGAGGTAGTTCCCAATTCCACAATGACTGCCACAATTCTTTCTGCAAGGCCACTGTCTACCAGTGCTGTGTTCAGTCCCAGTAGAGCCAGCCAAGATTTTTCTCCCTCTCCCATTCTTGCCACAGACGTTACATCAGATTTACAGTTCCAGCCATGGTAAATTTCATGCTCTGGGCAGAAAATCTCCTGAATTTTCATCTTTGAGTCATGATCTAGTTTGTGACATCTCATTGTGTGGAAAAGCTGATCATCTTGCTACTGTATTGATTCATAAGGATCTAGAACCAACTGCTATATTTAAGGAACTTTTCATCCAATGCGTTGGTACACTTAGGGACATTTTTCACTTCTAAATATTAGTAACTTACCAGTTCCCTACTTGGTAGGGAATATATGTCATAATTCCCTAATTATGACATATGAAAAATGTCATAATTCAATATCTTTGCAAAAAGAGTAACTATTTTTATGACATAATAGATAGCATTCATAAGATAATTTGTGCGAATGAAATAACTGTATAAACTGTAAAGAACTGTGATGGATATCTCTAATCCCAGCACTTTGGGAGTCTGAAGCAGGAGGATCACTTGAGCCCAGAAGTTTGAGACCAACTAGGCAACATAGTGAGACTCCATCTCAACAACAACAAAAAATTAAATTGAAAAGAAAAATACTAGCTGGGGGTGGTGGCACAGGACTGTTGTCTCAGCTACTCAGGAGGCTGAAGTAGGAGGATTGGTTGAGCCCAGGAGTTTGAGGCCTCAGTGAGTTGTAATTGTGCCATAAACTTGAGTGATAGAGTGAGACTGTGTCAAAAAAAGGAAATAAATTTTTTAAAAAATTGACTGTAAAGCACTATATAAAGATTAAGCTTTGTTAAGGTCATAGGAAGAATTCAAACTCGAATATCTACTTGATTGATATTCTTTCTGGATCCCAAAATGTAAGTTGATATATGATGTGTTATTTTTTAAAACATTGATTTAAACTTGCATCAATGTATTTTCCTAATTTCAATTAATCTCCTTTAGGGCAGACTCTAATTTTGTCTTCAATTATCTTTCAGTCCACAGTTTGCAATTTTATCTGATAAAAAATGTGTAGGTACTTAAGATTTCTTCTGTGAGCATCTAGTGACCTAATAGTTGAACCACGGTTTAATGGGACCTTTGTTCCACTTACTGAGAAAGAGAGTGGAGTTTTTAATAAAGGAATGAATTTTTTGTGTGATAAGGTCAAACAGCACGTGGAATTAGCCACCTTAGTAACTCCCATGTGGGTAATCTCTACCTCAAATGTCTTCAAAATGTGAAACTTGTACTATTGGTCACAAAATCTATTTGTTGATGGTGATCAGTATTTCTTTTAGTGAGAAATAACAGAATAGAATGGACTGAAATGGGATGGTATGAGATAAAATAGAAATTATTAGAGTCATCGAATGTTTGGGCTTTCTGAGAAAGATGAGAGAAGTTCTGAAGTAAAAGTATTTTTCAGTGTGAGTCCTGGTCACATAAATTTGAAAGCTTCTGCTTTATAGAAACTGCACTGGCACCCGTTGTTCTAATAACAAAGCGGAGTGTCGGAGAGGGTGTGCATATTCTTCAAGTAGAGCTGGTCGTGGATACAGTTTTGAAAGCTCACATAGAAGGGAAAGTAACAACATTCCCATGCAAAGCGTCCATTTTAATTTTACAGCACTTGGAAAGAATTTTCTTCTAGAGCTAGAGAAAGCCTATTCTAAAACACTTAAGCATGTGAGGATCATCTTTCTTTCTACTACTCTATTTTTTAAACTGTCATGTAAGGTTTTTGAGGGTAAGAACTATATCTTTTCATCCTTTTTTTTTTTTTCTCTCTCTCTCTCTATTGCCTGGGCGGGAGTGCAGTGGCGCGATCTCGGCTCACTGTAACCTCCGCCTCCTGGGCTCAAGCGATTCTCCTGCCTCAGCCTCCCGAGTAGCTGGGACTACAGGTGCCTGCACCATGCCTGGCTAATTTTTCTGTTTTTAGTAGAGACAGGGTTTCACCTTATTGTCCAGGCTGTCCTCGAACTCCTGACCTGGTGATCCACCTGCCTCTACCTCCCGAAGTGCTGGGATTACAGGCGTGAGCCACTGTGCCCGGTCGTCTTTTCATCTTTTTAAACCCAAAGCCAGCACAGTAACTACCATAAGATGATATTCCATAAATATTGACTATTGACAGAATGAATTTTTATGTTTTAGGACATATAAATTAAAATGACTGAAAATAATAGTGAGAATGCCCTAACATTTTTGTAGGCCTTCCATTATATGTATATATTATATCTAAGTATTAAAGAAGATAAATATATATAAAGATTATATATTTATAAATATTAATATAATTATATAAAATAATTAATATAATATATTTAT
Organism: Homo sapiens; assembly: GCF_000001405.40. Classification (NCBI taxonomy): domain Eukaryota; kingdom Metazoa; phylum Chordata; class Mammalia; order Primates; family Hominidae; genus Homo; species Homo sapiens. Next base: position 30,452,277 of record NC_000021.9, on the reverse strand, counting down.
AAATATATATTTATATATTTTATATATAATATATAATATATATTATGTATTAAATATATATTATATATTATATATTTATATACATATTTATCTTCTTTAATACTTACAGTAATTCTGCCAAATAGATGATTTTATTCAATTGTAAAAATGAAAAAAATTGAGGTCATTGAAGGTCATGAGCTCATATGTCAGAAAAATCATTCCTGATAACTCAGTTTACAAGCGAAAAAAAAATTAAGTAGGTTTCTTAAGAAGAATGTGTAGAAACTGAGAGAAGGGATTTTAAGTCACCCTTTCATAATTCACCTCAGAGGATACTAAACATTCTTGTCTCTCAATAAGTACATCTTTTTCTTCTGTTTTTTGTTTGTTTGTTTATTTGTTTATACTTAGTCTTAATGGTTTCATAAAATGTATTTTGAGTGGGAACATATTTTAATTTTTAACAGAGCTGATGTTAATGAAATTCGATAAATAAAATGGTTATATACATCACAGAATTAAAACATATATAGTTGTGTGCACCCATTGAAATAGAGTGTATCTTTGCAGGATGGGGGCAATGGACAAACTAAATACATTCTAAGTCTTCACAATAGAATTTGTACAAAATTGGGATATAAAGAATGATATTTAAAGAAATAAAATGGATTTCCAATCGATGACCCGAGCCTCATATCGGCCTGGTACTATGATCTTTAACAATTTAGAATGTATCATTACAGAATTTCATTACTCTCTTTCAATATGCAGAATATTCTGAGCATGACATATAAAGGAGCAAAATTAAAATGTTCCATATCCTTAACTTTATGCTGGTTTTCCTTGTGTTTCTTCTAACGTTATGTAAAATCCAATTACTTAAGTCAATATCAAAATAGCTAGAAATCTCTGCCTGGTGGTTGTGAAAATGTAGCGGCTAAATGGCTATTGAGAGTGCATTGTGTCATATGCAAGAAAGCCTGCTCTATACTTAGTTCTGCAGGAATCACTTTTGTTTTTATGTAGAGGTGCCAAAATTTAAGTTGAGCCTCTCTTCAATTACATGAACGTTGTTCAACTCTCCACACTATTTCTTTCATATCACCGTTCTTCCATTTGTGCTCCACTGGCTCCAGTAAATATCCTTAGATACTTCATCGTGGGTGCCGTTAGCTCCTCTAAGAATATTTTTCAACATTCATCCTGCCTCTTACCAGGCTATGTAAAAAAAACTTGTAGAAATGTAATTCACTGTCAATAGACAGATCCCTAACACCTGAATACTATGTTAGCAAGATCTTTGAAAAAGTAATGCTCAATATTTCTTTGATTTAAAAAGCTTAGAAAGTTTGACTGAGGAAAACAGGTACTTTATTACCCAGGAGATAGGGACAGTTTACTCTGATGAGGATGAATGTTCTTTTATTTGTATTTATTTTTACCTCTTGCATAAGGGTGATATAGCCCAAAATATATAGAGGGAGTTTTAAAAACGGACGTGAGTTGACAAGACACTACTGGCTTGCTGTTTGATTTTGGACAAATAAACTTTATTTTACCTCAGATGTCATATTATGTATATAAACAAATCAAATACCCAACACATCTCTTTGTGTTGTTTTATGGATTATTAAAATATATTGCTACAGCATGTATATTGTTTTTTAAAAGCCCACGACATTTTGACTACCGCTTTTGAAAATAGCCTAAAAGTGAAAAGGCAAATGACTCCAATTTTCATAATTAAATTTTATTTTTGTCTACAATAATGGTTTCTTAATGTTGTGATCTTGTTTCCATAGAACAATCAAAGCCTAGCAATATAAGTTGGTAGTAGAGGTGATACATTCTTTGAAATATCTTTTATCCCTTTATACACAAAGATACCTGAAACTGTCAATAAGAAACACCTCTGCTTCTGGGATGGAACATTCATCTCTTCTAAGAGGATTCTTTCATCTGCACAAGGTTTCCTCTTTCTATCAAAAAGTATATAGTAAGCATGACCTATGTGCTTACAATGACATACACATCGGAAACACTGGAGAATACTAAGTTGATGTTATGTGGATCAGGACAAGATATAAAGCCAGTTTTCTACACTTAATAAATAATTTATATCAAAAGTACTGCATTTCCTTGAAAGAAGAATAAATCACTTGCTAACTTTTTACTAAATGATACTCTACTCTGTAGGTAACAAATTATGTAGAAGATACAATCCTTGTTTAAGGGCTCCTTCCAGGCAAGTTGGAAAAATTCAGAAAGTAGGATATAGCTTTCAAACTAAAAAATATTTCTAATATTTTCTTAGCCAGAAGGATTTCAGATAATACAACATGAACAAAGTGAATTGCAAATATTATCTCAAATAAAATATTGCCTAAAACAGTCAAATAAAAGAGCTCATTTTAAAATCTGCCCAAATAGTAAATTACATTTAGATGACAGATGGAAATTCTGAAATGATTAGTTAGAAATTTCCAGTGATCTCCTGTTTCTTATGTAATATTATATAAGTTTGTTAGTATGGTATCTTGTGACCAGTAACCTTTCTAGTTCAAGCTCCAGCTGTTGTTCTCATGCACTCTGTGCATCAGAATCCTCACCTCTGCTTGAATACTGCTTTGTAAGTTTTACCTGTGATGTTCCTTTTCTGTGATCTTACGCTGTCATCTAAATCTATGATCCTTTAGGTCCTAAGTCAAGACTTATCTTTTCTGGGAAAAGTCCTCCAATCTTTATTGCTTTTCTCGTAAGATTATATCAGTGTATTAGTCAAAGTTCTCCAGAGAAACAGAATCAATAGAATCTCTTAGTGGACAGAGAGAGAGAGAGAGAGAGAGAGAGAGAGAGAGAGAGAGAGAGAGAGTTGTCACTGTAGTAACTAAAGCTTTCATTAAAATGTCTGTGCATATTCACAGTCATGACTTTTCTGCTAATGAGTCCTCCACACTCCCCAGTGTAGCTCTGCTAAGAAGGCAACACTAGCCCAACTGTGCACAAGAAGCACATTAGAGCAGAAGGCAATGTTCAGAGAATTTGTTTCCAAAAATTGTTTAAATCTAGTTTACCATCTTATGTTATTTCTGGCCATCACATTCCTCATGTTTGTTTTATTTCTTTGTTACTCTTTTTAAAAAAATCTTCTTTTATCATTCTCTACCTTTCTGCTTTGCTTCCTGCACTTTAACAAAGTATTTGCTCTTTTTGCAATTTCCATAAATCTTGGCATTATTGACAGTTGGGTAGCATACTTCTTCGCTAGGTTTGCACCATCCTGAGTATTGTAAGATGCTTAGCAACATCCCTGGGCCTCTTCCCATTAGATGCCAGTAGCAGCCACCAGTTCATGACAACCAAAAATGTCACCAGACATTGCCCTGTGTCTCCTGGGGGCAAAATTATTTTTTGTATAGAACCACTGCTTTAGATGGGTATTTTAGAAATGAACTGTGTGGGATAGTTCTGAACTGTGGATGCTAGACCCCATTTGGAATGTGGATAGCACAATATGGATGCAATATTATATTACTCCATGAATGAATAAAGTGTTATGGATGACCGCTGAATCAGCATATTTATACTTCCTAAATCTAAAATAATGGCGAGCTACCCACTTAGCAAGTATTTTTCTGCTATAGCATATGGACATAATAGCTTTGATTGTGTTTACCTTATAATGACCTGTTCAATTGTAATTAGAGAAAAATGATGACATTATTGTGACAAGCTTCTAAAATGCTTACGTTGTCTCTTGAGATCACACCCACTCATGATCATCATAGACTAAGAGATAATGGTAAGAATTAGATTGTCTCTTCACTATATTTCAAATAATCAAGAACAATTGCTAGAATATAGGTTCTGTTTTATTATCTCTTGGGCCTTCCAAGATCTTTCTTCAATTTGTATGACTCATTCTATGTGCTCTACAACAGAGAACTCAGCTTTTTTAGTATCTACCAGCAGTGGTAAAATGGACTGTGAACTGTGTTTCTTCATTCTGAAGCTTTGTAGCTGATATCACAGGCTTTACCCTTCGTCCCAACATTTCAATTTAGTTCATTATATGAACATTTTACTATGAACCTCTTCAGCTGTTTCTACCAAATATTTCATGGTGAAAATCACCTACTCAAAGAGTTTATATTTCAAGTACAAAAAAGCAAATTCATTTAAATAAGTGTTTATTTGGACCTGCCATGTGCCACGGTTTATGCTAGGTCCTGGAGGATGTAATATAAATAACACACATATCAACAGAATTATACACGAACTGTAGTTTTAGTTAGAATGATTGTGATAGTTAATATTTTGTGTCAACTTGACTGAATCAGAGGATGCCCAGGTATCTGGTAAAACATTTCTGGATGTATCTGTGACAGTGTTTCTGGATGAGATTAGCATTTAAATCAATGGATTCAGTAGACTGCCTTTTCCAACCTGGATAAGCTTCATCCCAACTATCGAGGGCCATAATAGAACAAACGGCAGAGGAAGGAGGAATTTGCCCCTTTTTCTTTTTGCCTGGCCACTTGAGCTGACACATAAGTATTTTCCTGCTCTTATACTGGGATTTATACTATCACCTTCCCAGATTTTCAGTCCCTTGGACTCAGACTGGAATTATACCAACAGCTCTCCTGGGTCTTCAACTTACAAATGCAGACTGTGGGAATTCCCAGCCTCCAATTCCTCATATTCTCTCTCTCTCTCTCCATCTCTCTTTCTCACTCATTATTCCAGAGAGATCATACTGATTTTGTTTCTCTGGAGAACCTGACTAATGCAGAACCTGAGGTGATCATTAAGGACTAACCCTGTTTGGGAAGTGCAAGGCTGTAGCAATGGAGCATGGAAGTGCAGCAAGCAAAATGCAATGCAATGCTGTGCGATGTGTTAGTGGCCCTGAGTATCACTTCATAATGAGGTATAAGGCAAGCCACTTGGCAGGCATGCTCGTTAAACATTGCCGACTTCTCTGGAGGGGTTGCAAAGAAAAAATACACCTCAAAGTAATTGATGGGATAGGGAGGAAAGGGGAAACTTGTCTTTTCCTGTTCTAGCATCTCCTGTTACCACTGATCAGGTTCACTGTAAGGGTAATTCAACCACATTTCCGGTTGAAGCATGTTTTGGGGAAGCACTCAGGAAGTCAGACTCCATACTCCATCCAGGTGTAGTATTTCATCAAACTCTGAAAGTGCTGGGGGAACCCTGAGTAGAGGGCCCATAGGCTAAGAAAGTGAGAGAAAGAAGGCTGTGGTGGTGAACAACTTCTATGACCTAACAAGATCACTGGAAAATCCTGAAAGTATTTATACATAGATAAAAATAAATACACAAAATATATTTGCAATAAATTGCTTTACGTATATAGGGACAAGTGTATTACCTTCATAATGTCAAAAAATCTATTAAAATCATTTCTGTGCCTGATTATTTTAGTTTTCTTTAACTACCAAGTCATACTTTTAAAAATGTGAATTCTATTTCTAATTTTAAAGTTAAACAACAGATACCTTAAAAATTAATCAATACAACATTCTCACTTAACAAATAAGGAAACTGAGGCTCAAGGAGATAAGATAATTTGCCCAAGTTTACATAGGGAATGATGGATTCAGCTCTAGAAGTTGTCTCTAGGCTGCCAATTCAATATTCTATTCTCTCTTCATCTTTCTACATAATTGAAAAGAGTTGCTTTTTCATTGAAACACAGACAGCTGACTTAATGGTCCTTCAGAAATGGCAAAACAGAGGGAATCTGGAACTCAGGTAGTCAGATATTTTCTTCTGCATCTTAGGCTATGAGTATCTTCCCTTGAGCCAAAGCTAAAGGTATGAGGCAAGTTTCTGGACAAAATAACATGTTGTAGATGACACCAGTCAGAAAAGCAAAGGATCCTTCACAGACTGGAGTGTAAATAGGAGACATCCCTTTAGGGAAAGACTGAGATAAACATTTGACAATGTGGCTATGAGCTTCAGTGCTCTGTAAGTACAGAATGGCAAAATCTGTTCATCAATTTCCTCCCTAATTCATTAACTAGCCATTTATCATGTCAGAGAAATATAAAAAGTTAATAAGACAATCTCCTAGTTATGAGCACATGTTCCAGAGGTAAACCAAATGTGGTTGCAGCCTCCATCACTTGGCCGCATTGTTTTGCTGGAAAGTATATTTAACCTGCCTGTGCTGCAATTTCTTCATCTGTAAAATGGAGGTTATACTAGAACTTGCCTTACAGCATTGATTGGAGATTAAATGATTCACACTGTGCACTTGCTATATAATAATAAATACTGGATATTATTCATATTATTATAATTTGTGAAACCTAGAAGGAGTTCTGTTTATTCATCACAAAACTCAACACTCTCAGTCAAATGGAAAAACTTTGAGAATCTGTGAAACATTTTGTTGATGTTTGTTCACTTCAAATTTTAAAAGAACACAGTAGCCATTTATTCTGATGTTGAGGCTCCAGTTGATGCTACAAAGTGTAGATGAAGCCAAAGAAAAGAAGTGAGAAGAATTAACTGATGTTCCTTTATTATAGTTACCAGAAATTGGAGCATTATGGTAACAATTTTGAAGCAAGTTCCATCATGTTAAAGCAAAGGTTGGTAAACTTTTTTATTTTTTTCTGAAAGGGGCTAGATGGTGAATATTTAAGGCCTTAAGGGACATATGGTCTCTGTCTGAACCACTCAACTCTTCCACTGTAGCATGAAAGTCAGAATAGACCATATGTAAATGGATGCTTGTGGCTGTGTTCCGATCAATTTCATATATAGAAACAGGTAGTAGCTGGATTTGGCCCACCAGCCATCATTTTTCAACTCCTGATCTAGAAGAAAAGCTCTGTAGAAAATCATTTATTCTGTGACAGTATGGTTATATTCACCATGATTCTTTATTTGTGAATATCCAGGGTATTTCATATAGGAGTGTAGTTACTCATGTCACTTTCTCATTATTGAGCTTATATAATGAGCTTTCTTTTATCTTTATGTAAAATAATTTTACAGGTGCTTTTCACATAAGTCACAAATTTGGTAGAGTCCCCAAAGCTGAGGGCAAATATTGGTAAATGACAATAAATCCCAGTCCTAGTCACATTCCCATGATTAGAGATGGCCTTGACAGCTTTACAGCTTTCCTGAGCCTTATACCCCTTGAGTGCAATTTAGACATTCATAAAAGAACGAGGTTTACTCTGAAATAAGTTTTATTCTTGTGGGATAATACTACCCATGTGACACACAAAGAGAAATACATATATCCCTGGCTTCCCTCTCTTTGGGAAGGGAGAGAAGGTGATGAGGCCCATTCATAGACAGTGTGGTGGCTGGCTAGAATGACAGAAGGTAGTCTCATTCTCTATAATAAGAATGTTTTATATTATAGGAACTCAACAAATGTTTGTTCAATGAATCCCTAACTGAAAATAACATTTTCTAAAGCAATTATATGATCAAATGCTCTATGATGGGATATAAATCTCTCAAGACATGAAATGTCATGTTTCAACTCCTCTCTCAACTCCATTTTCTTTCCAGAAAAAAAAAAAGAAGAAGAAACACATAAAGCTAAGAAAACAAGCTTACCTAATGAAAATAGTAATAAGTACAGGATGCATTTACTAAAAGTGTCACACTAATAAAAGAAAATGACATGTCTCTGGAATTGTTTGCCCACCAAGAAGACAAGGCAGAAAATTGAGTATTTCTGTATCTCCTGGAGTTTTGAGACTATACTAGCATACTCTTAAAGCAGTGAGCCATTAGAATTAGCTGGGTGGAAGACACCTGCTCTAGGACCAAATCACACTTCCATGGGCAGTGCTGTGAGTGTGTGTTTCCTATGGGCCAAGAGGGCCACCTCCAGGACAAATGGATTCTAGCAGAAGAAAGCTGGCTGGGATGGAGCCCTAGCAGGAGGGAACTCGGGATGAGGATACAGGGAGAAGTCATGGAAGGGTGTGCTAACTCTGTCAGGCAATATTCAGTTCAGGGATTCCAGGGAGAATGGGCTGGGGTGGGAATAAGATGGTTTCTAGAAAACACACCAAAGTCTCCACTAGGAAAAGAACCAATATTCAGACACCTGTGGTGTCTTAGTCAGTTCAGACTAAGATACCATATACTGGGAGACTCAAACAAGAGAAATTTATTTTTCACAGTTCTGGAGGCTGGGAAGTACAAGATCAAAGTACTGTCCGATTTGGTTTTTAGAGATGGTTCTCCTCCTGGTTTGCAGATGACCACCTTCTCTCTGTGTCCTCACGTAGCAGAGAGCACAGAGACCAGAAGCAAACCTCTTGTGTCTTTTCTTATAAAGGCACTAGTTTCCACATGAAGGTTCCATTTTCATAAGCTAATTACCTCCCAAAGGCCTCTTCTCCAAATACCATTGCATTGGGAATTAGGATTTTAACATATGAATTTGGAGGAAGGGCACAAACATTACATGCTCAGTTCAGAGTGCATAATAACAGAGGATATTCAATGGCAAAGATTGGGTCCTAGCTAAATGCACAAACCTTAATGTCCCTATTGAAAAACCTGTAAGATCACCAGAAAATCTGCTAAGACGAAATGAAGTATATTTGAGCTCCCTGCCACAAAGAAGAATGCTACTGTAAGTCTTGTCTGTGTTTCCACAGGGAGGTGTTAGAAATGAGATTCTGGGCTGAGCTGGTTCAAGGTGGGTCTTTCAGAGAGGAAGCTGACATGAGTTTCTTGATACATAAACTGTTGCTTAATTAGGGAACTGTTTATTCAGGTCTTTGGGCTATTGGCTCCAACAAATTAATCTATAGGAATTTCCTGAAGCATGCAGTGAAATGAGCTATTGGTTGTTATTATCTCTTCCCAGTAAAAGTTTTCAGAGGCAAACAACAAAGTCCATGTTGACACAGGTGGCCTAAAGCATCATGTTGAGGAAGATGGCCCTGGTTGTCATTTTCTTTCCTCCCATTGTGTATGTTTGAATCAAAGGGAAACAAGGAGCAGTACATTGATGGAAGGCAAGGTGGAGTATGGAAATTTAAAAAAAAAAAAAATCTTCTTTAAACCACTGGTGGCCTTTGGAAACACATGACAGGCCTAAACTGAGGGGAAAGGGAGAAGCTTTTATTGTGGCTGTAAGACTGGTTTTGTAATTATGCAACTTTGGATTACTAACGTGAAATGAAAATTTTTCTTAATATCTTAATGTGATCATAGATCTACCCATTGTGTTGTTCAGGGATTCAGGGAAGCTAGAGCTCTAAATTCAAGTGTGAAGTTCAGTGGTGTTAAAAAAAAATGAAGCAGTTTCCTAATTGTGTCCTGAGTCCTGTCTGCTTAATGCATCAATTAAAATCAAAGATAACCATCTAATAATTCTTGATTTTCTCTTACTCAGTAGTAGGGTTAGATTTTCATTCAGTGGGTCCTCTATAGGGTCTGACATAATAATTGACATTTTGATCAAAGTAAGAAAAACATGAAAAATTCCAAGTTATTATTTATTATTTTACCACTGTTTATCAGTGCTGAGCTTACTTAGGATCAGAATAAATATCATGAAGATGGAAGCTATGCAAATGTACCTCTTAAATCTTCTGCTTCAGGGAGCATTACTGACTGATTGACAGCTACAGCAGTTGGTCTTTGAATCTACCATCACTTCTGTGCCAAGGTTGTGCTGTCATCCATTCTTGTTAGTAAATACTCTTGGCAAGGATGCTAAGGCAGGCCCATTTTGGTGATATGTAAGGCTCCTTTGATGGGTGACTTGCCAAAACTTTCTTAGAATTGCCCTAAAGGAGTTTCTTTTTTTTTCTTATCTTTTCTTTTCTTTTCTTTTTTTTTTTTTGAGACGGAGTCTCGCTCTGTCGCCCAGGCCGGAGTGCAGTGGCACTGTCTTGGCTCACTGCAAGCTCTGCCTCCCGGGTTCACGCCATTCTCCTGCCTCAGCCTCCCGAGTAGCTGGGACTACAGGCACCCGCCACCAGGCCCGGCTAATTTTTTGTATTTTTAGTAGAGACGGGGTTTCACCGTGTTAGCCAGGGTGGTCTCGATCTCCTGACCTCGCGATCCACCCGCCTCGGCCTCCCAAAGCGCTGGGATCACAGGCATGAGCCACCACGCCCGATGGGGAGTTTCTTAAAGAAGTTTCTTCTAGACCAAACTTAGTTCCCTCTGTCCTTCACTGAGGCTAGACATACTCCACAGTAGTATGGCTCTCCCAGACCTCTCCAACTACCTCCCCATTATCTATCACTGGCATTTTCACCAATAAATCTTTTTTATGTTTAATCCCATTTGGCAGCTGCTTTTCAAGGGACTGCAATGGACACAATAGATCAGTAAGATTTGTTATTCTAAAATTAAGTGTAACTTATTTACTCTATTTTCAATAATGGGTTTATATTATTTTCTCTGAGTGTTTTTGAAGTTCTTCTTTGTGTTCCCACTGAATCTTGTCTTCACCCCATTATTCCATTTGCCATATAAGTTATAATTGTATTTGTGGGAACTTCCTGAAGCAGAGAATTTGTGTCTTTGTTCAGCGTAATGCTTGGTATATAATAGGACCTCAATAAATTTTTTTTCAATGAAAGACTAAAACAAAATTTTCTGAAGCAAATATATAAAAAATGCACTTATGAGGGGATTTAAATCTCTTAAAACATGTGATAGGTTATATATTTAAATTTTCTTTGCACTTTGTTTTCTATTCAACAAAATATCAATAAAACATATGAAACAAACAAAAAGTGTACCTAAGGAAGACAGTTGAAGATATGGGATGAATTCACTAAATGTATCATTTTTACTTATTTATTTATTTATTTTTTGACACAGAGTCCCACTTTGTTGCCCAGGCTGGAGTGTAGTGGCATGATCTCAGCTGACTACAACCTCCGTCTCTCAGATTCAAGTGATTCGCCTGCCTCAGCCTCCTGAGTAGCTGGGATTATAGGTGCACACCAGGCCTTGCTAATTTTTGTATTTTTAGTAGAAATGGGTTTTCACTGTGTTGGCCAGGATGGCCTCAAACTCTTGACCTAAAGTGATCCGCCAGCCTCAGTCTCCCAAAGTGCTGGGATTACAGGTGTGAGCCATCATGCCCAGCCTAAGTGTATTGTATTAACAAAATAAAATGGAATGCCAGAATTCATGCCAAAGAAATAAGCTTATTTAAAATATTGTAACTATTTGAAATATATTTGAGTGGAAGAGTTCTGGGAAAATAATGAGAGAAGGATTTTAGAAAGATGATAACAGAAATGATCCTGAGCATTGGCACAAAAATTGAAATTCAAGATATATCTCCTGTCAGATTTAGGAAGGGTCCTAGGTCAAGATTAATTTGTCCGTGTTCAATCATATACTTCCAAGAGGGCTAGGATGCTGAGTCCTACTGATGTAGATGGTCAACAATCACAGATATTGGACAGGCTGAGTGTTGCAGTTCCATAGAGTACAGAAATAATCATGAGAGAATGGAGAATATTCAGTAAGATGATCCAAAAAGGCGAGACCCAAAGGCTGGTTAGTAACAAGTTGCCTGGAAATTCCTGGATGAAAAGGTAGTTGGGTGGTAGAAGCTGGACCCACAGTCCAGAGATTGGAAGCCAGTGCTTCCACAACCAAGAGATCCAAGGCCAGTGTTTCCACATCCAAGGGATCTTATGTAGTTAGTCTGGCGGGGACTGCAGAAGATGGAATTCTTTGGGCAGTAACAGGATGTCTGATAGGATCTGGCCAAAGTGCAGGATGTCTGGCAGCTGGTGGGCTCACAGTAGGTCTCCTGACAGCCATTGTAGAGAGAGGAGCCCAGTTGGCAGGTATTTGGAGAATAGATGGCATTGCTGGGGTAGAACAAATTATAAGTGGAAACTGGATACCTCAGGTAACTTCCAAAACAGCAGGAGGAGAAGTTTCCAGAGCTGCAGTTGTAAGACATGTTAACAGGAGTTCTGAGCTCAGGTGATTTGCAGTGAGGAGCGTGTGTGTGTGAATGTTACCTTCTATACTGGACACTGACATACTCTAGCAATAGGTGTAGTCACAAGTGCCCATTCTAATGAGAACACTTAATTAGGCTGCAGTCAAAATGAAATATATTAACACTCAAAGAATTTTATTTATGAACGTAGACTTCTACATGAAAGAATTTCATTAGTTTTTCAAAGCAATTGTTCATGAAACAAAAATGCCATTTCTCATTCATCTTGCTTAGGTAGAATGAAAACCACCATAATTGTACCTATAAGACTGATGCTTCAAAGGGTCGGGCGCGGAGGCTCACACTTGTAATTCCAGCACTTTGGGAGGCTGAGGCAGGCATATCACGAGGTCAGGAGTTCCAGACCAGCCTGACCAACATGGTGAAACTCCGTCTCTACTAAAAATACAAAAATTAGCCGGGCATGGTGGTGGGCGGCTGTAATCCCAGCTACTCAGGAGGCTGAGGCAGGAGAATTGCTTGAACCCGGGAGGCGGAGTTTGCAGTGAGCCGAGATCGTACCACTGCACTCCAGCCTGGGAGACAGAGCAAGATTCCATCTCCAAAACAAACAAACAAACAAAGAAACAAAAAAACAAAGAAAAAAACTTGATGCTTCATTCATCCTGTCCTTCTAGAAATTGGATCAAACGGCTAAGACACTGAGAGTTCTGGTATTTGTAAAGATCTGAAAAATACCTTGTAATCTGGAAGGGACTTTGATCTTGCTCCAATTTTATAAATTCAATTGAGAACAGAAAAAAAATTTCAATATCTATTCCTTCTTTCAATTCTTTGAACCATTAGAAGAAATAACCCAATAACAATCCTTATTTGGTAGACATGCTAAATGAGTGCCTAACATATTTAAGTTTAGATTTCTTATAACACAAGTAGCTAAGTCACTCTTGTGCACATGAAGAGTTAAGAATGAAGGGTGAAATTTTTGAACAAGTGCTTTGAAGTTTACATTGTAAAACTACTAAAGAAATCCCTTACTCAAAGGTTGATTTGCTTCTTCATAGAAGTCATCAATAAGTTTGATTATAAAAAACCGTTTATCCCCATAAGGTATAAGTAATTTTTGGTCATGTTGATGTTACTGAGAGGAAAATAATAAGCACTATAAGTAAAATGTAAATCGTTAATCTTTTCCTTTCTTTTCTCTCAGAGGGTGACATTTTTACCAGAGAGGGAAAAGAAAAGCAAGAAATGAGGGAAATGTCTATCCCATGTAGTATTCACAGAAAGATAAAATATGTAAAGAATTCATAGTAACAAATGACTTTATAAATTGAAATAAAGGGGTGGGAAGGATACATGATGATAATGTGTAATTGAGAGTGAATGCCTTTGTGACCTCTGATGTATCAGCTGACATATATATTCTGCCTAGAGTACTAGAGTAATGAGGATTTTTCTGGATTCGCTCAGAAAGTTCATCAGAGCAAACTGTAAATAGATATATGGCACGGATGCAGGAAATGCCTTAACCTGTGGGAATGGGCAAACCTCTTAAGACATCCATCTTCAGAACTGATGTATTCTACAATGGAAGTGAACTGAGACTCCCTTCTATGAAGAATCAGGATTACTAGGTAAAAGTTTTAGGGGAAGATTCAGCTAAAAATCTAAAATGAGTTGCTCTTGCAATTAATGATATTTCCATACTGAGGGCCCTGGGAAAATCTAATTAGGATGTTGTAAGTGGAATTCCAATCTGACAGGAGGCTGGAGATAATTGCTCAACTTCCTTCCAAATTGTAGACTTTATAAGTCTAAACTTTTGAGGAGACAAATTGATCTCCAATCATGTTTCATTTATTAAGTAACATAGTTTGTTCTGTGTTTCTGGAATAAACAATTCTTATTTATTAGGCTTCTCAATTATTAATAGCCAAAAAGCATTCTAGTAGATTCCAAATCTTCCTGTTGTGTTTGTCAATAAAATATTGAATATCAAAATAGCCACACAAATATTTAGCCCGCCTAAATTGAAGTTGCTTTCTTGTTTTAATGTCATCCATTCCTATATAAGCAATTTCAGTAGAAGAATACTCTGAGGGATCAGATATTAAGTAATGTCGCACATTCTTTTCTCAAAGTATGGATTTTTTTGCATTCAACTACTTTCATTCAGAAGTGGAATGGAAACTTTTTTCTAAAAATGAGCAAATCAAACAACACAGAAACCACAGCAAGATAAATCTCAATCTCTCCTCTTCCTCAAGATATCAGTCTCATTACACCATTACATCAAGGTGAAATACAAGTCACAGAACAAGAGAAAATATGACCATTATTTTAGAAGTGTTGTAATACCTGTCAGAAACACCTGAAAATAATTTACGTCAAAGTCATGTATGTTATTTTTGAGGCAAAGGAAGAATCTTCCTAAGATGCTGCCTTTGTCTCACCATCTCAAAGCAGTTACTTTATAAACTTTCTTTAAAACAGGAATCTTTTCCAGATTCTGGGGAATTCTTTTAGTGGGAAACACTGACTCTGATTAGAGGTAGAAATACACTAGGCATCTTTGACACATGATCTGTTTTTATTTTTAATGCCTTTTAAGCATCTTAGATGAATAATCTCGACCATTCCAAAATACATAAAGCAATTTATTATTTTTAATTCACTCAACAGTAAACACACACCCAAGGAAAGAAAAGCTAAGATTGGCTCCTAATAGTCTGCATACAGTTTTAAACAGGAGCACAGAAAATAAGGGAATCTCAGTTAATATTTCATTAAAGCTGTTCCAGTTGAAGTTTGATTTTTAAAAAGACATTATATCTTGCATATCACCATTGCTGCTTTCTGATGACATTCTTCGTTAAGTTAGCTTGCTACTTTGCGGTGACAGTGAATGTATGTTTTTGTTTGAAAGAAATGACTATGAATAGATTGGTTAGCTGGCAACTTTGTGCACCAGATGGCAACAATTTTGAGACAGATTGTGAAATGGGTATCAATTATTTTTAATTAAGGCAGCTTCCCTCAGCCCAGACACTGTCTACCTCTAAAGCGATTCTCTGAGTTATCTGAAGAGTGACCTTTGGTAAGGGAAGATGAGTAATAGCTTTAAAGAGTCAACACTATTAACTGAATCCCAAGGCACAAACATTACTGCACTTCCTAGCTGTAAAATCACAATAAATACATATGTCTGACTATGATTATCTTTTTAATTCATTTAAAGTTGGCAGGTAACCTATTTTATGTGCCATGTGGATGACACACCCAATGTTAAGGGCATATAAGTCCCCAGGTCCAAGAAGTGACATTCAAAGTCACAACCTTGTCATTGTAAGTCAACTCTCTCCTACAACTGCTACTCTGGAAACTTCTCCTCCCGCCCTGTGGGGCATAACTGCGCTACCCAGGCTTCTCTTGTGGCTCTTCCTACCCCAGCAAACTGGTCTACAGCACTGACCTCTGCTCTCCCAGCACCTGCCAGCTGGGCTCTTCTCTCTACAGGGGCTGTCAGGAGACCTGCTGGGAGCTCCGCAGGTGCCAGACATCCTGTGTAGTGTCCAGCACCTGCCAGATCTCCTGCTATTGCCCCAGAACCTCTATACTCTGCAGGCCCTGCCAGATGACTTACTCTGGATCTCTGGGCTTTGGATCCAGGGGCTTTCAATCTTTTGGCTGTGGCTCTCCATCCCTGGGCTTTGTATCCAGTGTATTCCAATCCATGGGTTATTGTCCCATTGCTTTCACATCCCTAAATTATAGACCCAACTTTTACCACCCAACCTTCTATTCTTCTAGTAGCTGCCAGTCTGCTTCTTACCATCCAGCCTGTGAATATGACTTTTAGTAATTATGTTTGAGGAACCAGAAACTTAAACACAATACCTACTGTGTCCATATCCATATATCCATACCGTCTATTGCTCTCCTATCCTATCATTTGCCTACGAATTTGATTTCTACTGTTACCCATGATAGATGAGGAATAATCTGAATTCCAGTAACTAGAAAATATTCACTGGAGCAAGATGTCAAAACTGCTTATTTATAATTATATAGATATGCAATATCAAAGCACACTTCTCTTACTGTATCTCCTAGTTATTTCCCCTAGAGTAGTTGCTTTAAATTTTACAAAGTGAAGAACGTAAGTTTAAATAAAACTGGGTAACATTACATGTGCATATCTGCTTTAATATTCTTTGCTTACTTTTTGTCTTAAAAACTACTAAATATCTGGCTAGGTTTTTCTGTGTTTTCTACTAAAGACACTTGCGCACGAATGTTCATTGTAGCATGATTCAGAATAGCGAAGATGTGGAATCAAGATAAATGGCCATCAATGACAGATTGAATAAAGAAAATGTGGTACATATATACCATGAAATACTATGTAGCCATAAAAAAAGAACAAGATCGTATCTTTTGTGGGAACATGGATGGAGCTAGAGGCTATTCTCCTTGGCAAACTAACATAGAAACAGAAAACCAAATAGTGCATGTTGTAAATTACAAGAGGGAGCTAAATGATGCGAACACATGAACACACAGAAGGAAACAACAGACACTGGGATCTACTTGAGGGAGGAGGGCGAGAAGAAGAAGAGAAACAGAAAAGATAACTACTGGGTACTGGGCTTAATACCTGGGTGATGATATAATCTGTACAACAAAATCCCCGTGACACGAGTTCACCTATGTAACAAATCTTCACATGTACCTTTAACCCTAAAATAAAAGTTTAATTTATTTTTAATTTTAAAAAGTAAAATTGTCCATATTCTTTTTTAATTTAGAAGACTTTTCATCTTTCATATTGATTCCATCTATTAATATCTTCACGTGATAAAATGAAGAGGACACATTTTTAAGACTACAAACAAACTAACCACTGTGGTCTTCTTTTTCTGCAGGGAGTTAGAAACATCAATATTTTTATATAAATGATTACATTTGCAATGACTATTAAATTGATTGTATCACATAATTTTGGTAGAAAGAATACTTTTATAAAATGTTTTCTGAAATATATGAGAATTCAGAGTGAGGATATCCAGTAAAAAGTTAGATTTTAGTGAGTTAGATTTGTTGAGGAATCCAGATCCCCTAGCCTTAGTGCCAGGTAAGAAATCAATTCTCCAAATGAAAGTGCTAACATATTTCAATATTCGTTAGCAAGTAGGACCAACCTGTTTTATATAATCAGTTCTATAAACTTGATGAAGTCTCAACTTACTCTTATTTTTTAAGTTGTTTGGTTGGCAGCACTTTCTTGAAAAAATAAAATTCAAAACCAGTGCAAATATTCTCTTGTTACAGGATTAGGCTAAATATCCAGGTAGCTGATAATCCTTGAATCAGCAGTTAAGCCTCAAATGTTTTATCATTTAAGTCAAGTACAACATTATTAAATGGAAGACCTAGATACTTACCTACTGGGTAACAATATGGCATGGTTTATTTTTTGTTGTTGTTGTTTCAGTATCCAATACCATTTGGTGATTGTCTCAGATTTTTAACTTTTTATTTATTTATAATCAGTAATATATTAACATAAATAATGATTAGTTTAGGAAATTTCTACTTTACTTTTGTCATGGTTTCATCTAGTGAAGAAAAAGTAGCACGCACAGTGAGCAGAGTTTTTACTTCAATTGTTAAATCTGAAAGAAGACAGAATGCTTACAATTGTTCTTAAAATTTCTAAACAAAATAGAACTATCTTTTTTTTGTTGTTGTTGTTGAGATAACTTGCGGTGCTATGGTTCAGGCTGGATTGCAGTGGCACAATCTCCGTTCACTGCAACCTTCACCTCCCAGGCTCAAACTATCCTCCCACCTCAGCCTCCCAAGTAGCTAGGACTAGAAGCACACACCACCACACCCCGCTAAAAACTATAACTTTTCTTGCAAAGAGAACATGCAGACAGAGCATTTGAGAAACAAATTACACTTACATACAAGTGATAGGTCAGCCTACTCGTTCAAGTCTTGGGGGTGGGTCATTTGTTGTTCAGACCTAGCCGGTAGTGCGATGGCCCATTCCACAGCTGCAAGACGCGGCAATACTCTCAAGCCAACAGTAGGTGGAGTTAGTGGGAAATTTGAGAATTGCTGGCTAGGTGCACGTGAAGTATGGGCATGAAATTTTGACTGCCACAAAGCCACAGATAAAGGATAATCTAAATGCTCTTGCTACAGTGATTTGGCCATGTCTTGTATTTTTTAAATCTACAACTATTTTTTATTATTCGGTAACACTTTTCTTCTTTAAATTTTGTAGATAGAAGAAAAGGAAAATAAGCCAAAAATAAAAGCTCATTTTTTAATGAAAAAAACAAAAGTTGGGTTCTGAATTTCTACCACTAAATCCGGTTGATGGTGACTGCATGAACTTGTACAACAATTTGATGATATTTATTATTCAACATGAGAGTAGGTGATATCATTGACCACATGAAAAGTGAAAGACATAGTTTTACTGAAGATACATCAGTATCTACTTCAAAAGACAGAAAAATGTTTAAGAAGACCAAGTCCTAAGATGATTATTTACTATTAACAGTTGCAAAAAGTGTGTCAATACATCACCCTGATACAGACATTTTCATTTAGGTCAAATAACTGTTTTAAGTCATTTTCACTCGTGTTAAATTATACATATTCTTGTGCATGTACAGAAAATAATTGAACCAATAGTTAATGACATGCCCCTCCAGTAGCAGGAAAAACAAATCACTAGGGATTAAATGAATTCAGTTTTATATTAGAACTGTCAAATGCTTCAAACAGAAAATAAATTAATTCCAATAATGTTTTGATTTCTTCGCCTAGCCCCCCCAAAAGAGTAAAGCTATAAAAAGTTCATAATGTTCTGTTTGATAAAGCTAATGTAAAGTTATTTTAAAAGTTCAACATTGAAGATGAGATTATCTGTTGTATCCATAATGATAAAAAGTACAAATTTTGGTAAGGACATCATGGTAAAGAAAATAAGAGTCCTGTGGAGAAGACGCACATTTTTAATTGTGGTGAATACATAACTCACTTTGTATCCGAATAAGCTGCAATATTCTATCAATAAAAGTAGAAGATATAATTTGAAAAATTTTAAAACACTTTGTATATACTCTAAATTGTACTGGCAATCAATACTTTTCCTTACCTTGTTAATCACCATGTTCACGTTTTTCTACTGTATTATCTTTGAGCTCTTGTTTCATTTATTTTAAGCAATAATTTGTATTGTTTTATACAGAAAAGTAAATGAAAGGAATTTCCTTATGTTTATCAATATTTTTTACACATTGTATGCTGCTTCTGCATTCTATATTATTAGTTTACTCAAGAACATTGCCATGAATTCACTCTGATTGATTCCATCCCCCTTCAGTCCAATCTCACCAAAATGGGAATCTGATTTACGTTATTAGTGAGATGTTGCAAGAGTCTGCAATTTCACCATTCTTGTTCATAATGCTTGGTATTATTGAAGGCAGAACTTTATATCTATCATCTTGGATCCTAAATCTGAAAAAACTAAGTTACACTCATGATAATAATTAAAATGTTAAGATATGTCATAGAACTCAGAATTCATAACATTTTCTTCCTGAGATGCCATTGATTATTTTTCTATTACTCTACTATTTGTTATAACCGTTAAAATGTTATTTAAATAAATTAGTTTACCTTCTTTGGAGCTCTTCTCCTAAACTCTAAATTTATTTGTATTTTCATTCTTTATTACTGATACTACTCATGAGGCTACACAAATAAATCCAATAGTGGATCATCTCCATTTAGATGAATAGTAATTCTGCAGTATTTCTGTACTACTAGAAATACTAAGTGTTCCTTGGTTGAACTAGGAGTTGTATTTTTTAATAAAAAGAAAAGAAAAACCAGAAAAGAGTAACAAAACAAGATTCATTCAAGAGATCATATTCTACCAGGTCTTTGATCTGTAAGCCTTGGCCAGTTTTAAATCCTTTTAGAGTTTCCATTCCCCCATGCCTGTAAAGGTCTATAGTATACAGTATTTGTCTTTCTCACAGGGATGTTAAGTATTAAGGGAAAATCTGTTACCTGATAACTCTTTTGCCTTCTTGTGTGGTATACACTCACCTATGACCACAAGCATAGCAATGCAAACCATTTTATGTTGGCTTCAACCACCTTTGTGTGGACAACATCTGCCCTCAGTCATATGCAACGCCACTTTTACTGTACCTGGGTTTCTTCCAGGTCACAACTAGGAAAACAGAAGGTGCCCACTGTGATTCTTTCCTTGCATAATTATAAGGTTCCTGAAAATTACACATCTTGGATATTGTTCAGCCAATGGGAGAAAGAAGCGGATGGATAAATGTTTTTCCATGTTGATCTGATCCTGTGGGGGACAATTCCAAGAGTCATTCTACATGCTCCTAAAAGGTCCTTACAAGATTTAGCCAAGTTGCTCTCCATAAAATAAACTCGAAAATGCACCCTTTCTTTAGATTTTCCTCTTTGATTCTTTCATCTTCCATAGTGTCTCATACTTGCTTCCTGGGATCTTGTGCCACATAAACTGTTTGCACCCAAATCTTTGACATTAGCCTTGTTCTGGGGAGAAGAGGAGGATCCAGAGTAAGACTAATGGATATAAATGCTTGTTCAGCATGGCTCAGGTGTGTTGCTGTCAGCTTGATTAAGGTTGAGCCTTGAAGAAGCATCGGTAGGTTACCGAAGCCTCCTGGACCCAATAATTCCCACTTAAGATCATTGGTGAATGATCCTGACTCTCCTTACCAGTGGGAGGCAGGAAACCTGGCACTTAAGTCTACTAACAAAGAGCAAAGCGTCTGTCCTAGCAGTGCTTAAGCTTCACTTTTCTCTTGGTTGAAAATCCACATTCAGATACTAGACTTTAAGTAACCTTTAGTGCAAGCATACAGTTTACCTTATAAATTACATCCTAGTCTTGTTGTCTGCATTTCTAGTTTATGCATCAAATTTTCTGCTTTCCTATATCAGTAGAAATGCATGTCCTTCATTCTTAGACAATTCTCACTGCTGTTGAGACAAGTCTGCAGATGCAAACTATGTTCTTCCAGAAATGATTACTCTTAATAGACAACATACCTAATTTCAAGAGAAATGTTCTCAGATCTGTCAGATTATATGGGCCCCAAATCCAGTTACACAGTCATATTGATTTTTACTTAAATCTCCCAAATTCTTGAATGCAAAAATGTAAGCAAAATAATAATAATAAAATAATAACAATGTGAACAATATATTTGGGTACCAGATTACATACATTTATTAGATTAAAATTTCCATTTTCAACAGTTTTTGGATGAAAATCAGATAGCATATATTCGATCAATGGTAAAGATATTAGAAGTTAATATTAGGTTACTCATTAATTTCGCAGTCTGCCAGAAGTTGGTCATGCAAGAAGCTGGTGGTGGAAGAATAAAAAGATATTGGGATCTGGCAAGAATGAAAATAATGGCTGCATTCAGTAGAGACTTTGATCCCAATACTCAAAAGGATCTAGAAATTTAGCAGGTGAATTGATAGAAGCGAGATCCACAGATTGGTCTGTAACAAGAAGACTGCCAGGCTCCAGAAGCCAAGTAGTTTGGGTAGCAGAATCTGGATCCGTAACTCAGGGAAGGAAAACCACAGCCTCCATATTTCAGGAATCTGAAGCCACTGGATCCATTTCCCAGCGAGTAGCAGCACCTAGATCCATAGCCCTGGGAGCGACAGCTGCTGGACCGAAAGCCTAGAGATCCAGAGCAAGTCGTCTGACAGGGACAGCAGAGGATGGAGGTCCTGGGGCGGTAGCAGGATTTCTGGCAGCTGGCGGGCTCCCAGCAGGTCTTCTGACAGTCCCTGTAGAGAGAGGAACGCAGCTGGCAGGTGCTGGGAGAGCAGAGGGCAGTGCTGTAGACCAGGCTGCTGGGGTAGGAGCCTGGGTAGTACAGGTAGCCCCCAAAGGAGCGGGAGGAGAAGTTTCTAGAGCAGCAGTTGTAGGACATGCTGATGAGAGATGGGAGTTCAGCTGAGTGTACCTAAGAAGATTCTGAGTTTTAATGTCGCATCCTGGACAAGGGCATTTATATCCTCTCAGCAATAGGTGTGGTGCCCAACAGGGTCATCCTTTACATATTTGTGATCCCTCATTTACATATGTGTAACTGCGTAATCTTGTCTGTAATTGCATTTGAATAGTTTTCCATGTATTGTATTTATGGGTGCTATAATTTTCGTGTTATAGCACAAAGCCAATGAACTGTACTTATGTCAGAAATGCTATGACTGTTTTATATTAATGTCTAGCTCATCATGACAAGGAAAGCTCTTCCTATTTCTTTGGCACATGCTAACTGCCTCTTTTCCTGTGTATTCACATCTGGCTTTGCTAGTAGATGTTTTCCTCTTAAGAGTGGGGAATGAGATAACGTTAGTTTCTTTCTGGTGCAATTTCCACCTGGATGAGAACCTTTGTGAAAATGATCCATCTTGTCACCATTGATTGCTATACTCCAAAATTACTTTGTGGTGATTTTTTAGGGCGGTAAGAGTAAATTAATACATTAAGTACTACAGTTATAAAGTCTGTCTCATATCCAGTGAAGAAAGATCAAGAACAGGCAAAGCAAAGAGATAGAAAGAAATGGCTAGAAATTGAAAGAAACCTTGCCATTTATTTAAAGACGAGATAACAAAAAGAAGCTCGATTGAAACACAGTCACAGAGAAGATCAATTTGAGGTCATGTCTCTTCAGCCAAAGAGCCCGAATGCTTGTCTGCTGAAGGGAGGAAACAAGTGAAAGAGAAACAAAGAGAAAGCTCAGGAATTTCAGAATTTTTTTTCCTATTGCATTCCAGCTGTCATGTGTCTTGTCTCAATGTCTTTATGAGCAAAAATTTTCAAAATTAGCAAATCTTATGAACTTTGATATATTTATCATCTACTTTTGTAATTATACAGGACTTCTACCTTCTTAGAATGGCTCTAGCTTTCCATATTACTGGCTTTCAGTGTCTTTTTGCCACTTGTAGAACCAGGTACCATCCTACATTTTCCTGTGAAAATGTGAAGTTTCTTTGTTCCCCAGTCCTCTTTTCCTCTGCATGGTATATGAATGTTTCTCTCTTATTTTCTCTCTCTCTTCCTCTGACTTTCTTTCCCTCTATTTTTCTTTCTTTTTTCTGTGCTTAAGTTTGATTTTATCTTTTTTCTTTTTTTTACTTGTTATATTTTATGTTTTGTTCATGTGTTTGTTTGCCTCTGCTGAATTATAGATTCCATGTTGAAAAATAAAAATTGGACAGCTTTGTCGTATTCTTTGAGGATAGCCACTTTGTAAGTTCATTCACAAAATATTCTATGTTGAAATACAAGTAGTTAAATTATATTCAGGACCAAAGAAAGTGTACTGTCATGGTTGATGACATTTTATTTTATAATAAAATATAATAAACTTACAACAATAATGTTAGACATTTTCTCGATTAAATTTTCTCAATTAAAATGTATGGCAATATTGAAAAGTAACTTAATATAGGCCTTCCAGAAGGAAGAATGAAGAAAGAAGCAAATATGGCCAATTCAAATATCTATTCAGTGAGTTACTTTCTATTTTTCAATGGCAGTTGATTTCCCCTAACCTTGTACCTTAGTAAGTAGGTTTGGAAACTATTCCTTCCCCATTTTCTTTTGTTTCAAATGTAACTCTTTAAAATAATCTTGAATACAAAACTTATGAGTTAAATGGAGAGCATGAATTTATTCAGGCAAAACTAAGGGATTTAGTGAATTTGTCTTCAGTTAATCCAGGCTCCTTATTCAAAAATCCTTCTCTGAACCAGTTATTGTGAAAAGAGGTGTTCTTCCCTTCTCTCTGCCTCTAAATCTCTAAAACTTTGTCCACATTAATTTGATAGAAGTTTAAGAAGAACTTGTAAATGCCACAACTTTGGACTCACTTCATCTTGGAGATCATATTATTTGTTCTGTTTAATATGGAGCCTCATCATTGTTGTTTCTTTTTTTGACTGAATTATTTATCAACAATTAAAAATTGAGATCTTTCACATAAAATATATGGCTCAGGGATATACATCAAAAGGCTTCTGATCTTTTGACAGATGATTCTCTTCACTGGGCTATGAATAATGGCTTTGGATATTTGAGATATGTTTTCAACAGAATCTCATCCATAGTTGAAAATTACAACGTTTGGCACCTACCTGCTTCTCTTTTCAAAATAACCAGGCAACTTGTCACTAACATGCTGGAAAATCTTGCTTTCACTAACCATCCAGGTTACAACCTCAATAAGCAAAAGCCAATACTTCTATATAAAGATTGAAAATAGAAAAAAGAGTATAAGCCATATGTAATGTAGTTAAAAAGTGTACCTTGCTTATAATTGGAATCTAAGCAAAAGAAAGATGAGAGGATGGGGCAGAAGCAATATTTGAAGAGAGTACAGTTGGGAATTTACCAATCTTGATAAAAGACATCAACTCACACGTGAAATAATAGGAGAATGGTGTAGATCTAGTCTAACTAAGGTGGAGATGGCTGAAAAAATGAGTTTTAGCAGATATTACCTGGAGACAGTCTGAACATAAGCTCCAAAACTAAACTCAAAAGTTTGTTTATTGTTTCTCTAAATCATTGAACAACTGAAATAATTTTTTTTTTGTTTACCCTGATTGGCATACTCAAGATAAAATGTTCAGTTTAAATTTTTTGCTATCCTTCAAAAAATTGGTTTACTTTTTGTATTAGTCTATTCTCACACTGCTATAAACTACTACCTGTGACTGGGTAATTTATAAAGAGAAGAGGTTTAATTGACTCACAGTTCTGCAGGCTGTACACGAAGCACGGCTGGGGAGGCTTCAGGGAACTTACAATCATGGCAGAAAATGAAGGAGAAGCAGGCAGTCCTACAAGGGAAGCAGTAGAAAGAGTGAAGGGGGAAGTGCTACACATTTTTAAACAACCAGATCTCATGAGAGCTAACTCACTAGCACGAGAACAGCAAGGGGGAAATCCACCCCCATGATCCAATCATCTCCCACCAGGCCTTCCCCAACACTGGGGATTACAATTTGGCCTGAGATTTGGGCAGGGACACAAATCCAAACAGTATCACTTTTTAAAAAGTATAAACAAGATTAAATATTTACAGATTTTCTGCATTTTTTCTCTTTCCAGAGTCTCCCCTGAGAGAGGCTGGGAGAGTTGTAAGATTTGGACATAGGTCTGGCCCAAGTGAAGGAGAAAGAGAAAGAAGTGCTTGAGACCTATGCAGGAGACAGTAGTTCTTTAAGGCCGTTGAGGAAACCCTGAGTCAAAGCTGGCCGTCAATTGTCTTCCAGGAATTCCTATATCCCACTGTGCTCAGTCTTTGCTTGGGAGCAGCCCAGAGAAAGCAAGCCTTCCCCAAAAATGCAGTGTTAACTTTTAGAACACAGCAGGTAGGACCACTGGTTATTTAAGCCTCCTGTAATTTAAGATCCGAGATGAGAATTCTCCAGGCTGCCACACATATGAATGAGAATCTCTTAGGACCATGGGCCTCATATTAGATGCATTGAATCTAAAATTCATTTATTTTTTTCTGTCATTTCAATGGTGTGTGTTTATTTAACACTTTAATTCTCTTCATAAGGCCCCAGAATTGTTTTTCATTTGTGATTGTCTCAGTTCCATCCCTTGCTGTCACCATGTCTCCAAATAATTGTCCAGGTTTCCTTCTGGTCATAGGCATCAATGTTATTCAATTTGTCTTGGCTCATACTTTTCCCTCTACACTGGATGTGAGACACAGTGAGTAACAGTACATAATAGATGAAGGAAACTTTTGTGGAATGAGAAAGGATGGTGACATGTAGGTTTAGTTTTCAGCAGGTTTCTCATTAAGGCCAAAGTTGTGTCTCTAATCCATTGACAAAAAAGACATGTAACTTTATCTCATTTCTCACTGTTTAGGGAAAATTATTGCCCATAACAGCCAATAACAAGACACATGAAAATTATGCTAGGAGGAAAAGGAGGTGCTTTCCTAGACATAATAAAATAAATATTAATACGAAACAGTCATAGCATTTCTGGCATAAGTGCAGTTCATTGGCTTTGTGCTATAACACCAAAATTATAGCACGCATAAATACAACATGTGGAAAAGTATTCAAATGCAATTACAGGCAAGATTGCTGAGCTACACATATGTAAATGAGGGAGCACAAAAATGTGAGGGATGACTCTGCTGTGCACCACACCTATTGCTGAGAGGATATAAATGACACTGTCCAGGATGCCACGTTAAAACTCAGAATCTTCCCAGGTACACTCAGCTGAACTCACATCTTCCCGTCAACATGTCCTACAACTGTTGCTCTAGAAACTTCTCCTCCTGCTCCCACGGGGGTTACTTGCACTACCCAGGCTCCTCCTGTGGCTCTTCCTACCCCAGCAACCTGGTCTACAGCACTGACCTCTGCTCTCCCAGCACCTGCCAGCTGGGTTCCTCTCTCTATAGGGGCTGTCAGGAGACCTGCTGGAGGCCCAACAGCTGTCAGACATTGTGTGTTGAGTCCAGCCCCTGCCACACCTCCTGCTACTACCCCAGGACTCACATGCTCTGCAATTCTTGCCTGACTATGCATGTTGGGTCTCGGGGTTTTGGATCCAATAGCTGCTGCTCCCTGAGCTGTGGATCCAGGAGCTGCTCCTCACTGGGCTGTGGATCCAATGGCTTCAGATATCTGAATTATAGAATCCATACCTCCCCTTCCCAGAGTTATAGATCCAGATTCTGCCATCCAATCTATTTTCCACCTAGAAGGTGGTTCCATTCATCTTGTTATCAGCCATTCTGTAGATCTGGTTTCTACTGACTAATGTGGTGACTGGTAAAACTCATTTGAGAAATGCATATTCTTTAGTAAGGTCATCTGTTAATTTCTTCCTTTGAGAAGTATTCTAATATTATTGATCACCAGGTCTTCCTTACTTTCCAGCCCTCAAAAACTGGGTTGTATGTTAGTTCTGTCAAACTGCAGTTTGGATCAATGAATAATCTATAACTGGATCAATCTGGATCTATAACTCTGGGAAGGGAAGGCATGGATTTTATAATTCAGATATCTGAAGCCATTGGATCAATGAGTGATCCAAACTGCATTATAGATATAATTTATAGTTTTTGTATTTCTTTCCAAAAGAGATAGGAAGTGAAAAAGATTTTATTTTAATAAACTCTTTATTCTTCTGTCCAAATGTGCTGTTAATATTGCTATTTATTAGTAAAGCATTGTCTAGGATGTGCATTGTCATTGCTTCTGGTAATGGGCTTTGCAATGCCCAGATTGTGGGATCTCCACACTAATTTTGGTTGGGCTTTAGATATTTTCCTCCTCTTTAAGCAGGAGTTTCTGGGATTCTCACAGTTTCCAAGGATAGCCTTTCTCTTAAGTATCCTCGTCAGGATAGTTAAGATAGCCTTTGCTATCATTTTTGATGATAACCTTTCATCAGAATCATCAAAAATGATTGTTTGGGTTGTATCTTGAAATAAAATTGGATAGGCTGTATTTATACTGTTCTGTTCTCTCACATCAAAGCGTTATAAAAAGTAAGTTACTGATAGTATTAAGAGCATTGACTATCCTTGTTCATTCCTTGAATATGCCATGCATCTCTAAGGACAGAATGTAACAGAAAAGTTTGAAGAGTACATGAACAAAATTCATACTTATATGATTAGGCCTGTTCATGAAGTATATTAAAATGGAAGACTAACACATGGATGTAAATGTTTAGAAAAGAGCACCTATGAGCTTCAGGTATCATAGTGCAGGAGTATCACTTATTTTTAATTAGCTAAATCCCTGAACCCCAATTACTGTTTTCAATCTGCTCAAATGATCTCCATTTGTTTAAAAAGGCAGGCAACAAACTTTGATGGGAAGGAAGTAGGCTCAGCAGGTGTTAGTTGTACCTGGGTTCTTTGCCAAAATATAAACTGAATCTAATTGAAAACTCTGAAGCCTTTACTATCATCAAAAATGATTGTTTTTTGTCGTATCTTGAAATAAAATTGGATAGACTGTACTTATGCTGTTCTGCTCTCTTACATCCAAGTGTTATAAAAAGTAAGGTACTAAGACAATACGATGGTAATGGCAGACATAATATTTATATAAAACAAGCAATGTTCAAGTATTTTCCTATTCTTTATTTTATAAGATCTTCTAACATTCTCTGAAATTAGAAATATAATGCAGATTATTAGACACTTCACAAAAAACTTAGTCTTATAAGTACATAACAGTCATCTCATCATGTTCTCTTCCTCTTTTACTGCGAATGTGATAAAATATGAAATATAAAGAGAGCTGTAGAGTTCATCGACTTCAATATTCTTATTCTACAGAGGTGGAAATGGAAACAGTAGCGTTAGATAGAATTTTAAAATGTTACTCAGCAAGCTATTGTAGAGCTGTGAGTAGAACTACTTTATTCCACCCAATTTATTTTATTGGATCTATCCAGCTGTGACATTTTCTCTTATCTCCTCACTTCCGTCATTTGCTCCCTATTTTCCTCTTCTTCTTCTTCTCCCTCCTCCTTCTCCTCCATCATGTTTAGGAAATAGTCATGGTGCTTATATAGTTAGAGGAAAGAAATAAGGAATAATGAAAGAAAATGCATAGGAAAAATTATCAGTGATTGAGTTACAAAAATTAAAATGACAAACTGTGAAATCCTCTATAAACTTGGTCCTTTTTATAACTTCATGGATTTTTTGAATTTTAGTGATTCTAGTTAGTCCCATGCTCATAATATTTACTCAAGAGTAATGATCAAGCCTTATATCCCCAAAACATAGGCAATGGTAAGGGTTTAATGAGGAGCACCTATAGCTTATTGGCCAGGCTGAGGTTTCCTCTGTTACTGTCTCCAAATTGCAGATGCAGGAATGGTTTTCTGGCTTTCAGGAATACACTTTAATCTTGGTTTCCTATTACTGCCATAGCAAATTAGATTAAACTTAGAGTTTTAAGCAATACAAATTTATTATCTTTTAATTCTGTAGGTCAAAATCTGATGAATTGATGACCTCACTGGGCTAAATCAAAGTATTAGCAGGGCTGAGTTTCTTTCCAGAGGCTCTAAGGGAGAATCTATTTCCTTGCTTTTTACAGATTCTAGAGAAGGTGTCCCCAACCTCCGGGCCATGAACTGGTACTGGTCCATGGCATGTTAGGAACCAGGCAGCCCAGCAGGAGGTGAGTGGCAGTTGAGCAATTGTTACTGCCTGAGCTCCACCTCCTGTCAGATCAGCAGTAGCATTAGATTCTCATCAGAGCACAAACCCTGTTGTGAACTGCACATGCGAGAGATCTTGGTTGCGCATTCCTTATGAGAATCTAATGCCTGATGATCTGTCTTCCATCATCTGAAGATGGGACCATCTATTTGCAGAAAAACGAGCCCAGGTCTCCCACCAGTTCTACATTCTGGTGAGTTGTATTGTTATTTCATGATATATTACAATGTAATAATAATAGAAATAAAGTGCACAATAAATGGAATGTGCTTGAATCATCCCCAAACCATCCCTCCCCACCTGCTCCAATCTGTGGAAAAACTCTTTCAGGAAACCTGACCCTGGTACCAAAAAGTTTGGAGATGGATGTTCTAGAGGCCACCTACATTTTTTGGTTCATGGTCCCATTCCTCTGTCTCCAAAGACAGCAGTGGTGAGTCCAATCATTTTCATAGTGGATCGCTTAGACCTACTTTTCTGCCTTTACCTCCCACTTCATACTTACAATTACATTGGGTTCGGCTGGGTAATCCAAGATACTCACCCTGTTTTAGCAAGCTTAATTTCATCTGTAACTTTAATTCTTCTTTGCCATGTGAAGGAACATATTTACAAATTCCAGAATTTAGAATTTGAACATCTTTTAGGAGCCATTATTCTGCCTACCAAAACTAGTAAACATGCAAATTTAGAAAATAACTCAAAGATAGATTGATCACAGATAGATAGCAGTATAATAGAGTGCTCACAAACAAATGATCAAAACTCAATGATGGGGACTCTGAACTTATACCACAATTGCCCCGGTTATTATATAAAGGTACCATTTCTAGCTGATAGTCAAAACAAGAAAGTTTTATTATTTTATCACGAGAGACTTGTAACTCCTGAGTTTATATCATGTCATTACCAGTTAGGAAACATCCACCCTCTCCCATTCCAAATCTCTAGCAACACTCTAAATTTCCCAGAATGCAGCTTTTATTCTCTATTTCAGCAACTGCATATAGCATAGTGAATTACAGTCTTCTGATTGTCACCAAGTTGATCCCATTCTACATGATTAACAGGAAATCGGCTGGCACTTATTTGGACTACATCTAGTTGCCTCCATTCTTCCAGCTCCCTCCTGCTGCATACTTTGACAGATGCTTGCGCTATGCATTTTGAACCCAGGAGTTTAGTTCCCAAGCAACTACTGCCCATGCAATTATAATCTTAGAAGCTACTGGTCATCTGCCTACCAACTGGTTTGCAGTTCTGATTTCCAAGACTTAATGTAACCAGTTTTCCAGGAAATTCTCTCACAAATCATTTCTAGGCATTTGATTTCAACAATTTCTATTCATTAATGCATACCTCATGAGTGGCTACAGAGAGCAGCTTTGTCCTCCTCAACACCCTGACCCCATGTTTGTTTGACTGTTTTTTATTAGTCATGTCTCAGAATACATCGTCAAATGTTTTGTCAGTACCACCCTTTTTCACAATATATTTATTCAGCCTTTACCATGAACCAGAATCTTTGCTGTGGAAATATATTGCTGAATATATTTTTAAAAATAAGATTATATTCATTCATTACTCCATAATAAATGAATTAAGAAAACGCGTGGTCTCTGTTCTAGCTGGGCTGAAAGTCTAACAGATGAAGTAAATATTAAACAATTGTTTAATTACAAAAATAATGAGCTGGTTTTTTGCTAAAATAATATACATCAAGGGAACTTTACTTAGTCTTAGAAGTCAGGAAATGTTTCTCAGAGGACTAACATTTAAAAGAGATTGAAACAATAAGTATGGAATCAGTAAGTGGTACCAGAAGTGTTTCTAGGACAAAAGTTTTGAGATGTGGGCCGGGCGCGGTGGCTCACGCCTGTAATCCCAGCACTTTGGGAGGCCGAGGCGGGCGGATCACGAGGTCAGGAGATCGAGACCATCCTGGCTAACACGGTGAAACCCCGTCTCTACTAAAAATACAAAAAAATTAGCCGGGCGTGGTGGCGGGCGCCTGTAGTCCCAGCTACTCGGGAGGCTGAGGCAGGAGAATGGCGTGAACCCGGGAGGCGGAGCTTGCAGTGAGCCGAGATCGCGCCACTGCACTCCAGCCTGGGCGACAGAGCGAGACTCCGTCTCAAAAAAAAAAAAAAAAAAAAGTTTTGAGATGTGTATGGCATGACTAAAAGCCATTTTGGCTGGTCATTAAGAGAAAAGGAAAGAAGAGTTTGAAATTAGGCCACAGAGGTATTTTGGAGCCATTCTAGGCAGGTCCTTAGAGTTGTAATTTGGTGTTGCAGACATTCTTCTAAAACCAACAAGAAGCCATTAAATATTTTTAAGCAGAGGTATATCTATAAGAATACCTCTGTTTTTAAATAATATTTTTTATTCAATCAATATTTACATACCATGAAATGCACATATTTCAAAGGGTAGAGCTTGTTGTCTTTGATGAATATACACACCTGTGTAATGACTACCTGATCAAAATACAGAAAATTTCTTCACTCCAGAAAATTCACTCATGTTCCTTTCTTAAATCAATTCCTGACCCCAGACACAGCTACTGTAGTGATTGCTATCACCATACATTAACTTGCTTCTTCTAGAACTTCATAAAAATGAAATCATACATTTTTTTTATCATATGCATCTTTTTTCACTCAACTTAATGTTTTCGAAAAGCTTCATGTGGTGATATGTTTTATTCATTTTATTGGTGCCGTATATTCCCTTTTGTTAATAATATCACAATGTGTGTATTCTTTCATCTATTGACTGACATCAAATTTTCTCAAGATTTAAAAAATAGAGCACAATGAATATTGATTGTTCCAGTTTCTTTTTGTGAACATATGTTTTTAGTTTTTTCTCGGGGGGAAGAAAACCATGAATGAAATTTCTGGACCATAGAGTCGGCATATGCTCAACTAAATTAGAAATTGCCAAACAGTTTTCCAAAGTTAGTTTCATTATTTTACTATCCCACCAGCAATTTCCTAGACGCCTACGAACTCCATCGTCACCAACATTTGCCATATTTCTTTCAGCCATTTGCTAAGTGGCATCTCACTGTGGTTTTAAGTTGCATTTATTTGGTGACTAGTGATTTTTATACACCTTTTTTATGTTTATTGGCCATACCCATGGAATCTTTTGTTTAGTGTTTATTTTTCCCTCATTATTGTTATATTTTTATTGATACTAAAGTTGAATTTTTTTACGTATTCCCAAAGTAGTTATTAGTATTGGTAATTTCCTATGTATTGTTCGCCTTCTTTTTTGAAAATAAAAAATCAACTTTTATCTTAGATTCAAGTGACACATGTGCAGGTTGATAACATGGGTATATTGCATGATGCTGAGGGTTGGGGTACAATTGATCCCATCACTTAGGTACTGAGTATAGTACCCAACCAGTTTTTAATCCTTGCCCCTTTCTTCTCTCCCCACTCTAGAAGTTCCCATTGTTTATTGTAGCCATCTGCATGCCCATAAGTACCAAATGTTTAACTCCCACTTGTAAGTAACAAGATATGGTATTTGTTTTTTTTGTTCCTGCTTTAAATTCACTTAGGATGATAGCCTCCAGCTGCATTCCTGATGTTGCAAAGAACTTGATTTTGTTCTTTTTTATGGCTCTAAGTATTTCATCGTGTATACGTACCATATTTTCTTTATCCAATCCACTGCTGATGGACACCTGAAAGAGGTCCCAATCCAGACGCAAGAGAGAGTTATTAGATCTTGCACAAGAAAGAATTCAGGACAAGTCTTTAAAGTGAAAGCAAGTTTATTAGGAAAGCAAAGGAATAAAAGAACGGCTACTCCATAGGCAGAGCAGCCCCGAGGGCTGCTGGTTGCCCATTTTTATGGTAATTTCTTGAGTATATGCTAGACAAGGGGTGAATTATTCCTGTCTCCCCTTTTTAGACCATAAAGGGTAACTTCCTGATGCTTCCATGGCATCCGTAAACTGTCATGGCGCTGGTGGGAATGTAGCAGTGAGTATGACCAGAGGTCACTCTCGTCTCCATTTTGGTTTTGCTGGGTTTTAGCTGGCATCTTTACTGCAACCTGTTTTATCAGCAAGGTCTTTATAACCTGTATCTTGTGCCAACTTCCTGTCTCATCCTGAGACTTAGAGTGCCTTAACCATCTGGAAATGCAGCCCAGTAGATCTCACCCTTATTTAACCCAGCTCCTATTCAAGATGGAGTAGCTCTGCTTCAAACACCTCTGCTATTTCCCCCACTTTTATAAGAAAACTCTTAATCCTAAGGGTTGCTGAGGGATGAAGATCCATCTTCTGTAACATCTTCAGGCTGAATACGGGCGATGATATTCCTGCCTAACCATTAGGGTCTCTTGTGTTCAGGGTAGAGAGGAGCTCAGTTAGAAAGAGTTGGTATGCTGAGGGTCATTTATAACTCTTGAGTTCTGACAAAAGGTGATATCTGGGAGATTAATTAAGTGTTCAATTTAAGAAAACATTTAGTAAGCTTATTCTGCATTCCTATACCAAGAGTACAACAGCAATATATTCCACAAGAATAAAGCAAAACAAGTAAAATTATCCCAAACAAACTAAATTAGAAGACTTTTCATGAACTGGGCAACAGGTGGAACCAAGCTGATGTGGGGTTGCTAGCTATTTGCAATGTGCCCAGAATTAACTGATTTAGATTTTTACATTACCCATCCTTCTTGTTTTTTCTGAGCAGCAGTTAGAGATCACTGGTTGGTACGCAAGAATAAGTAGGGTTAGCCTACATTGCAGAAACAAAGTTATAAACAACTGATGAGATGAGAATTTAATAACAACTGTACCATAGTTCTGGAAACATAATATTTCTCTCTCCAGTTTTTCATTTTTACTAAAGACAAATCATGATAAGACTTATTGGCTTTATTATACTTGGCCTGATTATTTGTATAAATGGCAGAAAGAATAATTATTTTGTTACATAAACTCTTTTTAAATTGTCTTTGATGGAACTCTGCTCCATAGAAGGACTCGTAGGTAAGACTTTTTAAGAGCCCAGCCCAGACATGGGTTTGCACCTTCAAATATCTATGAGTTGAGTAAATTCCTCTCCTCTTGGGGTCCCAAGATAACTTGGGGCTCCTGGACCTGTTAGAGAGTGACATTCTTCACTTACCACAGGTCACAAACCCTATAAGGGACTATGGTAGACAAGGTGTAAGGCCAGGTTCCCAGGGGCTTTTATAGGCTTTACAAGTCAAGTTTGATTCCTTAAAGGAAAACACACCATTCCAGACAAAGCTGTGGTAAAATAACCAGTTTCTCCAATGGTGTCCTGCTGCAAAAGAAAACAGATTCTTACTGAACTTATGCAAATAACCATATAACCATAAATTAAGAATACTCACAAATATGTGTTTCCAAATTCTGGAGAAATCAGCTAGAGAGAAACAAATATGCTCCAAATTTTGTTCACAGGAGTATACTCTACTCAATTGTCAAAGGCTGTAAATAGCTCTAAAGAAAAATTTCCTTCATTCTGAAAAACAAAACAAAGAATCAGCAATGTTTTAAGCAAAAAGATAAACGGATTACTTTAGACTTCTTCAGTTTATTCCATGAAGTTAATTTCTGTTCTGCTTGATATTCATGAACATTTTAGCTCTCCATGAGACTTCTGGAAGTTGTTTTCTCTGTTCTGATGTCACAGTCTCTAAAGTTATCAGAAATCTGTATTCAAGTGTACCTGTTGGAGTTCTGTAGCTGACTATAAAACCACCTTCTAAAGAGGACTAAAATGAGACAACAATTATCTGTAGGTGACAAAACGTCTTAGGACAGCCACAGTCAAAAACATGATTGACAGAGAAATTTGGTTACCTCTGTGCCATACAATGACAATTATAATTATTAATAATATATACTAAGTCATATTAGAATTATAGGGCTTTCCCATTATTTTGGAACATATACCAATGAAACATTTATGCAAATACAGCCCAAAGAAAGCCAAACACCATTTCACATTTGAGAATGCTTTTCGTATAATTTTTATACCAAATAAGCCAAATGTCACTGTTGCATTAACGCATTATTGATGTCAAACCCAATTCTTTATAAAACCTTATATAAATAAATCTATCCAGTTGTAATCAGTTTGACCATAAGGTAAGATCCTCATAAACCTTTTTAAATTCTTTACAATGTTTGTTAAAGAGCAGATTATATGCAGGCTTTTGCTTTAGGAACAACCTGCTGTGCTTTTATTCCAATGTTTAATTTATGGAAAAACTGAGTAATGCCCCTTTAACTTTAGCCAATATGTTCACACACAGAATCTCTTTTACAATTAATTTTTCATTTTCACAAACCTTCCACAACTTGCTAAAACCTTCATCTTTATCCTATTTAGCTTAAAACAATTCTTAACTCTCTAACCATAGGCAAGAAATTCACATTTCTATGTCTTCTTATACTCTTTTACCAAAAGTACATCCTACTTTCCTGACATGACTTGTGTGTAAAATTGGGTTTTTTTGGTAGTCTCAAACACATGTTGCACTGTTGACTCTTACAAACTTTTCCTTTTCATGAAAATCTTTGTTAAATTCGGGATTTTAATTATGTACTAGGCGTGGAGCCTAGGACAGCAGACAGAAGTGCAGTTAAGGTTTGACTCTTCCTAGTGTCTAACTCCATGTGTCCCAGGCTTTACCTAGCTGTAAACCAGGCAAATTGTACATTTAAGAGTCACAGATGCCTTTTATGAAGCATTTAGGAGGCCTAATCACTTTTAAATGTACAACATTTCGTGCATAAATTCCCTCTCACGAATCCTTTCAGGACTTACATAGGCCATGTACAACATGTTTAGACTTTCTGACTTGCCCTAAACATCCCTCTTTTTAAACAACCAGTTATTTTACTTTAGGACAATAATTTACCGTACAACATCCTTTCTTATATAAAAGCTTTCTTTATAGCCTTCCTTGCATAGCTAGGGGGCACGGCTAATTCCACATGTCCTCAGGCCTTATCTAGAATCTAATGCTTCAAAATGAATTGAACAATTTTAAAAGACAAATAAGCAGTTTATAACCTTAAAGCATTTAGCAAACTAAATAGCTGACGTATATGATTTAGACCAGATGTTTACATTTTTGAAGATATTTTTATTTTGCCAATAATCTTTAAAATTGTTTTTTATTTCTCAAAGATTACTTAAGTCATGGGAACCAAAAGGCATTACACTTTTAACTTTTCTGACAAAATATTTGATTTAAGCTCTTATTGTTATTAAACCAATTAGTTAAGTCTTTTTCATATACAAACATCACATACATAATACATAAAAATACTTAGGGCTGGGTGTGGTGGCTCATGCCTGTAATCCCAGCACTTTGAGAGGCTGAGGTGGGCGGATCACGAGGTCAGGAGATTGAGACCATCCTGGCTAACACAGTGAAACCCCATCTCTACTAAAAATACAAAATATTAGGCAGGCATGGTGGCAGGCACCTGTAGTCCCAGCTACTCAGGAGGCTGAGGCAGGAGAATGGTGTGAACCTGGGAGGCAGAGCTTGCAGTGGGCCGAGATCATGCCACTGCACTCCAGTCTGGGAAACACAGGAAGACTCCATCTCAAAAAAAAAATACTTAGACAGAAAATAAAGGACTCATTTTCTAAGCCAGGAATTGAACCTTAAGCCCAGTCTGCCATTGTGAAAAGAGAAAGCATGGCCACATGGTTACAAGGCCAAGCTCCCAAAGATGGACATACAAGACAAGAAGGAAATCTCATCCAGTTTTTTCAGGGACCTGTGTCAAACTTTCTAACTGACAAGTTTGCTGGGCCATCTTGAAAAACACACCTGGGTGTCCTAAATCCATGTTCTATCCTAAGGTACACCTTATTAGGACAGAATAATACAGAAAGACACACAAAGCACACCCTTTGCTACAGCTTAAGACTAGCCTTATAAATCCTTTTTTCCATTAAGCAAAACTTTACAGGAGATAAACAGTGAATTTTACCATTCATTCAACCTGCTTGTTCAGAGAGGGAATAAAAAAAGAGGGAGAGAGAGAAGGAGGAAAGCATTGCCTGAGTCAGAGTGGGGAAGGTGAGATACTCAGGAAGGTCAGAGAATGACCCACCCATTGCAGCAACACTAAAAATTTTAGGTGGCTGCTTGTCGATGGCAAACAGATCTTTTCCAGCAGTCCCATCAGCTCTCAAGTTTCCCCTTTTTGAGGGAGGAAAAAGCTCCCCATATTCATAATGATCTGTACATGGCTAACCCTTTCACCCATGGCCATCAGCAAAGAGGGCAAGGCAGATTAATTTAAAGAGAATAGTGGTTAACATCCCATAGAGCCAAACCAGTTCTTATCGAAAAGGGACTTCACCGAGAGGGGCCTCTAACCCCCTAAATCTTAGGTTCCTTAAAAGGGACTCTAACCCTCCTAAGTTGGGCTTCTAACCCAAGGTCTGTCAAGCGTCCTTGCCTTTTATTAAGAGGGGCGTCTAACCCAATCTGTCTTAGGAGAGACTCTAACTCCCCTAACTTGAGCCTCTAACCCAATCCCATTCTTTACCTGGGTACCCCAACACCTGCCCAAAGTTGGCTGATCAGAGCTGCAGTCTGTTTCCTTTGGATCAAGCAGTCTTCTAAGTATTGCCCCTTCCGTGGTTCACCAAAAAGATGTTACTGGACTCTACCAGTTACCCAAAGTTACACTTTGGGTCATGGGTTTCCCACTATAGTCACTTCTGCACTTCTGTGGTCACCAGAAAGATGTTACAGGAAAGAGGTCCTGATCCAGACCCCAGGAGAGGATTCTTGGGTGTCACACAAGAAAGAATTCCGAGTAAGTCTTTAGAGTAGAGTGAAAGCAAATTTATTAGGAAAGTAAAGGAATAAAAGAATGGCTATTCCGTAGGCAGAGCAGCCATGAGGGTTGGTTCAAATGCCTCCGACACCTAGGTTAATTCCATGTCTTTGCGAATGTGAATGGTGCTTTGATGAGCATACGAGTGTATGTGTGGTTTTGTTTGTTTATTTGTTTGTTTTTTGGTCAAATGACTTACTTTCTTTTGAATATATGTCCTGCAATGGGATTGCTGGGTCAAATTGTAGCTATGCTTTAAGTTGTTATTTTTTTATAGTGGCTGAAGTAATTTACATTCTCATCAACAGTGCATACGTTTTTTCTTTTCTAGACAGCCTCGCCAGCATGTGATGCTTTTTGACTTTTTAATAGTAGCCATTCTGACTGGTTTGAATGCATCTCATTGTGGTTTTAATTTGCAATTTTCTGATGATTTTTATTTGAAATGTGTTCCATATTTTTGTTGGCTGCTTGTATTGTGTGTGTGTGTGAAGTGTCTCTTAGTGGGGTGATTTGCTTTTTGCTTGTTCAATTGTTTAAGTTTCTTACACATTCTGGATATTACATCTTTGTTAGATGCATAGTTTGTGGAATTTTTTTTTATTCCATAGGTTGTCAGTTTACTCTGTTGATTGCTTCTTTTGCTGTGCAGAAGCTCTTTAGTTTAATTAGGTCCCACATCAATGTCTGGTTTTGTTGCAATTGTTTTTGAGGACTTAGTCATAAATTCTTTCCCAAGCTGATGTCCAGAATGGTGTTTCCTAGGTTTTCTTTCAGATTTCTCATAGTTTGAGGTCTTATATTTAAATGTTTAATTCATTTTAAGTTAATTTTTGTATATAGTAAAAAATAGGGGTCCAGGTTTATTTTTCTGCAGATTGCTAACTAGCTATCCCAGCATCATTTATTGAATAGGGAGTGTTTTCTGTATTGCTTATTTTTGCTGAAGTTGTTGAAAATCAGCTGGCTGTAGGTGTGTAGTTTTATTTCTAGGTTCTTTATTCTGTGTCATTGGTCTATGTATCTGTTTTTATATCAGTACCATCCTGTTTGGGTTGCTGTAGCCTTATAGGACAGTTTGAAGTCAGGTAATGTGATGCCTCTGGCTTTGTTCTTTTTGCATAGAATTGCCTTGGCTATTTGAGATCCTTTTTTTTCCATATGAATTTTAGAATACTTTTTAAAAATTCTGTGAAGAATTAAATTTGTAGTTCGATAGGAATACCATTGAATCTGTAGATTGCTCTAGGCAGTATAGACATTTTAACGGTATTGATTCTTCAAATCCATGAGCATGAAAATTTTCTCATTTGTTTGTATAATCTATGATTTCTTTCAGCAGTGGTTTGCAGTTTGCCTTCTAGAGACCTTTCACCTCTTTGGTTAGATGTATTCCCAGGTATTTGATTGTTGACGTGACTATTGTAAATATTATTTTATTCTTGATTTGGCTCTTAGCTTAAATAATAGTTATATATAGAAATGCTACTAATTTTTTACATTGATTTTGTGTTGTGAAACTTGATTTAAGTCATTTATGAAATCCAGGAGCTTTTTGGCAGAGTTTTTATGGTTGTCTAGGTATGGAATCATATTATCCACAAAGAGATACAGTTTAACTTATTTTCCTATTTGAATTCGTTTTATTTCTTTCCTTCTCCTGACTGCATTAGCTAGGACTTCCAGTACTATGTTGAATAGGAGTAGTGAGAGAGTGGACATCCTTGTCTTATTCCAGTTCTCAAGGAGAATGCTTCCAGATTTTTCTCATTCAGTGTGATGTTGCCTGTGGGTCTGTCATAGATGGCTCTTATCATTTTGAGGTATGTTCCCTTGATGCCTAGTTTTTTTTGAGGGTTTTTTAACGTAAGGGAATATTGGATTTTATTGAAAGCTCTTTCTGTCTGTTGAAATAATTACTTGGTTTTTGTTTGTAATTTAGTTTATGTGGTAAATCACATTTATTGATTTACACATCTTGACACAACATTACATTCCAGGAATGAAGCCTATTTGATCACTATAAATTAACTTTTTGATATGCTATTGGATTCTGTTTGCTAATTATTTGTTAAGTTTTTATTGTGTTTATTTTATTAGGAATATTAGCCTGTAATTGTCTTTTCTAATTTTGTTTTTGCCATGTGTTGTATCAGAGTGATGCTGGAGTCATAGAATGAGTTAGGGAGGAGTCCCTCCTCCTCAATTTTTGGGAATAGTTTCAATAGAATTCGTACCAGCTCCTGATTGTACATCTGGTAGAATTCAACTGTAAATCCATCTGGTACTGGGCTTTTTTTTTTTTTTTTGGTTGGTAGTTTTTTTAATTACTTATTTAATTTCAGAACTCAATATTAGTCTCTCCAGGGTTTCAATTTCTTCCTGATTCAATAGAGGTATTCATAATAGTCTCTGAGGATCTTTTATGTCTCTGTGAGATTCGTTGTAATGTCACCTTTTTCATTTCTGATCATGTTTATTTGAATCTTATCTCTTCTATTTTTTGTTACTCTAACTAGGGATCAATAGGTCACTAGTTAGAATCATCTTGTTTATCCTTTCCAAGAACAAACTTTTTGTTTAATTGATTCTCTATAAATATTCAGGTCTCAATTTTTTTCCATGTGTGCTTTGATTTTGCTTGTTTCTTTTCTTCTGCTAGATTTGTGATTAGCTCGTTATTGTTTTTCTAGTTTCTCTGGGTGTGATACCAAATCTTTGAGATCTTTCTAACTTTCTGAGGTAGGCATTTTGTTCTACAAACTCTCCTGTTAACACCACTTTTGCTGCATCCAAAAGATTTTGGTGTGTTGTGTCTCAGTTTTCATTCATTTCAAAGAATTTTTAAATCCTGCCTTGATTTCATTTTTTAACCGCTAAGTCATTCAGGCTGCTTAATTGCAATGCAATTGTGTGGTTTTGAGGGAAATTTTTCATATTAATTTCCATTTTTATTGCACTGTGATCTGAGAGTATGATGAAATGAGGTTTGTTTTTTTTTTAAATTTATCGAGACTTATTTTATGCCTGAGCATGTGGTCAATCTTGGAGCATGTTCTGTGTGCAGAGGAGAAGAATGTATATTCTGTGGTAGATGGGTAGACTATTCTGTAGATATTTATTAGAGTCAAGTGCCGAGTTCAAGTCTAGAATTTCTTCATCGGTTTTCTGCCTTGATTATCTGTCTACTGCTGTCAGTGGGGTATTGAAGTCTCCCCACTAACATTGTGTGGCTGTATGTCTTTCTGCAGACCTGGAAGTACTTGTTTTATGAATCTGGGTGCTCCAATGTTGAGTGCATATATCTTTTTTTTTTTTTTTTTTGAGACCGAGTCTCACTCTGACCTGCCTTGGCCTCCCAAAGTGCTGGGATTATAGCCGTGAGCCACCATTCCCGGCCGAGTGCATATATCTTTAAGATAGTTAAGTTTTCTTTTTAAATTAAATCCTTCATCATTATGTAATGCTCTTTTTTATTCTTTTACTGTTGTTGATTTAAAGTCTGTTTTATCCAATATAACAATAGCAACTCCTGCTCTTTTTCCTGTTTTCCTTTTGTGAGATAGATCTTTGTCCATCCCTTAACTTTGAGCCTATGGGTGTCATAGTGTGTGTGAGGGGTCTCTTAAACACAGCAAATGAATATTCTTTTTTAAATTCAATTTACCACTTTGTGCCATTCAATTGACACATTAGGCCATTTACATTCAAGGTTAATTTTGATATGTGAAGTTTCTATCTTATCACGAAGTTGTTAGCTGGCTGCTTTGTTGATATTCTATTCTGTGGTTGTATTATAGGGTCTGTAAGCTATGTACTTAAATATGTGTTTGCGGCAGCAGGTTTTTAACTCCTTTAAGCTCTCTTGTAAGGCTGTTCTAGCGGTAATAAAGTCCCTTAGTGTTTGCTTGTCTGGAAGAGATTTCATTCCTCCTTTGCTTATGAAGCTTAGTTTGGCTAAATAGAAAATCCTTGATTGGAATTCCTTGTCTTTAAGAATGCTTAAAATAGGCCCCTAATCTCTTCTGGCTTGTAAGGTTCTGCTGAAAAGTCCACTGTTAGCCTGATGGAGTTCCCTTTGTACATAATCTGACTTTTTTCTCTAGTTGCCTTTAAAAAATTTTTTTAGCATTGACCTTGGACAGTCTGGTGACTGTATGCCTTGGTGACATTCGTTTTGTATTGCAAATCACAGGTGTTCTCTGGATTTCTTATATCTCAATATCTATCTCTCAATCAACATTAGGGGAATTTCATTAATTTATTCCCTCAAATATGTTTTTCAGGTTGTTTACTTTTTCTCCTCTCTCAGGAATACTAATAATTTGTAGGACTTGTCACTTTACAAAATCTCATATTTCTCAAAGACTTCAGTTTTTTTAAAAAATCATTTTTTTAAATTTTTGTCTACCTAGGAGAGTTCAATATTCAAGCTCTAAAATTATTCTTTCTGTTTGGCCCAGTCTATTGATAAAGCTTTCAAGTGTACTTTGAAATTCCCTAAGTGAGTTTCTCATTTCAAGAAGCTCTGAATTATTTCTTCAGATGTTAACTCTTTCTTCATTTCCTGGATCGCTTTAGAAGTTTCTTTCTGTTGATTTTCAACCTTGTCTTGGATCTCATTGAGCTTCCTTGCCATCCATGCTTTGAATTCTTTATCTATCAATTCTGAGTTTCCATTTTGGCTAAGGACCATTGCTGCAGAGCTAGTGTAATCCTTTCGTGGTGTCACTACAGATTTTTCATGGTGCCAGAATTCCTGTTCTGGTTTCTTCTCGTCTGGAAGCACTGGTACTTCTAATTATTGTAATTATTTTTGTGGGGTAGTATTTTTTCTTTTTCTTTCTTTCTCTGTTTTTCTCTCCCTTTCCCCTTCCTACTTCCTTAGGGGGTGCGACTGCAGAGAATGCTGGGTAGGGTTTTTGGCTTTGCTTCTATAGCCCTACGCACTCTGTTGGCATGTTTTATACTGGACTGTGTGGTTTGACTTGCAAGTCAGTAGATGGCGCTGATGGGAAACAGCCAGCTGCAGCCGACGTGGCTACGTACGTAACTTGATCCTTGTTTACTGGGAGAAGCTCTCTGTTCCCTCAGCCAATGGGCTGATTTGTGGAGTGCGCAGTGGTTTGAGTTCCCTGCTCAGCTCCATGGGAGCAGCGGCCAAGATGGGCAGGGCCAGACTTGGCAGTTCTGCCGACAGGTCCCCTGATGACAGGCACAAGCATCAGCCTTGAGGGAGAGTTCTGTCGGCAGACACCAAACACTCAGAGGCGGGTCAGGTATGGAGGTGTGAAAGCTCCTCAGTCCCAAGATCTCTGCAAAGGTAGAAAGGGTGCCCTAAACTCTTAATCCAGGAGAGAGGGTGCTCCAGATGCCTGGATATTTACACATATCAGTGACTCTAATACCATCTGTTGAAAAGACATGTTTTTACATTCGAATTGACTTCACATCTTTGTAAAAAATAGGTAGCACACATGTGGATCTGTTGCATAACTCTATTTTGTTCCACTAATTTAATTATCTATATTTAATTCCAGTACCATAATATTTTGATATACATCTTCCTATTTTATTTCTCCTTTTAAAGATGGTGTTGCCTATTCTTCCTCTGTTAAACTTTATAAATTTCAGTCAATTTTTCAATTTTTGGCAATTTTGGCACTTTTGTTTGGAATGTTTTGGATCTGTGAATTTGAGATAATAAAAATTATCCCTAAATTCATAGATCCATGATACGATTCAAGATCTATTCCACAAATGATATGTTTTGATATTATTACAATATATTTTAACTTAATTTTAAACTTAATTTTTCATATGCTTTTCATTTGTATAGACAAATAAAATCAATATTTCTATAGTAATTTTATAGATTACTTAGGATTTTCGATGCGAGCAGTCGCACCTGTGACTAGAATGTTTTACCACTTATTTCCTGTTATTTTTATTTTTATTTTTTGCTTTTTCGTTATAAGACCAATAGTTCAATGTTGACTAGAAATGTTTTGGGAATGTGCAGTATAGTTGATTTGCACGTGTATGTATGAGTGTGTAGTGTGCTACATTCGTTTCTGTTTATAACAATAAATATGTATCTTTTTTGTTTTAAGTGCCTATTGTTTACAGTATCAAGTGATATCTGACCAGGGAGACATGTAAAAGATGATTGATATTATTAATTGAGCTAACTTAGAAGGCATCTGCAACAACACGCCTCCTCTGCCATCCCCAGCGAGCCTGAGAACTCCATTTTCAAACTCTCTCAGCTCGGAAAGTGGGGTCTTTACATACAGCAGTTTATTAATTGAATTTCTCCTGTTCAAGATCACGACATTCAATATACCATCGTATCCT
Organism: Homo sapiens; assembly: GCF_000001405.40. Lineage (NCBI taxonomy): Eukaryota > Metazoa > Chordata > Mammalia > Primates > Hominidae > Homo > Homo sapiens. The sequence continues at coordinate 30,407,723 of NC_000021.9, read as the reverse complement.
GACTACCTCACTCTTTAAATTTCATTCTAATTCAGTTTAGCTCCAATTTCAGAAGAACTTTTAAACATATATCTAAAAGTTGGAGCTATCTTGAATATCAAAATCACAAGAACTATGAGAATAGCTAAGGGAAATATGAGAAGGTAAAGTAAAATGACCAAAGCAGAGAGAAAAAAATGCATATTTTGTATTTAGGGAAGAAGTGAAATTTAGTTGGTGTACAGTAAAAGAGGGTTTATGTAGAAATGTGAGACAGAACTTGCAATGTAGAATGAGTACATACAGATAGTCTGATGACTGGATATCACTAATCATAGGTTTTTATCCTTTTCATTCAAATTAGTGCAAAGCACCTTCTAATTGGATATGCTTATTCCAGTTTCTCACCCCAATCAAGCTATTTTTACTCACTCTCTAGACTCAGCTGATAGGATACTTTCTTTGGGAACCTTTGCTGACTTCTAAATAGGTGACATCTCTTCGTTAAGTGTTCTTATATGTTGAGGCTGCTTATTCACAGCTTTAATAGCAACTATAATTAAATAATTATTTGGTTAACATCGATTAAACCTGCTAAATGGTAAGTTCAGAGAAACGAACTGTATTTTAAAAAATTGTTTTAAAATTTTCTCATTATATGGTAGCCTATGAATGGATGCATTTTCCTTGAAAAATATAATAAAATATTTTTTCATCATGCATTCCCTAAGAACAGAGCCAGATGAATCTTATTTTGAAAAGTGACAAAATGCTACTGAGGCATGACTAATGAAAAATACAGAAGTTAAGGTTGGGAGGAACAAAGTTGTTATCTGTAATCACTAAAGTGACAAGAATAAATAAAAATTGGTAAAATCAATTGCATATAAATGATTCATGATGAGCTTCCTGGGAAACTGAATACAGTAATTCCTGGAAGTCAGAACCACATGCTGGCCAGTAGCTAGATGGATGGTAATTTCTGGAAATACAGTTGCTAGGGCAGCAGGAACTTAAGACCTGAACCCCCAGATTCAAGACTCACAGAGCTAATGAATGTAACAGATCAAACAGGGAAGGCAGCAGTGGAAACCCACACCACTGGTAGAGGCAAAGCCCATGAGAGATCTAATAGAAATCTGGTAGAGAGCAGGACTGCCTTCGTAGGGAAGTGGAGATCTGGAATCACTGTTGCTGAGTTGCTGGAATATAGGGAGAAATCTACCTTAATCCTGGTAAATTCAAAATGTTGCAAAAGAGTCAGGGATTTCGGCTGGCCATTTTTAGAGAAACTTTAATATGGCATTGGGATAGTTTCTTGAGATAGAATGATAAAGTTTATAATGATAGAGTTTATAATATGATGATAAATTTATCGTTATTTCATCCTGAAATTAGATATTAATCTATTTAACTTTAGTACCAGTTTTGATATTGCAAATTTATTGTCTCCAACATTATAACTACCAGTTGTGTAAGCATGCTTCACTATATAGTTGTGTAATTATTATTGAAACTATCATATTAGTCTTTAAAAGGTAGTTTGCTTTTCTAACTAGAGTATTTCCAGAGGCCAGAGAACCACTTTTATATCTAAAATAGGCATATCATTTCCATTAATCCAAGATGGCTTTGGCTTAGCCAGAAAGTATTCTTTAATGTTAATGCTATTTGTGTCTGTGTTCTAGATCTCTAAGATGGCAGAAACTCACAGATGAGAATTCTATATATAGAGCTAACTTGAATTATAACATTTTTTAAATTATGAAAGTTATAAACAAAATTAGATCAAGTTCACCAGGGAGCATCGAACATTGTCATTCCAATTTCTGTCACAGAAAACTGAATAGAACCTTCCATATTTTCACTCATTATTTCAATCCCTTTGGATTTCCCAGTAAAAGTCTACTAACCATGATTATTACCCAAGCAATCTAGTGGTGATGAGGATGGTGGTGATAATGGGGAGGAGAAGAATAAGAAAGAGGGCCGATGAAGGGAGGGAAAATGAGACCACAGGACACAATTGAAACTGCATTAAAATGAAACTTAGGAAGCAGGGTTCCATCCTCTGCTTGCTGCATGACCTGGAAACTGCCTCTTGGCTCGCGCCTGTAATCCCAGCACTTTAGGAGGGCAAGGCAGGTGGATCATTTTAGCCCAGGAGTTTGAGACCAGTCTGGGCAACATGGCAAAACCCTGTCTCTACAAAAAAATAAAAATAAAAAATAAAAATAAATAATAAAAATAAATAAACAGAAAATTTGCCAGTTGTATTAATACATTTTCATACTGCTGACAAAGACATACCCAAGACTGGGTAATTTATAAAGAAAAAGAGGTTTAATGGACTCACAGTTCCATGTGGCTGGGGAGGCCTCACAATCATGGTGGAAGGCAAAAGGCACATCTTACATGGCGGCAGACAGAAGAGAATGAGAACCAAGTGAAAGGGGTTTCCCCTTATAAAACCGTCAGATCTCATGAGACTCATTTACTACCACGAGAACAGTAGGGGGGAAACTGCCCCCATGATTCGATTATCTCCTACTGGGCCCGTCCCACAACATGTAGGAATTATGGGAGCTACAATTCAAGATGAGATTTGGGTGGGGACACAGCCAAACCATATCACCAGGCATGGTGGCATGTGCCTATTGTCCCATTTACCCAGGAGGCTGAGGTAGGAGGATCACCTGAGCCCAGAATTCAAGGCTGCAAGGAACTGTGATCAAATCACTGCACTCCAGCCTGGGCAATAGAGTGAGACCCTGTCCAAAAAAAAAAAAAAAAAAAAGATACTGACTCTTTTAGAGCTCAAGTGCCACCTTAATACATTAAATTTAATTTGGTGATCTACACAGTTTCTTACCAGAAAGAGTGAAACATTCTCATTTTTTAAAGGAATGGCACTTTTGTCAAGTCTATGATTCTCTTAGAGACTGTATTTTCTCATATGCAAAAGAACCTTAGACTATGAGTGAATTCTCTCACAGGTCTGCTTGAGGGTGTAAGGAGATGATGCATAGAAAATTTATTTAAAGATTGGTCAGCTCTACACAAAGGTGTCATTTTGCTTTTAATTTTAGCTCATTTACAACCAGTCATATTTTTGACAACTTATTATTTTGTGAAATACTACATTCATGAAAACTTAGAAAGTAACCATTAAAAGAAAATCAAATAGCATCCTTGTTTGTGAGATATAACTAAAATAGCCATATTGGCTGCTACAGAAGGTTATTTCCAGCTACACTGAGTTTGAGCCATGGGAAAGCACTAACATGGAACCCACAGCTTCCACGTCTATATCCTTTCCCCCATAGGTTCAGTTATAATCTACTTACACACACTCAGAGAAATAAATCAGTCTGGAAGCCAGTTGGTGAATGCAGGGATTCAGGCAACTTTGCACCCAAAATGGGGTGAATTCAAAGATATTTACTAAAAGCTCATAGGCAGCTGGGCACAGTAGCTCACTCCTGTAATCCCTGCACTTTGGGAGGCGGAGGTGGGCAGATCACCTGAGGTCAGGCATTTGAAACCAACCTGGCCAACGTGGTGAAACCCCATCTCTACTAAAAATACAAAATTAGCCCGGCGTGGTGGTGCACGCCTGTAATCCCAGCTACACGAGAGGCTAAGGCAGGAGAATCGCTTGAACCCAGTAGGCAGAGGTTGCGGTAAGCTTAGATCGCGCCATTGCACTCCAGCCTGCGCAACAAGAACAAAACTCCATCTCAAAAAAAAAGAAAAAGAAAACGAAAAAAGCTCATAAGCAATCTTTTCTCAATTTTACAAACATGAGTTCTCTGTTTGTTTTGCTTAATGTGAGCCATGTCATATAAGCCTGAAGTGTCACCCTGCTCTATGTATTCCTGGTGCTTGTACAGCTTCTTTGTTCCCTCCTCCTGTTAGCAGCAACACATGGGCAATGGTTCATGGAGTGAATTAAGCTCTTCTCTGCTCCTGAGGTGTTTAGTCAGAGAATGCTTCACTGTCAAATTCTGAACTACTGGGAAATTATTACTTTAAGAGAGTTAAAAACTCTGAGGATATCGGTTAAGGCTTTGTATACAAAGCTCATTCACAGAGAACTATAGATCTTTAATTTTAATAACACAAATACACAAGAAAATAACATTAGAAAATGAATAGATAACAAGCCACCACATTATTCCAGGGTTAAAAAGTTTATTACCCTTAAATCATGCAAATTTTATTTTGAAAAGAAAATTTGTTAAAATGAAATCTATCACAGGTGCTGGCATCAGACTTTAAATGTGAGCTATTATTCAGTTGAGCACTGGCAATACACTTTTTAAAGGGTAAAATATAAGCAGATGTAAGACAAATTAATTTCTGGTGTTTAACTTAAAAAATCTCATACAATTGTAAATTAATCAATGCCATTTGTAATAATTCAAACGTTAAAGAAAGAAATACCACAATGGAAATTAGACAATATTTTGAAATACATGATACTGATGATAAAATGCAGTAAAATTTGAGAGATTTAACTGTTTAGAAGGAAAATTTTAGATTTTAATGAGAATATTAAAAAGCTTGAAATCAAATTTTCAGTACTTTATTTGAGGATGCTAGGAAAAAAAAATAGCAATTTAAGCCAAAAGAAATGTCTGAAATTATAAAGGTGGAAAATTATGACGGCAAGAACAGAAGCCAATTAAATAGAAGTCAAACATAAAACAGAAAATCAACAGAGTCAAATTTAGGTTTTGTGAAGATCAATAAAATCAAGTAGTTCAATTTTAAAAGAAGCATAGAGAAAAAAGGAGTCAGTAACTGCACAAAATTTATATAATTATCTGAAAAAAAAATTTTGTTTTTATATTCCAAAGCAGAATTAATTTCTCCTCCATTTCCTTCAGTAAGGTTAAATGTCTTAGCCTTCTCCATTCTTTCTGTTTTTGAAACACTTCTTCAAAATAGTCTTCATGGCAAAACATTAGGGTAGCCACATGATGAATAGAGAGCAAAACTACTCTTAGCTAAGAGTAGAAAGTTAACCAATTTGTTCTGAAAAATTATAGAATTCTAGTTCATGTTCTCTGCACCAATCAAAGAGGCTTGTAGACACATCTGTTTCATTTTATTCTAATCTCTATTTCTACACTTGTATTATTGTGTGAATGATGTGGGGGTATGAGAATAGAGACTTGATATGCAACCAGATCCTGGTTAATCCAGCCCCAAGATTCTATTGGTAAGGTCTGTACAGTGTAGGCATCCAGGGGTAGTTTGATTTTTCATTTAAGCATAAAAGATGAATTATTTGTCAACATTGTGAAAATAGAAAATTTCAAAATTTGTGTGCTTTTCATTGTGAAAATATTGGCTTGCCATTTTCTGGTTTGTGGATTTGCATCCCTGATGTGTAGATTGAATTATTTCAGATCTGAGGGGTGCTGTCCAGAGACTATACAACTTATTTTTGCAGCTTTACCCACTTCTTCTAAAAATTGCTGATCAATTTATTACCAATCAGCCTTGGTCAAATTACTTATTTTATCAATAATTTGTGCAGATTTAAAATTTATGGGTTTTTTTCCTTCATTTTTGAAGGATATATTTAACTGTCATCAAATTCTAGGTTGATTATTTTTCTTTTTCAGCCTTTCAAAGCTATCATTCCATTTTTTTCTAACTTTCAATATTTATGCTGTAAATTAGCTATAATTCTTATTGCTATTTCTCTAAAAAATGTGTAGTTTATAAAATTCTGGCTACTTTTAAGAACTTCTCTTTATTTCATTTTCATGAATTAATTATTGTATGCCTAAGTCTGAATTTCTTTATCTTTATTCTGATTTCAAAATCCCAAGATCCTTGGATCTGGGGGTTGAAGGGATTTTTGTTGTTGTTGCTTGCTCGCTGTTGTGGTATTTTTGTCAAAAACGCAACATTTTGACTAATAGCTTTTCTATGCTTTTTTCTGGCCCACTTCTGCTGGGACTTCTGTTACATAATTTTTAAATTGCTTAATGTTTTTCAGCAAGTCTTTAATAACTTACTCTGTCTCATTTTTCATTCTCAATTTCTTTGTGTACTTAGATAATCTTTTCTAAAAAATTTATTTTCAAGTTTATTTATCTTTGTTACTGTCTTGTCAAATATTTTCTTCATTCTATCCGATACATTTTATTTAAAACTTTTATCTTTCTGTTTGGGGATATTCATTGGATTACTTTTTATTATTTTCATATCTTAAAGTTTATCAATTATCTTAATATTTTCTTAAATCATTCAAATATCATAGTCATTTTACAGTCAATGCTTGGTAATTCTAGTGTTTTTATTAAATGTGAATTTTCTTCTATTAAATGTTTTCCTTTGGCTAACATTTACATGCCTTTTCAAGTATCTTGTAATGTTTTATTGCATTATAGGCATAGAAAAGCTGTGGCTTGTGGCATATAAATATTACTATTTATACACCCATACATTTGTGTGTGCATGCATACATACACACAAATATACATCTGCAAATATTTTTATCATTTTCCAGAGAATATAATCCCTTCCTTGTGCATTTTAGAAAGGTAAAGAGCTTCTCAGTAAAATTCCTCAATTAATTGAGTTAAACAAGCACCGTTACCAAATTCAATCAGCTTGATTCCACTTCCAATTTGTCTAAACTGCAACCAGATCCTGCCACTCTCTGATCAGTGCTCTTTATTATAGTCTATATTTCATCTAGTGGGGAGGTTGGTCTATAGTTTCAGAGTGTTTAGTATTTTAGTTTGCCATTGGAATTGTTTTAGATTTGTTCATTCTAATTATTGTATTTTATATTTTTAATATTTTTGTGTTTAGTTATATAGATAATGGTATTCTGTCAAAATTCTTAAATTTGTCTTAAATTTTTTAAGAACAATAATAACCACAATTGTTTTTCTGTATATTCTAATACCTTCATCTCTTGTGGATTTATTTGCACTCTGTATTGTCTCTTGGCTTGGTCATATCTTGCTTTTTTATAGAATTGGTCATTTTTAATTAATTACCATAGGCAATTTGAGAGTTTGAGTGGTTTTATTTGCAGACAAATTTACTTTGGATATAGCATGCTGGGATAATGTTACTAACACTCCCATATCACCAAGATCAATGCAGTTCAAAGGTTGGCTTCAGTTTCTATGAAACATATTCTATATATGCTTGCTCTTAAAAATTCTGATAGACTATTTAAGATCCTTACCAAAAACTTAGCATGTTCACGTGTGTTCCCAGGTCCTTAGAAGGTCCTGTAGTCTGATTGCTTGTGGTCATTCAAGCCATGAGCCCATTAATATCCTTTTTTTTTTAAATCAATGAACAATTCTGGGAAGAAAGCAGCTTAACTGTCAACACTTCCTTTGATTTAAACCATCTCCTAATTTTGTTCCAGCAGTTCTTAGCCTGAGTGTGCTCTAGAGTTTATATGAGGATTGTTTTATTCAGTTTTACTAGGGATCTTATTGATAGGGTTGATTTGAGCTACCAAGATTTGCTGCTGCCAAAAGTTATATTATCTAAATAATATCATATTAAATTTCGGTATATAATAGTGATGGGTAAAAAGGTTTATTTTATTATATATGCAAAATTACTTAGAATAAGCAGAAAACCTGGAAAGAGAATTATCAATCATAAATTTGTTCCAGTAAAATGAATAAGTGGAGGTGAAACCTAGGATTATTGTCACTAAACACTCAAAATGATGAGTTTCAAAATGATGGAGTAATGAATAACCATTATAAAGGTCTAGCCCTAGTTATTCTCTGTTTATTGTAAATTAACTGTCCAAACATTGCCTAAACATAAAAGGTGCTTTTGTACATCCTCCATTTCTCTTCCATTTTTAAAACAGACATTTATTGGTCATATTACTCTACTTTTGAATTTTTTTAATATTTGAGGACATGTATTTGTTTTCTTATATTTTTTCTTTTCTGTTTAAAATTTAGCTTTTAATCCCAGTTGCTTTGATGAAGGTAAATTTCTTTTTAAATTTTTTTCCCACCTCTGGCTGCTTTAAGTTTTTCTCTTTTTCTTTCCTGTTCCTCAGTGAGATTCCAATATGCCTAGTTATGGGCTTGTCTTCATATTTATCATGCATGGGATTTTTAGTAGTTCTTGAATATATGGATTTGATATTTCCTCTATTCAAAAATTATCTTTGGATCCCCTGTGAATCTGTTTTTATTACATATGACTTCTCTTAGATTTAGTGATATGTGGACTTATTTCTAGCCATATGTACACACACACACACACACAGAGAGACACATAATTTTGTTTTAGGACTCTAGCAGCAACTATGTTAGACTGTTTCACATGTTCCATAGTCTCTGAAACTCCTTTAAATATTTTAATAATTTTTCTTTATTTTTTTTGTTTGTATATATTCTAGTGAACAATAACTAATTATCTCTTTAGCCATGTTTAATTTTGTTTTAATCCGTTCACCAATTCAATATTTTAATTTATCACATTTTTTAATTTTAAAATCTGTTTTTGGTTCTTTTAATATACTTCAGTACTCTGCCAAAATTTTTCATCTATCTTTTTATTCCCTAAGCATGTCAAGTGTAGTTATTTAACATTTATGTCTAATATTTTCATTTACTGAAGCTCTTGTAAGCCTAATTCTGCTACATATATCTATATTTTGGATTTAATAATTTCTTAACTTCTGAAGCCTGGTAAATTTTTGTTGGGTACTAGACTATATCTGCGTCTTCATGTGTATCTAGATATAACTATATCTGCAATGGTATCTATATCTATATATAAATAGGTATCTATATTTACATTTGTATCTAAATTTATCTATATAAAGAAATAATTTAGAGCTCACTGTGATGTTATCCTCCTCCTGGAAGAATTTAAATTTGATTTTGGAAGGATAGAACAAGAACCCTGGTATTCCTATATCCTCTTAACTTAAGCACTGAAATGATTTGGAGCTGAACTTCAGCCTCTCTTTTGGATTTGACAACATTCCTATTCTAAAAGTAGTCATGAATTCCATGGCTTTCTGCTTGTTTATTTATCAACACCTTTCTTAGATTTTGGCCCTGGTAATTTCTAAATATTTTCACATGTATGTTTATATATCAAGACCTTTCTTAGATGTTGACACTCATAATTTCTGAATATTTTCACATGTATTTTCCTTGTCTAGATTTTCTAAACAAAAGACATTAATTATAAATTGTTTTTTCATTTGTAAGCATTTGATTTTAACTTATTTAACCTTAGGTATGAACCTAATAATTTATACCTAATCATTGGATAAAAGATTTCTTTTTAAAAGTACATAAGTGATTAGAATAGAAGAGAAAATGGAATAAAAGTGCCCAATCTCGGCCGGGTGTGGGGCTCATGCCTGTAATCTCAGCACTTTGGGAGGCCGAGGCGAGCGGATCACCTGAGGTCAGGAGTTGGAGACCACTCTGGCCAACATGGCAAAACCCCGTCTCTACTAAAAGTACAAAAAAATTAGCCAGGCGTGGTGGTGGGCACCTGTAATCCCGGCTACTAGGGAGACTGAAGCATGAAACTCGCTTGAACCCAGGAGGCAGAGGTTGCAGTGAGCAGAGATTGCGCCACTGCACTCCAGCCTGGGTGACAGAGCAAGACTCTGTCCCAAAAAAAAAAAAAAAAAAAAAAAAAAAAAGTGCCCTATCTCAAGACTGTGTTAGTAGTTTGAATGAACATGTTTGTCATTACCACACCATATTAAATCACTTTGCATTGTAACTGAGCTAAATTTCCAATAATTCCTTGAATACACAAAGACTTTCAGCCCCTTCTGCTTTGCTTATTGCGTGTAATCTTCCCAGACTTCTCCCCTCCGATATTTCTGTCTTTGCAAGTCAAAAATTTGCAGCTCCTTCAAGATATCGTACAATAAGTTTCCCTGTACATTCCTTATCATCTTTGTGTCTCCATATTTTTACATTTAACATCATTTACATGTATAATGGATCTCTTTCTCTAACAGCTGTTGTCTAAAGGAATAATGCATGGGAATAGTTATTGAACGTTGTTTGAGCTCTTTTTTTCTTCTCAACTTTAGGTTCCTTATTGAAATCTATTTATCTTCACACCTGTTTCTGGAACTGCTTTGCCTGAGAAAACAAAGAATGCTACCACAAAAAAGAGAAATAACATTTCCCTAATTTTATGCTCAGATGTGAATTAAATTATCACTTCTGATGATATCAAAAGGTTATTATCTTCAGCTTTACTTAGTGTGAAACATGAATACAAACCAAGGTGGAATATCAATCCTCCATTCAAGTTTCATGGTATCCCTTATTACACATATGTAGATAACTGAATCATATTGAATTCTCATCAATGAGATGCAGGCATTTGATCATGATTACCAACAAATATTGGGTGACTTCAAAAGTTACTTCAAATCACTTTTGTTTCTCTTCAATTCCATTTTTCTTTTATGTATATCTATAACCATATTGTTCTAAATAGTATTTTTTTCTCTGCAGATTCCTGATATAACTATCAACTAGTTTGCTACCTTATGCTTGTTGGCATAGACACAAGAATCCACATTTTATAAGGGGATCAAGCTAATTCCTGATTCTGATATTTTAATGAATAAAAGTCTGTAAATTTAGTAGACTTCCACTACCTGTAGTTTGAATAACAAAAATCTCTGAGGCCCCCAAAAGTTTGTCTGAATCGCAAACTTCATATGATTTTGAAACCTATTCCTATATATATACACCAATTGTTTCATAATAATTGCCTAATACATCACAACCAAAACCCTAGCAATATAAAACCACCACAAACATAGCTGAATATGAGACCAATGGATTTATTGGATTAAAATGATTTGACTTTTTATACAATTGTGGAAGAAAATCGAATAATATAAATTCTACTTTTAATGTGTATTTCAAGATTTATTTTGAGCTAGTTCTCCAATTACAGTTTTTCAGATGAAGCCTGCCAGCCAGTATTTGGGGACAAAGACAAACTGAGAACTTGATAATTATAGAATAAGAGGCTAATTCTTTCTGTACATGATGAAGACAATAAAGGTTATGAGTAGAGGCATTGAAGGCATTAGCCAACAAAATCAGCAATTTAACAAGATGATCAATAGTAGAAGCCTGATCCACAAGTTGGTCTGTAGCAAGAAGACTGGCAGCTCCTAGAAGCCAAGTAGGTTGGGCGGCAGAATCCAACGCCATAGCCCAGGGAAGGGAAGCCACAGCCTCCATAACCCAGGGATCTGAAGCCACTGGACCCACAGCCCACTGAGTAGCAGCTCCTCGATCCATAGCCCAGGGAGCGGCAGCTGCTGGATCCAAAGCCTAGAGACCCAGAGTAAGTTGTCTGGCAGGGACTGCAGAGCAAGGAGGTTCTGGGACGGTAGCAGGAGGTCTGGCAGGGGCTGGACTCCACATAGGATGTCTGGCAGCTGGTGGGCTCCCAGCAGGTCTGCTGACAGCCCCTATAGAGAGAGGAACCCAGCTGGCACGTGCTGGGAGAGCAGAGGTCAGTGCTGTAGACCTGGTTGCTGGGGTAGGAAAAGCCACAGGAGGAGGCTGGGTAGTGCAGGTAGCCACCACAGGAGCGGGAGGAGAAGTTTCCAGAGCAGCAGTTGTAGGACATGTTGATGGGAGATGTGAGTTCAGCTGAGTTACACTGAGAAGATTCTGAGTTTGCATGCCACATCTGGACAGGACCATTTATATACGTTCAGCCGTGGGTGTGGCACCTTACAGGGTCATCCTTCACACATTTAAGCTCCCACATTTCATATAAGCAACTTAGTAATCTTCTTTGTCATTGCAGTTAACTAACACCCTTCATCTTATATTTATGGAAGAACTCCTTTTGTTTTTACAGCTCTGCGTCAATGAAATGCATTTATGTTACAAATGCTATGACAGTATGTGATTAGTCCCTACTCCATTATGTCCAGGAAAACCCCTCTTATTTTCTCTGCCCATGATTTATACATCTGCTCCTGTTTTGGCTGGGAAATTCTTTCTGTCTTGGGTGGGGATAGCAATGTATTCATCTTTTTTTGTCAGTGGCCTAGAGGCAGAAATCTTATTGTTCACACTCTCCAAAATAGTTTGCCATCTGTTATTTACTATAATCAGTGCTTGTAAGTCCAGTCTCGAGGGCCTATATAAAAGTAAGCCAAAGGAATTGAGAGATAACTAGACATAGATATCATCTTGAACAAATTTTTTTAAAAAATTAGTATTTAGAAAAAAGAAATCAAAACAAAAGCAAAAAATAAATAAATACAAATACAACAATAAGGACCCATGTGAAAAAAAGGAAAGTAGAAGACACTGCTGAGATGAGGTAGGAAACAAGTCAGAGTAGTCACAATAGCAGAAGGATGCTCAGGACTCCATCCTAAAAGCAAATCAAAATGCTTTCAAATAAACTTATTTGATGACTTTTGTATGATGCATTCATATTTGTAAGTGTTCTGGAGCCTACCTGTCTACAACACCTCTAAACCCCCACCTCAAAATGTTGACTGCCTTCTGAGCATTTGCGGGGTAACACCAGCTTCTATGTTTTTCGTGACTCTGTCCCAGCCCTCTTTAAAGAGGTGGATTTAGGTTTTGTGGTGTTGAAAAGTATAATTTGGAGATCCTCATTAAAAACACAATATTAGGAATATAATAATAGATATAAACATGGATATTAACTTAGAATAAAAACTTCCATAGTTAACAAAACCCAAGATGTCACAAAATCAAGACAATAATATACCTTTATCATCATCCTCATCTATAATCTTTTTCTACATTTTTTGGTTGCATAGTCGGTCTTTGATCATCTCTACACATGACAATGGTTTTGTCCACATGATTTTCTGTAGAACAAATGGAAGTAAAACTTGGTGTTTCTTTTAGAAATAGTACATCAAAAATACTTGAATTATTTTTTATGACACAGAAAAGTTTTTTTTTTTTAACATTGCCATTTGTTGTGAGCAACGCCACAGCTGTAACACCCTCTGTCATTTCATTTCAGCAGTGCTTCAAGCCTGAGATTGTGCGCCTCTTGTCCAGATGTCCCTGGTTCACCTCCCACCTGTATCTGTTGGCAATTTGCATGAGGATCGGCTGCAAACAGCTGTGGATCCAGGGTTGTAGGGGTCTTCTAGTTTGTGGCAGAGCAGTATCCTCGTTCCAATCCTTCTTCTTAAAAGGAAAACTATGGGCCGGGGGCTGTGGCTCACGCCTGTAATCCCAACACTTTGGGAGGCCGAGGCGGGCGGATCACAATGTCAGGAGATAGAGACCATCCTGGCTAACACGGTGAAACCCTGTCTTTACTAAAAATACAAAAAATTAGCTGGATGTGGTGGCGGGCGCCTGTAGTCCCAGCTACTCGGGAGGCTGAGGCTGGAGAATGGCGTGAACCCCGGAGACAGAGCTTGCAGTGAGCCGAGATGGCGCCACTGCACTCCAGCCTGGGCGACAGAGTGAGACTCTGTTTCAAAAAAAAAAAAAAAAAAAAAAAAGGAAAACTTTCTAAGGTTTATAAGGTTGACCCTGGGGACTAGATATATTAGAAGTAGTGCAGGCAGCTCTCCGGATACACCCACAGCCTGAGGATGCCACGAGGGACTCCTAGGCCACAGCAGCATAGCTGGAGCAGCGGGTTCCTCCCAGTCTCCCCAGGAGTGATAACAGAGCTTTGGAAAATGTCAGGCAAGAGAAGTACCCTCAAGCTTACCCTTCATTAGGTTACATCTGTCTCTGCCTCTGCCTAACATGCCCTGCCCAAGATGTCTGAGCATGTGCTCATGACAGTCTCTCTAAGACATCAGGGACTTACATGGAACACCAGGTCTCCCTCGGACACCTGTCAGGACAATGTGTCTCTCTGGAGCTCCAGCCTCACTTTTAGTAATTACTTTGCTGTATGTGTTGTTGGTGTTTTTCTTGTCTTTGCTGCTGTTTAATCCCAAATCAAAACAGAAAACAAAATAAGAAAATGTCTGATAGCTTTATTATGTTCTTTGGATATATGTTTTCTAAAAATTCAAGACAAATTCCCTGACAGAATATATGCCAAAGTCCAAATATGTGATGTCAGGGGCTCAAGAAGTATAAAGCCATGGCTAATGTCATGGAATTGCAAATCTATTTAATAAAAAGGTAATTATACAACAGATACTGAAAGTATCAACTTTTTCTTAATGTAAATGTATGTTTAATTGGAATTTTCTTTAGAACTCACTAGATAAAACTTGCATAAGTAAAAAAAAAAAAATGACAAAGAAGCTTCCTCCACATCAAACAGCTACTTTTAACAACTTTATCTTGTGATCTTCTAAATATCTAAATTTCTGTCTATAGGCTCTTGGCAGCTGCGAGAAAAGTCCTAGCCCACAAGATGCTGTGAAGACCATTTCTTTCTCAAATCCTCATTTTCCAAGGAACTTTTTGAAGATAACCATCCTATCACAACTAAGGGTAACTTTTTGTTAACTGGAAATAATCAAATTAACAAAGTCAGCAAATGTGTTTATCAGGGCTTACCCTTATGACTTCCCTCCCCGCTTTGCAATAGTGCCCTTCTCCTCCCCATGCATATCCTGCCTTCCCTGCACTAATGGGCTGGTGAATGGTACCAGTTGAAATAATAGACCATAAACTCACAGGTCCTCTGTCAAATCCAGCCCACATAGGTTCATTCATCTCACAAGTGCAGGCCCCCCCGGGCATTTTATTCAACTATAAATTAGTTGCTAATATTCAACAATCAAAAATTCACAAAAATTTGGATTTGTGATTTCTTTTTTAAAAATTCTGAAAGTCTGGTGATCCTGGGTTTTCTCACTCACAGTTGGCTGGAACTGAAGAAGAGTTGCTCCACGGATGTGGGACATGCTTCTTATCATCCCCACAACTCTAACCACCCCTCTTGTCTCCCAGCTCTACAGCCAAATTTCAGTTGTGACTACGCATCAAGCCTGCACTATTATTTTGTTGTGTTGGTTAATGTCTCTATCATAAGTGAGAGAATGTGAGATGAATTAAGAAGCTTTGGGTTTCAAGAAAATTTCTGAAAACTATATTCTCGTGCACTTGACAAATATTCTTTCATGTTTAATAAGAAAATACATCATGTCTGTGATGATGGATTAGAATATGAAGCATCAATCATCAAACAAATCACAAATCCACTGAACCACCTCACTTATATTTATGAGCTGCCTACATCATGTAGTGGCTTGAAATGATCTCCTCTGACTTCAAATACTTTATAAGCCAGCAGAATTTGAGTTGGTTTTTATATGCTGGGCAAATGCTTAAATCAGTGTTGTCTAACTTCTGAATATGCAACAGAATGAACAATGGGTCATTTTAGGACATACAAATAAACCAAAAAATAATTAATTACTTAAATAAAAAAACAGATGATTAAATTCCTCCTAAGGCTGCCTCATTCGTGGTTCTCATGTACCACCATTTTTGGAAGTTACTCCCTTAAATTAAAAGGTTAACATCTAGCCAGGAGCCCACAGGAGATCCTCATAGCCCTGTGAAATCATGCTACATGCCTGACCACCATAACCCCCTCTGGACACGGCTTGTCTGTCCAAGTTTATAAAGTACATTAAAAATAGAGGAAAGGTAATCTATTTTCTGCTTGTAGTATTATAATTTGATTGTAATGTGCAGTCTTTGATAATAATATGCTGTCTTCTGTCTTCATGCTATTGCAAAGATGTAATAGCTATTGCAAATGCTCTCATTCAAGAATGCTGAAGATGGATTTAGTGGCATTAATATCCATCCTGCAAGATGGAACATCTTAGAGTCTGAACAGAGGCCATGTCACTACCCAGTGACATTGTACAGATGGTCTCATGATGACTAGTAATGACTCCTTTCACCATAAATACCAGAGCAAATAGTGATTTTGACAGGTGATGACAGCTGAAATTGGGAGGCAGAAGAAAAAGGGCCTTCAGTTAGAAATCAAATGAATGGCATGATGAATATGCCTGTAGCACAGAAACAGTCCCTAGCATATAGTAGGCACTCCATAGATAGACGTTGATAGAATGAAAAGGGAAGTTAGGCATGCAGATGTCTTATATGAAATCAAGCGTCTCAGAAGCCTATCTAAATGGTAACTATTTTGCCTTTGTTCATTCTTTGATTTGGCAGCTGAGTGAAAGTTGGCTATATCTATTAATAGATTTGGAAGCTTTTTCACTCAGAAGTAGGAAGCCTCAACAGTGGATCAGATACAAACCATGGGCTGGCCTTTATCTAGCTGGAATCAAATCCTAGCCTAGTGGAAAAAAGCGAGATAAGGGGAAAAGAGAACATGCTAGAAGACATGTGTGTGAGCACCCTTCCTTCTCTGCCATTTTTGAAATGAGGAAAGTTCCTTTATGCCCCTCGCAGGGCATGTAATAGGGTGTGGCTCGCTTCTTCTGTGCCCCACAGCTCAAACCCCTAGCAGGGAGCATGCAGACCAGCAGGTCATGGGGAGTGTGGGCTTGGACCCCATGGCAGCATCTAGGGTTGAGTGTTTACAGCTCCCAAAGCCCCAGTGGGCATATGTTATAGTCAACTCTTTCAGCTTAGCTATCTGCAGCTGGCTTGTGTTAATCAGCTCAATTAGACCCTCTGCCTTATCACAAGGACAAAAGACTTTCTGTATCTTAGGGTTCTTGTCCTAGTGTACCAGAAAAATCAGATCACATGTGGGCTTGGAGGATTAGTGCAAGGTTTTATTGAATGGTGTAAGCAGCTCTCAACAGATGGGTGGGGAGCTAGAAGGGGGATGGAGTGGGAAGGTGGTTTTGCCCTGGAGTCGGGTGGCTCAGAGGCTTGGCTCTCCTCTGACAACCCTCAGCCAAATTTCCCTTGGTGTTCCACAGCTGATGGCCTGCCAGCATTTGTCAGTGTGTTCTGCTGGTGTGTTCCGCTTGACGTCCAGCCGCCTGTGTATTTGCCCACTAGGTTCTCGGGGTTTTTATAGGCAGAGGATGGGGACATTGTGAGCCAGGGTGGTCTTGGAAAATGCAACATTTGGGCATGAAAACAGGAGTGCCTGTCCTCACTTTGGTCTGAGGGCACAGGCCCTACCCAGCACTTCCCTGCCCCCTTCCCATATCACTTTGAAGAAGTCTGGCCTCAACCTTATTTTGGATGTCACCACTGTCTCCCTCCTTTCCTTCTGTTTAAAGTCTTTGCTGGAGATCGAAGAAATGACAAAACAGCATACAGAAGGGAACTCCATATTTACTCAGCATTTCTTCATCTAACCTCTGGAAGGTATCATAGGATTGGGTGAGATTTCTGTTCATGAACTCCCTTTATTCCTGAAGGGAAAACAAACAAACAAACAGATATGGACAAGGAAGATGTGGATAGGAGAGTAGGAAAAAAGGAAGCAAAAGGGGGAGTTTATTGCAAGGTGTTTCTGTATTTTCAGAGCGCTAGAAGTAGAGGATATTTGAGGTTCCTCTGTGTACTAGGATTGCGCACTTCTTTTTTTTTTTTTTTTTTTTTGAGATGTAGTTTCACTCCTGTTGCCCAGGCTGGAGTGCAATGCTGCGATCTTGGCTCACACAACCCCTGCCTCCCGGGTTCAAGCAATTCTCCTGCTTCAGCCTCCCTAGTAGCTGGGATTACAGGTTCCCGCCACCATACCTGGCTAATTTTTGTATTTTTAGGAGAGACAGGGTTTCACCATGTTGACCAGGCTGGTCTCAAATTCCTGACCTCAGATGATCCACCTGCCTTGGCCTACCAAAGTGCTGGGATTATAGACATGAGCCATTGCGCCGTGCCTGGCTTGTGCACTCTTGAAAGAAAAGAAAGTAAAATCAAGTGAAGAGTCCTAGACAGGACCCTTAGCCCTTCTTGGTTGGCTGAGCTCTGTGGTGGGTGGATGATTAGAGGCACAGACATGGTAGAGGTAAAATATCCCAGTATCTCTTGGTAACAACTGGAGAGAGCCCCAATGTTTGAAAAACCTTTTGCTTTTCTTCCTTACTAGTACTGTAAACTGCTTACCTTTCTTTGTTCACTTTCCATTTCAGTGCTGAAATCCTATGATGTTAAGATTTGGTTGTGGCAATATTGCTGGTGCCCAGAGAGTATTCCTTTGCAATTTCTGTCCCATTCCAAGTGGATTGAGGCTTTCATGAAGGTGGTTAAAGAGCTTTAGGATGTAGTTGAGACTACTTATTCCTGGGGAAGTGTTATACACAGAGTTCCTTCTTTCTTTTTCATTATTTTCCTTGATATTAACTTTTTCACCTACCCTCATTCCAGGATTTGATTTATTTTTAAAGACTTGGGATTTAAATCAAGGGACAAAGAAGGTAATCTCAGGTCATTGTGGAATGCAGTGTATTTGACCACTTAGAATCTTCAACCTTGATGATTTTAAGAAATGCTGTTCAAAATGTAGATGTCAGAATCCCACCAGCCCAGAGGGTAGTTCTAGGGTGGGGGCCTGCCATTGCAATTGTGGGACAATGAAATGTAGAAGCTCAGCATGCATTTTGCTGTCAGAACACTTTGCGGGCAAACTCTGATGCTGCCCTTTTCAGCACTGCCTCGCTTTGCTCATTGTGTGATTGTGAGAATGAACTGGGATAATATAAATAGATAAATAGAGATACTGAAACATAAATATCCAGAGTACTGCCAGCTGGTTAGTAAATCTCTGCTGAAATAACAAAGCAAACCCTTGCCAGGTGATGCTGAGGTATCAGATTTGAGAACCACTGCTGGAAATAGTTTTAAATACGTTTTTGTGCTTCAAGTCATTCTTTGGCATAATAGCAAAATGTTCAGGATTAAATGAGAAATTTGGAATTTCAAACACTATACTTATTTCAAAATAAAACCATAGCACCTGCAACACAATATTGAGAGCACTATTTTAAATCTTCATGGAACCAGTCAGCTTTTCATAAATCAGTGATCAACAACCTCCTAACTTTACGATTTAGTTTCATGTCCCTATGGTGTGTTTCTTCTTCATTTACCCTTCTTCTCTAATTTGTCTTTTTTTTAATCTTTTTTTTTTTTTTTTTTTGCTTTATCTCTGTTCCGTTCTGTATGTTTTTCCTTTCTTTATACTTATTTTAAGCACTCCTTTTCTTGGTTTGGCTTCTAAACTGGGAATAATTTCAAACTGAGGAAGTGTTTTTTTTTTTGTTCCATCAATTAAATAGCATTGCTTTTCTATTTATTGGTTGAATAAAGTTGACTCTCCTCTACGTTTGTTTCCAAAAGTAGTTGAGTATTTTTATTCATTTCTCTTAAAATGTTCTAAATTTAATTCGTTTTTTTGGTGCTTTATTTAATTTTAGACTAGAAATCATTGAAAACTTTCCAGATTCTAATTTACATTTTAAAATCTCAGCATTATAATGCCTTTTTAATTGAATGTTCTCAAATGGCAAACAATTCCAAGATGACTTGCAACAATGGCCCTAATAAAACTTTTTAATAACCATACATACATATCTGGCCTCCAGAGCTATTAGTCTGTTGTTACCTTAGGACACCCTAGCTTTGTACGATACCCCATCTTAATTTACCAGACCGGAAGAACCTGGAAGATAGGAACAATGTCTATTCCTCAATTATTGACTGGCAATGGACTTTCAGTAATGTTTATTAAAAAGATGAATACAGGTATTTTTAGCATGAACTTTATTACTTTTACTTGTTGACAACAGAAAATATATGATTATCATTTGATGAACTATGAGATTTTGCTGTCTGATTCCTTAGAAAACAGACATAAAGGGCATGGCATCTGGTCACCATGAGATGGCAGGAAATGGGAGGTGGCAGGGGACCCTGCCAGGTTGCATGGTGATTTTTGGCCATGGAAATAGCCACCTTCATCCTTAAAATAAGAAATGAATGATCTGTTTCTCTTAAGTACATGAATAAAACACATTCAGCCATATCTGCAGAGGCAAATCAATGTTATTTTAATTAGACAACTAATTAATGAAACTGCAAAGTACTCTCTGAATACCAGGATGTTTTCTCCCGATACCAGTGGTCAAGGGTATATAACATTCCTTGGGAGAAAATTTGTTAGAATTCCTTATTAAATACAAGGAAAACTGCAGTCAGGAAACAATATCTAATTGAAATTCTATAGTATGCATTTTTTTTTTAACTTTTAGCGATGGCCTGTCTCCTGTTATATGAGTTGAATTTTGTCCTCCCATGAGATTTGTATTTTAAAGTGCTAACCCCCTGCACCTCAGAACATAACCTTATTTGGTGATAGAGCCTTTATAGAGACAGGCAAGTGAAAGTGGGCCCATTTCATTCGTATGACTAGTGTCCACATAAAAAGGGGAAATACAGACACAGAGACAGTCCCACACAGAGGGAAGATAACGTGAAGAGACACAGGGAGAAAACCATTCAGGACCATTTAGGGAGATGGCCATCTGGGGAGAAGTATCCTAGAAAGAGGCCTAGAACAGATGCTTTCCTCACACCCCTCAGAAGGACTCACCTGCCAATACCTTCATCTCAGCCTTCCAGCCTCCAGGACTGTAAGACAACACATTCCTACTAAGTCACTCAATTTGTGGTACTTTGTAATGGCAGCCCAAGCAGACTAATATACCCGCCATCTGTCAAAGTGAGTTCCTCCCATCCCAGGTATTGAGTGGCCACAGGGACCTCCTTCACCCAATGTCTACCATGTTTCTCCTGGCCAGCAAAGAACCTAGCAGCCATCCTGTGCCCTCTTATGGACACCCTTTCATCAGCCTGTCCAGAGGACAGGGCTTTGAGCATGGGGCTGTGGACTCTGCAGTTTTCAGCCTCTGTGGATGAGGGACCTCCCTTGACCCAGATTATGGGCTGGGTTTCTGTCACACTCATAATTGCTCCTCCAGGAGAAGTCAGTTCACTTTATTCCCAATCAATTTGTGGACACAGGTCTAAAGAGCAGCATGTTGCCTTTCTAGAATCTCATAAATTTTTTCATAACTTTATTACTAAAGAGATTCTAGATTTTCTAACTCATGAACTGCCTATTCATTTCCAAAAATGAGGTCTTCAAAAGCCATCTTCAAGAACTTAGCTGAAGCTTTTTAATATAGTAGTGACCTATGCTACAGCTAGAAATCTGCAAGTTGTTACTCCTGAAATTATCTCTCTTCTCCCCCTTTCATTTTCTCCCTTCCTCTCCTCTTTCCTCTCTCTGCCTCTTCCTTTCTTAGAATACAGTTTATGTTTCATATTTTCTAGATCCTCTCTTTTCCAATGTGTCTCCCCAAAACAGAAATATTCCAACTACTTTAAAATCATCCTCTTAAGTTAACATAGAAATTGGGTTTTTGTTTTCACTTATTTTTGTGTGTCTTGTATGCTTCTAGTAAGTTTCCTCTGGCATGAAAATCCACTGGTCCTGCTTGGGAAGGCCATTTAACTGTAAGGTATAGCACTTCTGGAGACTATTAAAGGCAAGTGCCCAGATATTGAAATCACTGCAATAGCTACATTCTTAATTAGCTCTCCTACTTAATTTATTTTCTTCTCTTGGTCTCTATCCAAACGTGGAGCCACAAAAATATATTTTTTAAGTCTGAATAGTGATTAGCTTTTCCCCATCCCTTGTGTGATAAATCAAAGAGTATAACTTAAGAAATGTGTTGAGAAAAGTTCTTTCTACTGTGCTAGCTGTTCCACTTGAGACCTAAGTGTTATCTCAAATAAGCAGAATCCAAATTCAACCTAAAGTTAGAATACAGTTCTTGCCATCTTGAAATATATTTCAGGCTCCTAGAAGAGTCAGAATTTAGGATAATTTGAGAGAGGATTTTATATTAATAACTTAGACTGCTGTGAACTCATAAACTTCATTTTTTCCTTTATTTATGCATTTATATATCAACTCATCTGATCGAAATGAATAATACCTATTCTGTTTAAAAATCTCATACTTAGAAGAGTAAATGAAATAAATAGAATAAGTGAATGAATGAAATGAATGAAATCTGCAGTAAGACAAACCTAAACTTGAGCATAATTCTATCATTTATGAGAGGTGACCTTATGTTATTAAGATTTGTTGGTCTCTGTTTCAACATCTAGAAAATGTGAATGGTAATAACACATATTTCTTTGGAGACTTAAATGAGGCTACATATGTACAATTCCTGCTAGGGCCTTTGGACACATGTTGGTTCTGCTACTTTCCAACCCTTCCATCTAGCTGCCACGTTGCTCTATATCCCTTTGTTTTGATCTCTCTGTATCCAGGAAGCTTTCTTGGACTAAACTTCCTCAACTTCTTAGTGTCATGTCTGTGATTTCTCCTCTATGAGCTTACTTTCTGATTTTTCATAGTCCTGGTCTTGTCTTTTTAGAGTTTTTATTTTCATGTCTACCTTCCTATGGCATCCAAACTAGAAATTAACATGAAATAATATGAAGGGTCAACTTTCAGGAATGTGTGATGAAATTGACAAATATATTTGAACCAGTGGGATTTGTTAGAGAAAAGGTAGAAAAAGCTTCATGGGAGGAAGCATGTTTTGAGGTGGATTTTCAAGTTCAGCTCTTTGGAGTTCAGTTGAATTGAGATACTAAAAGGTTAAGATATCAGGGTGGAAGTGTTTTTGTCATTTCCTTAAGGGGACATAGAATATTTTTTGTATCCTTGAAGTCTAGGGTGGTGGCATAAAGCTGTAGTAGATCTCAGGTATTGGATAAATCATGCTTAGATATCAATATAATTAAAATTTATTTTCACCATAATTGAAAAACTGGAGCCAAAACAGATCTTAAACATGATTTAACCCCGAAATATTTTAGTATTTCCCACTTTGCTCATCTAATATTTCTTTATTCTTTACCCTGCTGCCTTCAATCCTTCATTCTCCATCCACCCAACCATCATCTCCCATCTTTTGTATTACTGAGGCAGTACATGCAAAGGTTAAGAGTAGAGACTCAAGTAAAACTATCACACTACATCATTTCTGCTATTGTAGCTCATCTGTAAGAAGGATATACAAATTATTACAGATTTACTATGAGTTAAATACTATAACTTATGTGCCATGAATAATGCTTAGCACAATGCCTGGCTAAATGCTTTAAATGCGCATAAAATGTTTTTAAATGTTATCTACTATTATTTTTTATAATTGAGATTCCTCATTGTGTTCCTAAATTAAGCATTAGGCCCTCTAATCCATTTTACATGATTTTTTTTTAAAAAAAGAACTAGGAATGCTTTTAGGTATGTTTCTAGCTCTAAAGAACCTCTGGAGTTTCACACCACTAGAATGAGTTAACTTTTGTTAGTTCAGTGTCATCATAGTCAAGATATTAATGTTCACAAGTACAGTGAATTAAATTCATATACTATAGCACCATTCACAAAAGCTTTAAGTGAACAAATACATCTTAACAAATGTGGTTTTCTATAACATGGATTATAGCCACATGTTCCAAAGTAAAGAGTTCTCAAAACTATTATAGTAAATATATCAAAATTATAGAAAATCAATTTGCACTTTTTGGTAAATGAATTTAGACAGAGCCTCACCACTATGATGAGGTATAGAGTATTTCGTGACTTAGCTTACATTTAATAGCACTGTTTTGTATATATTTTCTAATATTTTTTTCTAATCCATATAAATAAGACTAATGTCTTTCTCAGATGGTGTTTTACCTTTTCAAAGACATGAATTAAGAGTTTCTTATTTTTGTCCCTTTTTAGTGCTGTCGATATATTAAAGCTTGTGATTTTAAATATAGCTTAATCTTGGATGAATGATATTAAAATATCTACATATTTTAATGTACAAGTTCTACATTATTAACATTATTGAAACAAAATGAAGACATGATAAATCAGCAAAAAGAGTAAATACTAGAATGACAAATAATCATCTTTCTGATGAAATAACTGTTTGCTAATACTTTAATGCCTGATTTGATGACACTGATTAAAGCCTTAATGAATAACCACTCACAATAGTTACCTTTAGCGTGTCAGCTTGGCAAGGCTATGGTAGCCAGTAGTTTGTCAAATGCCAGTGTAGATGTTGTTGTAAAGGCATTTTTTACATATGACTAACATTTAAAATAGTAAACTTTGAGGAAAGCAGATAGCCCTTCATAAATAATAGGGGTATACCTCCTCATATTTGTTGAAGGCCCTAAGAATAAAGACTGAGGTTTCCTGAGAAAGAAGGGATTCTCAAGACTGCAACATAGAAACTGCCTGAGTTTCCCGCTTACAGCACTGTGAATTCAGACTCAAGACTGCATCATCAACTCTTACTAACTCTTACCTGAATCTCTAGCCTGCTGGCCTAATTTGCAGATTTTAGGGTTGTCAGCCCCCACAGTTGCATGAACAAATTCCTTAAAATAAATATTTCTCTTTCTTCATACACAAACACACATATTACACACACACACACACACCCCCACACACTCACATACACACCCTATTGGTTCTGTTTCTTTGGAGGACCCTGACTAAAACTCTCTTCAAGAAATAGCTGACATTTTCATTATTAACTATCAATATCTGTCTAACCAATTGATCACGTGCTTCTTGAATCTCACTGCAACTTTACAGTGTAGGACTACCTAGCAAAAAACAAAACTAAACAACAATGTAGTCATATGGAAACTCATTGTGGAAACTGAATTATAAGAACTTGATTTTCACCTTCAAGTCACAGAATTCTGCAATTGTTAGGACCTACAGCAGCCATCCAGTCCTGCCTCTGGCATATGTAAGAGCTAAAATAACTTGCTGTAATTCAGTGTTGTTTCCATTCTAAGACATGAAAACTCATCTCTATTAATGTAAGAGATAAAACATTACAATCAGTGGTTTCTCACACTATTTACTTGGTAGGTTTAGTAACACCTTATTCTTATGTCTTATGTTAAATATGTCTGTGCTTTGCTCAGTTCCCAATGAGACTTTGTTTCTGTTATGCTATAGTGCTGAATTAGAATGAACACACAAGCAAAAAGCAAGGAACACAGTAACTCTGTTACTGACTCCCTCTCTAGCCCTATAAATTTTTCTTTTTTGCTAGATTACGTGCGTCTTTGACAATTTTCAAGATGGAGATTTGAATACTAAGTTTTGAAAACAAAAGAGAAATTGAATATTTCTCAATCTTCTTAGAAGAATCTGTAGTGTTTATAAACTGAAAAGCAAACTGACAAAGATTGAGGACGTCTACTAGCCTGCATCAGTTAAGTGGTCCATCTAGCACTCAAGTGACAAACTTCACAAGTGCAAGGAGAAAAACATGTCACCACATTCTGTCACCTCAGTAACATACTGCCAAGCAAGACACTGAGATCAAGTCAGGTAGGGAAGTGGTCATGCATGTCCATGCAAAATGATGAAGAGAAGAGAACTAGGGCACCTGTTCAACTGGAGCATGTATTATAATTGTAGGCTGTGAAGAGTCATGTTATTCAAAAGATGTTTGGTTTCTTTAACATATTTTTAATAAAGATACATGATAATATTTTATTCACATGAACTGTACAAAAGGACAAGTATAGTGCTGTGGCAGAAGTTATTAACATAGAAACAAAACAAAATAGGGTGAAATAATAAATATGACATTGTTGCTTTCATCTCTTCTTGGTTCAGTTTATGTCCAAGACAATATAAATGAACTTGCCTTACTTTCTGGCCAGGGTGCCCCTAGCAATGGCTTATGTTATTCCTATGGTTGAAAGACAGGTTGTCACTATTTCTGATATGTCTGCAGATCAAGCAGATTGATATAACCATTGTTGCTGGACCCTGAGATCACTTACAGCAATACCACAGATTAAATGAAAAAATTTCTTAACAGGCACAAACTAAGAGAGCTCACTCAAAAATACCTAGACAGCCTGACTAGCCCTGGATCTACAAAATAAATTAAATTAAGAGTAAAAAAATTCTAACAATGAAAATTCCAAGATAAGATGGTGTATTAGACTGTTTTCATGCTTCTGATAATGACATACCCAAGATTGGGTCATT
Source organism: Homo sapiens (assembly GCF_000001405.40). Lineage (NCBI taxonomy): Eukaryota > Metazoa > Chordata > Mammalia > Primates > Hominidae > Homo > Homo sapiens. The sequence goes on along the minus strand of NC_000021.9, from coordinate 30,381,668 downwards.
TATAAAGAAAAAGAGGTTTAATGGACTCCCAGTTCCAAGTGGGTGGGGGTCCTCACAATCACGATGGAGGGCGAAAGGCATGTTTTAAATGGAGGCAGGCAAGACAGAATGAGAGACAAGTAAAAAGGAAAACCCCTTATAAAACCATCAGATCTCCTGACACTTACTCACTACTGTGAGAACAGTATGGGGGAAACCACCCCGATGATTCAATTATCTCTCACTGGGTCCCTTTCACAATACATAGGAACTATGGGAGCTACAATTCCAGATGATATTTTGGTGAAAACACAGCCAAACCGTATTATTTCACCCCGGCCCCTCCCAAATCTCATGTCCTCACATTTCAAAACCAATCATGCCTTCCCAACAGTTCCCCAAAGTCTTAACTCATTTCAGCATCAACTCAAAAGTCCACAGTCCGAAGTCTCATCTGAGACAATGCAAGTCCCTTATGCCTATGAGCCTGTAAAATCAAAAGCAAGTTAGTTACTTCCTAGATACAATGGGGGTACAAACATTGAGTAAATACAACTTTTCCAAATGGTAGAAATTGTCCAAAACAAAGAAGCTATAGGCCCTATGCAAGTCTGAAATCCAGCTGGGCAGTCAAATCTTAAAGCTCCAAAATGATCTCCTTTGATTCCATGTCTCACATCCAGGTCACCCTGATGCACGATATACCAAGAGATTTTTAGCTAAATTAGTCTTCATCAAACTAGAAACATCTGTTTTCAAAGACTTTAATAAGAAAATGAAATTAAAAGTCACAGACTGGAAGAAAATATTGTAAAAACATATACTTTGATAGAGGATTTGAATCTTAGTCTTCTGTGTAAAAAAACAGTAAGAATATAATTATAATGAGATAACACACATAGAAAATGTTCAAAAGATTTGAACAGACACCTCTAAAGGAGAAGTATGGGAGGCAAAAAGCACATGAGGAAATGTTCAATATTATTATTCATTAGAGAAATGCAAATTGAAACCACAATGGGACACCATTACATGCCAACTAGAATAGACAAAATAATAAGGATAATACATACAGTGCGGTTGAGACTGTGAAACAAGTGAGATTTTCATACATTGCTATTGGAATGCAAAATGGTATAGCCACTGTGGAATATAGTTTGTCAGTTTTTTATAATGTTAAACATGTGGTTACCATATAAACCAGTAATCCCATGCATAGGTATTTACCTAAGAAAATTGAAAACATATTGTATTAGTCTGTTTTCATACTGCCTTAAAGATACTACCTGAGATTGGGTAATTTATAAAGAAAAAAGATTTAATTGACTCAGTTTTGCATGGCTGAAGAGGCCTCAGGAAACTTACAATCATAGCAGAAGGTAAAAGGGAAGCAAGGCACATCTTACATGGCGGCAGGAGAGAGAGAGAGCACACAAGGGAACCTACTACTTGCAAAACCATCAGATCTCATGAGAAGTTCCTCACTATCACAAGATCAGCATGGTAGAAACCACCCCCCATGATCCAATCACCCCCCACCAGGCCCCTTCCTCAACATGTGGGGATTATAATTCAAGATGAGATTTAGGTGGGGCCACAGGGCCAAACCATATCATTCTGCCCTTGGCACCTCCCAAATCTCATGTCCTTCTCACATTTCAAAACCAATCATGCCTTCCTAACAGTCACACAAAGTCTTAACTTATTCCAGAATTAACCCCAAAGTCCAAGTTCAAAGTCTCATCTGAGATAAGGCAAGTCCTTTTCTGCCTATGAGCCTGTAAATCAAAAACAAGTTAGTTACTTCCAAGATACAATGGGGGTACAGGCATTGGGTAAATGTTCACATTCCAAGAGGGAGAAATTGGCCAGAACAAAAAGGATACAGGCCCCATGTAGCACAGCCATTAAATATTAAAGCTCCAAAATAATTTCCTTTGAATTCATGTCCCACATCCAGGACACGCTGATGCAAGGGGTGGGCTCCTAATGCCTTGGGCAGCTTCTCTCCTGTGGCTCTGCAGGTTATAGTCCTCATGGCTACTTTCACAGGCTGGCATTGAGTGTCTGTGGCTTTTCCACACACACAATGCAAGCTGTTGGTGGATCTACATTTCTGGGGTCTGGAGGATGGTGGCCTTCTCATGGCTCCACCAGACAGTGCCCCAGTGGGGACTCTGTGTGGGAGCTCACACCCCACAGTTCCCTTCTGCACTGCCCTAGCAGAGGTTCTCCATGAGGGCTCTGCCCCTGCAGCAGACTATTGTCTGGACTTCCAAGCATTTACATATATCCTCTGAAATTTAGACAGAGGTTCCCAAACCTCAACTCTTGTTTTCTGCACATCTGCAGGCCCAATACCACTTGCAAGCCACCAATGCTTGGGACTTGCACCCTCTGAAGCAACAGCTGTAGCTATACCCTGGCCCCTATCAGCCATGGCTGGAGCTGGAGCTTCTGGGACACAAGGCATCAAGTCCTGAAGCTGCACAGAGCAGCCAAGCCCTGATCCTAATGTATGAAGCCATTTTTCCCTCCCAGGCCTCCAGGCCGGTGATGACAATGGCTCCTGTAAATGTCTCTGACATGCCCCTGAGACATTTTCCCCATTGTCTTGGCTATTGACATTCAGCTCCTCGTTGCTTATGCAAATTTCTGCAGCCAGCTTGAATTCCTCTGCAGAAAATGGGTATTCCTTTTCTATCACATGGTCAGGCTGCAAATTTTCCAAACTTTTATGCTCTGCTTCCTTTTTAAAATAAGTTCCAATTTCAAAGCATCTCTTTGTGAACACACATAACTGAATGCTTTCAGAATAAGCCAGGTCACATGTTGAATGTTCTGCTGCTTAGCAATTTCTTCCACCGGATACCTTAAATCATCTCTCTCAAGTTCAAAGTTTCACAGGTCTCTAAAGCAGGGGAAAAATGCCACTAGTTTCTTTGCTAAAGCATAGCAAGAGTGACTTTGCTCCAGTTCCCTATAAGTTCCTCATCTCCATCTGAGACCACCTCAGCATGGACTTCGTTGTTCATATCACTATCAGCATTTTGGTCAAAACCATTCAACAAGTCTCTAGGAAGTTCCAAACTTTCCCACATCTTCCCGTCTTCTTCTAAGCCCTCCAAACTGTTCCAACCTCCTCCTGTTACCAGTTCCAATGTCGCTTCCACATTTTCAGTTTATCTTTATAGCAGTACCCAACTCTGCTGGTACCAATTCTCTGTATTAGTCTGTTATCACACTGCTATGAAGATACTACCTAGGACTGGGTAATTTATAAAGAAAAATGGTTTAATTGACTCATAGTTCCTCATGGTTGGAGAGGCACCAGGAAATTTACATCATGGTGGAAGGTGAAGGGGAAGCAAGGCACATGTTACATGGTGGCAGGAGAGAAAGAGAGTATACACAGGCAGAAACTGGGACTTTTAAAACCATCAGATCTCATGAGAAATCCCTCACTATCATCAGAACAGCATGGCGGAAACCGTCCTCATGATCCAATCACCTCCCACCAGGTCCCTTCCTTGACATGTGGGGATTATAATTAGAGATGAGATTTGAATGGGCACACAGAGCCAAACCATATTACATATGTCCACAAAATTATCTGTATGTGAATGTTTATAGCAGTTTTATCCACAGTAACTCCAGACTCAAAATCATCTAAATGTCCATTTTCTAGTGTATAGCGTACATACAATGAAATACCACTTGGCAATAAAAGGGAATAAACTACTGGAATATGCAACAACATGGATGAATTTCAAAAGCATTATGCTCTGTGAAGGAAGTTAAACACAGAAGGCAACGTAATGTGTAATTCCTTTTATCATGCAGTTCAAAAAATAAGACTATAGGAACAGAAATTTAGATATTGGGGAAGCAGATTGATCCAAAGGAGCACAGGAGAATTTCTAGAAATAATGGAAATACTCTATCTCAATCAATTGATGATTACATAACTATATATGTTTGTCAAAACTCATTGAACTGGGAAGCCAAGGCAGGAAGATTGCATGAGGCCAGGAATTCAAGACTAAACTGGACAACACAGTGAGAATCTGCCTCTACAAAAAAAAAAGAAAAAAAAATAGCTAGGGGTTGTGGTATGCACTTATAGTCCTAACCACTCAGGAGGCTGAGGCAGGAGAATGACTTGAGCTCAGCAGTTGGAGGCTACAGTGAGCTATGATCACACTACTGCACTCCAGCCTGGGCAACAGAGCAAGCCCTTGCCCCCTCCACCAAAAAAAGAACAGAAAGGAAAAAACCCATTGAACTGTACTCCTAAAAATGGTGCATTTCATTTTATGGGAACTGTGTATCCACAGATCTGACTTTACAAAAGAGTCAAACAACTGACCAGAGGAATATATTAGCAACATATGAAAGACAAAGGCATACAAAAAGAATGCACAAATTCTCTAAAAATACATTTAAAAGAACAAATGACTCCATAGAATAATGGCTAAAAGATAACAAAATATGAGAAACTAAAACAGGTCTGAGTTACACAGCTAAGTGATGGAGCTGGGATTCAAACTCTGCCAGCCTGAATCCAAAAGCCTTGATCGTAACTACCATGCTAGAATTGAAATTATGTATGTCCAGCAATTGCATCTAAATATACATGTTCCAGAAGCCCTAGACAGTAGATGCAAGGGCCTATATAGAAGTATATTTCTTGCCACATGGTTTGTGATAGTAAAAAATCAAGAATGGTAGAGCGATATATCAATAAAATATTTTTATACAGTAGAATTCTATAAATTTGTAACAAGGAATAAACTAGATGTGTGTATCATAGCAACATGGTTATTTGCATAAAGTCTGACAATGGTGTCAGTATTGCAGTTCAAATCTCATCTCTGCTACTAACTACATGGGTAGCTTTGGCAAGTAACTCAATCTGTTTGTGTCTCAGCTTCCTCAGCTATAAAACAAGAATAAAAGTGGTGTGTACCATGTAGAATTATTATGAGGATTGAGTTAATATTTGTAATACAGTGCTGAGAACAGTGCCTGACATTTAAAAGTTCTACTGTAGTGATAATAAATGCACAAATATATAAATATCAACTTGGATATGTTTTAGATATTTTTATTTAAATAAATTTAATATAAAAAGAAAGCTACAGATACATATATGTATCCAATAAGATGGCATTTTTGTAACTTAAAACAACAATAAATGGTATAAACCGATAAATATATGTATAGACAATTTCCTGGAATGCTATGCAAAAACGAATGCATTATTGTGATGCCTTTGGAAAGATATGAAAAAGAATCAGACTGAGAGACTGGCCCACAAGGGGTCTCTCTCTGTAAGATAGCGAATAGAATGGTGGTTACCATAGGCTTGCAAGGGTAGTGGAAAGAAAGGACAGAGAGGTGTTGGTTAATGGGTGCAAAAATATAGTTAGATAGGAGGAATAAGATCTAGTGTTCAGTAACACAGTACAGCAACTGTGGTTAACAATAATGTATTGCATATTTCAAAATAACTAGAAAAGTAGATTTGGAATGTTCTCAACACAAAAAAAATGATAAATGTTTAAGGTGATGGATATGCCAGTTACCCAGATTTGATCATTACACATCGTGTGCCTGTATCAAAATATCACATGTACCCCATTAATATGCGCAACATTATGTATCCATAAACATTTAAAATAAAAAAGAGAAAGATGAACGCAAATCTGACAACGTGGTAACAATTGTGAGTTTAGGCATCCAGAAAATGACTCTAGAATTTACTTTAATTTTCTATTTGTTTTCAGTAAATGCAAGGGTAAGGTCTCAGAAGAGATAAGAAGAACCGAGAGGTGTGTAAGCAGGCTGTTTATAAATCTTTTTGTTTGTTTGTTTGTTTGAGACGGAATCTCACTCTGTCGCCCAGGCTGGAGTGCAGTGGCATGACCTTGGCTCACTGCAACCTCTGCCTTCCAGTTTCAAGCGATTCTCCTGCCTCAGCCTCTCCAGTAGCTGGGATTACAGATGTCTGCCACCACGCCTGGCTAATTTTTGTATTTTTAGTAGAGACGGGATTTCGCCATGTTTGAAAGGCTGGTCTCAAACTCCTGACCTCGTGATCCACCTGCCTCGGCCTCCCAAAGTGCTGGGATTACAGGCGTGAGCCACTGCGCCCAGCCTGGCCTTTTTATTTCAAACGAAAGTCATGGATGATGAAGACATAAAATGGATGAATTTGAAGCAGGAAGAGCTGTAGTGAAGTTAGAGGAGGTGCCAGGGCCTGGAAAAGTCTCAAACAATGAGGCCGGATGACCTCCGAGAAAGCCACAGGCCTGGGTAGGCTTGCATGGGGGACTGGGAAGAGACCATGAACAGGTTAGTCCAGGGAGTTCTCATCAAGCCTTTACTCAGTAGTGGGTTCTTCATAGTTAGCATTAATGTTTAATAGATACATTTCCCCTTGGGTGAGAATTTTAAAAATAAAATCTAGTGTAAAGCAGCTGTTATGAAGACTCTTTAGTGACCAGACAATAAAAGCCTCTCCTAGGTCTAGAGAAGGCAGAAAATTAAAAAGTGAACAGAAAGTAAAAAGGTGGCCGGACGCGGTGGCTCACGCCTGTAATCCCAGCACTTTGGGAGGCCGAGGCGGGTGGATCATGAGGTCAGGAGATCAAGACCATCCTGGCTAACATGGGGAAACCCCGTCTCTACTAAAAATACAAAAAATTAGCCAGGCGTGGTGGCGGGCACCTGTAGTCCCAGCTACTCGGGAGGCTGAGGCAAGAGAATGGTGTGAACCCGGGAGGCAGAGCTTGCAGTGAGCCAAGATTGCACCACTGTACTCCAGCCTGGGTGACAGAGCCAGACTCCGTCTCGGAAAAAAAAAAAAAAAAAAGAAAGTAAAAAAGGTATAGGGCAGTATATATGGATTTTTACTATTTCTACTACTGCCTAATATTTGGTTAATTTGAAAGCTTTTGAAGAATCTCTGGAAACATTGCAATAGAAGATTGTCAGTTTAAAGCTTCTGCTACATTACTATGTTAACTTGGAAAAACAATCACTTTTCAAGTAATTCAGATCATAGGCTACTTGTGGCTACTGTGTACTGTAATGATAGTTTTATTCTCTGTAGTGTTGTTATGCCTAAATTTCTAAAGAGAAAAGAGAAAGAAGAAAGAAAGAAAGAGAAAAGAAAGAAAGAAATAGAAAGAAAGAGAAACAGAGAAAGAGAGAGAGGGAGAAAGGGAGGGAAGGAGGCAGAGAGAGAGGGAGGGAGGGAAAGAAAAGAAAGAAAAAGAAAAGGAAAGAGAGGCAGAGAAAGAAAAGAAAGAAAAAGAAAAAGAAAGAGGGAGGGAGGGAAGGAAGGAAGGAGAGAGAGAGAAAAGATTTCAATATCACGTTTTCCCTGACATATCAAGATAGTGAATTTTTCTTTCTATACTAATACTTTGCCTGTGTATGTAGAGTACGTAGAGTATTTTATTAGTTCCAGAATCCACTTTTGAACTGTTAAGGCTACTCTAGTTTTGTTCTGCTTTTTCTGCCTTTCAGATGGACACATTTATTAGCATTTGGGAGTTGTTCATTAGCATTTGTACAAAGTGCACAAATAACTCCTAATAAAAAGTGTTAACCCAATTAGGAATGGGTGGAGGGACTGTTAATTGGAACTGACTTACTCCCAAGTTATTTTAGTGTTTATTCCCAGACATAGGGAGCTGGTCTAGAAAGGCAAGAACTTTTGGATATTAGTAAGTTTTTTGTTTTCTTTTTTTTGAGCAGAATCAACCTGTAGTAAGAAAAGAAAAATATTTCTCATTTTAAAGGTGTTAAAAGCTGCCATTATAAGGAATCCCATGTGTTGGGGGTGGTGCATACTTTTTGGTGAATTTAATAGGTGTCCATTCATAAAGCACAGCTTATTTTACTTCAGTGAATCAGAGTGATGGTTTAAGTATTGCACAAGGGCACTTCATGTGATGCATGCCACACTTTGGATTCTGCATGGGAGAGATAATCATAAAACAAAGTAACTAAGTGCTCTGAAACAGTGTGCTTTGGAATGAAGGAAGTTAATTTTCAGGTAGTTAAGAGGCTCTCTTTTCGATAACCATTGTGAATGCCATTTCCCTTAGTTAAACCAAATAAAATGTCAAATTCAAAAGAAGAAGAATAGACACAGATAAGAAGCCTCTTCCCCCCATTAATCTAAACATGGATTACCAATATTCTTTCTCTTTCTTGGGCTAGGAAGTGAAATATACTTCAAATGTATGAAGATCAGTAAGGCATAGAATTCCCCAGTTGAACACTATTCAGTGTGAATATTGTTAGGAAAAGTAAATAAGGCTTTGTTAGGCTTTTATATCTTAGTATAAATAAGCTTAATAGTTTCTTTTCTGAGACAAGTTAAAGTTGAATTTACTTTTATATTTGCAAGGTATTTGCAACTTGACTCTGAATAAGAAAACCATAATTAAAGCTTCAATTTTGCTTCTATCTTACTGAGAAATTAGGGGAAAGTTAAAGCTCTCTGAGAGGTAATTTTTCCATGTATGGGTTGAACAGGGGATGTTTAAAGACCCATATAACTCTAATACTTCAAGTTAAAAGCTTCAGAAAAATGTTAACAATTCCTCAAAGTTTAAGTATAAATTAATAATTGCAGCTAAGAATCTGTCCTTTTATCCAGAAAAAAAAATTGAAACATAAAACAAAATAAAATTTATGAGTTGATTTAGAGCATAACCATAGAATAGTGCTTGCTACAAGATAGGTTCATCAGAAAATATCTGAAAAACTTCAATTTAAAGTCTTACTAAAAAGTTTGTGTTTATTGTTTCCTAAGTGAGCATTGTCTAAAGTAGCCTCTTGTTAAGGAAGATGCCTGATATGGACACCCAACATAATGCTGCACTCCTCAGTTCTGATCCTGAGCTCTTAAGGTACTAGTAAAAGGTTTAACTGACAGATTGCTGAGGCTACTGAATACAGTTAGTATTTGGAGAAATCCTCCGTTTCTGGTAACAAATAATATGCTTGTGTTAAAAAGAAGGACAATCTATTTTGAGTAGTAACCACTGATGCTCCTGATAACTTAAGGGAAGTAAAGAAAGAATTTTGTGTAATTCCATTTGGTACAATAAGGACTCACTGTACTCAAATAATAAGAGGCAAGATACTCATAAATGTGATGACATATAACATTGAAGGTCAAACCACAGTGAATTCCAGGAAAAAAAAAAACTGAGTGGCTTCCTTCTAAGTGTTCCAGAGTGACTAAAGTACAAGTAAGTATATGAAGATGTGATAAATTAAACAATAACCTAGGGAAGCATTCTTATAATAAAAAGTGAGCAAGGAGAAGGGAGTGTCGAGACAGTGGACACACCCAGGTCTAAGAGCATATATAACTTGGAGTCCAGACTATGACATTCAAACTCAGAGAATCTTTCCACTATAACTCAGCTGAACTCACATCTCCCGTCAACATGTCCTACAACTGCTGCTCTGGAAACTTCTCCTCCCGCTCCTGTGGTGACTACCTGCGCTACCCAGCATCCTCACGTGGCTTTTCCTACCCCAGCAATCTGGTCTACAGCACTGACCTCTGCTCTCCCAGCACCTGCCAGCTGGGTTCCTCTCTCTATAGGGGCTGTCAGGAGATCTGCTGGGAGCCCACCAGCTGCCAGACGTCCTATGTGGAGTCCAGCCCCTGCCAGACCTCCTGCTACCGCCCCAGAACCTCCTTGCTCTGCAGTCCTTGCAAGACGACTTACTCTGGGTCTCTAGGCTTTGGATCCAGCAGCTGCCGCTCCCTGGGCTATGGATCGAGGAGCTGCTACTCAGTGGGCTGTGGGTCCAGTGGTGTCAGATCCCTGGGTTATGGAAGCTGTGGCTTCCCTTCCCTCGGCTATGGATCTGGATTCTGCCGCCCAACCTACTTGGCTTCTAGGAGCTGCCAGTCTCCTTGTTACAGACCAGCCTATGGATCAACCTTCTGCAGATCAACTTGCTGAATTTCCAGACCTTTTAAGCAAAGTGTCTCAGTCTCTACGTAGAGCTGTTATCATAGGCATTTCCAGCAATGTGAGCTAACCCCTCTTACTACTAGCTCTTCATCCTTTCTCTGGCATCAAGTACTGGCTGGACAGGCTAGTTCTTTCAGACTGTGAAATTAATGAATGAGCAAAATATAGAGTCAAATGTCTATAATTTTGAAACAAGTGATTCGTTATCACGTAAGTTCATCTTATAAAGTATATGGAAGTTCAGTTTTGTTTCACGTAATAAATTCATTTACTGTTGATTCCAATATGTTCTCTTTGTCTTTTATTGGTTTCCAAAGTTTGATTTGTGATCTGTTTTGGGGGCTCCAGGCCCCCAGACGTCTTTTCCTTGGACATCCATTTCCATCGGTAATGTCATCAGGCCTAGTGTGTGGGGAGATTCTCCGGGCATGCCAGTGCCTAAAAGACTGAGCAAGTGCATGTCTTCTGCCATGAAAACTGGTTGGATTCTTAACAGAATTATTGAGAGTACACTCATAATGGTGGTGTGTTTTCAAGGAAGACACATTTTGCTGACAATCATATTTGCTTTTTGTTTACATTTTTAAAAGAGTATTTAGAGTTTTCTCAGAAGATGTCAACTAGGTGATTAAATATAAAATTATGAAATATTTGAATAAATCTGAAATGTTATGATGGAAAAGGGAAAATATGAAATGTTAGGTACTGGAGGACATTACGGTTGTGTTTAAATATAGGAGAAAATTAATTATTCAGTGTGTGTGTGTGTTTGTGTTGTGTGTGTGTGAGAAAGAGAGAGAGAGCACAGAAGACAGAAAGACTTAAGGTTTACAACTGTGAGTAATGGAAACAGTTATAGGGAGAAATACTTTGGCTTGTTTTAAATGTATATTTATAAATCATAAATTTATAGAACTATTATGACCTTTGTGTTTTCTTTGGATTATTGAGTTTATCAACAAGGAAAAAGATATTACTTTTCAGTGATTTCTGCATTGAGTGGCAGTTAAAATTAGATTACTTTCAATGTTCTAGATTTTATAACCTCCCTCAGTATCCTTGGAATCCACTGCTCAGCTGTGACAGTGTGAATAAAAATAAATATTTGTAGGATGCTATTCACATCTGAGATATAAGACCTTCTCTATTTATTTTAATTTAAGCAAGTGATTTCTTTCAGAGGCTAAAGGTAGTGTAAAAGTTCAGCTAAAACTTTTTCATAAAATATTCAATAACAACTCTCCATGAATGGGAAAACAACTTTGAAAGATTATCATTTCCTCCAATAATATGTCACGAGCTTTAATTGATTTTTTTCCCTGACACCTTTCCCTTAAGCTTTTTATAATTAAACCTGAAAAAAGAGGGTATCTTTTCTCTTATAATGGAGACAATACGGGCTAAGCATGGAAGTGTGGGAACCACATCCTCTGATCATAGAAACCTGCCGCCACAGAAACTAGAAGAATAGAGAAGGGAAACACGGGAAGAAACTCCTGGCAACACAGAAGCCTCTGATTCCCATGTACCTTAAGCCAGCTTTATTCATCCTTTAAGTGCTTTGATCATATGGGTCAATAAAGTCTTCTTTAGGTTTAAACTAAATAAAATAATTGAAATAAAATAAGACTTCTGGCACTCTCATACAAAGATTTACAATACTGGCAAACCAAATCAAGCAACACATCAAAAAGCTTATCCACCATGATCAAGTGGGCTTCATCCCTGGGATGCAAGGCTGGTTCAACACACACAAATCAATAAACGTAATCCAGCATATAAACAGAAGCAAAGACAAAAACCACATGATTATTTCAATAGATGCAGAAAAGGCCTTTGACAAAATTCAACAACCCTTCATGCTAAAAATTCTCAGTAAATTAGGTATTGATGGGACTTATCTCAAAATAATAAGAGCTATTTATGGCAAACCCACAGCCAATGTCATACTGAATGGGCAAAAACTGGAAGCATTCCCTTTGAAAACTGGCACAAGACAGGGATAACCTCTCTCACCACTCCTATTCAACATAGTGTTGGAAGTTCTGGCCAGGGCAATCACGCAGGAGAAGGAAATAAAGCGTATTCAATTAGGAAAAGAGGAAGTCAAATTGTCCCTGTTTGCAGATGACATGACTGTATGTCTAGAAAACCCCATCGTCTCAGCCCAAAATCTCCTTAAGCTGATAAGCAACTTCAGCAAAGTCTCAGGATACAAAATCAATGTGCAAAAATCACAAGCATTCCTATACACCAATAACAGACTAACAGGGAGCCAAATCATGAGTGAACTCCCCTTCACAATTGCTACAAAGGAATAAAATACCTAGGAATAAAACTGACAAGGAATGTGAAGGACCTCTTCAAGGAGAACTACAAACCACTGCTAAATGAAATAAAAGAGGATACAAACAAATGGAAGAACATTCCATGCTCATGGGTAGGAAGAATCAATATCGTGAAAATGGCCATACTGCCCAAGGTAATTTATAGATTCAATGCCATCCCAATCAAGCTACCAATGACTTTCTTCACAGAATTGGAAAACACTACTTTAAAGTTCATATGGAACCAAAAAAGAGCCTGCATTGCCAAGTCAATCCTAAGCCAAAAGAACAAAGCTGGAAGCATCATGCTACCTGACTTCAAACTATACCACAAGGCTACAGTAACCAAAACAGCATGGTACCAGTACCAAAACAGAGATATAGATCAGTGGAATGGAACAGAGCCCTCAGAAATAATGTCACATATCTACAACTATCTGATCTTTGACAAACCTGAGAAAAACAAGCAACGGGGAAAGGATTCCCTATTTAGTAAATGTTGCTGGGAAAACTGGCTAGCCATATGTAGAAAGCTGAAACTGGATCCCTTCCTTACACCTTACACAAAAATTAATTCAAGATGGATTAAAGACTTAAATGTTAGACCTAAAATCATAAAAACCCTAGAAGAAAACCTAGTCAATACCATTCAGGACATAGGCATGGGCAAGGACTTCATGTCTAAAACACCAAAAGCAATGGCAACAAAAGCCAAAATTGACAAATGGGATCTAATTAAACAAAAGAGCTTCTGCACAGCAAAAGAAACTACCATCAGAGTGAACAGGCAACCTACAGAATGGGAGAAAATTTTTGCAATCTACTCATCTGACAAAGGGCTAATATCCAGAATCTACAAAGAACTCCAACAAATTTATGAGAAAAAAAACAAACAACCCCATCAAAAAGTGGGCGAAGGATATGAACAGACACTTCTCAAAAGAAGACATTTATGCAGCCAACAGACACATGAAAAAATGCTCATCATCACTGGCCATCAGAGAAATGCAAATCAAAACCACAATGAGATACCATCTCACACCAGTTAGAATGGCAATCATTAAAAAGTCAGGAAACAACAGGTGCTGGAGAGGATGTGGAGAAATAGGAACACTTTTACACTGTTGGTGGGACAGTAAACTAGTTCAACCATTGTGGAAGACAGTGTGGTGATTCCTCAGGGATCTAGAACTAGAAATACCATTTGACCCAGCCATCCCATTACTGGGTATATACCCGCAGGATTATAAATCATGCTGCTATAAAGACACATGCACACATATATTTATTGCGGCACTATTCACAATAGCAAAGACTTGGAACCAACCCAAATGTCCAACAATGATAGACTGGATTAAGAAAATGTGGCACATATACACCATGGAATACTATGCAGCCATAAAAAATGATGAGTTCATGTCCTTTGTAGGGACATGGAGGAAGCTGGAAACCATCATTCTCAGCAAACTATCGCAAGGACAAAAAACCAAACACCACATATTCTCACTCATAGGTGGGAACTGAACAATGAGAACACTTGGACACAGGAAGGGGAACATCACACACCGGGGCCTGTTGTGGGGTGGGGGGAGGGGGAAGGGATAACATTAGGAGATATACCTAATATAAATGACAAGTTAATGGGTGCAGCACACCAACATGGCACATGTATACATATGTAACAAACCTGCACGTTGTGCACATGTACCCTAGAACTTAAAGTATAATTAAAAACAAACAAACAAACAAACAAACAAACAAAATGTATCGTTGGGCAGGGCATGGTGGCTCATGCCTGTAATCCCAGCACTTTGGGAGGCCAACGTGGGTGGATCACAAGGTCAGGAGTTTGAGACCAGCTTGGCCAACATAGCGAAACCCCGGCTCTACTAAAAATACAAAAAATTAGCCAGGCATGGTGGCTGGTGCCTGTAATCCCAGCTACTTGGGAGGCTGAGGCAGGAGAATCACTTGAACCTGGGAGGCGGAGGTTGTAGTGAGCCAAGATTGCACCATTGCACTCCAGCCTAGGTGACAGTGTGAGACTCTGACTCAAAAAAAAAAAAAAAAATATGTCATCAAGTGCAGAGCTACTCATTGACTTTGGTGTAAATAGGTAATTAAAAATTTTTATTAGACATAAAGGTCCTATGAGTCTGAATTATGCCATTAGCATTGAAGGTGGACTACTAATTCATCTTTAAATAATGCGGAATGAGTAAAATGTGGATTAAAAAAAATCATTTGAGAAAACAAACTAAAGGGGTCACAGTAGCATGGACAGTAAGAAAGTCCTGGGAGCTAGAGGCTCATAACTTCAAGTGTGGAAGGCACCAGGCCTTGCAAGGAGACATCTGAGCACAGAGAAATGTTTAAAATGCAGCAATCCCAAGATAGAAGGAAGGGGTGTCCAGTGACATAGAGAATCTAGTTCTGTAGTGACTTGAAGAATCTCCACCATTCTAATGCAATCTTTAAGTGGAATGCAAACAATTGAGACAGGGAGGCAGAGAGTAAAGGAGAAAATTAACACATTGGAATACTTTCAATATTTAAACCTTTCAAAGTATAATGTGAAGATTCAGATTTCAGGGATCAGACAAAATAAATATTCTTTGCCTCCTCCATTTTCTGCATGAATAATCTTCCCTTAATATCTCATCTCTGCTAATCTCCAACTATTTTTTATTTTCCTCTCTCACCTTTTCTCTTTGCTTTTCTTCTTTCTCTCCTTCTCTCTGTGATTTTTCAGTTTTTATGTACACTCTGCTCCTCTCCACACTCACCCTTTAGGGTGCTGTCAAGTTAGGCACCTGGTAACTGTGGGTCAACGCCTAAGTTGTATGAGGGTAACAGAGAGTGTAATGGAAGGCTGACTCCCATCACTGGCTAAGAAAAAGCAGAGTGGAAAAGATAAGTTGCTTTCAAGCTCACTTATAATTATTCCACTCCTAATGACCTTAATATACCAAGTGACATCAGCTCTTTGTTCTAATTCAGCTCACTAGATGTGTTTGAGCTTTAACTTTGCACTAGAGCTCTTCTGTGAAAAGTGCTGAGAGCTTAGAAAAGACCAATGTCACTAGACTCATGTCTCTCACTAGTGAGAGAGACAAATTTCCTCCTATGATTTTGGTGTGAAGGATGCGTGAGAAGAGAGCGCCAGCAAGAGGAAACTGCGTAAGCGGTGGCATAATTGCTTGGAAGAATACAGTGTGGGTTTCGGGGACAAAACTACAAGTTCCTTTTTTATTAAACTGGGAAATGTGGTCAGCAAGAGGTAGAAGACTACATAATAATAAGTAAGTGTGATTGTCCAATTCTACAAATCCAGAAATAGAGACGGAAACAACACGGATGCCATAGAGGGCCTCAGCTTTGTGTCTGGGGTGGCAAGATGTCAACGATAAACAATTAAAAAAATAAACTTCACATTTCATATGTGGGAGTGGTTTTGGGGGGCTCATGTTATTCTTAGATATCAAAGTTTATGTAACTGGAGACTTAGTTACAATTAGCAGTCTAATAAAGTATTAACAAGCAGAAGCTCAGGGTTGCAGACTATTACTTGAGAGGCACCACAGTATGAATTAAGAAAACATCAGGTATCTACTGTTCAAGTCCAGAATTCTCTATCCAGCTGTTCAAAAGAAATCATTCATGGTTAATCCAATCCTAATATCTCATCTCTGTTGATCTCCAACTATTTTTATTTTCTTTTTTTTTCTCACTATGTCTTGCATGCTGCTTCCCTGGAACTTAAAGAAAGGGAAGGCAAACGTTTAAAATGTGATACAATATAAAACATAATAGTATTAAGATAAATTTTTAAAAAGGTAAAGTCACAATTCTTACACAAATGAAAAAATCAACACATATAAAAATTTTTATTTAACTCATTAATAAATGTGGGGACCACTAAGATGCTACAACTGGTTCAAAGCATAATTCAGAGAACACTTAGACAGGTTGTTAGGAAGTTTGAAATGAATCCACAGATAGATGCAAAGTAGTGCTGTACGCAGAGTAAAAATCAGTATCATTCCACTTGACAGAAACTATTTCATTTCTATGGACTAGAATCATTTGCATTATTAACAATTTTATTCAACTTACAGAATTATATAGGAGTTAAAAAGCAATAATACGTGACAATACCTTGAAAAATGAACTAGACAGGCCACATAGTAATACATTTCCCCCATTTCAAAATCCCACAATTTTTTCTGACAACAGTATGTGAAATCAGTAATGTTAATTGTAAAACTTAGTAACAGATGTGCTACAAAAGTCTGAATATCATTTTTCCTTTAATATGGAAACTGAGGAGGAAAAGAAATTATGCATATCATTTCCTGGAAAGAATTACTTTACCTTATCAATTTATGCCTTTTTTCTTTTTCTCATCTTTACTGAGGTATAGTCTACAAAAATTATATAAATTTAAGGAGTAAAAATTGATGTTTTGAGATACACACACTGTATATAATATATACACATATTGTGAAATTGTCACAGTCAAGGTAATTAATATAGTTATAATTTCAGTTTCCATTTGATTGATCATTTGACTATGGCAAGAACACTGAGGTCTACCCTTTCTGCAAATTTTAAGTATACGATACAATATTGTTAACTACAGTCACATTGCTATACATTAGATATCCAGAACTTAATTGTCCTGCATAACTGAAACTTTTTACCCTTTGACCAACACCCTCCCAATTTACCCTCCGCCCAGGCCCTGACAGCTACCAGTCTAGTCTCTGCTTTTGTGAGTTTAACTAGTTTCGATTTCTACATACATGACATCATGTAGTATTTTCCTTTCTGTGTCTGGCTTATTTCTCTTAGCATGATGTCCTCCAGGTTCATCCAAAATTTTGACATTTCTAATGGCACTGCTTCTACTTGTGACTTGGGGAAAAAATGACATAATTACATAAATGTGTCGTATTTTGACTTGATCTTTCTTTCTGCTCTATACCACCACTTGCACCACTCACCTCAAATGCTGCATTACTGTCTAGTGTTGTTGTCTAGAAAACACAAGCTTCCATTTTTAATTTCATATATAACTAAATTAAACATTTTATAAATATAAAAGGACAAAATATGTGGCTCATATTTCTGCCTCATTACATGAACATTGTAATTCATACACATGGTGCATGCCTGTAGTCCCAGCTCCTTGGGAAGCTGAGGCGGGAGTATTGAAGCCAGGAGTTCCAGGCTGCAATGAGCTATTGATTGCACCATTGCAATCCAGCCTAGGCAGCAAAGCAAGACCCTGTCTCTAAAAAAAAAAGAAAAAATGTTAATCATAAATGGAAGAATTTTTCTTCTGGACTGTGGTAGTGGTTACACTAATCTATACATTAGATAAATTACATTGAACCATACAGATACAAACACAAATGAGTACATGTATAAACCAGCAAAACTCAATAAGGTCTGTAGTCTAGCGAACAACATGGCACCAGTGTCAATTTCCTAGGTTTGATTTTGTAGTATGGTTAAATAAGTTGGCAATATTGCAGGAGGCTGTGTGAAGGGACTCTAGGTACTATTTGTACAACTTCATGTGAGCCTATGATTTTTTTTTTAAGTTTAACAAAAGTTAGTCACGTGTGGAGAACATAAGTAGATTATTCATTAGTAAGATGTGTTATAAGGTTTTTAGTTGGCATTTCTGGAAGATTAGTATAAGAATACTAAAGTCTGTTAACTAAAGTGAGAAGATGCAGTTATTGATGTATGGAAACTCTTCTGTTCTAAAGTTCTATTTTATTTTATTTTTATAGATTTAAGGGTAAACATGCAGTTTTGTTACATGAATATATTACGTAGTGTGAACTCCAGGCTTTTAGTATATCCATCACTCAGATAGTTTATATTGTAGGTAATTTTTCATCCCTCACCCCTCTCCCAATCTCCCAACTTTTGGAGTCTCCAAAGTCAATTATTCCACTCTGTATATCCAGGTATACACATTGTTTAGCTCGCAATAATAAGTGAGAGCATGTGGTATTTGACTCTGTTTCTTAGTCATTTCACTTAGGATAATGGCTTCCATTTCCATCTATTTTGCTGCAAAAGACACAATTTTATTCTTTTTTATGGCTGAGTAGTATCACATTGCATTTATATATCACTTTTTAAAATTCAGTCATTCATTGATGGACACTTTGGCTGATTCCATGACTTTGCAATGGTGAATAGTGTTATGATAACCATACCAGTGCAGGGGATTTTAATATATATAACAATTTCTTTTTCTTTGTGTAGACACCCAATAATGGGATTGCTAGATCAAATGGTGTTCTATTCTCAGCTCTTTGAGGAATCTTCATACTGTTTTCCATAAAGTTTGTACTAATTTACATTCCTACCAACAGTGTTCCCTTTTCTCTGCATCCTTGCCAACATCTGTTGTTTTTTGACTTTTTAATAACCATTCTTATTACTGTAAGATGGTATCTTAATGTGGTTCTAATTTGCATTTCTCTAATGATTAATGATGTTGAGAATTTTTCCACGTTTGTTGGCTGCTTGTATGTCTTCTTTGGAAAAATGTCTGTTCATGTCCTTTGCCCACTTTTTGATAGTGGTTTTTTTTTTTTTCTTGTTGAGTTGTTTGAGCTTCTTGTAGATTCTAGATATTAGTCTTTTTGTGGACACATAGTTTTCAAATATTTTCTCCCATTCTGTAAGTTGTCTGTTTACTCTGTTGACAGTTTCTTTAGGAGTGCAGAAGCTTTTCAGTTTAATTAAGTCCCATTGGTCTATTTTTGTTTTTGTTGCATTTGCTTTTGCGGTCTTAGTCATAAATTCTTTGCCTAGGTCAATGTCTAGAAGAGATTTCCTACATTTTCTTCTGGGGTTTTTATAGTTTCAGATATTACATTTAAGTTTTTAATCCATTTTGAGTTAATTTTTGTATACAGTGAAAGATATGGATTCAATTTCATTCTTCTGCATATGACAATCCAGTTTCCCTAGCACCATTTATTGAACAGGGTGTCCTTTCCCTTGTGTATATTTTTGTTGACTTTGTCAAAGATCAGTTGATTTTAGGTATTTGGCTTTATTTCTGTGTTCTCTATTCTGATCCATTGATCTATTTGTCTAGTTTTATACAGTACTATGCTGTTGTGTTTATTATAGCCTTGTAGTATAATTTAAAATCAAGAAATGTGATGACCCAGCTTTGTTCTTTTTACTTAGGATTGCTTTGGATATTGGGGCTCTTTTTTGATTCCACATGAAGTTTAGGTTTCATAATTCTATTAAAATGATGTTGTTATTTGATAGGAATTGCACTGAATCTGTAGGTTGCTTTGGGCAGTAAGGTCATTTTAATGATACTGATTTTGCCAATCCATGAGTATAGGATGCTCTTCCATTTGTTTGTATCATCTATGATTTCTTTCATTAGTGTTTTATAGTTCTCCTTGTAGAGCTCTTTTACCTTCTTGGTTCAATGTATTCCTAGTTATTTTTGTAGCTATTGTAAATGGAATTGAGTTGATGATTCGTTTCTCAGCTTGATTGTTATTGAAGAAGATGTAGTTACTGATATAGGAAGTTCTTAATCTAGTAAGGGTAGCTATAGAAGTAGTGAGCAAAGTCAAAGAATTAGAAATTGCCCTAAGTTTTTTCTTTTCTTTAATGTTTGCCACCTATTTTAGTAGGTATCCCTTTAATCTCCAGTTAGTTTCCTGAACTATACCAGTAATACCATTCCATTCCAATCTCAAATGACTAAAGCCCTTCTCCTCAAATGTTAATTGCTTGAGACACTGGTTTTAAGAAATATTAATAGATTGGATACAAAGTTTATATTTATATGATTAATTTGGGCTAACCACATTAATCAGATTTGTTTTTATCCTTTTTAAAAGTTTGTTAATATGCTCAAGTGTTTTATGACTTTCCAAAAGAATGAGAGGGAGAATTCTAGTTTTCTTC
Source organism: Homo sapiens (assembly GCF_000001405.40). Lineage (NCBI taxonomy): Eukaryota > Metazoa > Chordata > Mammalia > Primates > Hominidae > Homo > Homo sapiens. The sequence goes on along the minus strand of NC_000021.9, from coordinate 30,361,375 downwards.
TTCTGGACAGTGGAGTTGAAAGAAACACAACACTGTTTTTCCCAAGTTTCTTTGGGCTAGATAATATTGTAATTTTCAGTCAAACAAATTTTAGTTAAAATCTATACTCAAAGTAATGAGTGATTGCCCTCATTTCAGGGCATTTCTGCAAAGAGACAATATCTAAATTTGCTTCTGGTATATATTATCTTTTTGGTACTTTACTGGCAAAATAACCCTAGTCATGTAATTGAAGGGAAAGCTGTTAACACACTCATAATCATAAAAAGAGGTGAATAGTGGCTGATTTTGTGTTTTTTAACAGCTTACTCTTTCTGCTGGGCAAATGACCACAAAGGTTAATGTCTTGACTATAAAATTGATTCCAGAGACTTCACTGTCTGTGTTCTACAGATATTGTAAGGTGAAGAGGTGCCATTGGCTGTTCATATTCTCCAGCTTATAAACCAAATTTGAAAAATGCTTTAGCTTTGACAATCTTAGGGTAATTTACCATGGTCTATTATTACACTAGAGAGAACAGGAAAAACAGTCAACCACATTTAGTACATCCTTGGGAGCTGCAAACTTCATTCTGGGGAAAATGATGCAGAAATGTTATCTTAATCAATTGTGAACACATGGAGAGTAACGTTTTGTACAGAAGCCTACATTTACTGAAGCCATGAGATGGAATTCTACTCAGCAAGGTTTTATTTTAAAATTCTAGACAAGAAAATAATACAGTTATGGATCCTAAAATGATCTGCCGTTTGTTTTTCTACTCCCTACCTTCTGTCATTTGCATTAGTACTCTGTCTGGGATAGTCTATTCTTTCCCTCCACTTTCGTCCTTCTTCTGAGGAGTTTTAAGTGCTAAGGAGCTTAATAATAAAATCACCTCACCTGTGTCATACATTTTATCCTCAGCATTTGTTAGCCTTATATCATGGCTTAACAAACACAGAAAGTAGGGATGAATAATGAAATATCTGCAGACAGACAGAACTAGTCTCACTTTTTGGATTTATAACTTTTTGTTAAAATAATTTTTTAACAAATTACTTAATATATCTCTATATCTTTATCTGAGAAGTGAAAATATTAATATATCTCTATATCTTTATCTGAGAAGTGATAAATATATCTTTATCTGAGAAGTGAAATAATCTGAGAAGTGAAAATATTTATGAAAATAAATCATAAGTCTATTATAAGAAATATATGATAATTATATAGAGTATGAGCTTTTAGATTTTGAATTTCTTGAAGGTACTGTGCCTCAGACATCTTTGTCCTTTGAGCACATCTTTGTTTTCTGAGCACATTCCCCTCAATATATGATTCTCATACGTTTGTCAGTGTTCACATATTAGTCTCCTTTTAGCAAGCAGGAAAAGCATAGAAAGGACTTTGATCGGCATTACTGAGATTCCCATAGGGCATTGCTATTTCGAGTATAAGCAAATAAATTGTTGTTTTTTCAACTATGGCTAAAAATAAATTTTGTGTAATAAAGTTTACTTGTAACTAAATAAACATATTTGCTTTTCTAAATTTTAACTGATTGTTATGTTCAGTCTGAGTAAAACAGGTAGAAAAATAAACAAATGCATAAACCTTTTTTAAAGTAATCTTTTACCTGTTGAAATACTATTCTGGGCAAACCCCTATTAATTACTGCAGTATATAATGAGAGCTACTAAAAAGTTAGAAAAAAACCAACATTAAAACAGAATGCCACTAGGCACCCATTAGACTACCAGCATAACTAACACATTCTATTCTTGATGGCAACAGATAATCATGACTACATCACCATTGTTTTTTTTTTAATTTTTATATTTTTAGATGGTACACATGCAAATTTCTTACATGCATATTTTGCATAGTGGTGAAGTCTGAGCTTTTAGTGTATCCATTACCCAAATAGTGAACATCTACTATGGTTCTGTTGGGGATGACAAACAAGACGTAGCTTAACGATGGTCTTGAAACTCAAAATGAATGGACACCATAAGTTATCATCTTTGCTGGCTGAACTTTAAAGCCTTTCCAATATGGATAGAAAATGAAGGTGCATTGCCCTCAAGTTGCTGAAATCATGTAGAATTGATACTGTCCAAAGGAGTCCTGCCTGTTAATAGGCATATGATTCCTGAGTGGCTACGTGTCTTTGGTAAGTCAGAACTTGATTACTAACAGTAACAATCTTCCTAAAATGAAAGAAGATCTAGGATAGTTCTAGTGGAAGGTAAATAGTTTGTAAGGATCAACCTGCTTAAAAAGACAGAGGAGTCAGGGCTGCTAGGTCTAGTAACCAACTGATATCCCAAGTTTTGCCTGGTCTCCCATGCTGTCCTCCAGATAATAGGAGTGCTTAATCATCAGAATGTCATGCTCAGGGTCCCCACTTTGGTTTCTACACTTCCAGGATCTTCTCAGTTTTTGTGCTTTAGAAACATTCCTTAGAAGATTTAAGCATTTAGTTAATAATGTATTTTTTTACCTGCACATTACTCTGCCTGCTGTGAGATTGAACCCATTTAAATTGTCAAAGCATGTAAATCCTGAAGAAGCACCATATATATTTATATATCTGAATTCCCAACTCTAACACCAGCTATTTGCCCTGTAAACATTATAGAACCTCTCAAAAAATTAGTTTCCTTAAATGTTAAAGAGAGATCATGAATGATAGAAATTTGATCATGGGGTTACGATGAGAGGCAAATGATAGGATATGTGAAGCAGCCGGAAGAATTCCTTGAGTATAGAAATCACTCCATAAATGTTAACTATTATTAGACTATAAATGTATGCAACTTGTGGCCAAAAACTAAATGCACATGGGTGCTTCGAGTAAGCCATACACGTCATATTCTTTTATGCACACTAAAATGAAATATTTATCCTAAACATATTTCTAAACATTTTTTGCTGAAAATGTTTTAAACGTTTAGAAATTATAAATATTTAGCACATTTTATACCTTTAAAATATGTTTAGTATTTAACAACATGTATTAGTTGTTTGGCACATTTTAAATGTTTAGAAGCTCCTAAACATTTACGCGGTACACATGTCAATTTCAAAACATTTAACATATCCACTAGAGTGCACAATACTGTAATTCATTCCCTCCCAAACATCATACATATGTAAAAAAAAGTGTGTTTTACTTTATTTCCTTTATATTTTTATCCTGGGTGTAACCTAAGTCACCATTCCCTTAATGTTTTTTTGTATCCATTTTTTAAAATTTATTTTATTCTATGATGTTTCTGGTTAGACCCATTTCTTTGCCATTAATTTCTTGTCCTCACCAATGTCTGCTCTTCTCCAGGCCACCACATTGCTTTATCTAGGCTCATCTGTAGATGTAATTTCCCCTCTCTCATAATAAGGAAATGTGACTATCTACAACATTACTTTGGAACTTTTTATTTGTTCAGCAATTTTCAAGGTGCTTGAAGAAAATAATTTCGTATCTGTTTTACTGCTTATAAACGCAGTCCCTAAGGGGCCATTAAAAGTTTCCACACTATAAATTTGAGAGATTACTTTTTTTTTTTGAGACAGAGTCTCGCTCTGTCGCCTAAGCTGGAGTGCAGGGGCGCCATCTCGGCTCACTACAACTTCTGCCTCCAGGGTTCAAGCAATTCTCCTGCCTCAGCCTCCAGAGTAGCTGCGATTACAGGCACCCACCACCACACCCGGCTAATTTTTTGTATTTTAGTAGAGACGGGGTTTCACCGTGTTGCCCAGGCTGGTCACAAACTCATGAGCTCAGGCAATCCGCCCGCATCGGCCTCCCAAAGTGTCGGGATTACAGGCATGATCCATCGTGCCCAACGGAGATTACTTTTTAAAAGTATTTGGCCTGAAATTTCCATCTTCTTAACTGATGTAATTTAAGTCCCCTTATATAAGGCATTCTATACCCATCCAGCTGGTAAAGAGAGTCAAGTAGAATTTTTTTTTAATAAAAGTTTTTCAACTTTTTTAGAGTATCATGATCATTTCTACCTCTTATATTAGTTGTTAGTAAACATAAACATGCGCTTGGTAATATGGCAAACCATATCAGGAATGACCGAGAAAAGAATCACAACAAAATATAAAACTTTAAGCAGGGAGGAAAAAAAATAGCTATATCTCAGCATCCTCTAAGTGATCCTCTCAGTCAAAAATTAATCTGCCAATGATTGACCAATTGCTTTGACCATGCAACAATCATCTGAAGTCCAAGACTGACAGTAAACTGGCTTTTGGTTATAAAACACAGGTATGCATATTTATGATGGTGTTAATCTATTCAGCTGAAATTGGACAACACACTAAGGAGATATTCTTAGTCAAATTGTAAGGCAGAAGAATAGTAAAGCTGGGCATCTAAAACATCATAACCACAGGGTCAGAGCACATAAGTTTCTAGGCAATAAGGTGACATTTACACACCCTTTGACACTAATAAAAAGTGAATCAGATACAGCAGTCACACATTAAGCTGCTACACTGGAAACTTCTTTTCCTGCTCACTTGGGGAACTCTTGGTCTACTCGGTCTAATCCTGTGTCTCTTCTTACCCCAGCTACTTGGTCCACCCCACTGACCTCTGCTTTTCTAGTTTCCACCAAGACGGGTCTCTCTGTAAGACTCTCAGATGAGCTACTATAAGCCCTCCGGCAGACATACATCATGCTTTCTACCACAGGGTGCTTTCTAGGCTATGAATTCAATGGATTCCAATCTTTAAGTTATAGACCCAGTAGTACCCAAAGCTTGAATTACGGTCCCAGCTTCTTGCCACCCAAACTACTTCTCTACTAAGAAAAGCCTGTCAACTTGCTATAGACCAATGTACAGGCATGGCTTCTACAAATTGGCTTAATGCCTCTTCATACACTGCCAGGAAATGCTGCTTTCCCTCATATTCATCTCCACAAACGCCGTTTTACGAACTGGTTGACCATAAACTAGTTCGTTTCTCTTAGAGAGACAGGTTCTGTCACCATTATATGATAAAAAAAAAAAATTGAGAAACTACACTAAAAATTTATGTCTGAAAATTGAAATTATATGTAATAGAAATTAGGGGGTATTTCATGTGCTCGTTAGTTTACAATGTGACAGAAATGCTATTATTTAATAAAGTAATCTTTTAAGGAATTCAAGTATAAACAGTTTTTCCTTGAGCTTTTTTAAGTTGTTGGCTTACTGAAGTTGCATGATTTTTACTATGACGAATTACTATTTGGATAGCTTGGCTGTTGATTTTGTCAGAAGCAGTGTGTAAAGTCAGAGCAAGGACAGCCAACTTTCTACAAGCAGGGAAAAAATCGTATAGCCTACAATAATTTTTAATCCAAGAATTACTATTTTTCTACATAAAACACTAACAAGATTCAAAATAATTCAGGATATGTAAATGCAAAGGATCTAAGACTCTATTTAGCTTTGACTAGTAGCTTCAGGGTCTGAAAGAACAGCAAAAGTGATTGAATTTAATGGACTACGACACACTTTCTCTAAAGTCACTTATCTTCTATTAACATACTTCCACTCATTTTCCAGAGAAAGATTAAGACATGCTTCCTTCAGGGATAGGGCTATCTCTCACTCACCTCCCTATTCTCACCTCTCACCACAATGCCTACACTTCACTGCATGCTTGCTGAATTGACTTGAAATGAATCTCTCTAGCTTTCAAATTTCACTTTGCTATATTAAAAAAATTGGACAGGATGGTTCAGTTTAACAAGTCTTTATTTAGTATTCAGACTATAGATGGTCTATTATAGCTAAGTTAGGGTGCAAAGGAATAGAAGCAAGTCTGGGCCAGGTGGTACTGATTAAGAGGGCAGTTGAGACTCCTCTGAGTTTACTGTTGTAAAGCATTCAAGAGGAGTTTAGAGGTCTAGGAACAGGATAAGATAGGAGATATTCAGCAATGATAAAACCAGTAATTATCTAGTTTATCATTAAGTATTTATTGAACAACAACTTTGACTACTCTTGAGCTGAGAATTTAATGTCAAATAAGAAAGAACACAGATAGTATTTGCCTCCAACTCAACTTTAGATATTACAATTCAGAGATGTGTCATTCAAAGAGTGGATCATAGATCAGGGTACAGGGTAAAGCAGGTATATTTGACATATGATTTCCTTAAGCTGAAATTGTTAATCATGCAAGACTTCTTAAGGAAGGTAGCCATGCATTCATTTGCATATTGATATACACACTTAACTTATGGCCAATTGGTGAACTGTCATGGACTGGTTTGTCTAGTAGCACTGCTCTAGTCTAGAAGACAGTCTAAGAAATAAACAATTTTTTTAAATATTAGAATTAAGTACAGAGATAAATTACAAATCACAACAGGAGAACCTACTTTATCTTGAGATATAATGTATTGAGGTGAGAAAAGGCTTAATTATTTTCATCCAGATGAAGAAAAAACATTCAAGGCAGAGAGAAGAGTGTGTCCTTGGATTAGGAAAAAGCTTGAGATACTTTAGTGTGGAACAAAGACCAGTGTGTTTGTGAGAAAGACAAAGAACACTGTATGAAGATGAAGTCAGAGACATGAGCAGGGACTCAATTACACAGCTTTACAGATCATATAGAGGATTTGTTTCATCCTCAATGTACGGTAAGTCAACCAGGAAGTTGTAATCAGGAAAGTGAAATGACCAGATTTTTGTTTTCAGATCAGGCAGAAAAATGGCAAAGAAAAGAAAGGAGAAAGGAAAGGAAAGGAAAGGAAAAAGGAAAGGAAAAAGAATAGGAACAGTAAAGGAAAAAGGAAAGGGGAAAGAAGGAAGGAAGGAAAAGAAAGAAAGGAAGGAAGGAAGAAAGAAAGAAGAAAGGAAGAATGAAGGAGAGAGAGAAAGGAAAGAAAAGAAAGAAAAAGGAAGAAAGAAAGAAAAAGAAAGAAAGAAAAGAAAGAAAGAAAAGAAAGAATGAAAGAAAAAATCAGGCAGGAGTGTAGAAGAAAGACTGGAGGAGACAATTTTTTTTTTAAAAAGAGAGGCAGAGAATCTTGGACATTATTTTTGGTTGTTCCACCAAGAAAGGAGACTACCTTGGACTAGGACAATGCCTTTCCTCCAGGGCTAATTTTGCTCTCTCCCCTAGGCAATTTTCAGAGACATTCTTAATTGTAATTTTAAGGGGGAGTTGTGCTACTGGCATCTAGTGGGTAGACGCCAAGAATACTGCCAACTATCTTACAATGCACAGGATATCTCCCCACAACAAAAAACTATCCAGCCCTAAATGCCCCTGGTACCAAGGGTGAGAAATCCTGAACTACACAGAAAGCAGTAATAGGACTGGATAAATGTAAGACAGATTTGGGAAAGAAAATGGCCAATCCTCAGGGTAGATTGCGTATGTTAGGAGGATTCCAAATTGTCTCAGTTAAACAACTAGATAGGTGGAAATGCAGTTTACTAATAGGAAACAAAAAATGTTTCTGCCTCACAAGAGAAGAGCAAAAGTTCAATGTCATACACATAGAAGTTCAACACCCTTATGAAACCTTTAAGTGGAATGGCAAGAAGTACTTGGGTATTTAGGTCTAGAATTAAAAAAGAAAAAACTATACAGACTGGAAAGATAATTTGAATATTTCAGTGTCACAGAATATGGATGGTATTTGAAGCCATGGAAGGGAGATGTCTCCTCTATAGAGAGAATATGTCCAGGGATCAGCGCCAAGTCTTAAGGAATATTATGAAAGAAATCCAACTAATAGTAACAAAGAATTAGGTGAAAGTTAGATAGAAGACTAGAACTGTAATCTCATGGAAGTATATAGATGAACAAGATTTAAGGTTAAGGACATAGTCGCCTGTGTTGAATATGGTTAAATGTTCACATGGGATAATCCTAAAAATGTACATCACGTATGGCAGCATTGAGGCTACTGCTGACCATGTCAGAGCAATTCCAGAAGAGTTTTAAACCAGACAGAAACAAGATGGTAATTGTATTAGTCCATTTTCATACTGCTGTAAAGAACTGTCCAAGACTGGGTAATTTATAAAGGAAAGAGATTTAATTGACTCATACTTCAGCATGGCTGAGGAGACCTCAGGAAACTTACGATCATGGTGGAAGGCGAAGGGGAAGCAAGGCACCTTATTCACAAAGCGGCAGGAAGGAGAAGTGCTGAGTGAAAGGGGAAGAGCCCCTTATAAAACCATCAAATCTTGTGCTAACTCACTCACTATCAGGAGAACAGCATGGGGGAAACTGCCCCCACGATTCAATTACCTCCACCTGGTAATTCCCTTGACACACGGGGATTTTGGGGATTATTGCAATTACAATTCAAAATGAGAATTGGCCAGGGACACAAAGCCTAATCATATCAGTTATTGAAAAGAGAATAAAAAGTGAGGTAGCTGACAAGCTGATTCCATACCTCTTTAGATAATTCTGATATAAAATAAGAAGAGCTATATAATCATAGAGAAAATGGCACTATTTAAAATTTTTGGATTGAAGAAGATTGAGCATGGTTATAAGGCTGAGAATAAAAGAACCATTACAATGAAAGAGAATGAAGCAATTAGAAAGAGAAAGAAAAATAATTTAGGAAGGCCCCAAAGGCAATTTTGCTTGGGATATGGATTGAGGACAGATATTGAGGATCACTTCAAGCACTGAAATTTGTAAGAGATTTTGATTTTTAAAATGAACATATTGATACAGTCAAAGTAAGGGAAATTCAACATTTCAAAGGAGACATATTCAATAATATGTACAAATATGAGATGCATGCTAGAGGGCCATGTTTATGGAAATACAAAGTGAAGAGAATATACAATTTCTCTTAAGGTTCATGCATTTGCATCATGTAAAGTGCAAAAGTAATTACAGTTTCTGCAATTACTTTTAATGTCAAAAATCACAATTACCTTTGCACCAGCCTACTGGAAGAAAGAATTGGACTCAGAGCCAGGGACATGCATTCCAATCCCAAGCTTGCAGCTTTTTGACTGCATGACATCATTTCCTCAGATGACAAATTATTATTCTATGATTATAGCTCCTTCAATGCTATAAAGCATTAGTGTGAAATCCACGAAAGCACTTTCAGATCCAAACAGCTTTATAAAAAGGTGACATGAGTGATGCAAAGTATTTCGGCAAAATTTCCTAATTCAGTAAATATATAACCATAATATTTGATCTTTCTCAAAATTTATGGAGATACATAGATAGATAGATAGATATACACACATCCATAGTGAATATATATTTAAATGTGTTTAAATTCTTAGAGGGATGTCTTCTAATTTACTTAATAAAGAAGTGGCTCTTTATATTTAAAACTATTGTATAAAGCCGGGCACAAGGGCTCATGCCTGTAATCCTAGAACTATGGGAGGCTAAGGTGGGGAGCCCAGGCATTTGAGCTCAAGCATGGGCAACATAGAGAGACCACATCTCTACTAAAAATTAAAAAAACAAAAAGCCAGGCCTGGTGGTGCCTTCCTGTAGTACCAGTTACTTGGGAAGCTGAGGTGGGAGGATCTCTTGAGCTGGTGAACTCCAGGCTGCAGTTAGCCAAGATCACACCACTGCACTTCAGCCTGGGCCATGGGAGTGAGACCCTGTTTAAAAAATAAATAAATAAATAAATAAATAAATAAATAAATAAAACTATTGCATTGCCTTAAGTTACATATATGAAGAATTTTACTTTCTGAAAAAATTATAGTGGTATCTATTTTTAGAAGAGTATTCCAAGTTCCAAAAGTAACTTACGTACATTTTTAATTTTAAAAAATTGTAGTTATTTTTTATCTTTTAAAAAATTACATTGAGTTTGAGAAATTATAAAATAGCTGAGATTAATAGTGGCTATAATAGACTGCTGGACATCCCCTAAATAACATTGATATGGCTACAGGAATAGAGGAAAACTAATTAAAAGACTTTGATACCACAGTGATTCAGGAAAGCTGCTATATAGCTGGTTGTGATGGAGAATTTGAGCTAAGAGAAATGCCTGGGTAGTGTGTACGGTCTTTGCATCTGTAGTATAATGGAAAGAAGCCATAATTAAAATACTACTGCCATGTAAAGTTGTACCCAGACTTCTGGCTAACCTAACTGAGCACCTTTACCAATTATGGTTTATTTGATCCTGTTGCCTTGTGTAATGAGAAGAGAACAAGTGCACATTCACATACAAGGACTATAAAGATTGTTCAGAATATTCCCCTACGCACTAAAACCATAATTTCCATCCTCCGTTCATCTTCTAAGAGGTGCTCTATCTTAACAGGCCTTGGTTTACTGGTTATGATTAACTTGGGGATATATTCATTATAAAAGATAGATTTAATATTCATTTCACTTTTAATTAGAGGTAACTTTAAAAGCAGAAACATTATTTTCACATGCATACATTTATCTTGAGTGAAAGTAAAATAAAAGTTAATTATTTGATATAAATAATCTATGAGCACCCATGATGTGCCAGGAATTAGGTCAAAGAAGACTAAGCATCATCACTCACCCCACAAAACTTCTGTGCATTGCGTTCTTCGTTCTTCTCACATATGTAATTTCCCTGCAAGCTGAAATATTATTCATCCTGCATGAGCCATTTCAAAGTACATCCCTTGCAAATCCTCCACAGTGTGTGTGTGTGTGAACTAGATTACAAAATACTGAGATCTTTGTTCCTGAAGAGCTAAGTCTAGTTGAGATGAACACCTATCTGATAGGAGGAGTTTGATTTTGGCATTGAGGGATGAGAAGTGTCAACCTAAAAAGAAACTCACATATGCTCTTCAGAACAAATGAGTTTTAATTGGAAAGAGCAGCGAAGTGCAATCTAGGAATGTGCATGCTATGGTGGATGATGGATCATAGGCACATCCAAGGGGTTAGGGCACAGGAGAAGTTTTTAAATACAAAGAGAGGTCCAGGTAAGCTGCTTTGAGACAAGTTCACGGGTCAAAAGCTCATTGTAGGAGTTGACATTTGTTTATTGGTAAAGACAGCTGTTGCTAGGTAACTGTCCTGGAACCTATTTATCTGGAATAGTGCAATTTGAAGAAGGTCTTGTGATAACCCTTGTTACAGGCATGTGTGCACGAGGATTTTTTTTGTGGCCTCTCTTGACCCCATTTTGTTAGAGTTTGACATAAATGACTCCATTTTGGTACATCTTTCACAAAGGGATTTGGTGCAATGTGAGCAATGCATTTGGTAGAAATTTGTTAGCAAAACAATGGACAAAATATTCCATTGTTGCCAGATAAGCAAATATTACAGGAGATTACAAAAAACAATCATCTATGAAACAGTTTGAAAAGATCAAATTACATAAATAGCTTTTTGCTTTCCAATTTCTAAAAGATGCTTGAAGGCAGAAGTTGGATATGATAACAAGTGGGGAAAAAGACATTTCTAATTCCAAGATTTTTCTTTATACCACTGATGTTTTATAGTGGTAAAGATAATTTTAACCACTTAATATAATGGTAAATTTTATGCTGCTTTGTCTTCCTAGAAGGATGAACAAGAGAAGCTCAGCAAGGAGTGAAATGAATCACTCTGGAAGGTGTCGTATTTCTCACTCCCAACTGAGTTGGCAAAAGGTCGGCACCCTATTAAAATTCAAGCTTCTGCAAATGTATTTTATTGGTAGTCAACTCACTAAAGGCATATCAGTTTTTCGCAACTAGTCCCAGTGAAAGTCTGTGTTTGCCAAAGAATTTTCTGCCTCACACTGAAAAAGAATCTAATAACTCCATGGTGGATAAAACATGAGTTGCTTAACTAGGATAAACTGAGTGAGAGGGCAAATAGAAGATAATTTGTAACAAAGCATCTCCATAGTAACTCTGAATACTAAAAAAATAACCAAAATCAATTAAGAAGCTGTCCCCTCAGTTGGCTATATTTGGGGAATTCATAAAAGGGGTAAGAATACTCAAGTAGATATATCAGATGAAATGCAAATATTAACACCTTGGAATTTTTTTTTCACCTGCATACTCAATTGTCCATGTGATTCTGGGAGCAGAAATTACAAGCTTCACAAATTGTCTATATAGCTCTGTGGTTTGTGCTAGCCTTAAAGACAGACACACCTGGGATGACATGGGGTCCATGATTTGTTTGATTTATTACCTGAATGTTACATAACTTTTCCAAACCTCCATGGCCTTACTTCTAAATTGTTTATGACAACTTGTATCTCATAAGATATTTGCAAAGATTAAATCATACCACACTTTTAAATGTTGCGCATGTAGTTAATGCTTAATAAAACATATGTAAATAATGGGGGGTGGGTGGCTGCTGATTACTGTTGGGAGTACATTGCTGGTAAGAATTTGTAGGCTGAAGCTCAGAATACCCACAGTCAAGCTCAGTAAAAGGGGTGGGGAGGCACTGTATGTATCATCACCAATGTTTCTGAAAGCAAACCAAACCTTATTTCTGCAGAGAGAGAGAGAGAGAGAGAGAGAGAGAAAGAGACAGAGAGAGAGAGAGAGAGAAGCCAATGGGCTTCTATAAACTGGAATGATTACACTGCTGTTAAAGACAAATGAATGTGTTGAGTTATAATTATAACCTAGGTTACTTAGTCATTTGATGAAAACACATTCACAAGAATGGGGGGGTTCCCGGATACTGCATCACGCCCAGCAGTGTGAGGGTGTAAACATCACTGGATCATTGGGCACAGGCAGGGACATCAGGGCATCTTCTCAATGCAGCTCAGCTGAACTCACATCTCCTGTCAACATGTCCTACAACTGCTGCTGTGGAAACTTCTCCTCCCATTCCTGTGAGGGCTACCTGTGCTACTCAGGCTACTCCCGTGGTGGCTCCTCGTACCCCAGCAACCTGGTCTACAGCACTGAACCTTTGATCTCCCAGCACCTGCCAGCTGGGTTCCTCTCTCTGCAAGGGCTTTCAGGAGACTTGCTGGGAAACCCCTAGCTGCCAGATGTCCTGTGTGGAGTCCAGCCCCTGCCAGACCTCCTGCTACCGCCCCAGAAGCTCCGTGCTCTGCAGTCCCTGCCAGTCGACTTACTCTGAGTCTCTAGGCTTTGGATCCAGCAGCTGCCGCTCCCTGGGCTATGGATCTAGGAGCTGCTACTCAGTGGGCCGTGGGTCCAGTGGCGTCAGATCCCTGGGTTATGGAGGCTGTGGCTTCCCTTCCCTGGGCTATGGATCTGGATTCTGCCACCCAACATATGTTCTCTTTAGGACATTCCAGTCTTCCTGTTACAGACCAACTTGTGGATCTGGCTTCTACCGATCAACTTGCTAAGGGCTCCAAACCTCCACATTACAATTATTTCTCTCAAAGTCCATCTCAGCTATCATCTGGCTAGAACCTATATTCTACTATCCAGAAAAGATAATTGTTTTAAACTTATTAATATTAAAATAACATTTCTCATAGAATACTCATCTCTTTTTCTTCTGTTTTCTTGTATTTTCCCTTCCTTCTCTAGTTAAAAATGGAGCAAGAGTTGATTTCTTTTTCTTCAAATAAACTCATTTAATCTGATATCAGATCACAAATCTTGTGTTAATTTTCTTTATAAGATGTCTGTCGGGAATTTGAAACCCCCACTTTTTGTCTAAAAATAAAATATTCACTTTGAGGGAAAGGAGTAGGTTCCTTGATAGGCAGAGTTTTCTAACAACAGAGATCTAGTTCCTGGGAATTTCTGCCAAGTAGACTCAGAGATAGGACAGGAGATTATCTCTGTTTTTCTATTCATGGCCATTTAGGCCTAATCAGGACACTTCACTTTGGTTAAGCTACTCATGGGTCTAGTCTAGGAAGAAAATATCCAGAGACAGCAGTGATGTTTTAGCAAGTACTAGCCTGGCTGTTTTTATGAGAACATTATCAAAATCCTTCCTGTAATCTTCCTTCCCAGACATATATAAGCCACAATGAAATTCTGAGGTCAGGATTTTAACTGAGTTCAGTAGCAAGTGTAATGAAACAAATAGTTTAGGTATACATGAAATTAAAGATGTATGCATTCCACTATAATAAGAAGAATATAATATCTAAGAGTTTTTTTTTTTTTAATTTGATGGTTCACTCCCTCCTCCTTTCATTAGGTCACTATAAAGCCATCCGGTGTTATAATAGAAGTCACCTGAAAACTGTCTGAAACCTGGCAGTATCATGCATAGGTGACACGGACTGAGAGATAAGACTTTACCTCTTGATATCCTGGGCTTGTATCTGGATGCAAAACTAGACAGTCCATTATATTCTTACATTAAGTGGAACACAGTCATATACATTTTCAAATATCTAAATGGAGGTGGGTAGCTCATCGTTCACTGCTCTCACAGCTGTTTTCCTTCTCGCTCTTCTTTCTATGGAAATTGGATTTTGTTTGTGCATCCCTCCTCGTCCACACATAGTCCTGCAAATGAACGTGATTATGCCTTAGGCTTAAGGATTGAATTTGGCTACTCTAGAGCGCCCCAATGCCTACTGAAAGTGATTGGCTCAGGAATGAGCATGTGATCTGAGGTAAGCCAATGAGAAACAAGGAGCCATGTGGAACAATGCTTCTGGTAAAGTTCCTTCTCTGGGGTTTCTTTCTTTTTTTTTTTTTTTTTCTGAGATGGAGTCTTGCTCTGTCACCCAGACTAGAGTGCAGTGGCGCAATCTCGGCTCACTGCAAGCCCCGCCTTCTGGGTTCACGCCATTCTCCTGCCTCAGCCTCACGAGTAGCTGGGACTACAGGCGCCTGCCACCATGCCTGGCTCATTTTTTGTATTTTTAGTAGAGACGGGGTTTCACCGTGTTAGCCAGGATGGTCTCGATCTCCTGACCTCGCAATCTGCCCACCTCGGCCTCCCAAAGTGTCTCTGGGATTTCTTAAAACGATTCTCTCTACCTCTGGACTTTGTTATATGTGGAATGCTGCATCCGTTTTGCATATGGCCTGAATTTTTTTTTTTTTTCTTGAGACAGGGTCTCCCTCTGTTGCCCAGGCTGGAGTGCAGTGGCACAATCTCAGCTCACTATAACCTCTTCCTCCTGGTTCCAAGTGATTCTCTCCTGCCTCCAACGATTCTCTCCTGCCTCAGCCTCCTGAGTAGCTGGGATTACAGGTGCATGCCACCACGCCCAGCTAGTTTTTGTATTTTTTGTAGAGATGGGGTTTTGCCATGTTGGCCAGGCTGTTGACGAACTCCTGACCTCAAGTGTTCTGCCTGCCTCAGCCTCCCAAAGTGCTGGGATTACAGGTGTGAGCCACCATACCCGATCTAACCTGAAAATTAAACCATCAAATGAAAGAGGCCAGAACCAAGAGAAATGCAGGAGGACAGAACCTGGACCATCTCACTTCTGGACACTGGTTTATGTAAGCCAATAAAATTTCTTATCGCTTAAGCCATTTTGAATTACAATTTCTGTTACTCGTAGATAACATGTTTTTAAATGAGACACTCATTTAAAACCTTCAACAATCCTCCTTCCCAATGAAGACCCCTTAATATAATTGCAAAGCCCATTTGCAGCCCATTTCTGCCTTCCCTCCAGCCCCTTTCAAAGCTCTTGGGTGACTAGGTGCATAGTCAACGAGCACTAATATTTTGAAAGGAATCTTTCTTTAGTAGTAGGTCTCAACCATGGGCTTCAAATATTCAGTAAACCATGCTGTAAACAGATGTGCTGTCATCCAGGCTTTGTTGTTCCTTTTACAGAGCACAAGTGGAATAGATTTACAATAATACTTAAGGGCCTTGTGATTTTCAGAATGGTAAATGAGCATTGGCTTCAACTTGTCACCAGCTGCATTAGCCCATAAAAAAGAGTCAGCCTGTCCTTTGAAACTTTGGAGCCAGGCATTGACTTCTCTCTAACTATGAAAGTCCTAGATGATGTTATCTTCCAACAGAATGCTCTTTTATCTACATTGAAATTCTGCTGTTTTGTGTAGCCACCTTCTTCAATGATCTTGGCTAGATCTTCTGGATAACTTGCAGCAGTTTCTCCATCAGCACTTACTGCTTTACCTTGCACTTTTATGTTATAGAGATGGCTTCCTTCCTTAAACCTCATGAATCAGCCTCTGCTAGCTTCTGACTTTTCTTCTAAAGCTTCCTTACCTCTCTCAGTATTCATACAATTGAAGAGAGTTAGCGCCTCCCCCTGGATTAGGTTTTGGCTTAAGGGAATGTTGTGGCTGGTTTGATCTTCTATCCAGGCTGCTAAAACTTTCTCCATATCAGCAAGGAGCTTGTTTTGCTTTCTTATCATTTGTGTGTTCATATAGAGTATCATTTTTTTCGTTAGTATAGGTTAGCACTTTTAATTTCCTTTAAGGACTTTTCCTTTGCATTCACAAGTTAGCTATTTGGTGCAAGAGGCCTAGCTTTCAGTCTATCTCAGCTTTCAACATTGGCTTCCTCACTAAGCTTAATCATTTTTAGCTTTTGATTTAAAATAAGGGTATGTGACTCTTCCTCTCACTTGAACACACAGAGGCCATTTTAGGGTTATTGATTGGACTAATTGCAATATTGTTGTGTCTCAGGGAAGAGGGAAGCCTGAAGAAAGGGAGAGAGACAGGGGTGTACCATTCGATGGAACGGTTGTAACACACACAACATTTGATTTATTAAGTTTGTTGTCTTATTGATATGGGAGGGGGCAGGGAAGTTCTGGGTAGAGAAAGGTGGGTCCCTGGCTATGGCTCCACCCCCTGGGCCTGTGCCCACGGACCTAGGTGAGGACAGCCATTTCTTATTTTGTGCCGAAATGTTGCATTACCCAAGACCACTTGTCCTGCCACGCCCCCATCCTGTACCTATGAAAAACCCGAGACCCTAGTGGGCATGCACACAAGCAGCTGGACGTCAAGAGGAACAGACTGGCAGAAGACACAAGTGGCTGGACGTCAAGAGGAATGCACTTGTGTAAGAGCACACTGACAGACACTGGCAGACCTGCAGACCGTCAACCAGCGGAATGATGCGAAGTTTGGCCGGGGCAGTTAGAGGAGAGCCCAGCCACTGAACGGGCCCAACTCCAGGGTAAAACCACCTTCCCACTCCATCTCCCTTCTGGCTCCCCCATATGCTGAGAGCTACTTCCACCCAATAAAACTTGCACTCAACTCATTCTCCAAGCCCATGTGTGCCCTGATTCTTCTGGTATACCAAGGCAAGAAACTCTGGGATACAGAAAGCCCCCTGTCTTTGTGATAAGGCAGAGGGTGTAATTGAGCTAACACAAGCTGCCTATGGACGGCTAAACTGAAAGAACACCCTGTAACTCATGCCCACTGGGGCTACAGGTGTAAACATTCAACCCTAGACACTGCTGTAGGGTGGGAGACCCACAGCCTGCCCATCTGCCTGTTCCCCCAGAGGTCTGAGCAGGGGCTCACCAAAGAAGCGAGCCACAACCCCATTGCATGCCTTGCAAGGGAGAATAAAAGAACTTTTCCCATTTCATTATGTGGATGTGGTTCGTGGTGCCCCGAAACAATTAACAATAATAACATTAAACATCACTGATCACAGATCACCATAACAGATAAAATAATAATGAAAAAATCTGAAATACCGCAAGAGTTATCAAAATGTGGCAGAGACATGAAATGAGCACACACTATTGGAAAAATGATGCCGATAGCCTTGCTTGACTCAGTGTTGCCACAAATCTTTAATTTGTAAAACATGCAATATCTGCACAGTGCAACAAAGAAAAGCACAATAAAATGTGGTATGCCTGTACTCAATAAAAGATAAATAAATATTAAATAAATAAGTGGAATTGAGCCAGGTGACAGTCCCAGGATATGTCAATGACACATCAAACTCGCATTCATTTTTGCTAGTGGAACTCTTTTTAGATAAGCTAGTTGTCACAATCCTCTGATCATCATCATCACAATTGATTTAGCACAATCTCAATATCTCAATGACACACTGTCACAACTCCAGCGCCTACAGAAGTGAGACAAATCAAAAACCAATTCACATTTCTGGATCACCCAGAAATAGAAAAATAACTTCACTCAAAGATAACCTCAGAGGAAGGCAAGAACAACTACATCTGGGAAAAGAAGCAAAAAACAAGTGTATAATTACTACAGTAAACTATAATGCTTTCATATCCAAGATATAATGGAACAAAGAGTCGGAAAATGTGGACTATAATGCTCAGATGGTCAAAACACCATGGTTCATTCTTTTCTCCAATTACTTATTATTAAGAGCCGCATAGACACTGTGTAATCCTCCAACTTTTATGTTTTACTTCTTTTGTTTTTTGTTTGGCTATTTGAATTAATGTGTCGTATAATTGAATTGTAAATGACCAAGAACTAGCCAAAGAAGCAAAATTATTTAGAGATAGTCTCAGAGAACAAATGATGTCACATGTGATTTATTTTATCATATAATAAAATATCTATTTCTCATTAGAAACAGAGAAAGCTGGCAAAATACTATTTCTGTGTTCCACATAAGAATTTTGAAGTATTCTACAACTTAAATTTTTTTTTCTATATGCATTACAGTGTCTGAGAAGGGTTATATGGTACTTGACTTATTTCATAGAATGTTATGTTTAACAAAAGTTATTCATTTCCCTCAAAAAAGCCTCTTTTGGGATAGACTAACGTGTACTTGACTGCAGAGATATACTTTTATTTATTCTCAAGAGTTGCTGTCAAATACTATAAGATTAATACTATAAGAAGAATTAATATAAGATTAATACTATAAGATTAAATACCATAAGATTACTAATTTTACAGTTGTGGATATTGACTAGCATCTGTGGGAACTAATAATGTACTGACTTCAGTCTTTGGTCTGTCCTGTTAAAATTTTATATGTAATCTTAATAAAGATCAGATGGTCTTAAATGTAAGTGAAGATTTCATTCAATAGACAGATTTGACGAGATGTCATGTAATGTTAATTCTACGTTATTAAGATTCTGACCGAAAATTATAGGATGTGACAGGACCTTAGAGAGCTTCTCATCTAAACTCATTATCTTGAAAGATATCCAGAGAGGTAGAGTGACTTGTCCAAATTTATGCAGTGAGTTGATGGATCCAAGGCTGAAAGCCACATCTCTTCATGCTTTTTCTAGTATTCCTCCATTGTTATGCAATGGTTCTGTATGAAACTTCTTGAATGGAGATGAGGAATGGATTAAAATTAACTTACGGCATTTGGTGAATGGAGAAGAGGAATGGATTAAAATTAACTTATGTCATTTGGTATAAGTTTGGTTGATGAGATAAAACTAAGACAAGGATGAGGTAAATAAATTGTGGGACCACTGGGATGAAGAGAGTGACTAGGCCCAAGCATGGTGGCTCATGCCTGTAATCCCAGCAATTTGAGAGGGCGAGGCAGGAGGATCACTTGAGGCCAGGGGTTCAAAACCAGCCTGGGCAGCACAGTGAAACCCCTGTCTCTACAAAATAATTTAAAATAGTCAAGTGTTGTGGTGTGAGCCTGTAGTCCTAGCTATTCAGAAAACCAAGGTAGGAGGATTGCTTGAATCCAGGAGTTTGAGGTTGCAAATTGTGATCACGCCACTGCACTCCAACCTGGGCTACAGAGTAAGACCCTGCCTCTAAAAAAAAAAAAAAATGGTTATTTTATTTCATTTCACTTCAATGTTTCTAAACAAGTGATTAAGAAGTTTAGTATAGCCATATGATCAAATATAAAAGACATATAAATTATTCAATGTTACAACTACCAAATGCTGAGCTCTTGAGAGATGGAGACAAGTTCCATCATTAATGGGAATAAGTATAATCCAACCTTTAAAGGAATGGAATGTGAAAATTAACACATAATTATAAATCAACAACATAATCATAAACATAAAAAAACTGTGCTTGTTTTTGCTTATAATTTTATATCAATCCTAGATTGATGTTATAATGAGAAGCGTCTTAGTCTGCATGAAGATTCCTAACCTGATCAGTAATAATTGTTATTATTTATCATTCAATATGTGGCAGGCAATCTGGTACCATATACAATATCTCATTTATTTTAATGAAACAGCCATGACATAGAAAACTTATGGAACCTGTTCAAAGTTACAGTTTGAGATTGTAAATATTGGCTTAGAATCCTGGCATTCTCACTCTAGAATTCTTATATTTAATTGCATCCTCATACCAAATGTTGATATTCCACCCTCTGGTGGTTAGGAGGTGCCACTGCAGCTGCAGTCATTCCAGGAGAATGATTTCAAGTCCAGGAGAGACCAGGGAATTGTTCACCCCTTTAGTAGCAAGAGTATCCAGTTACTGTATGCAATTAGGTAACCAGTTCTATCTATTTCTCAAGAATACCAGCAGATAAACTACATAGTCATAATTTTTCAAATGCTTACAAAGCTAATACTTAGTTTTTAGTAGGCTGCATGTAAACAATTCCAAGGTGACCAGTTGTCCTAGCCTACGTCATTCCATAGTAATAAACCAGGTAACTTCCTCTATAAATCCAGCAACAACCAAAATCTGTGTTTACTCACTGAATCAAAATTATATACTGAAACACTTATTAATTTGGCTCTCACTTAAATAAAATGTGCAAATGCCTCATTCCAAAGAGAAAATAACTCATGGAGTGACCTTATTCACAAATGACAGACTTAACATCACCATATGAAATTTGAAGGGACTGCCCAAGTACTCAGTAATTGGCTGCACATTGTGAAATTAATAAGAAGGCTGCTGGCTGGAGACAGTTCTGTAAATTCCAGCCTATATGATGTCCTGCCTATACCTATACAATTTGGCAAGAGGACTCTGTGTTGGTATTGAGAACTGGCTCCCATTTTCATGGTAAAAACATACCTACATGGCCAGGCACAGTGGCTCACGCCTGTAATCCCAGCACTTTTGGAGTCCATGGCGGGGGGGATCACCTGAGGTCAGGAGTTCGAGATGAGCCTGGCCAACATGGTGAAATCCCGTCTCTACTAAAAATACAAAAATTAGCCAGGTGTGGTGGTACACACCTGTAATCCTAGCTACTTGGGAGGCTGAGGCAGGAGAATGGCTTGAACCTAGGAGACAGAGGTTGCAGTGAGCCAAGATCACACCACTGTACTCCAGCCTGAGTGACAAAGCAAGACTCCGTCTAAAAAAAAAAAGAAAAAAAAAACCTACAAATAAACATGATTTTGAAATAATTGAATAAGTTTGTGCCATGGTAATAAGTAGCTTTCTTAATGATTTTGTTCTTATTAAACAAAGGGGTAGCTGAAAGATAGGCATAGTTTTTAAATTTGTTTTTCTTTGAGCTCAATACTCTTGCCAATTCTTAGAAATCTTGGAAATGTCAAAATTTCAAAACTATATTTCTTCAGATGTTTAGTTATAATTAAATTTTTACTTAGCACCTTCTATGTATGAATTTTTGAAGATACATTTATGGGAATCTGATGATATGGCAATGAGACACCATGCTCAGTGTTGGGGTTATGGAAGTGAGGAAGATACACATGCTTCTCCTCTTCATGGAATTCACAATTAGTGGCAAAAGCACAAAAGAGAAATAAATAAAATCATCATAAGTTAAGATGAGTTTTAAAAATGAAAAAATATGAGACCCTGATAATGGAATTTTCTCATATAGGATGATAGAGAGACATTCTAAGAAGTAACTCTTAAGCTAAGACACAAAAGATGAGAACTATGGATAGAATGGGAGAAGGCAGTGGAGGGGTGAAACAGACAGGCAGCTGCGTATGCAAAGTTTGGAGGCAAGGAGAGGTTTAGTGTGCCAAGGAGCTGCATGAGGCCTGTGAGGATGAATCATGTTGGGCAGAGTGACATGACAAGAGTTAGATTTAGAAAAATAGGGCCGGGCATGGTTGCTCACGCCTCTAATCCCAGCACTTTGGGAGGCCAAGACAGGAAGATCACCTGAAGTCAGGAGTTCGAGACCAGCCTGGCCAACATGATGAAACCCCCATCTCTATTAAAAATACAAAAATTAGCTGGACGTGGTGGTGGGCGCATGTAATCCCAGCTAATCAGGAGGCTGAGGCAGGAGAATTGCTTGAACTCGGGAGGCGGAGGTTGCAGTGACCTGAGACCATGCCATTGCACTCCAGCCTGGGCGACAAGAGTGAAATTCTGTCAAAAAAAAAAAAAAAAAAAAAAAGAAAAGAAAAAGAAAAAGAAAGAAAGAAAGAAAGAAAGGCCATGGCCAGGTCTTATAAGATGTTGTAGGGAAGTCTAAAGGAAAAAGATCTTATTGTAAGGACAATGAGAAGCCATTTGGTATCTTTAAGCAAGAAAGTCACAAGCTATAATGAAGCCTCTGTGCAATAACGAAGCCTCCGTGCAATAATAAATACATATATGCGTAAGAATTAAATGGGTGGCTGTAGGGTTCATGTGGAGGGCACACTGAGATCTTTAAACATACAAGTGTGGTTATTCAAAATTATAAATGACTTGCGTGTGTTACAAAGGTATTGTATACAAGATGAGTGTGCAGCCTATAAAGCTGAAAGTATTCAGATGTGCCCTTTTAAATTTATAATATCCTCAGTCTTTCAAGGAAGTGTTTGCATAAGAATTACTGAGAATTGCTGAATGTTCTTGGGCTTCTTCAGACCTTAGAAAGGGAGTCTAGTTAGTGCACTAAGACTATACTTCTATTTTATTGTCATTAGCTGAGCCAAATATATTATAGAATATGTTATAGAAATTGTGCTGGTTGGCTCTGTGCCATGAGTATGAAACTATGCTAAGAACGGTGTCCTAATGCGATAAACATAGGAACTGATCATCTGTCTGCAGTCAATAAAAAAAGCACAGAATAAAGATGAAAAATATCTGAAGAAGGTTCATTATAAAGGAAAATAATCAACCTTTGAGAAGCACAAACACAAGTAAACACACCACTTTGTCAAGTATAGAAAAAAGGAATTAAATCCATTAGTAATTCAGAAAAGGAAGAAATAACTCCTAAATGGGAAGATTGGGGAAGACTTCAGGAAAAGGACGCATTTAAACTTGGCTTTCAAGGAGATTAGGGAAACGAAATGTTAGGCAAAAGACAAGTATTTATTGGGCAATGGCCACACTCAGTACTTTGCATGAACACTGAGAAGGAATGTGATCACAAAGTCCTCTCACATTCTGGTCCACTGGAGAGAACAATATCTGAGTGGAATGAGATTGGGCTCAACCTGGATCCAATTCTAACTTTAAATGTCTTGAACATCAAATTACCACATTCTGCTACATTGGCAGCTCTCAAAACCAGTGCTAAATGTTAATCAGTATTCAGTTGGCCACTGCCTCATGCATTTCTCATTGTCCACTTACCAATGTGCAGAGTCATGGTGGCAAAAAAAAAAAAAAATGTTAGCTTGGTTGGACAGGTTTAGACTCTTATTTGACCAACCCCACCTTGAATGAGTCATCTTTGGAGCTAACATAAAAGCCATTTTGAAGATTCAAAATGGACTTACATCTTTGTTAATAAGACATCATCTGCATATATAACCAAAGTGGTAATGAGATGTTATCCTTCAAATTAGTTTAAGCAATGAGTTGCAAAGAAGTCTTGAGAAGCCAACACCCAGGTTTCTGAGTATATAATCGCCGCACCAAAGAATTTAATTTTCAAACTCAGCATGTTGAGTCCTTATGACCATCTTTAAGGATTTTTAGCAATATGCCTCATAGCCACTGCCATTCACTCAGGAGCTTCCACAATGCCCCACCACTCTCTGCCATCACACATGGCACTAATCCTATAACCTTTGAAGACAGATTGTGTTTGCCCAGCAGCTTCCATAGCAGAACCTGTTTCCTGGACAACTTTCAAGAAACCTGCAATGAAACCACCAGCTGCCAAATGACCAATTGTGAACAGGACTTATTCACAGACGATAGCTGTGTGCAAAGTAACTGCTTCCCCGGAGTTGTCCAAACTACTTACTCCAATTCCAGGCCCTGCGAAAGGACAGCGTGCCAATCAGAAAGTTCTTCAGCAGGGCTGGCTTGTGTTTCTCAGCCTTGCCAATCAGAAAGCACTCAGCAGATGGGTTTTGTAGCCCAGAGCTGCCAACCTGCAAGCCTCAAGGGAAACAGTTGCCCACCCAAGACTTCTAAGTCTAAAAATTTCGAAACTCTGGAACGTGCATCTAGCCAATGTCAGTGTCAGTCTCAGAACCCTGAATCCAGTTCCTGTAGACCTCTGGTCAATGTTGCACCTGAGCCACAACTCCTGGAATCTTCTCCAGGAGTTGAACCAACTTGCTGTGTTACTGGTGGTTCTCAATTGCCTAGTAAGTGAAGATCTGTAGGGGAGATGGCTTATATTCTCATTTGGATGAATTTATTTTTGAGATACTTAGATATTTTGTATTTCTTTAAATAAAAAATGTTGTGTGTGTTTGTTAGTAAATGAACATGTCTTATTTTACTACTGTCTCCAAAGACAAGATTTTTTTTCTTGTTTTTCTTTTGGGTATGTCTAGTGGTAATCTGGGGTTGGAAAGCATGCTAGCTATTTTAGAGCAGTAGGATACGATTTGTTATTAAGCAATAAGAGCTGTAGCCAGGAAATAACATGAATACTTAAAGGAAACATCACACTTTAACTGCAAGTTGTTTTCTTTGGAAATACTTAGCATTGGATCTGGTTTATTAAGTAATGTGCTACTAGTCTCAGAAATTCATAAAATATTGGAACCAAACCTAAAAGCCTACCTAGTCCTGTGAATTACGATAGGTTCAACTCTATCAGAGGTTGCCCAAGTAGTTAATAACATCAGAACCACAACTAAAATCCAGGCCTACTCACTGGCCATCTGTTATTTTAGCCATTGAATCACAACATTCTCAAATTAACTAGAAGATTAAGTCTATTGTTCGAATAGAGCAAGGTAATTTTGAATTTCACCTCCATGGGCTTTATAACCACGTAGCAACCAGAAGCCTTTAAATAGAATGAATTGAAGTTTAGAATCTTCACTTCATTTCGTTCCCGTTGTTTTTTTGGTTGTTTGTTTTTTTCCTGTTTTCATTATTTCTTAAGTATTTTTTGAGTTTGGAAAATATTCTTTGTATTAAATAAATTTGCTTTCTTTGGAAGCAAAATTTGGACTTGTCACACTATTATTTTTATTCAATCCTTTTGCAGGTGTTATGTTACAGGCTTTTTGTTTCTTCGTTTGTTACCTAATGAAAATAGTATAAATATTTAGAAGAAAAGAGAACATATCCTCTTGTTATAATTTTTATAGTGTGAACCAGAAAAGAATAACTCATGGTGGTAGTCAACAGAAGATGGAAAATATACTCATATGAACATCATAAGACCATAGAGTCAGATGTTTGAAATTGATTAATTTTATTTAGGTAGCTTAGCTATTCTGAAACTTTTGGTGTGTTCTTAAATTGATCTTTCAATTTTTTTTTTTTTTTTTGAGATGGAGTCTCGCTATGTCACCCAGGCTGGAGTGCAGTGGCGCAATCTCGGCTCACTGCAAGCTCTGCTTCCTGGGTTCACGCCATTCTCCTGCCTCAGACTCCCGAGTAGCTGGGACTACAGGTGCCTGCCACCATGCCCGGCTAATTTTTTGTATTTGTAGTAGAAACGGGTTTCACCACATTAGCCAGGATGGTCTCAATCTCCTGACCTCGTGATCCGCCTGCCTCGGCCTCCCAAAGTGCTGGGATTACAGGCGTGAGCCACCATGCCTGGCCTTGGATCTCACATTTTTTCAGGGCAAAATAAGGTAGTGGTTGAGAGCATGAACTCTGAATATGGATTTCCTTGAGCTGGAATCTTAGCTTTGCTTAGTGATGGCTGTTTAAGTTCCAACTGTGTGACTGTGTGCAAGTTATTTAACCACCTCAGTTTCTTCAACTTCAAAAGTGAAGGATAATAATAGGGCTACTGTGAGCCTTAATAAGTTAATAAATTGAAAGTGTAAGGCTTAAAAAATTACCATGTATATAGCATATTTAGCAACTCAGCTAGCTCAGAGACTTGGTATGGGGGAGGTAGTGGGGATTTGTAAATAAACCCAGAAATCCATGAGAGATTAGGAAAGCTAGTCATCCAACAAAAGAGAGATTAGCTGTTTTGTATTTTGGAAGATGCAGGCAGCATCATCTACTAAGGGAGAAAATTAAGAAACTTAAACGCTGTCTAGTTGAAGTAAATTGGCAAGTATCTCTGAATCTATGGCAAACCTAATGCTACTGATAATTTACCAGTTAGTTCTGAGGGTGGGTGCCATGGTAATTCTATGTATCAACATGATTGAGCCAAGGGCTGCCCAGATTAAGCATTATTTCTGAGTGTGTCTGTGAGAGTGTTCAAGGGAGATAAGCATTTAAATCAGTGTGCTCAGTAGATGGCCCTCTCCAATGTGGATGGGAATCGTTCAGTCCATTGAGGGCCTAAATAAAACAAATGGTCGGGGAAGGAGAAATGTGCCCGTTTATGTTTCCTGCAAGCCTACTTGAGCAGAGACATTGGGTTTCTCCTGCCCTTGGACTGGATTTATACCATTGGCTCCCCTGGTTCTCAGATCTTCACATTTGGACTGGAATTATATCACTGGTTTCCTTGAGTTTCCAGGTTGCAGGTGACACATCATGAGATTTCTTAGCCTCCATAATTGTGTGAGCCAATCCTTCGTGATAAATCACTCACTCTCTCTCTCTCTTCATACACACACACACACACACACACACACACACACACACACATGCATATATATACACACACATATATACAGTGAGATAAATATATATTATATATAGTCTGTCTATCTATCTATCTATCTATCTATCTATCTATCTATCTATCATCTATCATCTATCATCTATCTATCTATTTTATTGGTTCTGTTTCTCTATGTAGCCCTGAATAATACAGTGGGATAGACACAGGCCATCTCAAAGAGGAAGACTTAAGCCTAAAATCTGTAAACCACCACATACACAGGTGCTCTGTAGAGGGATAGGATTGACGGAAGTCTGAGAGAGGCCAAACACTATTCAATACCATCAATAGTACTCAGAGCCTTTGGCAGCCTCAATAGCAGAACATCCCTGAAGCAAACAACATTGACATAAAGCTTCTGTCCACAGCACTGATGGCAGTAACACAGCATTGGCAACAGTAAAGACAGAATTTATCTCGTGGCAGCTTCTCAGCATTCTAGTCACAGCCAATCATGTGAACATAGATCAAGTTCATTCACAATAAGGATTTTTACTATTGCAATGCCAACTGGGTTGCCCAGAAAAAGCTCAATTCATTTGGACCACTGTTTCTAAAGACAAGAGGGAAAACCTACCCATTCCATGTGCCTTCCAAGTATATATTATTTTACTGGGTGTAGCTTGCTGAGAAAACAGGACTTTGGCGAAAACGGGCTATGTGTGGTATGTGTTGTGGAGCAGGGGAATGCCAGGAAAGAGGGACGTGATGTTAAGTTTCACTTTCCCATCTACTCTGTTCATCATTCTAGACATTAGCTTTCCAGGCTGAGCTTGACCACTGCTAGAAAGAGAAGCTAGCTGAAGAAGGAGCCAGTATTTAATCTAACTCAACATGGAGCATATTAGAGCTCCTCATAGAAAGAAATTATGTGGACTCAGGTACAAAAAGACTTTTGATATTGGAATATGGAATGCCATAATTATATAAACCTTGGTAGAAAATTTAGTGTAAGGAAAAGGACATGAATCTTATAGTATGACTAGATCTTACTCAATTCCAAATTCTGTGTATTAAAAGCTATGTGCTCTGGGATGAATTAACATTCTTTTTTTCTTTTTCTTTTTTTTTTTTTTTTTTGTCAGTGTCTCACTTTGCTGCCCAGGCTGGAGGGCAGTAGTGCAATGTTAGCTCCCTGCAAACTCTGTCTCCCGGGTTCAAGCGATTCTCATGCCTCAGCCTCCCAAGTAGCTGGAATTACAGGTGCATGCCACAACACCTGGCTAATATTTGTACTTCTTGTAGAGATGGGGTTTCATCATGCTGGGCAGGCTGGTCTCAAACTCCTGACATCAAGTGATCCACCTGCCTCAGCCTTCAAAAATGCTGGGATTACAGGCGTGAGCCACTGCACCTGGCCCAAATTAACATTTCTGAGACTTGGTTCCATTATTGTAAAATGGAGATAATAATATTAAAGTCATTGGATGATTATGACAACTAAATGGCATGATTCCAATTAAATGCTTAGTGGACTGTTTGGCACATAATAAGAGCACAATATATGCTAGGTATCATTTGATACTTCGTCTGATATTTTTCTCTTGGGCCTCAATTTCAGTTTGTTTTTATGATTGTCTATAATGCATTTGAATCCAGGGCAGAGACCAAGAAAATTATTTCATTCCATGTGAAAAGAATGTAAGCAGTATGGGACATAACCAGGATATTCTATGCAGGACTCATTTTTAAGCAATGTCAAAACATACCGGTGGGTATATGCATGCTACAGAGCATTCTTCATAGACCAAGGGACTTCTTCCTGCCTAAAAAGAATGGTAGGATTTGTACATTGGTATCCTGAACACCTCAAGACATTGGTAGTTTAACCACATGTTTTTCTCTTAGAAGTAAAGCATAATGACTATCAAGAATGTCTTCTTGCCTGTACAGTGCTGGGTCAAGAGCCATAAAATAGCTCTTATTAATTGGGTGCTTATTATTTACCTAACACTTTGTACATATTTTATCATTTTAAACTCAAATAACCCAGTGGTATAAGTAACATTAGTAAATCCCCCTTTTTCCAGTGAGGACAAAGGCACAAATTTGTCCTGTGGAGGACAAGACTTTGCTTTGTGTTAGAAGAGAATTACTCATATCTTTCTTTAAGCCACGATATCCTTCCCTAGTTCTACTCTGTCTTTCTACTTTCAAGAGTCTTACTTACTCCCTACTCTGTAATTTAAGTAACTTTTCCAGTACAGGAAGTAAATGGTGGAACGAGGGTTTTAACCCATGAATCTTTAAAGTTTGAGTATAACACTGTAATACTTTAATTGTGCTTTACTTATATTATACTTCTAGTCATTAGAGTAGCTTCAAATGTGGAAGAAATATCTGTGCAATGTGGAGGACCGATACAAATAATTTGACTAAAAATGATTGGTCTGGTTATATTGTATTGCTGTGAGACTGCAGAAGAAACACCCAGAGAACTGAGTATTGTTGACTGGATGGCTCATTTGTAACTCAAAAATAAATGCAATAAAGGAAATGAACATATTTTCATTAGAGTTTGTAAAATATTATGCAATTGAAATATCTTAGAAAAAAACAAATACTAACTTCAAGTCATGTGTCATCAATAGAATCTAGATGCTAGGAAAAGGATTTAGATGGCATGGAGTCAGATTCACCTACAATACAACAATTATCGTCTTAATGGTAGTACTTTCATTTTCCATATCCTTTAGTCCTTATTCTTTTTAAATTAAATACTATTTCTCTTGAAAATTTTGAGCTCATTGTAGACACTAATAGGATTGGACAGGACTTTGCTCCATGTTAGATGAGAATCACTCATATCTCTATTGAAGCCACAATATCCTTCCCTAGTTGTGCTTTCTGTTTTATTTCCAGGAGTCTTACTTACTTCCTCATTTGAAATTCTTTTACCTAGAGAGTTGTTCTAAAATCTTCCACTTGGACTCAAATAATAGTTGATTGAAAAATATTTAAGAAGGAAACAGCTAATATAATTAATAAATCATATTCTGGTTATATCAGAGATACGGCCTTGATGAAGTATAAAATGCATCATAGGTAGATAGGTACAAATACACTAAACATCTAAAGCTCAATTTTAAAATAAAATACAAATCTTTTTGTAGTTGCATAAGAATAAGTTATTTGCCTGACTTTTTGTATAACTTCCTCTAGCTTTACGGAAACAAAGTCACTGATGGCATTCAAAGAGAGTTGTCCCTTGGATCTCAGAGGCAAAACTAATGTAGTTGTATCCAAACTTAAGAACATAGAAATGTTGAGGGTAAATTTCAGAAAATAGTTAAGCCAATTTCTATTCTTCCATTACTCAATGGTACTGGGTCGTTGGCCCTGAAGGAGTTTAGTAACTACTAATTGACAAAGATAATGAGAAAAGAAGGCTAAAAATCAAAGAGAAAGCTAAGAATAGCATCACCCTTATTATTGCAGTGCCTTGTCACTATTACTTTATGGACAGTTGCATGCTCCTTATTTAAATTGACTGTGCAGAGTGAAACACCTGGATTAAAAAGCCCTCTTTCACAATAAACTGTGTCAAAATTTAGAGTAGAGTTATTAGCCATTGTTCTTATCTCCCACTTGGCATGAGCGAATTCACTTTCACACTCTATATGTTAGGAAACCAATCTAATAATGCATGTTGAGATTCTTAGGAACAAAGTACCTTCCTCTAGACCTCATATTTTATTAAATTAAACTGCAGGAGCAAGTACAATAAATAAATTTTAAATTTTAGCTGTTGATATTCACAAGGTTTGTAGTGATTACAGGTGTACTTACCAGATTAAAGTTAGAATATACATTACCACTGAAAGAAACACATCTTTCTTAGAAAACAGAAACAGGCTTCATGTGTTTCTTCCATTTTTCAAGTCTATATTTATTCAGCAGCTTGCTTAAAGTGGGCCTGCTCCCACATTCCCATCTCCCTGAGGCTACAGCTGATGGTGGCTTGGTCCTCAGGAGTCTGGTTTAATTTCCAGCAGTGAATGATGGTGGAGATCAAACCATTGATCTTGAGAAGGTCCTGGAGGGGCTTCTAATGCAAGGTCAGTGCTCCATGGCCCTAAGGCTACAAATGAAATGTTAGGCAATTAAAAAAAACAATATTCTACACTTTGAGCCTTTGAGTTTTCCTTAGAGGACAAATATCAGCCCAAGCTGTGTTTTGCTCTGAAAGATGCCTAATCAGAGTTAAATGTTTCCCAAGCTTCCATCAGATATCTGAGTGAAATGCTGTGGCCTTTGTATTTATGGCAAAGACCAGTGACCATTTTTGCATGGTTTCTTCTGAAGCTGCCTCATTTCTATCACAGTTATGTTTTCATAGAATCACAATCATGTCTAAATGTGTAAGAGATCTTTAGTGAACCTTACTTATTCTGCAGTTGAGCAAATACATCTGCTGAGGTTAAATGAGTTATTCAATTTCACGTGGCTCATTACCAGCCGATCAGGGCTAGAACTCAAGCCTTGTGATGCTCAACCTAGTGTCCTACTGATTGTACATTGAAGTATCTCTCATGAGAAGTTTATTAAGAATATTTAAACATATGAAGCACAATAATTTTAGTGAGCCCTTTATGTACCTTAAAGGCCACACTTAACACATATACAAGTCTTTATTAGGTCATAAATGTAACCTATTTTAAATTAATATTCCAGGTGTAATAAATATTCATCTAGCCACAGAATTTTAAATATATTTTAATAAAACTTGAAATATTGTTTTTCTAGATGCATGGTTTGTTAAAAAGTAAACAAGACCACAGTTCTCTTGCTTTAGAGATTCACTGAGTACTTTTTTCATAGTAATAAGTAGCCATTTTCCTGACATCTGAATAATTGAGCTATGTTCATAACCACATTTGAAATAGTGAGTCAGAATAAAACCTACACTGAATGCTAGTAGTCATTACTAAAAAATTCTAGAAGCCACAGCAAAGAAGGAGAAATAGCATTAAGTAAGTGCGAGTACTTTACCTATAATCTAAACTAAGGTCATCTTGTCTTTCAATAATTGCTCAGGTGAAAACCACAGCTGTCATTCCCTCAGGGGTTATTGCCATGGGGCTGTCATCCCCTCTAATAGCCCCTTTTTTCATGTGACCCTCAGAGATGTCCTCTGCTAAGCCAGGAACAGCTATGGCAGAATCCAGCTCCTGAACTACTGCCAAGAAACCTGAGGGGATCCCCAGCTGCCAACAGCATGCCGCGGACCCAGATCTTGTGAAACCACTCCCTGTACTCCTCTGCTTGTGATGTGTCCAGAACCTGCCATACAATCTTTTTCGTCCTAAGTCTTTACTTCCTTCCACCAAGCAATCTGTGATCAATGTTTTGGACTACATGGACAGCAGTGGCTGTCCCAGGATTCACTGGTCTTAGAGCTATTAACCCCTGGGCTGGCTCTTGCATCTCATTCATGATTGGGATTTAGCAGCTGCTGCCCCGTCGTGCAGCACCTTCACTTGTTAACAAATGATGAGCTATATAATAAACAGCTTTTGCCCCTGACTTGCATACTGTGTATGTATACATATTGTATACTTATGCTTATTGTATACAAATGCATCATATTGTATACATATTGCCATATCTATACATATTGTATACATATTGTATACCTATATATATTATATACAATATGGAAGTCAGGGGCAAAAGCTGTTGCTTATATAGCTCACGGGGGTATTTTGAGTACTCCCTCATAATTGTCAATTCCCAAGTAAACTATCCAAACATTTCTATCTAGCATAGTTGGGGAAAATGGGCAGTCTCATGGAGGGCTATGTTATATGGCTGGATTGCTGTAAAAAATATGTGACAGACCTATTTATTGCTCTCCTATTCCATGAGCAGACTGTTTATTAACTAAACTGTGGTTCACATGTGTCCCTTTTCTTTGTCAGCTTTTTCTTTTAATGCCTTATAAGCCTTTAAGATGTATTTTCAATATGGTATCAAGTTGCTTTCTTTATCTTCTAATAGCTTCGATTAATCTCTACTAGTTATTACTGCATAAATTGCCCATAATTATTTCAATATTATTATGACTATATTATACTTTGACTAAAATGTCTGTGTCTTATTAAAAGATTGTCAAAGCAATAGAGTTGGTGATTATGATGACGTTGCAGTGCCACAATTTCAACTAGAAAACCGAAACCTGTGGAAGGGGCATTGAGAACTGTGAAAAGTCAGAAATTTTATCCTATTTGTATGCTAACAAGTTAACCCGTCATAGTTTCGGGAATGCAGGCAGAAGACATAAGAAGCCTAGGTTAGAGACAAAGGCCTTTATCATTTATGGCAATAGCCGAAGCCAGAGTGTTAGCATTGACACCAGATCCCTGAGCTCCAATTCCCATAGGGCCAGCTGACACCTGCATATGCAGCAGGTTGTTTCACAGGAGAGGAATGTTGAGTTTAGGAACCCTGGATCATAGACATCATGAAGAGTAAGCATGTTTGACATTTGACCCTGAGAGAAACACTGTATCTATTTTCCAAGACTGTTTCTCTAAAAACATGCTTGAAAAGTTAATTTAGAACAAAGGGAGCCAGTGACTGCACTGAAGACATGCAGAAATGCAAGAGACCCATGGGGATTATTTTCCCTGAAACAATACCCAACTCTTATCTCTACACTGCACTGCTCCTGGTGAATTTTCCCATGAGAATGACATTCCACTGACCACTCCGATTAGTCTGACCAATAGAGGCTGCAACCAAATCTATTTAATATATCTCATATATCATTCAGGTTAGAATACTATTAACAAGACTCCAAGTGGCATTCAGTGAATGGAGGCGTCTACCTATGCTAAGTGCTCCAATAACAAAATCATCAGTCACAGTGACTTGTAACTCACAGAGACCCCAAAAGTACTAGCACTTCTATGAATACAGATCTTCACAATCAGTGGAATCCCTTTTGTAATTTATGGAACGGGGTAACATAGTCATATAACACAACAGCAAAAGTATAGTTTGCCCTCTGTATCTGTGGGTTCACCATCTGTGGATTCAACTAATCACAGACTGAAAACATTAAGGGAAACAAAGATGATTGCATATGTGTTGAACATATACAGACATTTTTCCTTATAATTCGTCCCTAGAAAACACATAATAACTATTTACATAGCACTTGCATTGTATCAGCTATTATTAGTAATCTAGAAATGATTTAAAGTAGATGACAGCATGTGTGTGAATTAAATGCAAATACTATATCATTTTATAACAAGTACTTGAGTATCCATAAATTTTGGTATCTGCAGGGATTCTGGAACCAGTCCCCCAAAGATGCCAAGGGTCAATTGTACATTAAACTGACACAAAGGGCTCCACCTAGAAAGTCACATTATTTTTCCTTTCCATCTGTAATCTCTTCCAAAGCCTCATTAGCTGTATTCAAGTATTTCCCTTTCACCTCCACTGGACTGAGTAAAATGGTAACTTGGACACCTGTATCCAAGAGAGCGACAAAAGTTTGAGTTCCTCTTTTTCTTGAAGTTCCTCAATGTATCTGAATGAGTGTATACAGCTTCAGTCTCTCTTGGGGAAAGATATAGACATTGTTCCTACCCTGAATTGTCTTTCTCCTTAAAGTGACTTATGTCAGGATAGAGAAGGAGGAACAGATTAGCAGGTGTGGAGAGACAGATAGCAGCTTAGCACCAGAAAACAAGATGCTTTTACTTATAGTTTTTGGCAGCAAGACATCTGCTAGGGGCTCAAACAAACAAACATGTAATTTTTTAGTCCACCGAATGTTCTATATTAAGCAGTAATATAATCATTATTGACACAGTTTAATTAAGCCATGGAGTAACTGGACCAGCAGTTGCAGCCATGTTGTTTTCCTGCTGCAGACACAAAGTTTGTACCTTTTGGCTACATGAGACTTGAGAGACATGTTTGTTAATCATGAGTATGTACTCCCCCATTATGAAGAAAAATGACTTGTCACAAACTAGGGAAGTTTCAAGAGACTATCAGGAAATTTCTCAGCAAAACCCTTTCAGGCCAGTAGAGTGGAATGATGTATTCAAAGTGCTGAAACAGACAAACAAACACTTGCCAACTAAGAATAATATCCCCAGTGAAGCTGGCTCTCAGAAATGAAAAAGAAATAAAGACTTTCTGAGATATACAAAAGCCTAAGAATTTCCTCAACACTAGATCTGCCTTATAAGGTATGCTAAAGGGAGGTCTTCAACTTGAAATGAAAAGGCACTAATAAGAAACATGAAAACTTGAGAAAGTATAAAACTCACTGTTAAAGGTAAGTATCTACTCAAATTCAGAATACTTTAATATTGTAATAGTGGTATATAAATCACTTTTAACTTTAGTGTAAAAGTTAAAAGACAAAAGTATTAAAAACAACTATAACTACTGTGATAGTTAATTACAGGTGTCAATTTGGCTGGTTAAGGATTTACCAAAATAGTGGGCAAAGCATATTTCTAGATGTGTCTGTGAAGGTGTTTCTAAAAGAGATTAGCATTTGAATTAGTAGACTAAATAAGGAAGATCTGCCCTTATCAATCTGTCAGACCTCATCCAATCCAATGGAGCCCAGGAGGGAAGAAAATGGTGCAGGAAAGGTAAATTTCCTCTCTCTTCTGGAGCTGGGAGAGCCATCTTCTCCTGCTCTTCAATACTGGAGCTCTTGGTTTTTGGGCCTTTGGACTCCAGGATTTACACCAACACTCCCTTCCCCAACCCTCCATGGTTCTCAGGCCCTTGGACTCATATTAAATTACACCAGTGACTTTTCTGGTTCTCCATCTTGCAGATGGCATGGATGGAGCTTTTCGGCTTTCATAATCATGTGAGTCAATTTTCATAATAAATATCCTCATATATTTATATATATTCTATTAGTTTTGATCCTCTGAAGAACCCTAATACAGCTAAAATAATTTGTTAATAGATACATAATATAAAAAGATGTAATTATGACATCAATAACAAAATATGTGTGTGTGGGGAAGAAGTGTAGAACTTCTGTATGTGATCAAAGTGAAATTATTGTCAGCTTAAAATAAACAGTTAGAAGATGTTTTATGTAAGCCTTATGGTGATCACCAAGAATAAGCTGTTGTAAACACATTAAAATTAAAAGAATCAAAGCATACCACTAAGAAAAAATCGTCAAATCAAAAAGAACAAGGAATCACAAAACAGACAGAAAACAATTAAAATGGCAGTAGTAAGTTCTTGGCAGCAGTAAAGTAATCAAGAATTACTTTAAATGTAAATGGATTTAAATATCCACTTAAAAAATACAGGGTGGCTGAATATATTTTTTTAAAAGATCCAACTAAAATGCTGTCTACAAGAGACTCAATTGAGAGTTTAGAACTCACATAGGCTGAAAGTGAAAGTTATTCCATGAAAATGGTAACCAAATGAGAGCAGTGGTGGCTAGATCTTCTACTGTGCAAAATAGTCTTTACACCAAAAACTATCATAAGGACAAAGAAGGTCATTATATCATGAAAAAGGAGTCCATTCATAAAGAGGATATAACAATCACAAATACATATGCACCCAACATTGGAATACCTAAATATAAAAACAAATATTAACAGAACTGAGGGGAGAAATTGACAGTAGTATGATAATCACAGGAGACTTTGATACCCCGGTTTCAACAGTGGATACATCACCCAGACAGAAGATCAAAAAGGAAACAGCAGACTTACCTAACAGATTTATACAAAACATTTCATCCAACAGGAGAAGAATACACATTCTTTTCTAGCACACACTAAATATTATCCAGGATAGATTATGGGTTAGCCCCCAAAAAAGTCTTAGGGAAATTAAAATCATATTAAACATCCAACCATAATGATATTAAACCACCAAACTAGAAATCAGTAACAAGAGGAAAATTGAAAAATTCACAAATATGTGAAAATTAAACAACACACTACTGAACAACCAATAAATCAAAGAAAAAATCAAAAGAGAAATTAAAAAATATTGAGACAATGAAAATGGAAGCACAACATTCCAAAACTTTGGAATGCATCGAAAACCATTTTAAGATGTTTACAGCAAAAAATACCTACCTGAAAAAAGAAAGATTTCAAACAACTTAACTTCTCAAGAAGTTAGAGAAAGAATAACAAACTAAGCCCAAAGTCAGCAGAAGAAAAAAAAATAGAGCAGAAAAAAGTCAAATAGAAAATTTTTTATAAAATTAGGAAGATTTGTAGAAGTAAGGCTTGTTGTTTTTTAAACATTTCCAAATTTATTTTACAAAACCAGCATTACCCTGATACTAGTGTTGGTCAAGGATAATAAAAGATAAAACAGAAATGAAAACATAAACTGGAAGCCAATATGCCTGATTAAGATAGATGCAAAAGTCCTCAACAAAATACTAGTAAGCAGGATTCAATGGCACATTCAAAGGATGATACAACATGATTAAGTGAATTTTATTCCTGGGAGGCTAGGATGATTCAACACATGCATATCAATGAATGTGATACACCAAATTAGCAGAAAGAAGGATAAAAGTTATCATCCCTATGGATGTAGAAAAAGCATTTGACAGAATTCAACAAACTTTCACGATAAAGACTTTAACAAATTAGGCACAGAAGGAATATACTTCAACATAACAAAGTCCATATATGACAGACTCACAGGTGAAACACACAATGGTGAAAACCTAAAAGCTTTTCTCCCTAGATCAGGAACAAGACAAGGATGCCCACTCTTTCTACTTCTATTCAATATAGTACTAGAAGTCCTAGCCAGAGCAATTAGTCAGAAAAAAAAAAAAAAAGAAAATCACCCAAATCATAACGAAGTAAAATTGTCTCTGTTTGCATGTGACACGATTCTATACATTAGAAACCCTAAAGACTCCACCAAAAAACTATTAGAACTAGTAAATATTAACAGGCAACCCAAAAAAGTAGGAGAGAATCTTTACTGGGAAGTAGAGAAGGGCCAGACAAGTGTCAGAACAATTCTCTGTTGACAAAGAGAAATCATCCACTTTTTTGAGAAAGAGAATCATATGATGAAATTAATTTCATGAGTATTATTTCAAATGCATTATTTAGGCAAAATAGAAGACCATAGGGACAGAAGTCAAAGGTGGCAGTAGGAAATTCACTGAAGGAGAACAAAAAAGCCCAACTTAAATCATTGCCATGATAACAGAAAGAAAAAAATGGAAAGAAATATATAATTTTAGAAGATAAAGGGAGAAAAGCATAACAGGTTTTCCCACTTTCCAATCTATGCTGCAAATTAACCTCAGCACTCTCTTCTTGAAACACATTACTGGATCACCACACCTTTAGAACAATATCTTAACTACTTCCCCCAGTAATTTCAACATGTGAATATGAGTTTGCTTCTTAGAATCCTTCACTGGGAAGCTCTATGTTGTCATTTTCTCTACCTTGACATCTTCTTCCATAGCCTAAAGTGTTTTCCTCTTCTCCAAAGCCCCTTCCATCTTTCAAAATTAATATCAAATGTTAAATTTTTGGTAAGGTGAATGAACTATGTTTGCTCTTCTCTGTACATTACTTACGGAACTTAGTAAACACTGACATGGGTTATGTACCTGTCTTATCACGCTTACCAGATAGTGTACATCTGAGAGCAGAAACCAATTTTATGTTGGTTCCATTGCCAGCATCTATCATAATGTTTTGCACATACTACATGCTCAATAATATTTGCTGAATGGATGAGTTAAAAGTACCTTGTTTATTGGCACAACTTTATTGTTGAAATGTTCTGGGGATTTTTTGTCTCCAAGACAGAGAAACTCAGAATTCTCCTTCTACAGTAGGAGAGACAAAGATCCATGGTTTATTAAAAAAAAAAAAAAAAAAAAAAAAAAAGCAACGCCATGGGTAAATCTGGGAAATCACACAGGATGCCCAGTTCCTCCGATTATCCCTGGGCTCTTAACTCAGAAGAGAAGTCTGAAACATGTAGTTTATAGGATCCTGCTAATGAGGTACCTGGTATTATGCCCAAATAAGCAATTCTCTATTAGTGACACAGCCACTATGAAATAATTTTAGTTCAACCTATATTACATGAAGGACAACTTATATTCAGGGTACTTCACTTTCTGAAGATCTGTTGATATTTTTGCAATTTTACCCCCCCACCGCCCCCCCCCCCCCACACACACACGAGAAACTCATGGTGGTGCTCTAAAGAAATTAAACCCAAGGTCGTACTCTCCAGAATGGGTTAAGAACGCCAAAGCAAGAAAATAGATTACTCTTGTATAACGTTTTACAGTTTATTTTAACTTTTAATGACATCTCAATATATTCCTGAAATGTCACTGAAAAGTAGATACTATTAATATTTCCATAAAATTATACTGATAGTGACTGGGGAGCAGAGCAATTATGCAAATTACCCAATTCACACGGTTATTGGTTATTAAATGATAGTATCAATGCATCTCTATGTAATGCCATATTGGATAGAGAAAAACTGTTTGGGGAGTCAAGGAGCCTTTTTTCAGATGTTTTTCGTAATACCTATTACTGCAACTTTCTAAAGCTCAAGTTTTCTCGTATGAGTACTTGAAATAGTAAGATCTACTGTATAGAATTGTGAGGACAAAGTGAATGGCACATGTGGGCACCCACAGCACAAGGTTCTTCAGAGTAGGCATTCCATGAATGCCAGTTTCCTCTTATTCCACACCCCTTCTCTTCATGGAAAACCATCCATGTATACATAGAACATGTAGTATATACATCTATCCACACATACACACAAGCGTATTGATGTACTAATGATACAGATGTTGGGCTCTTGTTTATATTAGAGAAGAGCAGACATAAAAAGGATCAACATACAATTTCATAAGCATTCAGCTAAATATGACTGTACCTATTACTAACG
Source organism: Homo sapiens (assembly GCF_000001405.40). Classification (NCBI taxonomy): domain Eukaryota; kingdom Metazoa; phylum Chordata; class Mammalia; order Primates; family Hominidae; genus Homo; species Homo sapiens. The sequence continues at coordinate 30,321,663 of NC_000021.9, read as the reverse complement.
CCATTCAGCTGATGCAACCAGGATTTTACAAGAAGACTCTAGCAGCTGTATACACAGAGTATTAGGTGATGTCCGAAGTATACAAAGTATCCGGTTATACAAACAGTATTAGGTGATGAGGGCCTGGGGTTGGGGGTTGGAGTGAGTGGGGCTTTCTCAAATACATCAGGTACAAATCGTCTGACCTAAAATACTGAGATAAATTCAACATGTTAGTACAGGACCTCCGGGATTATACCATTTTATTTTTATATTTCTCCCCCAGTAGTAAAATAGTCTAGTGTTGTCTCATTGAGAAACCAACTTTCTGTTTCAGAGATTTCACTCCTCCAGGACAGAGGGAGACTGGATAAGCACAAGTATGTCCCTCAAACACCAAAATAGAAGAAAGTGTTATGATTTAAATTGACTAGCCAAAAGGAATTGGAACTTAGAGCCAGCAGATAATTTAAAATCCCATTAAAATAGCTACTGGAGCCACTGGGTATGTCAGTATGAGAAAAATATAGAGGGATAGTTGAAACTAACTAAAATCATACATTTTTTAAAACAATTTTACCAGAAATACATATTCTCAAATGACCTTTAAAGTACTAAAACTTAGGAAAACAATAATTTATCCTGATGCTTTTCCCTATGTAAAGCAGTTTAGAAGCTCCTTTTTGGAAATTGACATCAAGGCCAATGTAGAAAGCAAAATAAATTCATGTCATAATCAGTGTATTTTTTAACCAAGAACAATATTTTTTCAGTTGGAATATGAGAAACCATGCAATACATAACCTTGAAATAATCATGAAAAATGTCAAGATGCCTGACTTTCTTTAAGAGGTCTACTTCTCTGCTTTTGTTCACAGTAGGATACATAATTTTAACTTGGCCCAACTTCATTATCTATATTCAAGAATATCTTAAACATAAGCCAAGGTTTCAGCTTCACTCAGCTTATTTATTTATTGAAATGACTAAAATGAGCACATATTTTTGAATAAAGATATTTTGGTAGAAAGTCAAGTCTGAATAGAATTCTGAAATAAAGCAAATCACAACTTAGAAAAATAAATTCTAACCAAGCAAAACATATTGAAATTGTCCATATTTCTGTCATATAGTTTGCAAGGATTTTCATTTTCTCTTATACTTGTTCCAAGTTACTCACTTCTGGCAATTTCCAAGAAGAATAGAATTTTTCTTCAAAAAGATGTAAGTTCTCACTGTTTCAAAGAAGTTGCTACAACTTTCAAAGACAATTCTAAGAGAGGAATCTTAAGAATGTTTGTGCAATGGTGGTTATAATTGGAATAAGCACATAGGCTTTAAAATGTGTCTGTTTTGTTTGGATAATTTAAGAAGGATAGATCCTATTAAAACTCAGTCGCATTGGTTTATAGATAGACGTAATCAATGGATGGCATTGCAAGGAGCATCCAGTTTTATGGAGGGTGGAAGCCTCACTTCCTTGGCTATAATAAAGAGTTCTGATGCATCTTCATACAACAAGAGGAAGAGTCTGCACGCAGAAGCACCACCTTCTAGGGATAAATAAAGGGTCAAGCTAAGGAAGGGCAGAACAAACTTCAGACACTCACTTCTTTGCCTCAACTTCAGCCTGCTCTCACAACCTCACTATGTCTTGCCCCAACTACTGCTCGGGAAACTCCAACTCAGGATCTCTCAGAACCTCCCGCCATATTCCTCTCACCTCCATCGACCTCTGCCCTACCAGCGTGAGCTGTGGAGATGTCCTCTACTTACCCACTAGCTCTCAAGACCATACCTGGGTCACAGACAACTGCCAAGAGACCTGCGGTGAACCAACCAGCTGCCAGCCGGTCCACTGTGAGACCGGCAATCTTGAAACCTCTTGCGGTTCTTCCACTGCTTACTACGTGCCCAGGCCTTGCCAAGGAAGCAGTTTTCTTCCTGCTTCTTTCTTCTCCAGTTCCTGCCTTCCAGTATCCTGTAGACCACAGAGGTATGTGTCCAGCGGCTGTCGTCCACTGAGGCCGCTGCTCAATAGTTACCAGCCCATAGGAGACTGTGTGCCCAATGCCTATCGCCCCCAATTCTGCTTGTCCAAGAGTTGCCAGCCCCAAAACCTCCTCACTTCTGGATGCCAACCCTCGAGTTGCTTGGCCTATCGTCCTCAAAGTCTTCACGTTGTGTCCAGCAGCCTCAGACCTCTGGGGCCTCTGTTCAGTGGTTGCCAACCTCTGACCCATGTGTTCAGCACGTGTCGTCCATCTTGCTCTGGACTGTGAAACCAGCAGCTTCTTTGTTCCAGTGAATAATCACTCTGAGCATCCACAACAAAAATTCAAACTCCATGGACTTTTGCTTCTTTGCTAGTAGCAACTGATGTTTCTTAGTTTTACTGTGCCTGATCTAATGCAAGCTGCTTCTCTCGCATGTTTTATCTTGTTTTCATCTTTCCTTGACATCAAAAAAATTAGTTTACAATGCTATTCAATGTTGCTCTGGTCTGGGAAGAATGTATTTGTTTTGCACTATAATAAATGCGATTAAGTCCAAATTAAGAATCTGGTTCAGCGCTTTGTGTTTCATGACTTAATTTCAACACAGAAATAACCAACGTCAATTGCTTGCAAGATGACTGAGCTGGACAAGTGATACTCAACCATATATTCTTACCTGACAGTAGAGGGATTGTTTGATGGTTTATTCCTTAAGCTGCTTTTTAGACTTCTGACCCTATGTACTTGAGAGACCCAAAAAGTCCTTGGGAAAGCTGTTTTGAAAAGGAAAAATTAGGAGTGATGTCTCTTATCTCTCTACCCCATGAACACACTTCCACCAGAATGTTCTTTCTAATTGCAAACCTAACCAAGTTTCTGCTTACGCCTTTGATGGCTTCCTATAATCTATTCCCATAAGATAAATATTCAAACCTCTTAGCATGACACCTAGTTCCCTCACTGTCTTTCTCCCCCATACCTCTCTGGCTTCATGCTCTTTTGCTCAATATTGCAAATAATAAAACTAAGCTCCTGCGATCCTGACTTACACATGGGTCCCCAAACATATGCTTTTTACAGTCATCCATCCTTTTGCATAGGTCATCATCGAGAGCGGTATGTTCTTCAGCTCTGTTTTGAAAACTCATACTTGCTTTTACAAAAACACAGTCTTGAGTTCATTAATTAATCTTTTGATTTATTCAGAAACAAAGGTACTGCTTGCATACTATATGCCAGGCACAAAAGATACTGAGGTGAACAAAACAGTCCTGAACTATCACAGAATTTGCCAGAAGTTATAAGCTATGGGACATGTAACAATTAAAGATACATTTTTTCTCTCACTCAACCTAAAATGTGTGGGGGCATATATTTCATTAATTAAAAGGAAATAAAGTTTTAAAAGCCTGAATATTTACCTTTTTGAGGAACTGGAATAGCTAGAAAAGCTAGAAACTGTATCACTGTGCAAGAAAGTGATTGGCAGGCAGCTCGCAGTAACTCCCAGCTGTTCCCTTTAGACAGGGCACACACTTCTGGTTCTCAGTTCAATCTTGCCCTAGAGACTTCCTGACAATGAAGCAGAATGCCAGTTCCACTTACTATCATGATCATGCCACTGTTGTTAATTTCATTCTGGTTCATTATTTGCCTTATTTGCTTGCTCTCCTGGATATTTTGATTTTGTGACATCTGTATCCCCTATTTTTTGAAGCCTTTCCCCGGCCCTCTCTGTGCCTCTTACCCTAATCACACATTGGCTCAGCCTGAATTTTATCTCAGCCATATGTCTACTGTTAATCTTGTTGAACTGTTATTTTTAACATCATTTTAAATGAGATTTTAGTTAACATATAACATACATAACTAATTTTTGCATGTTCTTGAACTGTAAAATGAAATTATAAAGTATTTACCCATTGGTGTCTGTCTTCTTGTACTAAATATTATGTGTGATTTTTCCATATTGTTATATGTACCAGTAGTCTTTTAATTTTTTGTGTACATAATATTCAAGGTTAAAACACCAAAATATATTTATACATTCTTTTGTTGATGAGCCTTTGGGTTGTTTCTAGTTTGGATCTATTAGAATTAGTGTACAGAATATTCTTGTATTCTTCGGCTATATTTTAATACACATCTGTATCTATTTCTATTCTGCAATATGTGTAAGGGTGGAATTAAGTTATGTAGGATGTGCTTGTTCAGCTCTATTTTACACCATTACAAAGTTATCCTTGCAGTTATGCTAATATTGACTTCTACTATCAGAGTATGAGAATTCCAGTTGTTCTACACCCTCACCAACACTTGAAGTTGTCAGCCTATTTACATTTAGCACTTCTAGTGAGAATGTAATTCTAAAAAATGTTTGTTTTGTTTTTAATTTTCTTGATGGTCCATTGAATTGAGCACTTTTTAAATAAAATGTTTCTTGTTTCTTGGCCATTTAAATTTTTTGCTTGAAGTAACATCCATGTCATTTGTCCCTATTTTTAGTAGGTTTGTCTGTCTTCAGGATTGGATAGTTCTTCACATGGTCTAGATATTAACTCTTTGTTGAGTATACATATTTAGCTTAACTTCTTCCATATCATTCCTTGTCTTTTTATGCCCTTAATGGTGTATTTAGATTAACAGAAATGAATCTAATTTATTGATCTTCTGTTTATAGTTAGTAATTTTCTCATCCTTTTAAATAAAACTTTGTTTACCCCAAATTAATAAAAATATTAACTTTAGAAACTTTCTTATTTGATTTTCCACATTTAAATATGCCATCAATGAAAAGCTGTTTGTGTGTTTATGTGTGTGTGTCTGTGTGCCTGTGTGTGATGTGAGTTAGGGGTCAAAATTCTGTTGAATCAGCACCATCACCTAAAACTCTCTCCTTTTTCTACTACTCTGCAGTTCCGTGCCCCTTTTTTCGTAAATACATTATCTTTAAATGGATGGGTCTATTTCTTGACTCTGTTCTGTTCTGTTGACTAATTGTCTAGCGTTACCTCACTAACATGTTTTATTTTTCATTATTTGCATTTATAAACTCTCCTCTACACTTTGAGCCCTTCAAATGCTGCTTTTGTGGCAGTACCATGACTAGGCTCTCTGTAAATGTTTATTGATTTGAATGACAGTAGATTGCATTTTGATTGGATGGTGATGAGAAATTCACATTTTTTCCTTTGGAGTTTTGTTTTACGCTATCTTTCCTGAGTCTGGGGGAAACAAATGTTTGCTTCTCATTTCCCCACAGCTTACAAGTCCAAGCGCTAGGAATTAAGGAAAGTTCTGTATCAATTATCCCGTGACTAGACAGGACCTGCTAATAGCTATACCTTAGTCCACCTTTGATACTTGTCTATTGCCATCTATGTCTGATTTAGTATTTTATTAATTTAATTTCTTTAATATCCAGCGCAGTAGCTCTAATTGTTCATAATTTAGCCACAGTCATAGAGATTGTAAATTACTTGTCTGAGATTTATTTTTAAGTTTTCTCAAAGTCTGTGTTTCTCCACAGTAAACTACATTACAAGTGTAATATGAAGATTTATTTATTTAAGCAAATTACAGGGCAATGTACTATCTGATAAGTTTTGACTTCTAGTTGTATAGGTTTTATTCCCATGAGTAAGGTAAGTGGAGGGTAGGTCTTTAGGCTCCTCTTTTCACAAAATTTAAATATTTCTTTATTAATATTCAGGTACCATTGTGTTCCTTGTGATTAACCTTCTGGATGTAGTCATTTTCAAACTGGATTTTATAAAAGCTGACGTCATTTTGTCAAACCATAAGGACAAATAATACATTGCCCTTTTCAACTGAACTTTAATCAAGAAAGCGTAAGTCTCCATCAAAAGCAATTGTGAAGCATCACTACTTTTCCTTAATTTCAACATGAGACTCCACATACCAAATACATAAGAAAGACACACAGAATCATCTTCTTCTTTATCTTGATTGAAATGGGTTGAGGTAAAAGTAAACATATACCTTAATAATTATTAGAGTCTTTAAATCAGTCATACATAAGAAAAATGAAAACAGAGTTAGTCTAACAGATTATTCAGATATTTTGAGGGTAGAATTTGGATTCTGAGTCTTCTTTCTAAACTTAACTCTGAATAGTCACTTGCCAGTATAAACATTAATTTCATTCTCCACTGAAACTATATTTTTGCTTAGAGAATTTTTCCAGAAATTAATGAAAGTGATGCCATTGGGGATGATGACTCAAGGAATGTATGGATTTCTGGTTTCAATTCCAACCCGTAAGGAGCTTAAGAGTCACCAATATTGTCTTACAACAAGAAAACAATGGGCAACTTGAAAATCAATGACTTTTCCTGAACCCATCAAAGAGCTAAGTCTGGAGGGCCAAATTCCACTCCAAAATCTGGGGAGGCAGGTGAGTCTAGAGTCACATCTGGAGTATGCTTTCCTAGAGCAAAAGCTGCTGAAGCCATCATCTGGTAGGAACACTTAAATCATAAATTTGAGGAATTTCTGGAGGCTGAGTGTGTACCAGCATGTGTATCCAACCCTCCTAGCTGCTACAGTCTTAAGGATGCCTCATACCTCATATACTCCATGGTTTTTGCCTCTAGGGATCCCACAGGTTTCTCATGGAAGAAATCCAAGGATGATGCCAAAATGGCTCTGTCAAGAGAAAGAGAGGAATAATCCTAGAAAAGCATGCTCAGAACCTCCTCCATCATAAATCCTTACTCTTCAGGAAGAAAAGACTTTACCAGGACCTTATTCAACTCAAGGAAAGGGTATTTTCCCATTCCACACGATGCCTGCACTACCTTTTCTGGCTCACCTAAGTAGGGAGGACAAAGAAATACCAGTGAAGCTCACAGCTCAGGGACACAGGTCCAATAAAAGACTGAGGTTTAATTATAAGATTATGAAATGCTTCGCCTCTCCTCCATCTTTCGCCCCACACCGGCAAGGCTCCAGTTTAATAACAGTGGATTATAGTTGAAAGGGCTCCATGAAACAGATCGTCTCTAAGGAGGAGTACTTAGGTCAGCTGAAAGCCAAGAGGGTAGACAAAAATTAAGGATAATAGAGAAATCTGAAGCCTCTGACACCTACAACTACAGCAGGTATTAAACACAGCCCAACTTCTAGCCAGAATCATTTCAAATCTAACATTAAATGCCAATTTGCCTCAGTTCCTACTACTGAATATAGCACAAGTGACTTTCAACAAAAAAGTTAAGAGACACACCAAAAGGCAATGAAAGCACAGCCTCCAAAGTAAAAGCAAGCATCCACATCAGACTCAAATATGACACAGACATTGGAATCATCAGACACAACTTAAAATAACTCTGATTAATACATTTAGAGTTCTAATGGGAAAAGTAGATATAATAACATATAAAGACAGATGGACAATGGAAGCAGGGAGATAGAAATTTAAAGAATGAATTAAACTAGAAATAAAAATTACTGCAACATAAACGAATAATTATTTTAATGGTCTCATTAGTAGACTAGTCATGGTGAAGCGCAGAATCAGTGAACTTGAAGCTAAGCCAATAGAAACGCCCCAAACTGAAATGCAAAGATTAAAAAAACAGAAAAACAACAACAACAAACACAAAAACACAGAAGAGGACATCCAAAACTATGGAACAATTCAAAACATATAATATACTCTTAACTTGAATGTCAAAAGGAGAAGAAATAAGGTTTTGAGGCAGTAATGATGGAGAACTTTCAAATTTTAATGATAAACACCAAACCACATACTCAGGAAGCTCAGAGAACACCAAGCAGCATTTTAGAATAAAACAAAAAGATTATTATACCTAGGCATATCATATTCATACTTCAGATAAACAAAAATGATGTGAAATCTTTAGAAAAGAAAAAGCCAGGGGAAAAATACCTTATCTATAGAGAAACTGGGACAAGAATTACAATAGACTCCTTGTCAGAAGCCATGCATGCAAGAAAAGCATGGAGTGAAATATTTAAAACATATGCAGTGACATGATTACTTACTCATTGTTCCACTTATCATTTAAATCATTAAACCAGTCATTTTCTTTGCTTTTTTTTTTTTTTTTTGGATTATGTTCCCTGAAACGGTTGGGAGAATCTACTTAAACATTTCAGATTGATAATTCAGTCAGTGATTCATCGTATCATTTGATAAACGCATTTTTATCCTTCGAAGTAATTTCAGCATACATAAGCGCTCAGTCAATAATAAGGAATTTCTATCGTATGCCAAGCCCTCTTCTATGTTCTGGAAATACAATAATAAACAACTCAATCTGGGGGAATGACAAAAAATAAATCATAAATATTGATAAAGAAATATGATAATATTAGAGTATATAAAACAGTATAAAGGGGATACAAATTATATTATAAAAAGAGGGGAGCTGGTTAATTTTAACAAGGTTGGGATATTTTGGCTTTAACAAAAATTTCATTTGAATCATATCTAGAAATATTAAAAGGAGAGTGCCCTGCAGTCAACGGTTTTAGACATGGAGAACAAGATCAAAGGCAGGAACTTGGGGAGAATGCAGAATAAAAGGAACCCAGTGCAGCTAGATGGTATTGAGTGAAGAAAGAGCAGTATCAGAGAGTTTGCCAATATGTTCAATACATTAGACCCTTTGCCACCAACAGGGTCACCTCAAATAGTTATGTCTGAAAGGTATTTAGCAATCATTGGTTGTTTTCCAAAAGTAGAGTAAGTTCAACAAGATAGACTTCTAATTAAAGATGAGTATTTAATTTTTGCTTACTAAGAATTATAGCATCTTGCTGAGACAGTAAGATCCAAGTGGTCCATGTTACATAACAAGACTTATTCTTTCATAAGATTATTTTTTTAAAGCTTGCAATTATAATTTTTAGGAGTTGTTAATTAGTTATTCATCTAATGTCTCACTGGAGTCACTTTAGTTTCTGACCTAAGATTTTGGCTGGTAGTCCTAGTCCATTTTCTATTGCTGTAACAGAATACTACACACTGGGCAAATTATAGACAATAGAAATTTTTATCAGTTCTTAGCTATGGAGTCTGGAAATTCCAGATAGAGGGTTTGCATCTGATAAGGATCCCCTTGCTGTGTGAAAACATGGTGGAAGATATCACATGATGAGAGAGAACAAAGGAGCCTGTGAGACAGAGAAAGGGTATCCTGGGGAACTCATTCCCAGGAGTCTAAACCACTCATGAAATAACAGGATTTATGAAGACTCTGCCACTTAATCACCACTTAGAGGTTCCACTTGCCAAGATCATCACAATGGCAGTTAAATTTCAACATGAGTTATGGAGAAGACATCCAAATCATAGTACTGGTTATGGATTTTTGTTGTTGCTATCTGTGATGTACCAGCAGCTATGCAGGGATAAGCAACAATATTTTTCTCTAGATGTGTTAATATATTCTGTTACTCCCATTCATGCATTTATTTCATCAATGGAATAAAAACAAAAACAGCATATTTTGAACTTTTCAATAAATCCTTCTAAGTTATTACGTGGTAGAAGAATATACAGTGTGTGTAATTCTTAAACCAATAGAAGGGAGAAGTATAGTCCACTTCAAATCATAGAGATGACATATGGAAGTGCCCTTCCTAATCAAGTAAGAAAGCCTAGTGACTTTTTCCTTGCAATATAAATATGCAAAATCTTTCCAATTTGACACTGATGTTTATTAACTTCCAACACAAAGTTCCTCAGCCAATACCTTGTAAACATTTTACTCACCTTTTAAACCTTAACAAATTACCAAAACAGATATTAAGATATCAGAGTAAACCTGATTGCAAGCTTTAAAGGAAATACATAACATAAAACTTTCTTAGTTCTATAACTTTTCTGACATATATCACAATGACAGTAGTTAAATGTTTGTGACCTTATTCAAGTTCCAAGCACTTTTCTTCTCTCAAATTTTTTGGACATTTCTGTTCCTTTTTACTGGTCTTATTACTTTTTTTTCATAGGAAATTACTCTTTATATTTTAATGTATTCCCTTGATCAAATAAGCATGTCATTAATGATATTAATTCTTGCTGACATATTTACAATGGACTTTTTTTGTACTTGGAATGCAGATGTTCAAAGTTTGGTTTGTGCATTAAAACAAAAGCAGGTTGTTCTCATACTAATCTAGTTTGTGCTGAGAGATATCTGGCAATGAAACTAGAGATCTACTTTTAAAATACAATATGTGGCTATTTATACTCTGAGGTGTGTAACAATTATCTTGATAGATAGCATTAATTAGGAAAAATCCCACAGATTACTGAAAGTTTTCATGTCCTATGCATACTCCAGTAATTTTATACTATGGAAAGCAATAACTTTTTCAAGTAGGTGAATGCCCTTTACGTGACATCTAGGCCTCCGGGACAACATGAGCGGGCAATTTACTGCACACGAGGCACCTATATCATGTGCCATATACAAAAAGTGCTACTAGTGAGAGGCTATAGGATAAACTAAAAGGAAATCTTCAAAGTTCATATCCCAACAAGGGTGAACTGAGGAACAGCCATTCTGTATAGACAGTATAGTATTGACCATGTCATTCAGATACAGGTTCTTTACTTGAATCCAAAGGAAGGGGACTGCAGATTGGACATTTGATATACGGATCTTTCAACTAAATGCCAGAACTTTTCAGTATTAGAAAATGAATACAAAGCTACTTTCTGTAGTAATCTAATCTAATCAAATAATTGAGTGTGGCCCCTCAAAAATGTATTTAATCCTCTTCAGTAAATTCTTTAAAGCCCATGTTAAGTTTATCTAAATATGAAGTTAATAATAAACACCATATTATTACTTAATGCCTCATTGCAGAACAGTCAATAAAGTGTCAAGTTTTTAAAATTATTCCTGTGAACTAATACAATATTGAATAAATTATGGTTGGCCTTCTTAATTATATCTATATTGACCAGTTCTATTACAACATGTAGATACAATTATTTAGCAAAACATAACATATCCCTTTTATAACAGAAACATTCACATTAAAATGATTCTATGAAATAGGCCCACATGAAGATATCGAGCAATCAAGTTCAATTATGGAAGCTCGTACTTTCTTATGCACAAGTACCTGTCATCATTTTTGATGCACCTGCTTAACTTTAATCAGCTGACTATGGACATTGACTTGTACTTTTCTAACTGACAGTTGTGCTGGATCACAGGTGTTTTAGCTTTGTATTTCCTCTGCTATTATCTTATTTTTTCATCCAAAGAAAAAGACAAAAGACATTACTATTCTCTGAAGAAACAATCAAATTTTTTTAGTATTTGTATGTCTTAGCAATTAATTATTTAAAAATTAAAGGAAGGATATAGGGTTTGCAATATAGGTCACACTCCAGTTAGTGAAATCAATTGCAGGCTATGTTTTCTTCTAAACTCAAATCAGAGCATTATTGCAAATGTCAAAATCATTTTATTTCCATGACCTAAAAAAATGTAGTGTACTTAATAAGAAATTTTTTATAGAACCTTCCAAGGAGTAATTTAGCCTTACCTAGGCAGTCAAGGCCAATGACTTCAGAGGCAAATTCAGAGGATACACACAAAAAAACACAATATTTTGCTGCCTTTTCACTTTTTCTGTTCCTTTTAATTCCATATACAAGTGCTATCTACCTCTGGCTCCCAATATAGACAATTATCAGATGTAACAATACAGTGGAAAAAAAAAGACCACACAAGGAAATGTTATGCGGCCCGCACGTAACACGCTGTCTGTTCCTGTTTGCTCTAGGGACAGTTGTATGGATGAGCCTTCATTCTCCATTAAAACAGAAGAGCACTTTCCATTTTCTTTATGAAATTCTTATTGGTCGATAAATATCTGGTATTGTTAAGTCAGCATGAGCTGAATCTCTGGAGGTGATGATGGCCTATAAGAAATATCTGTAACACAAATTTATGAATTGATTACAGAACTTTCTCAACCACAGGGTAAAGAGACTGCTGTATTTTAAAGCATACTTGTTGCCTTGTTTCCCATGAAGAGACCTATACTTCATTACTCTATTTATTATTAGGGTGAAACTGTGAGGAGAACAAAATGCTTTCTATTTCCTTCCCAGTAGTGTGAAGAGATGGCAAAAATGAAGAAGAAAAAGCAAGACAGGGAGAGAGAAATCTTGAAAGAAAAAAAATTTCCTCGGGGTTAGTCTCATACTATGTTTGCTGAAACACAGCTGAATACCATTATTTAAAATTACATCTTCAAACACATCATTCGGCATAATTTAATCAACAAATACTTTTGAGTTGCTGTTATATACTAAGCATTATTCTAAGTGCTGACCACAGTTCATTTTTAGCTGTGGACTGTGAATGGTCCACAGTTTACTGGACAGTAAAATGGACACTCATTTTACTGAATCTTCTACATCTATAAACAAGCAATTTAGAAATATTACTATGTTAATGCTTTGGCACATGGAAGCCACACACTACTAAACCTTTAATCCAATGTGTCACTCTATAATCTAATCTATCTATCAAATGTCAAAGCAATTTGATATAAGTCTGTCAGGGGAGTTCTGCAAAATAAAATATTTGGTGAAAGTTGCATAAGAGCTTTCCCCAAGAAGGTTCGATGGAAAATTGTTTCTATCTTAGATCTTTTGGAATGCAATGAGTTTGTTTTAATTTTATATAGACATACTAATCAGAGACTTTGATAATTGTCAAATGTCTGTGGAATTTTCTCATCCAGTGGATTTCTAACCAGGCTTTGTAAATGTATCCTCAAAGTAAATCAAGTTATTGGGTCCAATTCCAACTCTCTAAATATGAGCCTCTAAGTGACAGGCCAGGAATCGGCTTTTTTTTTTTCTAAAAATTCACCGTATTTTTCAAAGCAAAGGTTAATTTGACAATACAGAATCCATCAAAACTACTCTTTCTGAAAATGTTCATTTTCTTCTGTTTTTTTAAGAAAAATATCTCTTTTTAAAATGAAAGATACATTTACTGAGTGATATTAAAACTGACAATAAAGATCCACAACTAGGAAGCTAAATAATCAATACAAATATACCAAAATAGAAAGCCTCACCAGTCATCTAATGAATACTTATTAGCTCAATAACTAAACACTATTTTTCACATCAAACAGTCAAAATAAATATGCTAACAATACTTAGTGGTGTTGAGGAGGTGGGGAACCAGATACTCATCACTGTAGTCCAAGTGTGGATTTGGACACATGTATCAAAAATCTTTTAAATATATTGTTATTTGAATAGGTTAGATTTTGTTTAATGAAATAATAAACTAAATCAGAATAAACCAGATGTAAGAGCACCCTCCAAACAAATCTTAGTAAATTTTCTAGTTCTCACAAGGGTCTATAAAAACATTTGCAAAATCTCTCAGGACTTTGGAATCCAATTCACCTCAGGTAGGGTTCCAATTAATTTGAATTTTACATGCTAGTTTTTGTTTGTTTGTTTTTGTTTTTGAGATAAAGATTCGCTCTTGTCGCCCAGGCTGGAATGCAATGGTGCAATTTCTGCTCACTGAAACATCTGCCTTCCAGGTTCAAACAATTCTCCTGCCTCGGCCTCTCGAGTAGCTGGAATTACAGGCACCCGCCACCATGCCCAGCTAATTTTTGTGTTTTTGGTAGGGATGGGGTTTCATTATGTTGGCCAGGCTGGTCTCAAACTCCTGACCTCAGGTGATCTGCCCACCTTGGCCTCCCAAAGTGCTGGGATTACAGGTGTGAGCCACCACACCCGGCCTAGTATGTTATTTAAATGGGTGAATTTATATGGAGATACAATCTGGATAGAATCTTAGAATAAATGATAATATTTTATTTTGAAGAGTTTAGTTTATAAAAAGCCCACCACATTGTATACATTTTTTCTCTTTTTGCTGACAAAAAGAACTGTGAAACCTTCAAGAATGAGAAGTCATCTTTGTTTTGCAAGCCACTAACCTATTCTTTGGCATGTTGTATCCACCACCTGTGGAAAAGAGCACTTATGTTCCCCTCTTTCTTGCACCATATTCTAAAGAAGGAATTCCATCTCAGCTAGTTATGATTCTGAACATTTCCTGGACAAAATGAAAAGAATGAAGGTTAATAGCTGCGACATTTAAAATTATGAGTAAAATTATACAAGAAAGCTGGAGGGCATTTTCATGGACATCCGAACAAACTATTAAGGGAATGACATCAGGTAAGAGAATCTCAGGAAGACAGAAGTGAGTGAGTATACGGAACTGCCAGAAAGCAGTGAGGATATATAAGAAATTTGCTTAGAAGGTGATGAGCACATTTGAAAAAGCTTCTATACATCTTCTGAAACTCACTTTGTTAACTCATGTGTTTCAGCTACTGCTGCTTTGGAAATGAGAGCTCCTGCTCTTTGAGGAGTTATTGCTACATTCTTTTTTCCTGATTTGTTTTTCTCTGCTCTAGAAGAGTGAGCTAAAGAGGTGCCCTCTGCTTACTTAGTAGTTTCCAACCTGGGTCCTGGACAACTGCCAGGAGAACAGTAACAAACCCACCAGCTGCCAGCCAGCCAAATGTGCGTTCAGCAACTGTCAAATCTATTGCGGCCCTTCTACTGATTGTCCTGTGTCCAGACTCTGCCAAGAAACTCACTTTGTTCCTGCCACTTCCTGTGTCTGTAGTTCAGGGCATCCACCAACACACACCACATACCAAGATTCCTGATTAACAGCTTCCATCCACTGACCCACTTCTCTTGTATCTACTAGATCTTGAACTATATGTCTGATAGTGGCTTCCCTTTGACCTATGTCTTCTGTTGTCGCCAGCCATTGACTAGATGCATAGCAGATGCCAACCGCTAACCTTATTGTCAGCTAACTTCAGATCTCTGAGCTATGCTTCTGGTGATTTCTAAAGCTTGTGCTCTCTCTGGAGGACCTGGCATTTACCTTCCAGTAAGTTTGGCTAAGCAGAATCAATATTAGGATTGAGATTTCTTGCTAAATATAGCTTGCCATATATCACTTCTTAAAAAACTCTTCCAAATAAAACTCTTTCTTTTTGTACCAGTTGTTTCAAGATTCTCCTGGCCAGCACAGTCCCTCAGGTTTTGTTTGTGTGTCTTCCACCAGGTGAGAGAAGACTTGCTTTAACACCTAATAAATGTGCTTCCTCAGGTACTAAAAATGTGACTTTTGTTAATATTTATTTATTAATTCTAGTGGAATTATGATGCTTTTAATTAATGAGAGAGCTCTAGCTGCTTGATAAAGAATTATAAATGTAACTTGAGTGATTTGCTGACTTCTTCATTGATTCACTCAGCAAGTGTTCATCAACTTTCAAAAGTGTGCCAGATAGTGCGTTGTAATATTTACTCTGGATTCTTCTGGATGTTTCTCTTCCTAAATCTTTTTCTTTTTTCTTTTTTTCTTTTTTGAGACAGGGTCTCAGTCTGTTACCCAGGCTGGAGTAAAAGTGCAGTGGCACAATCATAATTCACTATAACCTCAAACTCCTGCACTCAAGAGATCTTCCTGCCTCAAACTCCTGGGCTCAAGAGATCCTCCTGCCTCCTAATATTGAGGCAGCCGTTGACTAGTAGCTAAAATCGCAGGTATGCACCACCATGTGCTGCTAATTTTTAATAATTTTTAAGAGACATGATCTCACTATGTTGCCTGGGCTGATCTCAGACTCCTGGCTTCAAGTGATCCTCCAACCTCTACCTCCCAAAGCACTGGAATAATAGGCATGAGCCACTGTGCCAGGCCTAAGGCTTTCTTATCATTTATAAATTACTCTGACTAAACCCACTCAAATCCTTATTTTGAGACTTTCATGGGACTAAGTCTAGAAGGGAATAAACCTCATTCAACAGTGGTTCACAGAGTCCCAGTTAAGACTGTACTTAGGGTTTATGCTACCTTTTTATGGCTCTCAAAGATGGAAAGTAATTAAAATTGTGTAATCTTGCTGATGAATTTTCAAGTGACCACTGTGATTAAAAGCATAAAACTACTAAGCAAACATGGTGGGATATAGGTGTGGAAGAGCCGTTAGTGATTCTCGAATTAAATGTATGTGCAAATTCCTCATAATTAATTAATATCTGTTGAAATTCCATCAACTCTTCTGCAACTAGAAAAATTGTGCTCATTATTTACAAGATGGTGTCCTAAAATTAATGTATTGTACCAGTTACTAAAAAATGTATGAATTCTAGGAGGTAAAATACAAATGCAATGTATAGAGAAGTATACAATGTGTGCAGGGGGTTAAATTTTCCTCAGTGCTTTATTTACTCTTACTGGTAAATTAGTCACGTGATTTAGTATATAGTGATGTCACAATAGGCCTATTTAGATTTTCTGGTAAAGTATTAGTTTTCTATAACCTGTTACAATTAGAAAATTGTGTGCTTTTTAAGTAAATAGCCTCCAAAACTCATAAAGACTTTGAAAACACCTACCAAAGGCCTATTTACAGCTGTTGTTCATTCATCAGAAATAGAGCTACTGAACTGTCACAAATGTTAAATTCTTCTTCCCTTGAATACTGCCTGGTGATATGTCAGGACCGTAATAACAAAGTTTCTCACCATGAAGCCCATTGTCTTTACTTCATTTCCTGAGAAATAAAGTAGAAGAAAAAAAGGTACAATCAATTGCCCAGTTCTTATTACCAGAGGGAGAGTAAAGTTATACATGAGGAAGTCACTTAGGAAAGTATATTATCATCATTGTTTTATAGGCTACAATAGTGCTATATAGCATTCAAAAAACAGCATAGTAATATGCTTTTTGCTCTATGACTATAGTCAAAGGAAAAGATATTTTCCTTTTTAACAATGGCATGGTTTTTCTTAAGGGGGATACAAAGAAATGCTAGGTAAGGGCTGAGAGCGGTGGCTCACACCTGTAATCCCAGCACTTTGGGAGGCCGAGGCGGGCGGATCACGAAGTCAGGAGATCGAGACCATCCTGGCTAACATGGTGAAACCCCGTCTCTACTAAAAATACAAAAAAATTAGCCGGGCGTAGTGGTGGGCGCCTGTAGTCCCAGCTACTTGGGAGGCTGAGGCAGGAGAATGGCGTGAACCCGGGAGGCAGAGGTTGCAGTGAGCTGAGATCGCGCCACCGCACTCCAGCCTGGACGACAGAGCCAGACTTCATCTCAAAAAAAAAAAAAAAAAAATGCTAGGTAAGCTATCACAAGAGCTGACTTATAATCTCAGCTGTGCTTGTTAATAATTCTGTGACGTGGATAAATTGAGTAAAATTTTAAATTTATCTTCTCATCAGTAAAACAAACCTGCCTTCCTGACTCAGACACTTGTCACAAAAATTAAATGAGGTGAAATATGAGAAAGTGCATTATAAATAGTACCTGAATGGTACCAAAATGTGAATTATAATTAAATGTTAGCTTATTTGACAAAAGTTAAGCCTCAGTAGCTTTGGAATAAGCTGATGAAGATGTAAAATAAACAAATCTCTTTGATTTTTCATTAGTAAAGAATTTAACCTATTGTTTGCATTATAAATAAATTCTTTATTTTAAGCTGTTTTATATTTGCAGAAAAGTCATGAAGATAATACCTAGTTCCATATATCCTGCACCTGGTTTCTCCTATTAATGACAGCATGCATTGGTATTCATATTTGTCACAATTAATGAACCAATGTTGATTTATTATTATGAACTAACGTCCATACTTCATTCACACTTCTTTAGTTTTTAACTAATGTCTTTTTTATGTTCTAGGATCCCACTTGAGATAGTACATTACGTTTAATTGTCATGTCTCTTTAGGCTATTTTTGTCTGTGATAGTTCCTCAGATATTCCTTGTGTTTGATGCCCTTGACATTTTTAAAGAGTGTCAGTCAGGAATTTTACAGATTGTTCCCAATGTAGATTTGGCCGATATCTTTCTCAGGATTAGAATAGAATTCTAGGTTTGCAGGAGAAAGACCAGCGAGGTAAAATTCCACATCAAGAGCATATGCCATCAACATGACTAATCACTATTGGTGTTAACCTCGATCACTTTGCTGCAGTAGTGTTCATCAAGATTCCGCTGTGAAGTTACTCATTTTCCCCCCCTTTTCATACTGTATTTTTTGGAAGAAATCCACTGTGTGCAGTTCATATTAAGTGGGAATCATTCTTTACCTCCTTAAGGAGTATCTGTGTATATTACTTGGAGTCCTTCTGCATTCGAATATTCGCTTATTCTCTTCTACTTTCTGTTTATACAATTATTTATTTATATCAGTATAAATGCATAAATACAATACATTAGGTTATAATCTAATATTACCTGTGGTTTTTTTGCTCAAATTTTTCCAGCTTTGACCATTAAGAGCTACATTAGTTGGCTCTTGTGTCTTTTTAACAAACCTCATACTTTTGTTTCATTTTGTTGTTGAACACTCCTTTTTTCTAGAAGAAGATCTCTAGTTTCATCCTGTATATTTCTTGTGAGGAATATATATATGTGTATATATTCCGTGTGAGGAGATAATGTTTTAGACATCACAAACCCTTGCAGATTCATTGAGCCTTTGGCCTTAGGAAGGTGTTGCTTAAAGACTCATCAAAATATTCTTCATAGTAAACTTATATTTCATAATGCTTTATCCACTTTGGTAATTATTATGATATCATGTTTGACATATCATTGAATAAAAATATTTATGAAAAAGAAGAGAAAAAGCTACATCCAAGACATAGCTGACCATGCAATATATATGAAGAATTATGCAATGACAATATCATTTTTGATTGCGTTAGTAGGGAATTAAATATTTGATAGCTGAGATATTACTTTCCTTTCCAGAGTCATCCTTTGAGAGTCTCTTGGTAGAACATTGCTCCCTATTTTTCTAAAACAACAACAATAACGACAATTAAAAAAAACAAAGAAATTTCTTGAGAACTTTTATATATATATGAGAATAAAGAAGTGGGGCTTGTTGGCCTAAAGTGAAGCATAACTTATTTCTTTTGCTTGAAAGCTATCCTAAGAAACTGATCTTCATACTCAAAACAACCATAAGTGAAGACAGTGGATTAACATAAAATAGGAATGTTGATTGTTGAACACAAACAAGATCTTTAGAGTAAGAAAAACTATCTCTATGACTCTACAAAATACGCAGTCTGTATTTAATTATTTTCAAAAACTATGGTAAATTGATTTTCTTTATTTATTGGATATTTATCTGTACGAAAACAGAGATTCAAACGAGATGATTTGGACTTGCTTCCAGACAAGATGGAGTTGCAGAGACAAGATTATTCTTCCATCTGAAGTAATACTGTAACTAGATAAATATCTAAAACATGGGTTTTCAGGACTTTGGATAATAGGCAAATAAATCACGGTATTCCATGAAAGACAGTTGTGAGAACTGAATAGAAAGAGGGTTGCAGGGATCTACAGAGGATACATCAAAGCCTTCACTGAGTCATAACCATCAGTACACTGCATGAAGCTTAGTGTAGGGACACCCAAAAGAATTAGAAGAGAGATAATTGGAGCCCAAAGATGGCTGAGAATAGTTTATATTCTCAACAGACAGAGTAGAAAACTGGTATAAAACTAGGAAGGGTTTTCTTTCAGTCCTGGGGCTAAAATTATCCTATATTAAATGCTGCTTTAGTTCTACCTAATGATGCTTACAAGCAAGACTCAAAAGGATCAAGCTGTTTCTGAGTAAATTATCTGTGTTCCAGAACAAATCACAGGAGTTTTTATAAGAATACAAAAATATACAACACACACAAAATGTTAAATCATAATATCTGGCATTCAATCAAAAGTTAACAAGCGGGAAAATAAACAGAGAAATAAGACCTATAATAGGGAGAAAATAAATCAACCACAACTAATCAGAAATTATGCAGATGATAGAATTGTTAGGAAAGGACATTCAAACAATTAATATAACTGTATTTATATATTTAAGAAGCTAGAGAAAATTTTGTTCATGTTAGAGAAATGGAAGATATAAACAAAGACTCAAATCACAATTACAGAGATAAAAACTAAAATGAGTGAGGTGGAAAATACAATAAATGGCTTTAACAGAAGGTTAGACACTGCAGAAGAGAATATTAATAAATTTCAAAATGCAGAAACAGAAACTATCCTAATGACATAAAGAGAAACAAATTCTAAATAAAATGAGAAAACCAAGTGATTTACTGTGATCTCCCCTAGCTTTATAATTTCATGATATGAAATACAGATAGGGCTAGAAAATGAGGCAGAATTGTGTCCTCCTTTCATCCTTGGCTATAATTGACTCTGATCCCTACCATTTCCATGATCTGTGAAATCCTATGCCATCTTGCCATTTCTACTAATTCCCTGGGTATTATGGCCCAGTGTTAACTGATTCTATTCTGGTTAGTTATCTCATCATCCACCCAGAAGCTGTACATAGCCCTTTACTATTTTCCAAAAGAAATGAATCAATAATGTTACTCTAAAGATTATTCAAATAGTGGGGCCATATAACAGTGCATATAGCATAACTCTTTCAGCCCCTGTGTTCTTTTGTCTCCAGTTATCTCACATTCGGATTAATTCTGGGAGCTCCAAAATCTTCTCATTCTCGAATGTAAAAAAGTTCAGCACTCTCTAAATCTTACTTCCAAACTTAGACATCTGCACCAACCCATGTTCCCAAAATAACAAATCAACCTCCTTGTAAGTAGACCGAGGTTTAGAAGGCAGTTGGAGCTACAAATAATTCGGTTGTTTTTGTTTGTTTGTTTGTTTTTATGTTTTTATAGCCTCAGGGGAAAGATAGTAACATTTCCATTCTTTTGACGCTTGTGGCATTTTTGTCCATACATGTACTTGAAAATATAGTATATTGGAGGTAAATCAGCATTATATACTTCACTAAATATAGACTTGTATACTAACTGAATCAAAAAAAGGAAAAACAGGCCTTATGTACAGTAATGCCCAGTTAGTTATGTCATGGGTATCTGATGATGGGGATCTAACCATGGCTAATCAATCCACTCACACAATAGCACAATTCAATTGTTGGCTATTGATAAATATAAAGGATAAGTCCTCGTGAATCATGAAGACACTTGAACTTTTGTGGGTATGTGAGAACTTAATTGGTTTGAGGGTCCTAAATCATTAGAGAACATCTCTTTGCAGGATTAGGAAAGATATGTTGCCTCTGGTATCCATTTTTTAAATTTAATGGTCAGTTGGCCAAACTTTAAAAATAAATGTTCCACTCTTCAAGGCAAGGATGGTGAAGTATGTTGCTAGTTATAAGACACTCAACAAAAATAATTACAACCTGACTTACTTGATTTCCAATTTATCCAAAGATCATAAAAGGTATTTATAGTGCTACCAATATCATTGGGATTCATATAAATATGACTGTTGAATATGCATACACAGGAACTGATATATACTCAACACTAGTGTGGAAGTTTCCTGTTGTCTCAAATAGGGAAAAGACTTTATCTAATTACTGAATTTGCATAAATGAGCCATGAGAGATTTAAAGGCTTTGAGCAAGAAAGTTCAGCTACTCATGTACCCTCAACTAAGAAATGTCTCTCCTCTGTGGGGGAAGGTTTGCCCTTTTCCACAAGCTGAGTTGAAAAAGGCAGCATGTGACAGCAATCTAGAAAACCAGCTCAGTCAATTCTATGTTGGCCATGATTGCTGTGTGTGATGGCTAATAGTAAATGTCAACTTGATTGGATTGAAGGATGAAAGTTATTGCCTCTGGGTGTATCTGGGTGTTTCTGGGTGTTGCCAGAGGAGATTCACATTTGAGTCAATGGACGAGGAGGGGCAGACCCACCCTCAATCTGGATGGGCACCATCCAATTTGCTGCCAGCACTGCTAGAAATAGCAGGCAGAAGAAGGTGGAATGAGCAGACTTGCTGAGTCTCCCGGCCTTCAACTTCCTCACACGCTGGATGCTTCCTGCTCTCGAACATCAGACTCCAAGTTCTTCAGCTTTTAGACTCTTGGACTTACACCAGTGGTGTGCCAGGAGCTCGCGGGCCTTTGGCTACAGACTGAAGGCTGTACTGTCGGCTTCCCTACTTTTGAGGTTTTGGGACTCGGACTGAGCCACTATTTGGCTTCTTTGCTCCTCAGCTTGCAGACGGCCTATCGTGGGACTTCACCTTGCAATCCTGTGAGTCAATTCTCCTTACTAAACTCCCTTTCATATATACATCTATCCTATTAGTTCTGTCCCTCTAGAGAACCCTGACTAATACGCTGTGCCTCATGTCTCAGTCAGACTAATTTGCATAAGCCGCTTCATCCAGGGTATGCTAAGTGGATAATGCTCAGAGCCTTTCATATACATTTAAAAAATTAAATCATTAAAGATACTGGTGAAATGGTGTTTAATGTGCCCATTTTATTTCACTTTATAGTCAAGAAAAATGAAACATAGGAAATTTATGTTGAGAGCTTTATAACTAGATTTGGCACTCCAAATCATGAGTTCTGGCTACATTTGCTTGAACCATAAATGTCAGCTCTTGTTCCTTCACCATTGAAAAAGATGACTCTCACACTGAGAACTAGGAGGAGGAATGCTGTTCTAGATAAGATCTACTATTTTCCCACCGCAATGTGTACTACCAAAAGCAGATTTTCAGAGGTGCCATAATCTAAGTAGTCCCTTCAAATGAAACCCCTCAAGGAAGTAGTAAGATCCATTTATCCTAATGTGGTCAAAATTGAGTTGTAGAGTTCATTTATGTTACTAGGCTAAAAATATGTTTCTCTGGGGAAGACTAGTCTAGGAATTTTCACTTCCTTTCCATGTATAAATACATTCTGAATCCAAATAATCAACCAAAAAGTGTACCTTTGGAAAAAAAACTTCATTGTAAATTAAACGGCCTCTCTTAGCAAACTAATTAGAAAAACATGAATTATTTCAAAATCTTTTATGTACAGGAATATATTCCTTGGAAAATAGTAATATAGAAACAGGTTACAAACATAAGCATTCTCTTCATATTTGCAATATCATGCTGAGATTTACCTAGCAAGCATCCAAGGCAAGATGGCCTCTTTCTTACACAGCACCTATCAAAACATGTGTGCTAACACCTTCAGTTTCTTGCTCACAAAATATAGAACAGTGACTTATATGCTCATTGGGTGTGGATCTTAGCAAAGCTTGTCAAAGCTTTTGAGGCCAACATTCTTCATTGGAAAGACACACTTGAAAATGATGTCAAATTTTCCAGAGATGAATTAGGTTTTGGATCTAGGTTATGTCTCAGAAGAATGCAAAATAAGGTTCAGTTTCCAAATTAAGAATTTTCATTATTTAGCTCTTCTAAAAATATCTCACTAATACTTTTAAATGTTAATATATAGATAGTTTGGTTCTGTGGGAAAAAAAAAGTGGCCATAAAGAAATTCTCTCCAATTATGGAGATCCATCTGTGGCTTTTTAGCAGTGAGTTCAAGGAATTGTCAAGACTGACAAAGGAACATGATTTCTAAAGAAGCAGTTTACCTATACTGTAAGAAAGATTAAGCAAGGAAGACCAGATTGACTTTGGAATGACAGTTATTTGAAGGATGTGATATTGATAATATATATTTTATACGGTGGTGGGAGGACTGCTTGGTAGGCGATTAAGTAAAATTCTAGTAAGATGTCATACAAATGATTTCCTCTATAGCCTATATATTGGCTATAGAGGAAACCAACACCCAGCATTCAGGGTATATAGAAACGATAGGTCACATAGACAACAACTACACTTCAGCAACCTGCTCTCTGCAATTTAATCAAGGCTTGATCTTCTGTCTCCACTATGTCTTAACGGCAATTTCTGCTTTGAAAACTACAGCTCTCACTCCCTTTGGAATCCCCACCAGGTTCCTGTCACCTCACCCAGTGCTCTCTGCATAACTAAGGTGAGCTGTGGAGCTCACGTGCCATGACAACTGTCACAAGTCATGTGGTGAGGGTGTGGTGCCTGCGGCCCTTCTGTCTACTCTTCGATTGTTTCCGATGAGTCCATATCCCATCAAGGAACTAGCTGTCTTCCTATCTCATCCCATAGTTCCAGTTCTTATTATTCAGAATCCTGTAGACAGCCTTTCAACTGCCATCTTCCAAGTTACCAATCTGATAGCTGTCAACAACTGAACTCCCTTCCCTATGGCCGTCAGCCACTGAGCTACCTGACCTATGATCATCAACCCCTAAGAAATCTGTTCTATGGATGCCAACCTCTTAGCTACGAGTCTGACTGCTAGAGACCCATAAGCTATACATAGAGCAACTTTCAGCCATATTTATTTTCCTTGAGCAACTGGCAGTATACTTATGAAAGAAAATTATCATGAATAGCTGGAACAAAAACTCATGCTTACTGGCTTTGATAGATCATTCATCAGTGCTTCTTATTCTACATGAGATACGTTATCTCTTCCAATTCTATACCAAATATTCTTAACAACTTTTCTTTGCTTCCGGATTTCTTATCATACACACACACACGCACACACACACACACAAACACACACACACACACACACACATGCACACACACATTATGTATAGTATTTTAAAGCTTGATGTTTTTCAATTTGGGTAAAACTATTTTCATCTATTTTATTTCTAATAAATCATATCTTGGCATACAAATCATACTTTTTCATATGTTATCATTTACATGTACCTTATTTTTTGTCTAGTTATTCCCTTAAGATATGTCAATCACTTTATGTAATATGGATGACTTTTAGACTCTGAATTAATTATGGAGACTATTGAATGTTTCCAGAGGTAGAGAAGATAATTTATTAAAGGACCTATGAAAAAAATCAAAGTACATAGAGCAATATGACTTAGTGACTGTCAAAGTGTTCAAGCACTATATGGCTACATGGAATTTGAAATCAGTATCCTTCGAGTAATAGTAAATTTAGAGTAAGCAGGAACAAAATCAACAGAGAAGCCCTCCATGCAGTCAGGGATTAGTTGACAGAGACTTGACTATGATGTGACTGTCAGCATTGCCCCAGAGGTTGCACTCCATTGCAGTTTAGCATAGAACTCAGCAGCTTGGCCTTTCCTAACCTCAAAAGAGGCTGTTACATATAAAATGCAATCATGTGTCCAGAAAGAAGAGGAGAGCATAGACTTGGTAGAACATCTAAAGCTTTCTGTAACAGGGACTAATTTGAGACAGAATTGAGGGAAAAAACAAAAAAAGAACATCTACATCTACTACCACATTATATATAAAGTTCTGATGCAACTATGAAAAATATAACTTTGTTTTGCAGAATTCAAACATCTGATGCTCTTGCTTTATTGTACCACACCGTTCCAATACTTCCAATGTGCATTTTAACTACAGAACTATAGCCGTCTTTCCTAAAATTGCTATTTTTCAAATTCCAGTTTCTCAGTTACTTGTTTTGTCAAATCAACTTGATGCTCATAAATGGGTACCATGGCTTGATTTTGATCGGTTCTGACAGAAGTGTTTACTATTGGATGGGGAACATGGAGAATAACTACTATGTGCCTGGCACATCTTATATATGACCACATTAATCCTCATAACCACTCTCCTGTACCAAAACTATTATGTTTTTACAAACGAGAAGACAGGTTCAGAATAAACCAAGAATAAACTAAAATATAGATAAATAGAGATACACACGCATACACATACACATATATACATACATACATAAAGTTTTAGGGCACAGTTGAGATTCAAAACCACATTCACCTGTTCTAGAACATATGCCTTATTTTACAATCATTTATTTGATTTTCAAATATTTCAGTTCTGCTGTTACACCAGTCCCTGAAGAAAAAATAATGGAAGAAAAAATGTATAATTTTTTCACATATCTGGTTCCAGGCTTTTTATAAATATTAAACATAATTTTTCTTACAACTTGCTAGATTGTTAACATTAGTTCTGTCTCACTGATGAAGAAACAGCCTTAGTGAGATTAAATCTCATGCCCAAATTTCATTACTAGTAAGTGAGAGAGTTCAAATTTGAATTCAAAACAATATTATTTTTCTCATGATACGTAACTGAATACTAATGTTACTTCTCTGATACAGTTTGATATACCAGTGAATTTTGATTATGTTGCTAGTCTCCAAAGAGACCAAAAAAGCAGAAAAAACATCATATTGTAACAATACTGAAGATTAAAATTCAACATAATTGAATGGTTCACAGCTAATAGAAACAGTAAAAATGTTCTACAAACACAAGAAATATGTGACTAATTTTATCATACGTCCAACTTGAAATGATTCCTTCCATTCATGAATATAAAATATAATCCAATATAGGAAAATGTGATTAGATAATATAAATATAAGAGGCATATTTTCAACTGTGAAATGCCTTTCCATTTTTTTGGAGCCTCTGTCTTGGGAAGGTGTAGTCACTCCCTACAATGTTCAGACTACTTTGTCCCTGTTTAGGGCACCTAAATCAATGATCATAGCAATTATTTTTTTCAGTTCTATAGCTACATGAAGTAAATTACAGAGATGTTTAAAAAAATAGATGTTTAAAAAAAATTCTACTACATAGAATAGTAGGCTGGGCGTGGTAGTAATCCCAGCACTTTGTGAGGCCGAGGTGGGTAGATACCTGAGGTAAGGAGATCGAGACTAGCCTGGCCAACATAATGAAACCCCATCTCTACTAAAAATACAAAAATGAGGTGAGGGTGGTGGTAGGCACCTGTAATCCCAGCTACTTAGGAGGCTGAGGCAGGAGAATCGCTTGAACCAGGGAGATGGAGGTTGTAGTGAGTCGAGATTGCACCACTGCACTCCAGCCTGGGTAACAGTGAGATTCCATCTCAAAAAAAAAGAAAAAAAAAATTCTGGACTTCCAGTTTCTGTGTCAGTTTCTGGTGCAGCATTTAAAAAGCTTGGAGGTCAACTTTGTAAAATAATTACAAAAAAATGTGTAATGTATACATAATGAGAATATCAGAAGAAAAAATAAAGTAACAGAGGAACTATGTGAGGCAATAATGACTGAGAATTTCAAAAAATTAATAATAGGCACTTAAAAACATAGATCTAGGAAGTTCAGAAAACACCAGTCAAGATAAATACCAAAATACCTTCAGCTAGGTGTATCATGGTCAACCTACAGAAAAGCAAAGCAAAGAGAAATTCTTGAAAGAGACTAAAGGGAAGAAAAACATCATTCCTATAGAAAAGCAAGAATGAGAATCACATTAGACTTCTCATCAGACATCATACAAGCAAGCAAAAAGTGAAGCAGAATATTGAAAGTTTTTTTTAATAAAAAACTACAAATTGGGTTCAATTTATACTGCTTGGGTGATGGGTGTACCAAAATCTCACAAATCACCACTAAAGAACTTACTCATGTAACCACATACTACCTGTCCCCCAAAATCCTATGGAAATAAATAATAATAATAATAAACAACTAACCTACAATTCTGTATCCAGTGAACTTATCCTTCAGAAAAATAGAAATTGTGGGAATTTGTTGCCAGGAGAACTGCCTTGGAAGAAATGTTAAAAGAAATTCTTTGGAACAAAGGAAAATGAAATAGGTCAGAAACTTGAATTTACTTAATGAGAGGAAGAAATTTAGAAGAGAAATAGAGTAGAAGGATAGAGTGAAGCAGATCAGTAAGATGTATAGTTGTGAGAATGAGGAAGGCTTGGAGGATTTACGATGAGATCACGTATATGGAAAGAAGCAGATACATTTGAGATATACTTAGAAGAAAGAAACAGTACTTGCTTATTGTTTGTAAGTGGGAAATAAGAGAAATAAAAGAATCATGTTTGATACTCTGATTTCTGGCTTGAGAAATCGAGTAGATTAATTTAAACTTACTAAGATAAGGAAATATAGGAGACGAAATTTTTAGGACCAGAATCAAAAATTTGACTCTAGATATTAAATTCGAGTGGCTAATAAAGAAAAAAAAGAAAATCAAAGGAACAATGTCAAATAAGTGGCTTGGATTTTTAAAAATCTGATCTCAGTGTAAAAAAAAGTTTATTTCACTCATCTAACATTCAAAAACATTTATTGACTGTTTACGTTGTTCAAGGAACTGGCAACTAGTAAAATTGATACGAATAAGACATATCTGTGGCCACAAGGAGGTCAAAGTCTTAGAGACTAGAGGGATAGTCTATAAAATATCTTTATCTCATAGATATTGAACCTAAGCAAACAGGTTCAATATCCTGTGTAATTGCATTAATTAGTTTTTGAATAAAGTTCTATAGACAAAAGGAAGAAGGAAAGGAAAGAAGTGGGAGCACTCCTCTTCTTGATATGGTTCTTGGTTGGTATTATTTGCCTATTGCATGCATTGAAAGTGTGTGATGTTTCAAATATGATGATGTACTGAATAGCGCTATTAAATTCTTGAATGAGCAGTATTCGTCCTGGGCCAAGATGATATACGTTTGACAAGAACAAAATAATTATAAATCATTATGTTGGGACCCATACTCTATTAAGTCGGAGTATCTCTAAGAAAGGATGAGTGAGGAATTGACAAAGTGATCCCTCCCCCTATCTTTACACACAACCAGGAAAATTAGGCCAATATGAACGTTTTTTCCAACCTCTATAGTGACAGGAGAAAATAAAATGCAATGTTTAAGGCATAATGCATGGATATGGGTAAAGAGATGCAGAAAATGTCTCTGAGAGCCATTTGTAACCTGCTTTTAAAAATGTAAAGTAATTTGCAGAGGCACAATAGAGAAGGATATTCCAGAAGGGTGTAGCTTATGCAGAGTTTCTGTGACTAAAAAGCAGGGTTTTATGAAATTTGAACATTAAATTGAAATGGAAATATGGGGGTTTTGGAATAGGATCACGAAGAGAAGTTGAAAATACATGTTGATCCCAGATATTGAAGATTTTCTGAACCTCGTTCAGGAGTGTGTACTTTATTATATAGGCAATTAGGAGTCATTAAAATCTGTATTTCACAAAGAACTCCAATGAAAATACGGAGTATGTATTAGACTTATAAACTCTAAATAAGATTTAGCATGTTAATTAGTATGTGAGAATGAAAATGTAAACTCTTTTTTTTTTATTTTTTTGAGACAGAATTTTGCTCTTGTTGCCCTGGCTGGAGTGCAATGGCGCAATCTCGGCTCACCGCAACCTCCATCTCCCGGGTTCAAACAATTCTCCTGCCTCAGCCTCCTGAGGAGCTGGGATTACAGGCATGTGCCACCACACCCGGCTAATTTTATATTTTTAGTAGAGAAGAGGTTTCTCCATGTTGGTCAGGCTGGTCTCAAACTCCTGACCTCAGGTGATCGGCCCTCCTCAGCCTCCCAAGGTGAAAATGTGAACTCTTAAATGCTATTTTTATTACTTTATGTTAATTTCATCATATCCTCCACCAGTCATTTCAAACAAAATATATAACTTCTCAGTAGCTTTTTTGATCTCAGGCTATTAAACCAGGTAGCTACATGGAGATGTTTTAAACTTAAAGAACCATTAGTCTCTACAGGCATTTGAAGAAATTATAAATGGAATTAGAAATAATAAATCAGGACACGCATCAGGTTGGTATATGTATAGGGCTTCTCTGGCATTTGTCATCAAGATGCAATACATTGTTTGATGATACCAGGTTTCTCTCATTTACATGCCCCACATCTAACTTAAATTTTAATTACTGATGATAAATGATGGGATTATATTTAGTTTGATAACTGTGGCCCTAATGACTTTCCAGTTACCAGATATATTTCAATAGCCGTTCTATTGAGATCAAATCTGTTTTCACTATGGTTTAAAAAGAAAAACCTTAATTTTGGTTTTGGAACGCTCATGTAACATGCCAATATGCTGAGGAAAATATTTTATAGACTAGTTGGTTACCACTTGTTTTCAAATTTTACAAAGAATATAAGAAGTGAACATAAACTTCAACTAAATTATGAGGCATTTAGGGGAGGTGCACACACCTCAACTAAAATATTTCACTTTGGAGGACTCTTCTTTGGAAGCATATAAGGATTTGAAAGATTTCACTTATCTGGAGTGCTTAAGGTTCTCAGAGAAGATGGAAAAATGTCAGACAGATTCTCAAACTTATCTCAATCCTTGATGATTCCAATCTCTTCTGTTCCTTTTTATCCCTAACAGTCCTCTTTTACATTGATGTGATCTGAGGCTTTCTTTAACAAGAATGTAGCAATCGACTGTGAAAATTCCCCATGTGAAATGTCAAACATTTTTCCTTTCACTGTCTGAAACAAAAAATGTGAAATTCAGAGGAAGAACCTTATACTACATCTGTACCAAATGTCATGTTTATGTAAATAAATGTCAAAATATATCATAAGTGTGTTTTCTCTGTCTCTCTCTGTTTTCTTTTCTTCCTTTGTGCATGTTTGCATGGGTGATGAGATATCTGCAGTTTTCTGAATGCTCCGTAAAAGCTTCCAATTAAAAAGATATTTCAATATCTTTTCCGCAAAATTAAAATAATAATCAGTCTTCCAGAATCTTCAATGAACAATGCAGGAACAACAGGACTATTGTACAATAGGAAAGTATTCAACAGAAGGATCATCAATGATACTCTAAGATGCCAAGTGGCTACTTGGAATCTTTAGTGTCCTCTGCTCATGAACAACTCCGTCACTGCTGATAAGTGAGAAGATGATTGAGAATGGAATGTGTTGGTTTGGGAAGACAAGAGACTCCAGAAAATAGATGCCTGTAAACATTAACTTGCATCTTTAGGGAAGAATCCAAAATATTGTTGTTCCTTCCATAGTATTCAAGTAAGCAGGCTTCGGACATCTTTTTTATGTGATATTATAGTTTTGCATAATCCTTGTTTAGCTCATTGCATGAAGACCAAATTGGTCCTCCTGAAAAATTGCTTCAGATGAAGACATCCATTAATTCTGGAAAGCTAGTACACAAGCTGATGACTATTGATATCATGTTTATCCTCTTATTTGAAGACCACAGGTACATGTAAGACATTTGCACTAGTATAAAAGCACATATGTCATCAATGTTACCATGTAAAACTATTATATGTCTTTTCTCAAGTGTTTGGAAATCAAACACAACTTTTAAGTATGAAAAATATTAAGTTGTCAAAGCTGAGCTCTTTAAAATGTACCCTAACATGCTTATATAAAATTGACTCTCAAGACAATATACAGATAGCAACATCACATAATTAGATTCTCAGCTAAGTATGAAAAACAGCGAATAGCATGAGATATTTTGTCTGGAAAATCCAAGAAACTTTGATATATGGAAACTATTTTAGGACATCAACACCTCCTCTAAGCATTGCAACATTGTATCTCTTCTTCCAGGATGAGGACTATGCCTTCCTAACTGTGGGGTTCCTTGTAGATAATGAATAGGATAAACATCCATTCAAATGGACTCCTTTTAATTAAGCATTATTTAGGAGTGGAAGCAGAAGCAAAGCAGATAAAATACACAAGTGATTACATCACACACATTCTGAAACCTGATAAACAGGAGAAAGATTACAACTGTAGATATATAGAAGATTAAAACCAAAATTATTTTATGAATGGGAAGAAAGTTATCTTCATAGGCAACACAACACTAAGTTCATGAGATATTATGATGCAAATTAATCTAAAATATGGGGAGGCAGAGAGTCTGAGTATATAGCTATCAAGGTGTAGAAGCAACCTGGTCTAGTTTGATGTAGACTTAGATAAGCTATTCTTTGTTACTTATCTGAATGAAAGCCTTACTTCAGACTCTGTCATGTCAGCCAGCATCTGCTATTATGGAAACTACAACTTCTGTTGTCTTGGGAGTTACTGCCATGTTCTTGTCACCTCATCCACTGCACTCTGGCCTACTTGTGTAAACTGGGACCATGCTCTGTGCTTGTCCAACCAACGCTGAATTTGACTTCTAGAAAACTCCCCAGAGACATGTGGTAAACCTTCCAGCTACCATTCATCCAGTTGTGTGCATGCAATTTGTAAAATTTCTTGCTGCTTTCTACTACTTACTGTGTCTCCAGACCTTGCCACTCAACTAGCTGTTTTTATATCAATCCTTATTTCTCAAGTTCCTGCCAATCCTCAATGCATAACAGATCTCAAGGCTTTTTTTTCAGTAGTTGCCACCCCCAAAACCATGTCTCTTATGGCTGTCAATCACCGAGCTTTATTTTTTGTCGCTGTCAATCACTGAATTTTGTGTCCAGGACCTGCTATCCCTTGAGCTATTTCTCCTATGGTAATCAAACTATAGGTTCTATATCCAACAGCTTCAGATCCCTGAATTATGTGTCTCATAGTTTCCAACCTATTTCCTTCATGCACAGCAGTTTCCAACCAGCTTGTTCTGATTTTGTGGGTTGGCAATCTCCATTTCTTAGAAGAACATGCTGAATTGTCTTTTCAGTGTCTTGCCCTGACAGCGTTTTACAGAAATTTTATCTTTAGGTTGAAGAATTGTTCTTAGGCTGATGGACCATTGTGTTTATAGTTCAGGTGCTGTTTTAACCTGTACCATTTTACTTGATCAAATTCTAAGAGATTGTAATTGTTTCTTCACTAGAAAATTTTCACTGCCAGCGATTCTTGATTTCTATGCCAATAATATGTCCTTGAATAGGAAGACAAGTTTTCATGGTTATTTATAAGTAAACTGTCTTCAAATTATATAGAAAAGAGTATCTTTTGGTTCTTCATTATCTTCAATGAAGTTAAGGACTGTTAGTTTCACTAAACAAATATAATGAAAAGAAAGAAAATAAAGAGTATCTGAAAAACGCAGGCAAGATAGATCCTTTCAAGAATCTGATTGCATGTGTCCTACTACTTAAACATTAAATATGCACCTGTATTTTCTAACAGTTAAAAAGAGAATTATTTAGCCCAAATAGACTACATTTTGCCTTAGCAACCAACAACTTCAAAATTCCAGATGCTTAAAATTGGAATGGTCTACTTATCACCCCTACTACACATTCATTGTTTCAGCTCCCAAATCATTCTCATTCTGGGACCCAGGCATAGAGGATCTTCACTATCAGGAATAATGCCAGTAGAGGCAGAGAGAAAATAGCAAGGAAAATTAATTGCTCATCAGCCCTGCATATGTCTTCTAAATTACCATTGAACAGAACAAGTTACAATGCCCAGCCTGCCCCACAAGATTAAGCACAAAGGGGTTACATAAATTTTAGTTCTGTACAACGGACAGCACAATATTTTTTCCTCTTGAATGAAACTTAAGTCCTCCCCCCTTCCCTCCCGTGGATCCTTGCATAGAGAAAATTGTTATTACTTTGAACTTGTTTCTCTCTTATATGTATGTAACTAATTAATTCAGTTATTCCACCTACTCACTGGGAACTTGTTCTTCTTACAAGCAACTGCTCATATTCCAATAACTATTCCACCATATTGATCATCTTCAATGTACCGGGCATACCACTACATGATCAATAATCTCCCAATGCACGTATGAAAAGATACTATCATCCCCATTGTTACAGATAAGAAAATTCAAATAGGTCAAGAAACTTGCCAGAAGACCCACATAAGTTATAGTTCAAAGACTTTTCATTGTCTTTCATATTATCTCTATTTTTATTTATTCAGGTTTTGGCTAATCTAGAAGCCACTTGGAAGTTATCAATTACTTGGTGACCATAATCTTCAATTCTAGAATGACAAATCTAAACTTCAAATAAAAGTATTTCCTCTCTGCCACAGCCCCACCCAGCCTTTCTCTCTAGCTGGACTAACTTTAATGGTGTGTACCTTTATGGAGTATGCCCTCTCTGGGATCCTTATTTCCCATATAAATGGTGGTAAATGCCTTCAACTTATTCAATTCCTCCAAATTTAATTTCTAAGATCAACATATAATTTATACACATCATAGCAAGTTACCTAGCCTAAAACAGCCTATTCTGGCATGTTCTTTCCTTCCTTTTTCCTTCCTTCCTTCCTTTCTTCCTTCTTTCCTCTCTCTTTCCTTCCATTTTTCCTCCCTCCCTCCTTCCTTCTTCCTCTCCCTTCCTTCTTCCCTCCCTCCATCCCTTCCTTTCTTGCTTCCTTCCTTCTTTATTTTTTCTTTCTTCTTGCTTTTGATGTACACATACAAAATGCAGTAAGTTTTAGATGAGATCCAATGACAATAAAAAATAATAATACTAACAAATATTATAGGCTGATGATAATGATAAAGGTTAACATCAAAACATCAGCTACACAAAACTATATTTCCTATGCTGTGCTTGACCAACTCTCACACCCACCTATTGAGCAAATACTACTATTAGTAGTATTTATTTAATTTAATAAATACAGCCACCTATGGAGCAAATACTACTATTAATTCTCACAGCTACCTATTTAATTCTCATAGCCACCTGTGGAGCAAATACTACTATTAGCTTTATTTTGAAGAGGTGGAAATTAAGTTACAGAAACACGTGGTAGTCAAACTGAGCATCAGAAACAGGATTAGAGTCCAGGGAATTTGAGCATTGAGCCTTTATTGCTAGCAATACATATACGGCTTCCAGGAACTAGCTAATGATATATGACACTGAAGGATTTGAGTTATACAAGAGGAGTCATTAGTAGCCTGTTGTCAAGCAAGTCATTTTTCTTAACTACACAAGGTAGAATTGTTCATTTTTAGCATTTACTTTTAAAGGACACAATGATTATTGTAGGACTATGTGTTTACAACATCAAAGTAAATTGCAAATAATATTTTTTAGTCTAATTGGTGACCGGAATTCCCTAAAGTGGAGCATTAGAAAATTAGAAAGAAAAGATTTAATTTGCATCTACTATGTCCATTGCACTTTTCTAGGTATTTTCATATTTATTATCTCATTGCATCTGCAGGAAAGTCCTGCAAAGTACATGCTATTAGCTCCAGTTTTATTTAAGATACTGATGTACTGAGAGAGAACAATTTTCCAAGGTACATGCTAATAAATACATTTAAATGGTAGTCAGCAAGACAGTAATGCATAACTCAGTAGGGCACAGTCCTGACAGTTCCATTTAAAAATGTTTAACTTTTACTACAGTTGTATTTCATTACATGTATACCATGTTTCCCTGAATTTAAGCATGAAAATTCCTCTTTCCACCCATTTGTGCTATCATTTTTTAAAGGCTTTACCTTCATTTATTTCTGTTTCTTAAAATTTTTTATATTTCTCATCTGTTCTTCAGCTTCTTAAACCACTAACGATCTATTAAGCCAACAATGTAAATGCTGCATTACATTTACAGCAATATAAATGCTACTTGTAAACAGCAAGTAACCAATATTTTAGGTTACCAATGCTAAATGTAAGAATCATTTTGACTCAATATTTGCAATTCAATTGTTATTTAAGTATGGATTCACAAACATTTTGCTTTTTCAGTCATAAGATCAGTTTTGCCTAATTTAACACCATCTTGGCAAGTGGAAAAATACATTACTGCATATATAGTAGCAAAAGGGAATATAAAATTTTGTTTGACCTAAAAGACTAGAAAAGTGTCCTCTATTACTTTTTTTAAGGGCCATTTACTGGAAAATTTAGCTTTATTTGATCTTCTGTTTACCCTAAAGGATTTTTAACCTTTGGATAAAACTGGGAAAGAATTCCACAACTCTTTTTTAATGAGGAAAGGAGTCTGCTGGCTCATTAGATACAGGAAGTTTGTTGCGTATTCCACAGACAGTATTGGTATCTCTCTGAATTATCTGATAGCTAGGAAGCTCATTCCTTACATCTTAAACTTTCCCTGAATACAGAGTGCAAACTTCTCAAACTACATAAGGACTATCTATTATATTTTCCTACACTTTTCTGGCATAGTGTATTTATTTCCTGTGACAGCTGTAACAACTTACCACAAACTCAATGGAAAGGCATAAAACAACAAAAGTGTATTTTCTTACAGTTCTAGAGGCTACAGTTCAAAAGCTGCTTCGCTGACCCAAAGTGAAGTTATCAACAGTGCTGATTCCTCCTGGAATCCCCAGGGAGAAATACATTCCCTACCTTTTTTGGATTATAACGATTGCTGACATTCCTTAGCTTGTGGCCACATCATTCCAAACTCTGTTTCCATCCTCATATTGTCTGGAAATTACATCAGGCCCACCCAGATAATCCACTTCAAGATCCTTAATTTAATCACACCTGCACAGTCCCTTTTTGCCGTGTCACGTAGCATTCACAGATTTCCCAGTACTGGAATGTGACCCTCTTGGGTGGGTGCATTATTCGGACTTCCGCACACAACAAATACTAATAACAGGGGAATTAATGGAAGAAAACATTATTTTAGGAGTTAAGTGAAAACAGAGAAATGCATATGACTCTCCAAAGCCTTCAGACCACGATGCCACTCAAACGACAATGGTCTTTATTTTCTACTCAAGCCTGCCATCGCTATGAACCTGATATTTGCTATATTTCTGATGCGGTGTGCTCCATCTCTTTCAAAGGTTGAGATTAGAGTAGGACACAATTGTGCAGAGGAATCATGTACAGAAAATGATGGTGTGAATGGGATGGGATGTTGTTTCTACAGGTGTGTGATGTTCTGAGTAAGGAAGGAGAGGAAACACAAAAGCAAATGAGAGGAAATGAGCTAGGGTTCCTTTCTCAAATCTCATTGTTTATTTGTTTAGAATATTATCATAGCAAAATCAATTTAAATATGTTCTAATGGCTCATGCTTTGAATATTGGTCATGCCATATGATGTTCCACATTATTTTTTAGACTTACACCTGTGTGAATCAAATTAATTCAAAATACCTCACTATTTAATTTTAAGATGGAAGGGAAGAATGTGAGCTTTACAGTAACTGACTTAACTCATTCTGTGTTTGTTAATGGTGTTAGCCCTCAAACCTGCTTCAAGGATGCCTAAGAAAAAAAGACTAGAGGCAACAATGATACAATAGAGAACTGTAGAAATAAAGCTTCATCAACCTGTGGCTTTTCTGTGTATCACTGGGGCTCAGTAACTTAGCGGAAAGTTGGCCGTCAACTAACTGCCCATGTATCTTCTTTCCTATTTTGCCTGCCTCAGGACTAACATTTTCCGCACAAAATCCCAAGGCTCTCTATAGCCAAACAATTTACTGGAAATACAGTTTCATGATTGTGGCCTTTGTCACCTGAGAGATACTGCAGAAGGCAGCAAAACATGTTTAATACAGAATTGCTTATTGTCAACTTACAGAACAAATACTGAGAAAAGCACTGAGAAAATGGAGATCTTTTTTAAAAAAAAGAGAATATCTGTAGGTTTAAATTGCTGTGCATTTGAAAAATCTGACTGAAAAGTAACCGAAAACAGTGAGAGAAATCTCATAGTTTGCTATAAAGAGAGTTAATTTAAAAAACTATCCCTATAGCTGATTATACCTGAAGAAGACTGTTCTATTCTCTGTCTGAACTCTTCACAGTTAATAAATGCATTGCTGTTTCCAATTCAATAGAGGCTGGAATTATAAATTATAATTTTATATTTGAAGAACAAAATTTCAGTTCTTCAGTATAAATTAAAATCTTTAAAAAAATTCTTTAGCCTTCACCCTGAGTAGTAAAAAGTGCTATTTCATATATACAGTGCTTGTAAGAACTATACAGTTTATTCAGATAAAACTTTTAAAGAGTTATTTCCTTTCATTGACATAAACTAAAAATAACTGCATTTTTCAACACAGGAGTAAAATAAAGTGTAGGTGCAAAAGAAAGCAAATAAAGAATAAGAGAACTTATTTGGGGAAAAACGGGGAAAATATTTACATCTGACAGCAATTGGGGTTTACAGCAGGCAATGGAACATGTGATATGTAATCTTAGTCAATTAGGAAGGTATCATCTTGCAAAGCTGGGTTTATTTGATAGTGCATATTGCCGACACTCTTTAAGAAGGGATTTAACAGAAGTCTTGGTTGCTTAGCAACAAATGCCCCCTGGGAACAAGTTCATTTTTAGCCAGGTGTTGGTCACCAAGTTTCCCAAGTATTGCTGTGAGTCTTACCTATGAACTTCTCCTAATACATTACATGAGAAGCCGTTACCAGTATATGGCCCTGCACAGGTAAGAGTATAGCACATATTTGGAAAACTGATTCTTGAAAGGTCAATGCCTGCTTTTGAGTAACCATGTTGAGACAGACAAACTACTTGACTTATTTCAGAGTATATGATTAAGTCCTTCAGTGTTTTCCAGTAGTTAACA
Source organism: Homo sapiens (assembly GCF_000001405.40). Classification (NCBI taxonomy): domain Eukaryota; kingdom Metazoa; phylum Chordata; class Mammalia; order Primates; family Hominidae; genus Homo; species Homo sapiens. The sequence goes on along the minus strand of NC_000021.9, from coordinate 30,283,338 downwards.
GCGTGGAAAAATACAGGTTACTTGCTTTACTTGAGTCCTTGTGAACCTTTAAATAACCATGTTGCAGAAGCCCATAGACCCATGAACTCTTGTTAACCTCTGATTGACAGATGAGAGTTTGCCTATTAACATGAAAATCACTATTTGCTGAAGGTATGGTCTACAGATGATGAGTGATGGGTGATGGTCAAAGTGGTGATTATGGATACTTTGAAGAATTAAAATAAACTTATTTTTACACGTGTGAAAACATTAGCCTCTGTGGCTAACCAACACACTAATGAGATGTTGCTGTGTTATTGCCCCAAGCAGACAGAAGAAAGAGTCTGGAGAGGCTTTTGACAATCACCAGGGAAGGTATAAAACGTCCTTAGGCCACAGACACACTGCACAGCGACCACTGAGCATGCCTGCAGGCTCCATGTCTACTACAGGCTATCCTGGGGTCTGCAGTACCACATCATACAGAACTCACTGTTATATCCCAGTGACCTCTTCTGTTACTCTTAGCTCCAGTGATTTAAGCCCTACCTTTGGACACTGCTTACCCAGTAGCTACCAAGGAAATCTCTGGCTCCTGGATTACTGCCAAGAATCCTACGGTGAAGCACCAACCTGCAAATCTCCCAGCTGTGAGCCCAAGACCTGCAGTACCACTGGTTGTGACCCGTCAAACTCCTCTGTGCCCTGCAACTCCCCATCAGCAGGCCAAGTCTTCAGTGTCTGTGAAACTACCAACGTCAGCCCCAGCCCCAGCTGCAGCCCAAGCACCCAGACCAATGGGTATGTATGCAATTGCCACATACCCACTCGAAATGCATCCAAAGCCTGCCAAACCCTCCGCAACGGTTCCAACTGCTTTGGACAACTTAACTGCTTATCCAAGAGTTTCCAAACTCTAAACCACTGCAGATTGAGTACTTTGGGGTATAAAAGCTACCAAAATCCTTGCTTCATACCCAGCTACGTCTCACCATTATGTTATATTTCCAACAGCTGCCAACCCCAAAGCTATTTAGTGAGAAATTATCACTATTCAAGCTACAGGCCTACGAGCTGCCGACCACTGAGCTATTTATCTAGAAGCTTCAGATCTCTGAGCTATATACCCAGTACCTTTCCACCTCTGAGGTATTTGTGCAGTGGTAGCAGACCTCTGAAATGCTATTGACCAACTTCCAGAATTTATAGCAGCTGGAAATTGCCCAATGGGGAAGATTCTACTAAGTACTAGAACGTCTAATTTTCTGCTGAATCTCTTTATTCAGCCTAAGAATCTTGTTACATTAAGTTCAAATACAACTCCCAGGTTTATTAACCACAGCCAGTATCACCTGCTAGGTTTTCTTTTTTCTGTTGTTCTGTTATTGCTCTTTGTACTAAAAGCTGACCCTGAAGGTAACATCATTATTTCTGAGATTTATTACAATGGACTTACCGAAGAGACTCCATTTGAAATACAACCATCACCGGCTTTCTTACTTTGGCTGTCACTGTCACTTGTCTGACAGTGTGATTATCACCTACCTTTCCTGATGAAATGGGGCCTCCATGGTTTGACTGCAGATTCCAGCATGCAAATTCATTCGGATGGCTTTGATTGTCATTAATATTTTTGTCAACTACCTAACTAGCACCTTGCTAATAAGCCGATAGAAAACACTATCTTGAGCATAATAAGTTGAACTATTTCATCCTTTTCTTACTGATTGATTGTAAGAACAGGCAAATAGCAATGGTGACTAGAGCTCAAAAATAGAAGACTTCAGCAAATCTTCTCTTCCAGAGAAGCCATAAAACAAGATTCACTGGTACTCAGCTTTTGTTCTCCATGCCTAAGAAAAAGCCTCAGAATTAGCTAAAGCATGAAAATTATTTGTTGAAAGAAGAACAAATACTGTTAGAGACCCTTTACAATTATGTGTAATCTGCGTTTAGGATTCTCCTATCATCTTGCCTTGCCAATTTATTGCATTCTGACTCTGGAAAATGTCCTAGTTCTTAGTTAATAAACAAATTTCTGTCTGGAAGTAATGGCTTTCCTTATGCTTTATTTCACATTTACTAAAATTTCATCCATATTCTGGGCAATATACATAGCATTGTCAAAATGCTGCTTTCCTGCCATTTAGTTTAGAGTCTAAATTAAAGATACAAAGAAGGGGCCAGATGCGGTGGCTCATGCCTGTAATCCAAGCACTTTGGGAGGCCAAGGCAGGTGTATGACCTAAGGTCAGGAGTTCGAGACCAGCCTGACCAACATGGTGAAACCCCGTCTCTACTAAATACAAAAAAAAATTAGCCGGGCGTGGTGGTATATGCCTGTAATCCCAGCTACTTGGGAAGCTGAGGAGGTAGAATCTCTTGAACCCGGGAGGCGGAGGTTGCAATGAGTCGAGATTGTGCCACTGCACCGCAGCCTGGGTTACAAGAGTGAAACTCAGTCTCAAAAAAAAAAAAAAAAAGTAGAATATGGAATCACAAGCTTCTGACTTGTTTTTTTCTGTTTTTAACATGTTATGTTTATCTCACCTAGAATGTCTACATTAATATTGATATACAGAAATTTGGAAACATAAATCAATTTAATAAAGAGTACATAGAGTATTAAACATACGTTTATTTCTCAGCACAGTATGTGTATTTATTGGTTTTGTAGATAAGGTTTCAGCAGTTAAATAAATTTAATATTGAACCTCCTAGAAGTCATTTAACCTCTGTAAGTTATTACCCAAAAAATGAAAATAAAATCATCTATTTGAGTGGTGAAAACAACATGATAAATACCCTAAGCATTTTTGTAAATAAAAAGCAAATCATATTTAAAGAAAAATAAAATGATCCCCAGAGATGGGTGTAACTGAAGTCTGGAAAGATGGGGAAGAAACCCCAATATCAAGAGTCAATGTTTAAAATTAAAACTCACGAAGCATATAAATAGAGCTAATATGTCATTCATTCCTTCAGTAGGACTACTGTGTGTACAAAGGGCTTTAGAAGAAATATTAATGCACTGCTTCTGCTTGAATGAGGCTGGGAATAATCAAGTCACTCCTGTGTGAGTTCGTTCAATTTTCAGAGAATTCTATTTGCTGAAAATTTCTTCTTCGTATTGAGAAAAATACTGTATAGTTGCCCTTAGCAATGATCTATTGACCATATAGGACCACTTCAATTCCTTTAACCTAGGATAGGTGTTCAAGTATTTGGAAATAATTACTGTGTGTCCCAGATGAGCATTCAGTTGTCCAAACTAAACATACATTTTTTTTTCTCTTTACAAAAGTTAATGGTAAACTTATTCTTTGAGACACTGAGTAGGACTCTTTGGGGATATCAAGATTTATAGATCTTGTTCTCAAGAACTATTTGGAAGAATAATATACTGAAACAAGCATAATACTGTCTTGACTAGTTTAAGTACAATATAAAAACTTCCGGAGAAGAAAAGAAAATCACCTTTTTTTTTTTTTTTTTTGCAAGACTCTCTGGCAGGCAAGAAGATTGCTCCTAACCTGAAGAACAAAAGAACACTCAGGGGAAGAAATGGCATGGAAGTGACATCTGAATGGTGAGGTAACTAGGGTATGAGTACTCAATGGAAAAAAATGTGTGAGGTGACAGGCAAATTTGAAAAGAGGTGTAGTTAAATTTAAGTAGAAAAAAGAACGCCTAAAATAAAAAAGGGAAAATATAAGACATTACCTTAAAGACCTTAGATAGGAAAGATTTTTTTCAAGTAAGTACAAACAAACAAATAAACAATACTTGTAAAATAAAAGATTAGCAAATATGGCTACATCAAAATGAAAAGCTCCTGGTAATATGAGATATCACAAAGAAATTAAAAATAAAGCAAGAGCATGTGTAAGGATGGGGGGATGATAATGCCTACCAGAACGCCATGTACTTTCCGCTCAATGTTTCTGTAAATATTAACCCTACGGAAATAGTCTATTAACGAAAAAATCAACCTAGCAACAAAACATAGAAAAAAAAAAAACCAGATTTAGAGAAAATATATACAACATGTACCATAAATACTATCCAAAATATTTAAGAACTCCTACAAATTAAAAGACTATCCTGACCAACATGGTGAAACCCTGTCTCTACTAAAAATACAAAAATTAGCTGGGTGTGGTGGTGCACGCCTGTAGTCCCAGCTACTCAGGAGGCTGAGGCAGGAGAATTGCTTGAACCTGGGAGGCAGAGGTTGCAGTGAGCTGAGATCGTGCCACTGCACTCCAGCCTGGTGACAGAGTAAGACTCCGTCTCAAAAAAATAAAAATAAAAAAAGAAAGAACAAATGACTCAATAGAAAATAAGCAAAGTATATAAGCAATTACTAACAAAGAAAATACGATTTAATAAAAATATTAAAAAGTGTTCAACCTTAGTAATAGGTAATTATAACCTACAAAATATTATTTGTAATCATCCATTTGGCAAACTTTTTTAAAGTTAATCATGTGGCAACTTAAAAATATATTCTCACATACTGCAGATGGAAATGGAATTTAACAGCCACTATATATGTGAATATTTAAAATACCCACACTTTATGACAAGGTAAATTCACTTCTCAAAGTCCCTTCTACCTAAACATCCTTTCACGTTCTACAATATTCACCTCAGCACCACCTGGACGCTGAAAAATTGAGAACAATGAAAAAGTTCATCAGTTGGAGACTATAAATTATAATATAGTCATATGAATAAATATTTTACAACAGATAAAAAGGATGGAATAGATCCATATGAATTAATATGACAAAAAGTTATAAAATTAATAAATACGATCTATAAAATTATGTAGACTGGCATATTTTATGTATAACCACTTGCAAATAAACAAACATTTCTTTATGTAATATACATTTGTATATTATAGTGTGTATGTGCGTGTGTACATATACAGAGAGAGAGAATAAAAAGCTTTACAAAAACACAGCCTACACAAAAATTGTTAGCTTTGGAGAAGTCTTGGAAATGAGGATTGGATATTCTGTTTTTCTTTTTTAATATACTTTAAGTTCTGGGGTGCATGTGCAGAACGTGCAGGTTTGTTACATAACCATACACGTGCCATGGTGGTTTGCTGCACCCATCAACCCGTCACCTACATTAGGTATTTCTCCTAATGCTATCCCTCCCCAAGACTCCCACCCACCGACAGGCCCAGGTGTGTGATGTTCCCCTCCCTGTGTCCATGTGTTCTCATTGTTCTAGTCCTATTTATGAGTGAGAACATGAGGTGTTTGATTTTCTGTTCTTGTGTTAGTTTGCTGAGAATGATGGTTTCCAGCTTCATCCATGTCCCTGCAAAAGGCATGAATTCATCTTTTTTATGGCTGCAGAGTGTTCCATGGTGTATATGTGCTACGTTTTCTTTATCCAGTCTATCATTGATAGACATTTGGCTTGGTTCCAAGTCTTTCCTATTGTGAATAGTGCCACAATAAACATACGTGTGCATGTGTCTTTATAGTAGAATGATTTATAATCCTTGGGGTGCATACCCAGTAATCGGATTACTGGGTCAAATGGTATTTCTAGTTCTAGATTCTTAAAGTGATTTTTAGACTTAACAATTATGCTTTGATGAGCAAGTAATTTTTAAAATTTAGAAAAATAGAAGTACTGAGAAATAAAGATGGCCCCATCCTAAGAATTGCTAGAGTCAACGACATTCTCCAAACTACTATTAATAAAAACATTGAATAGCAAAATGAAATAGGCATCAGTCCTGTATAGCACATTGCCTTCTAGAAAGCCATAGGATGTGAGGATTCATATGTTTTGTCTGATTCAATTTTAGTTAAATTTTATTTAGGCAAAGAATATCGCTAGTAAACAACATACTATGTCCATTGCTCCAGTGACAAGAAATCAGCCGAGATCCTTTAAATGTGTGTTTAAAAATACACAATTTAAACTTCTTTTCCCATAAATTTCACTGCATAGTAGATCAAATTTTTCTGCCTCCTAAATAAAAGATAACAACCTAATTTTCATTTGTTTTGCAAGAAATAAACGCTGATTATAAACTGAAGTATCACTTTTCACAGCTGTAAACATTTTACAAATCCAAATATGAGCTATAAGGAGCTATGAGCATCCAGGTGTTTCTTAGGCATACCCCCTCACTTTTATAGACAACAGAGAAAGAAGTACAAGAAAACACAATACATATGCACCTTCTGTCCCAAATGTATGAATCAAGCAAAACTCTACCCTAGAATTTATTTAATGCACAATCTACTTAACCATGAAAATCTGTTTTAATGTATATACAAGACAGTTTATGTTTCGATGACTAACAATTTATAATATAGTTTAAAGAGTTGACAAAGCTACTACATTTGGCGTGCTATGAAAAGCATTAATATATAGCATAATTTTCATATTTATTTCTGCCTGCTATCTTGAAACTGTATTACTGACCACTATCTTTCTGAACCCTTCTTTCATAGAATGTATTTTCTGATGGGTGTATTAAGCCTACATATTTTCTAAGTCCAGTGAAACATTTTTGTTCCATTACATTTGGTTTTTCTGTTTGTTCATTAGTTTGTTTGTTTGTTTTTTAGACAGACTCTTGCTCTGTTGCCCAGGCTGGAGTGCAGCGGCATGATCTTGGCTCACTGCAACCTCTGCCTCCCAGGTTCAAGCAATTCTCCTGCCTCAGCCTCCTGAGTAGCTGGGATTACAGGCACACACCACCACGCCTGGCTAATTTTTATAGTTTTAGTAGAGATGGGGTTTTGCATGTTGGCCAGGCTGTCGAACTCCTGACCTGAAGTGATCCGCCTTCCTCAGCCTCCTAAGGTGCTTGGATTACAGGCCCGAGTCACCGTGCCCTGCCTCCATTGAGTTTCTTAATTTTTTTTTCTTTGAGTTCACCACAAGCTGCCTATCAAATTTCTCATCATACAGTTAGTGTGCTACATGCGATTCACTAAAGGAAAAGGGTTTCCACTTACCAGGAGGCCCTTAATGAGCAGAGGTTTCACATGACAGTTCAATTAACCATACTGCCACTCCCAACATTATGAGAGAATATTCCAAGATCATGGAACTCTATCCATAACCCCCAATACTGTACTGTCCATGCTAAAATTTCCACTTATATCAGTGCTGGCTGGAATCATGGTTTCTAGATTACTGCAGAATTAGAATCAGAAGCAAACTGAATTCTTGATCAGATGTGCATAGGTGTTGTCTCAGAGCTGATCTAATAAAATGTTTCCTGTCTTCAACTACTCATTATGCCCATGGTTCTTGTTCTTTCTGTCTGTGAGTTTAATCTGATTGACAGGACTCAGCGAGTCCCCAAGCTATCTATCTACAGTCAGGTGACTGAAAAATCAGAATAGCATTTGAAGCTCAGCTCTCACCTTTGTTTTCAGTGTCTTACAGTCTGGAGTCCAGAAAACTCTGGGCGATGCAATTGTTTACTGCCTCAAATTCCAGGGTCTCACATATTTAAAGGAAAAATTATTCAAAAGTGGAAAGTAATTTTCTTATTTTTTAAATCAAAAATATACAATCCCCAAATTTAAATTCAGATTCTGCTATTTAATGCAAAGAATTATGTTAAAGTTTCTTTATCTAAAGAATAAATATTCTCAATCTGGAATGGTTTCATTCAAAATAGAAAAAATAAAGATTTTAAGTCCAGAATTCTATCTTTCAGGCAACAACTATGATAATGACGATTATTATTGTCACAGTTGTGACTTCTTACGGTGAACCATTTTTTACCTGGAGTGAAGGCACTGAGGATGTATTACTACAGAGTCTAGTCTTTTTCATCAATTTGCAACTTTACTCAGTAATCTCTAATAAGTAGGAGTCGTTTCTGAGCTCTTTTCTCCCAGATTGGGGAAGATATTCAATTTCTATTTTGTGCTACAATAGCTGGTTGTAATATAAATCTTGAGTAATTTTGAGAAATATTTGGCGGCTGATAGACTCAAAGAAAAATACCAAGATACCAAGTGCTTCTTTCTTCATGTATTGTGTATGGCACCTTAATTCACATATCATGAGCAGAGCAGAGTGACTCATTGACCTTGAGTTGCAATCCCGACTATTCTACTTAACTTGTATGACATAAACCATCATTTAACCCTCTGGATTTTTATAGAGTGATGGACTTTCTGAGAATTAAATAAAGGAGAGTGTAAGATGCTCTGACACAGTGCCTAGGACTAGTGCTCAACAAATGACAAATGACAGTAATTTTGTTGTATTATAAAAAGGAAGAGGCCCTAAAATTCGCCAACTCTACAGCCTTTTTTTCTGTAGAGGATGTGATTGAGAACCACAATCCAAGGTTTTAGAGCTAGTTAGTTAGGAAGCTAGAGCCAGAATCTAAATTATTTTTGTTTTAGTAGTCTAGGGTATTAAAAGAGCTTTTTTCTCACTACTGTTTCCTATGAGGAATGACTTTCCCCTAAATGTCCTTCTGACCTCTCTCTAACCCTTTATTCACTCAGCCTCTGGAGAGATGAAGACATCTTTATGATTGATATATCCGAGAAGAATGTGCCTTTCATCCCTGACCCTCCCCTTCTTGGGAACCCTTCTTTATTCATGTACAAATTGCCCACGGGCTGTCCACTCCCACTACTTTCCCCATCTTAGGGAACTTCTCCTGGACCCATGCTACCCTGACATGGGTAACTCAGTCTGATTCTAGGGTTTAGTGTTGGCAAAGCCATTTGTTTTAACACACCTAGTTCTACTGTCAAAAATAAAGGTGACATATGTGTTCCCTGCCTGCAACTTTTTGCCATTTCAGAGTGTTCAGAACCCAGTTAGTAACAAAGAGTGGTTTCTCCGGACCCAAAACAGTGCCTCCTAAAATAGGTCACACTACCTATCATTTAAGGGAAGGTGGTTTAACAATAAGTAACTGGTAAATAACTAATTAATGAAGACTTGTATTGTAGGGGCACGACCAGTCTACATTTATCTGAAAAGGAGTTCATGGTGTAAAGTAAATCAGACGACATCACTCCACTCCATTATGGCTTTTTTCTATTGTTATCACACTTAGGATGCAAATTGAACTTGAAATGGAAGATATTTATTTGACAGAATGCAGACATACCCTTATTTTCCTTATTTTTTTAGTGTAATGTTATGAGGAGAAACAATAGATGATGAAACAAGAAGTATATAAGGGGAGTATAAATATTTCGGGCCCAAGAAAAATATTACAATCTTCCTACCTCTCAACATTGGTACTCCAAGATCAGATTGTGCCATCTACACTCCATTTGATGCCTTAAGTTAGGAAACTAAAGGAAAGATGCCAGGAACAATTTGTGCCCAGCATACATAATCTTTATTTTTTATTTTTTTAGAGACAGGACCTTGTTTTGTCTCCCAGGCCGGAGTGCAGTGTCACAATCATAGCTCACGGTAGCTTCAAAATCTTCGGCTTCAACAATCCTGCAGCCTCACCCCCTGAGTAGCTGTGACCACAGGTGTGCGCCACCACAATTGGCTAATTTTTGTTATTATTATTATTGTTATTATTATGCAGAGAAGGGGTCTATTTTGAAGAGCTGGTCTGGAACTTCTGGCCTCAATCAATCCTCCCATATTGGCCCCCTAAAGCACTGGTATTACAGGTGTGAGCCACTGTGCCTGGCCATAGGTAGCATTTCCCTCTGGGAAAGAACATTTTCCTGAAGTACTGAATTACATACATTTTCATTCCACAACACATAGAGCAAGAAGGCACATGAGAATGTCTCACATGGAGGCAATATCTACAAATTAAAATATTTAAGAACTGGTTCCAAACAGAACTAAAATTTGGGGGAAGAACCTTATAAAATTTAGAACTTGTACTCCTGATCTTGCCTGAATTCGAGGGAAATAGTCTAGAATAGGAATAAACAAGTAAATTTTCAAAGAAAAAGGTATAACTTTAGTCAAGAGTGCTCTTAATTTCCGGCTTGGAACACGTAGCATGGGCCACCGCCATCAACAAGAAGAGAGAAGGAAATGGGGTGGAGATAAAGAGGAATGGGAAAAGGAAGGTAAGGGAAAGCATGTAAAAGGAAAGGAAAGGGCAGGGAAGAGGATTGTTTAAACATTTTCCAGCAACTCCCCTTCCTGGCCTCATATGAGAATCATTGACTTGAAAACACATAACCTTGGCATCCCAATAAACTAGAAAGACCCTCAAACTGGAGATGAATTAATCTCATCCTGCCCCAGGCCTCCCCACCACGGTAAGTCACATCTGACTCTCTGAATTCCATCTCTTACAAACTCTTAATGTGGATGATGACTAATGTTTGAATTTCTACTAAAGCTAATGGGTTCTTTGAAGATTATCTTGGAATCAGATAAAGGCAATAACTATGCTAACTTTATGAATAATTGTGAATAGGTATGTGAGCTTATAGATGTGTATGAATACACATATATGTCTTTTCATCATGATTCTTAAACTTGTTATGTATATATCCAGAAGTCATAGTTCTACTATTTTTGAAAATACATATTTACTGCTTTTTTTCTATTTTAATTATTGGTTTAAGACATGGGCATAATTATCATAATAAAGAATGTTATCTCCATAACTTAGAAAACTGTTGATAAAGAAGAGAGAACTTAGCCAGCGTATTTTTTTTTCCTTTTTTTTCCTTGCCTCTCTTGAAAGATAGGTAATAGAGATTTTAAGTGTAACAGTGCAATCCAGCCAGAGGCATAGAACATCTACAGTTCTCTCTGCTTTTAGATAAAAAAAAACCATAGTAGTGTTATAAAATATTAATAGAAACATAATATAAAAGCACAAGTATTCCAGGGACCAGGTATGACAGCTCTATCTGATCAAGATAGTTGTGGTGGTTTTCAAGGAACATTTCTCTACTCATTCCAGAGAATGCATGAACTCATTAGTCTAAAAAGTACCTAACCAACCTGAATGTGAAGGCACAGTGAAGGTTTTCTCAACCACAGCCATACCGTGGCAGAAAAATTATTATACACAATTCCTGGAAGAGCTGGTCATGTTGGCTTGAGCCTGTAATCTCAGCTAATAGGGAGGCTGAGATGGGAGGATGGCTTCAGGCCAGGAGCTGAAGACCAGCCTGGGCAAAGTAGTAAGACTTCACTTCACCTCTAAAAATAAAAAAGAAAAGAATATAAAAATTAGCTGGGCATGATTATGTCTATAGTCCCAGCTGTTTGGAAAGCTGAGATGAGAGGATCACTTGAGCCCAGGAGTTTGAGGCTGCAGTGAGCTATAATTGCACCCCTCTGCACTCCAGCCCGGGCAACAGAACAAGACTGTCTCTAAAAATAAAAATTCAAAAAATATTCTGGGATACATATTTCCAGGAAGCACACACTGAAACAATAATTTTAGGTGATGATGGTTTAACCAGACACAAAACCAGCCCCAAATCCTTCTCTAATCTAAATTTAGGGCACAATTTTATTCTTCTGATTCCAGTGTAGGCTCACATTCTGTGGTAATCAAAAGCATAAGGGGACCTCAACCCCAGAGTCCCAAGCCCAGAAGTTCTGCTGTTTTCAGTGATTGCAAAACATCATTCCATGCCGTCAACATCTGTTTACCAAGTTATGAAACTTTATTCCATACATGAAACTTGGTGCATATTTATCATTATCTCCATGTAAACAGCTTCAGAAATAGCTATGCAACATATTCTAAAATAAACTGTTAAAGGCAGAGGGTTTTCATGATCACTACCAAATAGGGTTGAGGGTATCAGTGAACAAGGCTGTTAGAAACATCGTGTTGATTTTAGAAGTCTGTGTCCAATCGCAGGGATGCCCTATATATTTTGCTATCCTGAGACAGAACATGGGACCGAGAAAGCAATTTCCCGGATCATTTAAGTCTTTAAAATATAAAACCAATGAATTCTTGCAAGTGAACAGTCCTTCAACTTTTCTACATAAAATCTAAAGGCCATTTGGATAGTTGCCTGGTGGCCTGTGGGACCACATACATATTTGTGGGAAGTAGAGATGATGCCTGTCACTGCAGCCAAGTCAGGCAGATGACTGGAGACAAGAGACAGGGCACAGAGTCGTAAAAGGAGACTGGGCTTGGGAATAGGAGGTTATTCTCTAGTGCTGGTATTGTCACATTTTGTCTCTGGGCCTCAGATTCCCTACCAGAAAAAAAGAAGAGGTTGAATTTAATGAACACTTACACCTCTAAAATATGATGATTCTATCATTCTAGATATAAACTGTGCTTTTTTTTTGTTGTTGTTGTTGTTTTTGTTTTGTTTCTAGATAGAGTTTCACTCTTGTTGCCTAGGCTGGAGTGCAACGGTGCGATCTCGGGTCACCGCAACCTCAGCTTCCTGGGTTCAAGCGATTCTCCTGCCTCAGCCTCCCGAGTAGCTGGGATTACAGGCATGCGCCACCATGCCCAGCTAATTTTGTATTTTTAATAGAGATGGGGTTTCTCCATGTTGGTCAGGCTGGTCTCGAACTCCTGACCTCAGGTGATCCACCTGCCTCAGTCTCCCAAAGTGTTGGGATTACAGACATGAGCCAACACTCCTGGCCCCAACCTCTGTTAAAATTTTTTATGGTGTTTAACTATGCCTTCCTTCCGCATGTTCCCTTCCCAAAGTGTTTATCGAATCCATCCAAGCCCAGGCAATGACTTTTAAAGATACAGGCATATTTTTATTACATGTCACAAATAAGCCATTAAATCAGTAGAGATGCATTTAGTTTTGTTACACCTTAATTACTGAATTGCCAAGAGCTACCAATGGAAGCTTTATACCTAACTTACATATTTCCTCAAGACCCTGTGTTTGGGCTAATGCTAATTTATGTTTCAAAAGAAGAAAAACAGAGGAAGTGCCATAGGAGACCAGAATTTCCTCCATGAGTTAATTTTCGGAAGAGAAGCTGCAAACTGCAGTCATTTTAACTGAGAGACTCCACCCTTCTTGTAAAACACATGTACCTAAGTGTACTAGTAAAATCTGCCTGGACCCCGGGCCAGATCATTAAAGCTTTCAGTAGACACCAGGCCCCATGTCTGATGGAACTGATTTCACAACTAAAGACATTAAATATCATAATCAGGTAATAATAAGGTTCACCTTAACCTTGACCATTTAAACTCTACAATTATTAACCTTTTAAAAGAGTAACACAATAAAAAGTCTGACATATTTTTGCAAGCAACATATTAACTCCAGTTTGGTTGGGCTGGAATCTGACTATTTTCAACAGCTGATGAGAAAGCTTATCAAGTCATATATCCCCTCCTGATATGAAGATCCAGAGATAACATGTGTTTATTTCTACAGCCATAAAATAAAAGGAAAATGCAAACAAAGAAAGGAGAGGCACACTGATAGGTGAGATCATCATAATTAGAAACTCAAGGAATGCTGAAGATCAAAAGTTGATTTTAGCCGGGCACCAGAATATAACCTGATCACAGGGAGAGATAGTGGGCAATGGAAGACTCCACAAATGGATTATCATTAAAAACTACAATCTTTTACAGGCTCAGAAAAAGCAATGAGGATAATTTTTATTTAGTTTTTCAAACTGCTGAGTGAGTTTTATTATAGTTGCTAAATCAGTCTGAAGAATGGAATTTCAACATAAGGCAAGAACAAGCAGTTCTGTTTCCTTTGCCCCGTACCCCCAAACATCCTTTTTCTTTGTCTCATTCTCTCTCGTTATTCTTGTCTGGAGGCAACTTTAGTTGTAAAATAATGTAACTTAGAAACAATTTTAAAGAATGCATAAATAATTTAAGCTTATTTCTCAGAAACCAGTTCATATTGCCGGCTTTTGACCCTTGCCCTAATTGCAAAGATACTGTGCAATAAGTATGATGGTCAAGGGTTTTTGTTTGAGAACTTTCTTCTTTAACATTTTACTTCTAGAAGTGCTACTGAGCACCATCTGTTCACATGACTACTGATTTGATGAGTGGATGATGCTGACATGTTCTAGAACTGACTTGGATATTGAATGTTAGCTGTGGATCCAGAGTGGTTGGAGAAAGCCCATTTGGGAGTTTAACTTTTCCTAAATGTATATGGTATGCCTAGCATTGGGCAACTGCTCAGAGTCCACGCAGGAAAACAGAAACCAGGGCAATATAATATAGAGAATTGGTTAGGCATGTATTAGAGGACTGGAAATGCCAAGATGATGGGGATAGTAATTGCAGGAAGCAGCCTCACCCGTGAGATCTGGGACAAAGGGAAGAAGTCAGGGTTGCTAGAATCCAATAAGTGCTAGGGGAGTGAGACTGATCTCTGAAGAGAGGCACAGTTCAGACGGTGGAACAGGGGGACCCTGTGGAATGGTGAGCCAGACCTCTATGGAGGGGGCACTGCTGTTGGGGTGTGCTGGTCTCTGGTGGGAATTCAATGAGACTAGTTCTTCAAATCAGAAGGTGGGAGGGGGGAACTGGAACCAACTGCCATTGCCACAGTGACATTACAGAAACAGAAAGGCAAAGAAGGAACAGTTCCTTTCTCCTCCTGCCTGTTACTCTCTAGTGCCCCCTGTTGACAGAACATAACAAGTAACGTTTAAAACAGACCATACCTTCATAACCATCACAGACCGCATTTGTTCTTCTGAGCTAACTCTTAGAGTTTATGCTATATACTTGTCATTTTAGGCTACATCTATAAAAATCATAAGTGCATTTAATACGTAGTTGACCAGAAGACTGTTTTTTTTCTTAAAGAAGAAAATATTTTAGGTTTTTGCTTTAATTATGCCTCAAAGGTCCGTGGTATGAGTCACTATCCTATACCTATGTGAGCAAAGAAACTCTTGGGTGAGGTTTAGAATAGGCACACATTGTAATGAATCTCTCTCTAGTGAATTATAATATCATTTCAGTATAAAAGATGCCTATTTCAAAAGCAAGACGGGCCCATTATTAAAAGCAAACTAGGCCCGGCACAGTGGCTCACGCCTGTAATCCCAGCACTTTGGGAAGCTGAGGTGGGTGGATCACCTGAGGTAAGGATTTCGAGACCAGCCTGGCCAACATGATGAAACCCTGACTCTACTGAAAATACAAAAAATTAGCCGGGCCTGGTGGCGGGTGCCTGTAATCTCAGCTACTCGGGAGGCTGAGGCAGAAGAATCGCTTGAACCTGGGAGGCAAAGGTTGCAGTGAGCCAAGATCATGCCACTGCACTCCAGCCTGGGAAACAAGAACAAAACTCCACCTCAAAAAAAAAAAAAAAAAAAGCAAACTAATACACAAATAAAATATAGATAGCAAATCAGAATTACATGACCTAAAATTAGGTAGTACAGCCTTCATATCTTCTAAACTACCCTTGCATGTTTCTATAGGGCCTTCGACTTTTGCTACATAAAAATTGATCTGAATTTTTGTGTTAGGTTTGATGGCGATCCCAAATGTAACACTCCTTTCCCTCAGCAATTTTTGAACCAAATGAAAAATAGAATAAAAGAGTCAGCAAATAAGAGTAAACTGCTGTTTTTACTACTGAAATTACTTCTCACAGAGATAGGTGACTCTATATAAAGGTAAGAGGTGTTCCTGATATTAATTCCAGAATTAAATAGATTGAGCTGTTGCTATGGCCTGGATATTTATGTTCCCTCCAAAATTCATATGTTGAAATCCTAACCCCCAACTTGATGGTATTAGGAGATAGAGCATTTAGGAGATGATAATTAGGTCATGAGGGAGAAGCCGTCTATGAATGGGATTAATGCTCTTATAAAACAATCAGAGAGAACTGCCTTGCCCCTTCCACCGTGTGAAGATACAAAGAAGTTGGCAGTCTTCAACCAGGAAGCTGGCCCTCATCAGATACTGGGTCTGCCAGTGCCTTGGTTGTTTTCCAGACTCCAGAACTATAATAAATACACTTCTGTTATTGATAACCCACTCAATTTATGGTACTTCTGTTACAGCAGCCCAAATGGGCTAAGACATTCACCTAGAGACAGACGGTGCTAGACCACTGGAGTCCTAATCACGCTTAGGAGAGAAGTAGAGCAGAATAGAAGCTACCTGATGGGAAGGAAAGGAGGTGCTGATTAAGCATGCCTAATTCCATATCCAAGCCCATTGATCAGACAAGAAAACCTCCCTCTACCTGCCTAATGGACAGAGGGAGGTCAGAAACTTTTTCCTAGTGGTGTTCCCGCCACATGGACGTCAACACTGAGAGCTGAGACTTGGAGGTGGGGGTGTCATTCTCCACATTCTCTAACCCCACTGGTGATTAATGCCAGGGAAATAGTAAAGATATCTGTCTTGCCATCAAATTGTCAATGGCTAGATTATTGTCTGGCAATTAATAATCCCTTAATAGTCATTTGTTGAACAAGTTGAGTAGATCGATTCTTACTTTTATGGAAATGTATACATTTAGAAAACTTAAATTCAAATTCTGGTTTCGATACTAACTAGCAGTGTTACTTTGGGCAAGTAATTTAACGTCTCTAGTCCTCAATCACTTGTCTGTCATATGGCATGATAGGCCTTTATCTACAATTAATTCTGGGATGCATTCCAATTTCACAATTCTGTTACTCGTCTTCACATTAGTGGTTTGGATAATCTATGGCTGCTTTTGTAATCACAAAGTCTGTATCATAAACAAATGCTAAAATAAGTATGCTTGGTGGGTAGCCAGAAACGTACGGGCTGATTCTACGCATAGGGTTTTCCTTCATTTTCTATTCTCTTAGTATTTTATTTTTCATGAGAATAGTACAAGAGGTTAGAAAAGAGGACTTATTATCCTACATCCTGCCTTCCTAGGTGCCTTCTTTGACCTCTAGCATGAGCATTCAATGTCCAGCACAGTATTTTGGCACATCTATCAAATAATCAACATGAAATCCTTTACTTAAGTGTAATTTCTAAAGAAGTGGTTATAGGAGGCAGTGCTGATGAGCAGAAATAGCATTTTAAAAGATAGAAAACATCTGAGCTCTCCCCAAACCTTGTATTTCTATGTGGAAACTTATGGAAGTCATATTAACCCTCAGATACTCAGGTTTTACCATCATAAAATAGGAGGCTATAGTACCACTCTGTATTCTTTCACTTCCAACATTCAACAATTCAGACTAATGCACTGAAGAATACAGTATATTTTTATGGCTAAAATTTGCCCCCAGGTATGGCAGACTTCCACAGTTACTACTTGAGACTATCACTACGGCAGTTACTACTGTTACTACCTGAGACTGTCATTAGGAGACTGAACGAAGGAGGAAGAACATAGAAATGAAAGCTTCAGACAAAAGAAACTATTTTAAAGGAAGGGGCCAGGGGAAGAAGAAAAGGGCTCCCTTCTCCTAATGAGCAAAGGCAGCCGTGCTGAGCTTCTACAGCCCTTCGTATTTATTGAGTAGAAAGAGCAGGGAGGAGGAGGTAACAATTGGTCAGCTGCTTCATTGATCACAGGTTCACTTTATTGCTAACAGGCTTCAGATGTGCCTAATCACAAGAAACACTTGTGCCTGGGTCGTGGCAGCCCTTAGCATTCCTTCTGGGTGGCAGACCCAGTTTGTCAGTTTGCCAACATCCTGCTTTCATGAGAAACAGTTTGCTGTTTACTCATATGGCCTTCAGTGGTATACTGAGTTGATCATGACCCTCATTCGTTCGGCCTTCAACACCCAGGAATACACATTTTAAGACCTGAGATTTTGGTTTTCCTGATCTGGTAGGTAGATATAAATAAAAGACTGAAAGCACCACTATTGTTCAATATTTCTGGGAGTTAAATTTATTATTTTTTTTAATTTTAATTTTAAATTTTTGTAGCTACATGGTGTATATATTTATGGAGTACATGAAATGTTTTGATACAGGCATGCAATTCATAATAACCACATCATGGAGAATAGGATATCCATCCCTTTACATGTAATCTTATTATACTCTTTTAGTTATTTTAAAATATACAATTAAATTATTATTGACTACTGTCACCTGTTTTGCTATCAAATAGCAGGTCTTATTCATGCTTACTAATTATAACTATTACTAACTATAATGGGAGTTAAATTTATAGCGTCCATTTTAAGGTCAATTTGACATCAGTTGCTAAAATTTAGAATATGTAAACCTTGTGGGTTAGCTCTCCCACATCTAGGAGCGGTATAGAATAGTAAAGCATAAAGTCTCCAGGCAGAAGAGCCTGAGTTTGAATTGTAGGCCTACAAGCATGGGGCCTGAGATGCTACTTTCAGACTCTACATGTCAGTTTCCTCGTCTGTAAAATAGGGATTGCAATAAAACTCCATCAAGTGATGGTAAGGGCTAAATGAGACAATACGTATATTTTAAAGAGCTTAGAAATGTACCAGGAATAATGTAGCTACTTAGTGAAAGATAGCTATTACCACAGCTACTGTTATTACGGATTGAGCATCCCTCATCCAAAGTGCTTGGGACCAAAGGCATTCTGGATTTCAGATTTGTTCGGATCATGGAATATTTGCATTACAATGGTTCAGCATCCCAAATTTGAAAATCCCAAATCTGAAATGTTCCAAGGAGCATTTCCTTCTAATATTATGTCACTGCTGAGAAAGTTTTGGGATAAGTGCAGCAAACCACCATGGCACACGTTTACCTATGTAAGAAACCTGCACATTCTGCCCAAGTATCCCAGGACCTAAAATAAAATACAATTTTTTAAAAAAGTTTTGGATTTTGAAACATTTTGAATTTTGGATTTTCAGATTAAGGATACTCAATCTATATTATTATTATAGATAATGGTGAGAACCTGTTCACAGAATACATGTTTAAGGATTTTCATTTAACAAGGCTTTTACTGAAAATACAGAAAATAATCAGCTAAATTACTACCAGTAGTGGAATGTAAGGTAGGAAGATGACAGAAGATGAATAATTAATACGTGATACTAACGGTCTCAAAGCCAGCCATGGGGACATAACTGGAAATAGAAAGAAATGGAGACGCCACTGAGAAATTTATGGAGAAGTTTTAGGAACACCTGGAGAATAAGAAGGTGATTCTGAGCATGGGTAGAAAAATGACAACTTGGAGTAAAAGGTTTGTTGCCAAAAATAGGGAGAGAGAAAGGTCAGGGACGTTGATTTATTTTTGCACTGCTTTTATTGCTAAATGTTCTGAAAGGATCATTTCCTCCCCCATGACAAAAAATGCTCCATCAGCACCAGCCCAGGGTCTCTGTGGAAATCAGGATGGAAGGTGGATCAATCAAATTCAGCAAGAGAGGGGTTTGCCACTGCAAGTCTCAATTGATTGTGGGAAGAGGTCACATTTTGTGGAGGGCTTGAGAGACAGAGTCTTTAAAAAAATGCTTGTTACATTTTCAAATTATGAATTGAAATTCTAGCACCATTATTATAAAATATTAAACCTCATTTTAATATGAAATAGTAAAATGTTGCCCAGCTCAACATTGGCAATGTTCTCTCTGTGGATACCATGCCTGAGAGGTACAATCATGTGCTGCTTGGAGGAGAAGCCTAGAGACCATGGCAAGCTGACCCAGGCATCAGGGAACTATGCCACAGTTATCTCCCACAATCCTGAGACCAAGAAGAGCCGTGTAAAGCTACCCTCTGGCTCCAAGAAGGTTACCTCCTCAGCCAACAGAGCTGTGGTTGGTGTGGTGGCTGGAGGTGGCCAAATTGACAAACCCATCCTGAAGGCTGGCTGGGCATACCACAGATATAAGGCAAAGAGGAACTGCTGGCCACAAGTACGGGGTGGGGTGTGAACATGAACCCTGTGGAGCATCATTTCGGAGGGAGGTGGCAGCCACCAGCACATCGGCAAGCCCTCCACCATCTGCAGAGATGCCTCTGCTGGCCAAAGTGGGTCTCATTGCTGCCCGCCAGACGGGATAGTCTAGGGAACCAAGACCGGGCAGGAGAAAGAGAACTAGTGCTGTTCTCAATAAAGTTTGTCCTTATGCCACCAAGAAAAAGAGAGAGAGAGAAGAAAGAAGCTGTGAATCATGTTAATCAGTGCTAAATCATGAAAAACTGTCACTTTTCTACTTTTTTTCTGAGGAGAAACCTGCAATCCAAGATTGAATTTATACATGTATTTACATTTCCATCCCCCTATCTTTACTAAGCGCCTACAGTAGGCATAGCAAGCAGCATACAACATATCTTACCATAGAGCAGATCATGTCTACATTGACATAGCTGATTCAATATCTGACATCTAAAAGTGTGGCCTATATCTTGACTACCCTAAACTTTCATTGTGGATATTAGATGAGATTTCTGGGATCAATTAATTTCTTTTTGTTTTTTGAGATGGAGTCTCACTGTCATCCAGGTTGGAGTGCAGTGGTGCCATCTCAGCTGACTGCAGTCTCCACCTCCTGGGTTCAAGCAATTCTCCTGCTTCAAGCTCCAGAGTAGGTGGGATTACAGGCACCTGGCACCACACCCAGCTAATTTTTGTATTTTTGGTAGATACGAGGTTTCACCATGTTGGCCAGGCTGGTCTTGAACTCCTGACTTCAAGTGATCCTGCCTGCCTTGGCCTCCCAAAGTTCTGGAAGTACAGGCGAGAGCCACCCCTCCTGGCCTGGGATCAATTAATTTCTAACAATACTTTTAACCACCTGCCAGTGTTCTGAATCCATGGGAGAGTAAAGTGAGTAAACACTTGATTTTATTTAAGAAGTTAATCAAGGCTGGGCGTGGTGGCTCATACCTGTAATTCCAGCACTTTGGGAAGCAGAGGCGGGTGGATCATGTGAGGTCAGGAGTTTGAGACCAGCCTGGCCATCATGGTGAAACCCCATCTCTACCAAAAATACGAAATTAGCAGGGTATAGTGGCACATGCCTGTAATCCCAGCTACTTGGGAGGCTGAGGCAGGAGAATCACTTGAACCCAGGAGGCGGAGGTTGCAGTGAGTGGAGATCACACCATTGCACTCCAGCCTGGACAACAAGAGCGAAACTTCATCTCAAAAAAAAAAAAAAATTTAATCAAAATATTTGGAAAAACATTTATCATCAAGCATAAAAGGCCCTGGTTATCTATTTCTAATGACAAGGAAAACCCCAGCTACAAGGAATTATTTATTTATGCCGTGTGTTGATTTACTAATAGGAAACTGGTAATAAATTATTCAAAACTTTTTTTTTCTGGAAAATGACAGGAAAGAGATTGGTGAATCTTTCCTTGTTAAATTAGTTGCCTTTTAAAGAGACTACAGACTCTCAATTTTTCGGTGCAGAACTTAGCAGTTAAGGTAGAATCATCTTCTTGAAAGTCAATAAATAATTCTATAAAACAACCATAAGTTATTCATGGTGGTGTCTTAGCATGATTAAAAAAGACTAATTTGATTTGGAAGAAGTAGGTGGGCATTAGAGGGAAAGAAGGGAAAGTGAGATTTTCTGTATGGGACAAATAATACTCAGGTAGAACCCAAGACTGGAAAACTTTAGAAATTATTCATTGTTTGCTTGTTCATTTGTCTGTTTTCTTTTGTATTTCCAGAATTCAGAAACAAAAAAATTTGCTTTAGAAAACTTCATTTTGATAACTCAAAGCCTTACTTTTATCTCTCCCTGCTCTTTTTTTCCATAGCCTTTCTTTCTCAATGAACAAATATTTATTGCACACATATATTTTATCAGAAGTTTGCAAGAAGGTTGAGAGGTAAACAAGACAAAGGCACATAATAACTGATAATATATTTTCATATCGCCCCTCCTTAAGGACACAGAAACTGGTCACAGAAGATAATAAGGAAACACTATTATGATTCTCATGTTGGCTCAGTCGCTATTTTTATAGACATAAAAATAATACATGTAAGCGTTGACTTTCTGTAATATGAAGGCCTCCAAAATGCGAATCTTCCCTCAAATATATTATCAGACAGACACAGGGTCTTTTGTGAAAAACAAAAAACACAGAAAACTTTTCTTTGGGTTTGTTAATTCATTCAGCATATCTCTGTTGATTGATCTATTTTGCACGTAAGTCTTCAGGTACTACAAATGTTATTTGGGTCTGCTCTTTGCTTTCTTTATTTAGAAAAGCTTTATTTTTGGTTCAGGAGTATGTGCACAGGTTTGTTATACAGGTGAACTCATGTATTGGGAGTTTGTTGTACAGATTATTTCATCTCCCACTTACTAAGCCTAGTACCCAACAGTTATTTTTTCTGCTTCTCTTCCTCCTCCCACTCTCCACCCTCAAGTAGGCTCCAGTGTCTATTGTTCCCTTTGTGACCATGAGTTGTCATCATTTAGCTCCCACTTATAAGTAAGAACATGTGGTATTTGATTGTAGTTTCCTGTGTTAGTTTGCTAAGGATAAAGGCCTCCAGCTCCATCCATGTTCCCCCAAAAGATATGATATCATTTTTATGGCTACACAGTATTCCATGGTGTATATGTACCACATTTTCTTTATTCAATCTGTCCTTAATGGCCATTTAGGTTGATTCCATGTCTTTGCTATTGTGAAAAGTGCCACAATGAGAATTTGCATGCATGTGTCTTTATGGTAGAATGATTTATATTCCTCTGGGTATATATCCAGTAATGGGATTGCTGGGTCAAATAGTAGTTCTGTTTTTAGCTCTTGCGGAATCACCACACTGCTTTCTTTGCTTTCTAAGAGCAATCTAAGCTGACAGATTATCATTTATTTTATTCTTCTATGGAAACCATAGCTAACCGTCTATTTCTGAAGTATGAACCTTTCACGAGTACTCTGTTCCACTTCATTCTCCTTTCTTAAAAATCATATAGAATGTCCTGTCTTTTCCCCTAATTATCTCTGTTGGAGAATACTTTGGTTGTAGGTACTTAGACAAATAACCCAGATGGCATGTGTCTATGATACAATCTTTATAATACTATGCACAGGGTCTGTATCTTAGACCTCTTCCTTAAGTAAGCCAATTATATGTGTATTTAGTTTATTAACTCATGTGTAACTCACATATCTCCCATCTCAGTTTAGGAAGCACAGTCCCCTCTCACTGTGGGGCCTACTTGTATCATCTCATTTCTTTCCTTCGCTTTCCTTATATCCAAATTTAGAACCCAATAGCCTACAAAATACATTCCAATTCAGTGTTTTTTGATCTACAAGATTCATTCCAATGCAGAATGCTCTAATCCCATGATTTTACTGCAAGAGTTGTAAATCAACATAGGGTTGGATTTACTGCAACCCATTCAAAAGTGTAGACAATGCTCAAATTTTATATGAGTACATTCTGAAATAATGCTATACGTAACAAAATGCTCTAGCTAATTAGACACTTAAATTGTGGTGGGGTGGTGGGGGAGGGGGTGTTCGGGAGAGATAGAGAAAGAAGAGAAAAATTGAAATCAATTTCTATCCTCAGAGAAACTTCAATGTGTTTTCAGGGCAGTCTGTGTCTTTACATGATACAAATCATCCAGGGTACACCTTAAGATATAAAAATATAAAGCAATTTTCCATTATCTTATTAGTAGCTCACAGTGAAGAGATTAAGTTCTTTGTTTTTTGGGAATGTAAATTCTTGTGTTTAATCAAAGTTTACCTTTAAAGTTGTTGTTTGGTTTGCAGGTTTTTGTTAAAATGAAGTTGCAGAGGAGTTAATTTTTGAAAAGTAGGGTAGACACAGAGCTGTGTTTGAATTATTTCTTTTTACTATGAAAAACTTTTTCCAAGAATTCAAGAAATCGCTTGTAAGAAATGAGAACCAGAGAGAAGACATTGAAGACACTACTTGCATGATAGACTTTTATGAGATACCTGGGTGCCCGTGACAAGAGATGGCCCAGTGCTGTGGAAAGGACCCTGTCATGGTCTGCTCCTTTAAACACTGATGACTTTATGAGTACCTAAAGATAGCAAGCTTGACACAAACATAAGATATCTCAAGAGAGACAACGTTTATAGTGTCAGTGGAGAAAGTCTTTCTACCAGCTCCAAGAATAAGGACTTTTGACCCAAGGGAACTGAATCAGGAGAGAAATAATATGTTTGATGGTATTTGGTAACTATTTTAAATGACTTATTTGCACATATACTGAGTTACTCCTTTGGTATAGCAGAAATATTTGAGCAACAATTTTCAGTTATGAAAAAAGTTACCAAAAGCCAACAATTGTGCCAATGAGTAGCAATGCAAGAAACATTTCACTTCTACTGCAGGATGGTAAAAATTGTATGTAAATTTTTTTGTATCAAATACATTTTTATTAGAATTCTAATATATGTCTTTCATTTTAATTTGAAAAGTTCTTTATTCATTTTGAACTGAGAAGTGTTAATAAAATTAGTGATAATAACAACATATATGGTAAGTGCTTATTCTGTGGACACTGTGATAAGTGGATAAGTGTTTTGTATGGATGAGTTCATTTAGCCATTACACCACCCTAAGGTGAAACTTATTTTTCCTGTTGTATATATGACGATACTTAGGTTTCAGAGAACCTAATAGACAGATTTAGGATACAAAGCAAGTCTGATTAACTCCAGAATCTTTAAACCTCTCCACCAGGGCCTAACAACCTCAGCACAATTGATATTTGGACTGAATTATTAGTTGAAGATGGGGACTTTACTGTGTATCATAAGATGCTTAACAGCATCCCTGGTTTCTACCCACTAGATGCCAGTAGCACTGGTACCCTCAAAACACACACACACATATACACGCATGCGCGCGCACACACACACGCACACAATGTGAAAATTGCCAAATGTGTCCTAGGTGGGGTTGGGAGGCAGGCACATCACCTGGGTTGAGAACCACAGTTTGACACTGTATTGCTTCCCTGCAAATTCAGCAAGCGAAATGGGAAGCACAGGTCCATTGAGAGAGATACTTTGGTAACCCCTGAAAGTTTTAGAAGGCAGGGCCCTGAACATGGCTTGGGAATTATGGGGAGCACCGAATTAACTTGTTGTCTGTGCTCCTTAACTACACATTACTTGGGAGTTGGAGATTCAGAAAAAAAAAAATAGGATTCGATGTTGTGTTTTATGCCCAGTTTGTTTGACATGTCTTTAGCTTGGGTTTTCTGCAAGCATATTTGCTATCAAACCTGGGCCCAGCTGAATGACTTGAGCCAAGAGCCGTTTGAGCAGATCATCAAAATACCCGAATCAGAATTTAAAGAGGAAACATAAATCAGAGAGAGTAACTGAGAGGTTATACTAGCAGGGTGGCCTATGGAGAAACTACATCAGACCTTGTTTTGTGGCCATTATCTCTTCAGGACGGAATAAAAGGTGTCTCTCACCTCTCTTAGGGCAGCCAAGCTTTCACGTTCCTAAAGACAACACATTTTACCACCAGGGGGCAGGAATTAATTAGCCCTCTGAGTGTAAGTTGGGCAGCCCTGGATGCTGAGCGCAGAGAAGATCTGCTGTTGAGTCAAGGCCAGTATGAAAATCTGTATTGGGGTAGGGAGTTGAAGATTGAAAAGGAGAGTGCTTTTTGCCACCTTCTGAATACTGAGATGAGAAAGGGCAGCATTTTTGTATTTCAGAATTTGGAGATCTAGGCCTGGGTTGTTTGCTGGTGAAGAGAAGTTGGAGGCTGCAGTGAGCCGTGATCTCACTACTGTACTCCAGCCTGGGTGACGGAGTGAGACCCTGTGTCAAAAACAATATTATTATTTTCTAATGGATTTAAGAGATTTTTAACAGTAATGTTAAAGGTATGCAATTATTTCCATATGTTATGAAATTAGATCTTATTCTCTGGATTTTTTTTTTAAGGCTGGGGAAAATATGATGAGGCCTTGAATAGCTTTATTAGATTTACTCCTCATTCTATAAACTAAACCCATTTCAGAAAGATTGAAGAATAAATTTTAATCAAATTTGGGGCAATGAAAAACCAGACAGAATATAAGTGAGTCACAATATATATGTATTTAACTTACACAAATTTAACACTGAATTCAACAAAAAATTATACACATTTAAAAAACGAATTATATATTTTCTCATGTTTTTTCATGTAATGCCTATAATCATGTACATTATATATTTATCAACATATATAATTGTCCAGATTGTGCACACACAAACAAAAACATGTTGAATATTTGCTCAAACACAAAGCTTGTCACATAGTAATGTAATTGATGTATTAGTTATTACTCCTGTTAATAATAATACTGGCTAGGTGCAGTGGCTGATGCCTGTAATCTCAGCACTTTGAGAGGCCAAGGCAGGAGGATCTTTTGAGCCCAGGAGTTCAAGACCCATCTGGGCAACATAGTGAGTCCCTGTCTCTACAAAAATACAAAAATAAAACTAAGCCAGGCATGGCGGGGCGCACCTGTAGTCCCAGCTTCTAAGGAAGCTGACATGAGAGAATTGCTTGAACCTAGGAGGTCAAGGCTGCAGTGAGCCATGATCGTGCCACTGCACTCCAGCCTGGGTGACAGAGTGAGACCCTGTCTCAAAAATAATATTATTGTTTCCTAAAGGATTTAAGAGAGTTTTTTTAACAGTAATGTTAAATGTATGCAATTATTTCCATATGTTTTGAAATTAGATCTTAACATCTTGATCAAAAAATAAAAAATAAAAACCAGGTTCTTTGTAACACAAAGTGACCTATTGCAAGGACCTCATGGACTTTTACGAAGCACAAATATATCAACAAATTATTCTAGTATAAAGATTAGGGAGAAGAGGAAGAAAGAAAGAAAAGGAAGAAAGTAAAAAAGAAAGCAAGGAAGGGAAAAATGGAGAAAAAGAAAGAGGGAATAGGAGAAAGAGGCGGAAGAAGGGAAGGCAGAGAGAGGGACAAGGAAGGAAAAAATGAAGAAAGTCCTATGAGCCAGGAGAGGGTAGAGAATTAAAGTTACCAGGGAAGAAAAGAAAAGCTTCCACAAAGACTCTTACAAGTCAGGTAGAGAAGAGAATAGAAGGGTTCCCATGGCATAGGGAGGGGCCCTGAAAGAGCATGACACATTCCGGAGGGGCCCTGAAAGAGCATGACACATTCCGGGAACTCCCAGTTGCCCACGGTGGCTGGCACTTATGCTGTGGGCACCTAGTTTGGGTTATAGGCCTTATCAGATGTGATGGTTAATTTTATTTGTCAACTTGACAGGTCTAAGAGATGCCCATAAAGATGGTAAAACATTACTTTCTGGGTGTGTCGATGAAGGTGTGCCTGGAAGCATGTTAGTATTTGAATCCATAGACTGAGTAAAGAAGATGGTTTGCCCCAGCATGGGTGGGCATGATCCAATCTGTTGAGGGCCTGAATAGAACAAACAGGCAGAGGAAAGGCAAATTCACTTCCTTTGCTGAGCTGGACCATCTCTCTTCTTTTATCCTCTGGAGCTCTTGGTTCTCTGGCCTTTCGACTTGGACATGGACTTACATCTTTTTTTCCCCAGGTGTCAGGCCTTTGGACTTGGGCTGGAACTATACCACTGATTTTCCTGTCCCTCCAACTTGCAGAGAGCAGATCATGGAGCTTCTCAGCTTCCTTACAGGCATAAGTTAACCTCTCATAATAAATCTCTTTATTTATAACTACTCCATTCATTCTGTTTCCCTGAAGAACTCTCACTAACACATCAGTCACCTTAAGGAGTTAGGTTTTATCTGGTAGATGTTGGGAAACAAAAACAGATTTTAAAGAAAAAAACTTTTATGACTGTGGTAACAGGTATAAAAACATAAAGGAGTTAAAAAAGATGAAGGATACAGAAGCCAGTCAACTGGTTAGTGCAATAATTCTTAGGTGGTTGCTGAATATAAACAGTGGTACCATAAATGGAGATAGATGTGGTACACATTTAAGGGAAATTGGATTGATTGCAAGCATGAAGGAGAAGCAAGATCCTGAAATTTGAGTCTTGGGTGAGTGATGGGACTTGAGTTAATAATGCTGCCCTGTGATAAAAGGAAAATGATTTTGAGAAATAAAGAAAAAATAAAGAAAAAATGATTTTGAGAAGGGTTTGGATTGAGCTTTGGAAATATTATATTTATTGCACTTGTCAGACAGTGTCACAGCTATCCATATACATTTTTCTTACCCACTAGAATGCGAACACTTTGTGTCAAGGGCTATGGCTTAATTATAGATGTGGGCCCATGGCTTAGATCAATGTGTTTTCTATAACAGAGATGAAATATGCATTGTTTTATTTAACTTCCCTGTTTCTTTAAAATTAAATTGTCTCTATAAACATTATATTATCTTATGCAATGTTTAAAGACAAAACTGGTAATTGTTTTAGAAGCAAGAAACATGATTTATTTGCCATTTTCAGTGGTATAGATAAATAAAAAGCCTTGCAAGTCCTAGATAGAAGTAAATGCATTTGTTAGGCCTGCATTGAGCTGCAGAAAACAGAAAACTGCCTACCCTGGCTTCACAACACAAAGGTCTTTCTTCTTGCATACCAAAACTGGGGGAGACATAGGTAAGTCAAGGCTGGTAAGACTTCTCCACGATGCCATTAAAAACCCAGATAATTCCAGCTTTCTGTTACACCAACCCCAGTGTGTGGCTTTTATTCTCACTTCCCCCAGAGAGCTGTTTTACCTTCAGGTATCAGATGCTTATTCTA
Organism: Homo sapiens; assembly: GCF_000001405.40. Lineage (NCBI taxonomy): Eukaryota > Metazoa > Chordata > Mammalia > Primates > Hominidae > Homo > Homo sapiens. Next base: position 30,254,721 of record NC_000021.9, on the reverse strand, counting down.
GATAGGACAAAGGAGAAAAGGAGAAAGATAAACAGCTAAAGAAATAGACCACCTAAATATGGCTCCCTTTAAATTGCTATTCAGGTGCCCCATTCATTGATTTCTATTTACATCTAATTGACCAGGGCGTGGTCGCATCTCTATTCCTATTGCAGGAAAGTAAGGAGGGATGACTATTTATAACTAAGCATATGTTTTCCTGAACAAAATAGGAATTGTGTAAGTTTAGAAAATGGTGTACTTCCAACCTTATGATGCACCTTGAAATGGATATTGATGAGAAATTTCTGTCTCTTTTTTTTCTTTTTTGAAATTTTTATGGGGTACATGAAATATTTTGATACAATGCATGATAATCACATCAGGGTAAATGGGGTATTCATCCCCTCAAGCATTTATCATCTATTTCTGTTACAAACAGTGCAATTATGCTTTTTTTTTTTTTTTTAGATGGAGTTTCGTTCTTGTTGCTCAGGCTGGAGTGCAGTGGCACTATCTCTGCTCACTGCAACCTCTGCCTCCCAAGTTCAAGGGATTCTCCTGCCTCAGCCTCCTGAGTAGCTGGGATTACAGGTGCCCGCCACCACGCCCAGCTAATTTTCTATATTTTTAGTAGAGACGGGGTGTCACCGTGTTGGCCAGGCTGGTCTTGAACTCCTGACCTCATGTGATCCGCCCACCTCAGCCTCCCAAAGTGGTGAGATTACAGGCGTGAGCCACCGTGCCCAGCCAATTGTACTTTTTTAGTTATATTTACATGTATAATAATTTATTGTTGGTGGTAGTCATTGTTGAGTTATTAAATACTAGATCTTATTCATTCTATCTAACTATATTTTTGTATACATTAACTATTCTCACTTCCCCTGTACCCTACTCTTCCCAGCTTCTGGTAACCATCATTCTACTGTCTATCTCCATGAGTTCAACTGTTTTAAATTTTAGTTCCCATAAATTAGCAAGAGCATTCAAAGTTTGACTTTCTACACCTGGCATATTTCACTTAATCTAGTCATCTCCAATTCCATCCATGTTGTTGTAAATGACAAAATCTCATTCTTTTTTATGGCTAAATAGTGTTCTACTGTTTATATGTACCACATTTTCTTTATCCATTCATCTGTTGATGAACACTCAGGTTGCTTCCAAATCTTGGCTATTATGAATACTACTGCAATAAAAATGGGAGTGCATATATTAGGTTGGTATAAAAGTAATTACAATTTTTGCCATTGAAAGCAATATCTCTTTGATATACTGATTTCCTTTCTTTTGGGTATATACCTAACAATGGGATTGCTGGATCACATGGTAAATATATTTTTGTTTTTTGAGGGACATCCATACTGTTCTCCATCTTGGCTGTACTAATTTACATTCACACCAAGAGTGTACGAGGGTTCCCTTCTCTTCTCATTCTCACCAGCATTTGTTATTGCCTGTCTTTTGTATAAAAGCCAATTTAACTGGGGTGAGATGATACCTCCTTGTAGTTTTGATGTGCATTTCACCGATTATCAATAATGTTGAGAAACTTTTTATATACTCATTTGCTATTTGTACGTCTTTTCTTGAGAAATGTCTATTCAGATATTTTGCCCATTTGTTAATTGAATTGTTAAATTATTTTTCTGTTCAGTGGTTTGAGATCCTTATATATTCTGGTTATTAATACCTTGTCAGATGGATAATTCCTTGTCAAGAGAAAGAGGTTTCTTTTTAAATAAATGATAGACATAGACATTTCTATATATACATATGTATGTACTAGTAGATAAATATGCATACAATTGCATATACATGTTTACGTACATATTTGTACACATATATCTTACTTTTTAATCAAATATATAATCTCACAAGTATATAGGAATAAAGAAAATTGAGTGTTTAATGGAGTAGATACCATTCTCTCAAATAGACTGTAGGTAGTCTTGAAACTTACTTTATATCTATATATAGATATAGATATAGATATATATGTGTACATATATATACACATATGTATGTGTATATATATGTACATATATATATACATATGTATATGTATATATAAGTGTACATATATATATACATATGTATATGTATATATATATGTATATAAGCCAAGAATAAAAGAGAATATTTTTTAGATGTGTAAAGGAATGAGGAATGATACATTTTGAAACAAAAAAAAAGTAATAAAGAACAAATTGAAAGATTTGAAAATACACGATTTTATACTTCTGGAATTAAAATAAATACAACTAAAATATGAGACAAGTTTCTAAATGTGAAGTGCTTATATTCGACATGATAAAGGTATAAAGAGGTTAATATCTTCAGTACATAAAAAGCTCACTCAAATGTATAAAGAATAGTGTAACATTTTAACAGATGAATGGATAAATAATATGAATAAACATTTGCTCAAGGGGAAAACAAAAAAACACTTGGGGAAATTTGTCCTCACTGGTATTCAAATAAATGAAAATGACAACAATTTGGCATTTCATTTTATACCTGTTAGAGAAATGAGAAAATTTTAAAGGGATTAATATCATTCTAACTTTCTATTCAGTGCACATTTATTGCTGATAGAATTGCAAATTGACATACACATTTTGGATGTAGGTTTGAGAGAAAGTATTGAAATTCTAAGTGCCTGCCTTATTCTCTGCCCATTTCTAAGGAAATGATTCCTAACAGTTCTCTTTGCATCATTTGCCATGATTCATAGGAATCTTCCAAACCCTCCCCTGATTCCTGACTCACAATCAAAGATCCCAGGGATCAGTGAAAGTATAAAGAGTATTACACAGTGGACATGAAAGAAGCCAACATCCTCTAACACATTGGTGAAAAACATTTCCCAATTTAGTATTTTATATTAGAGAGTAGCAAACTGACCAAATCAGATTATTTTTATTAGGAAGTACGAATGTTAATGTGATGGCTAATTTTACGTGTCAACTTGCCGAAGCCATAGTACCAGTTATTTGGCAGAATATCAGTCTAAATGTCTCTGTGGAAGAATTTTTTTAGATGAGATTCACATTTATATCAGTAGACTTGGAGTAAAGCAGATTATTCTCCATAATGTGAGTGGATCTCATCCAATTCATTGAAAGCCTTGAGAGAAAAAGACTGGGGTCCCCTGAAGAAAGAGGGAATTCTTCCTCTAGACTGCTTTTGGACTAGCGCTGCAACATCAACTCTTCCCTGGGTCTCCAGCTGCCAACCTGTTCTGTGTGGATTTTGGACTTGCCAGTCCTCACAATCATGTAAGCCAATTCTTTAATATTCCTTAAAATAAATCTTGACTAATTCATCTAGGATGGATCACCTGAGACCAGGTTAATTATTGCTGTATCCTTCTTGTCTGTGATTCTATATAATTGAACAATCTTGAAAGCGTAGGGTCACTGGAGTGGTTGATAGCAGAGATGAAAATAATCTGTGCTCCCAATTCCAATCTATTCTTATTACTAAGGTAGAAATCCATGTAATGATTATTCCCATGATCAGATAATATCAAACCTGAAAATTGTGACAAGATCATGGTACTGCTCATTAGCCATATATGCCATACCTGGAAATTCACTTAAAAATAGTAATTAGGTGGGTTATTATCTCACTTTTTTAAAGGTCTTCCCTTAATTAGCCATATAAGCCACTCAGAAACTTGATGGTACCAAACTGATGCAAACCAGTAACTTCCTCAGTTCAGAGATAGAAGGTGTACTAGTCTATTTTCACACTGCCAATAAAGACATACCCGAGACTGGGTAATTTACAAGGAAAAACAGTTTTAGTGGAATCATAGTTCCATGTGACTGGAGAGACCTCACAATCATGGAAGTAGGTGAAAGGCACTTCTCACATGGTGACAGACAAGAGAAGAGAGTTTGTGCAGGGAAACTCCCATTTATAAAATTATCAGATCTCGTGAGACTTATTCACAACCACAAGAATAGCATAGGAAAGACCTGCCCCCGTAATTCAATTACCTCCCACCGGGTTCCTCCCACAACACGTGGGAATTGTGGGAATAACAATTCAAGATGAGATTTGGATGGGGACATAGCCAAATCATATTAGAAGGCTATTTCAGATTCAAGTCTAAGTCATTATTTGCTCAAACTTCTGTCTTCAAAGTACAAAGTCTCCATCAAGCATATATTAACATCCTATTACTATGATAATTTACTACTTCATAGATCCACACAGATACTATCTATTTTTGTTCATGGTATGCAGTACTGTCTCTTTTTTTCTATGGGTTTTTAATGGATATTCTCAGATTTCAGAAATAGATGCCTTCTATTTAATAGTGCTATTTTCCCCATGGTTACTTTTTCTTATCTCAATATAAATCCTATCATCCTTCCTCTGTCATCTCTTCACTGTGAATCGCTATTGCAAATATTTCCAATTTGTGCTTCATGGACTGCTGCTGTTTGACCATTTCTCCATGTTTTGCTTACTCATATGTAGATCCCAACATATCAGAGTCTCCAGCAGTCAATGAAAAATCTGTTCACTGATGATGAATTGGTGGACCAGTTGATATGAGTAATGTGTGATCTTAATTATGTGATTGTTACAGTAAAACTTGTATTACAATAAACCTTTTCAATCCTCAGTAAGTCACGTATCAATGGACTGGCTTTCAAACGCAGAAGATATCTTTCTTGGGTAGCTTTGAACCACATTCCCATCTAATGAAATGCTCTCCATTGTAAAATGCATCCATTAAAGTTGAATGACTCAAGGGACAATTCCAATGAAAACAGACATTGTTTATAATTTTTTAAACTGGTAAATGTTTTATAATTTGAAAATAAAAATTAGCGACATTTAGTTTTAAAAAAATGTAATGTCATTGACTACAGAAAGCAAATGTCATTATTTCATTGCATTTCAGTAAAATAATAAAGTTTGCTGTTAAAAAAATGACTTCTAAGTGTGGTTTTTGTTATCTTAGTTTGCATTTGTTCAGGGAATCAATGACAAGTTTAAATGGGCACTCTTTTCCTTAGCATCTTCTATACATTAAAACTTTTAATTGCTGAATTAAGTGCATAAGAGCTTGTGTCAGATGGGACACTATTAAAAAGCAAATTAAAGCCTAATTCTCATTTCTCCATATAGTCAGGGGAAGCCAAAACTAAGAGTTTCATTAAATCTAACAGATTTATTTTAGTCATTAGTTTCAACCTCTTCCCACTACCAAACCTTTGGCCAGAGATGCTTAATTAACTAATTTGACTTTTTCCCCTTCCTTCCCTGAGCACTCTTTCTGGGGATAATGAGTAGCCACATGTCTAGTCGATGGTCAGCAGGAGGGAGGCCATGGATAATAAGCCCCGTGAGCAGTAGATTATCTTTTACTGCGTTTCTCTTCCGTAGATTGATAAAATGGAGGAAAGATCTTCAAGTGGCAAAAACTTTAACAATTAATTCAGCAGTTGCAGGAAGACGCTGCATTCCCAGAATTTTTAGTCTTGGAAAGTTTCTTAATGCATGCTGTTTCTTTACACACTCCTCTCTTTGTGCCAAGAAAATATCTATTTATTTCCACAATCCTACCTAACGCATTATCTAAGTGTCTTTCGGTATTAATTCATTCTCACACTGCTATGAAGAAATACCTGAGACTGGGAGATAGCACCAGTGGATGGCGCTAACCCATTCATGAGTACCAGCTAACCCGTTCAGTAGCGCCAGTGGATGGCGCGAACCCATTCATGAGCACTCCACCCCATGATTCAATCACCTCCCACCAAGCATCACCTCCAACACTGGGGGTTAGAATTCGACATAAAAGCTGCTGGGGACACAGATCAAAACCGTATCTCTCCCAGACACCTTCATGCAGAGTTAACCCCACAATTCAGTGTCTCTATGTTCCTTGGCGCAGGTTTTTACTGGAAAAGAACATACTGATTGCTCTTTGTGGAAGGAATTATAGCACTCACCACATTGTGGTTTTAATTATTTTAAGCAAATTTCTTTATGCGAGTATTAGAGAATAAGAGAAAGGTGAAAATATGCACACTACAGATTGGCGAATCACCAAAAGGAAAACACACTTGTGTAATCAGATCTTGTCAGCAACAGGACATTGTCAGCCCTCCAGAAACACCCTCTCAGTAACTATAGGTCTCTCCTTTCCAAAGGTAACCATGGCCATGCCTTTTACCATCAATTGTACCTATTTTTGTACTTCATATAGTGTATGTACTCATTGATGCCTATGTTTCGTTCAAAATTATGTTAGTAAGATTCATGCATGTAGTTTGATCATTTTCATTGCTGAATTATACATATTATTGTATGTATTAAGTTGATACAAAAGTAATTGCATTTTTGCCATTACTGTTAATCGTAAAAACCACAATTACTTCTGCACCAACCTAATATAACCATTTTATTTATGTACCCTGGTATGGTGGGCATTTAGGCAGTTTCCATTTTTTTTTAACTATGGCAAATAGTGCTGTTATGAACATTATTGTATATATCTTTAGGTACATATATGTTTACATTTCTATTGAGTATATACTTAGGAGAATTTCTGAAATACTGGGCATGCTAACATTCAGCTTTAGTAAATACTGACATATACTTTTGCAGACTGTGGTCAATTGATACACTCCTGGAAGTATAGGAGAGATCTAGTTGTTCACATCACATGCTCAGCAGCACTTGCTCTTTTCACTATTTTTAAAATTTTTTTTAATTTTTAAATATTTTTTGAGATGAGGAACTGCCTCCGCTTCCAGAGTATTTGGCACTACAGGTGTGTGCCACTAGACATGGCTTCTTCTTGCTTTAATTTCAGTCATTCTGGTGTGTCTGTGGTAGGTCTACCTGGTTTTACTTTGCATTTCTATGATCACCAATGAGGTTGACTGCCTTTTTCTTTAGTATTTTGACTATTTTAGATATTCTCTTTTGTGAAGTGTTTGTTCAAGTTCCTGCTGATTTTTTGTGTGATTTTTTTTACTCTTATCATAATATATATGTTTATATATAATTTATACATTGCAAATACTTTTGTAATCTGAGGTTTGCTTTTTCACTAATTTATTAGTATTTTTAAGTTCTTAATTATAAGATGGTCCATTTTAATTTTCTTTATATTAATTCTTATTTTGGTCTTTTAAAAATTGCTGCTTACCTCTAAAGCCATGAAATTAATCTGTTTTGTATTCTAGAAGTTTTAGTGTTTTAGTGTCCTTAAATCTGGAGTACACCTGAACTTACTTTTATGCATAGTGTAATATAGGGAGACAAGTTCCAATTTTTTCCCTATGAATATGCACTTTGTACCAACATCATTTACTGAAAAACCATTCTTTCCCGACTACTCTGCAGTGAAACCTTTGTTATGAATCAAATATTCATACATGTTAGTTCCTTCTGGACTCATTTTTTATTGGTCAGTTTATCTACCATTATACCAATACCTTCATTACTCTAATTACTCCAGCTCTATAAAAAGTATTGATATCCTATATTTTAAGTATTCTGGCTTGATTCTTCTTCATGTTGTCTTAGCTATTTTTTGACTTTTGAATTTGCATACAAATTTTAGAATCAACTTGACAGTCTCTAAAAAATATTTTTATGCGATTTCGATTGAGATGGTACTGAATCTATAGATCAGTTGGGAAGAACTGACATTTTAACAGTATTGCATCTTCTAATCAACATACAAGGTAAATGCATGCTGCATTTATTTAGTTTTTTTAAAATTAAATTCATAGTTATATATTTGCTTAAATATAATTGTAAAGACTTTTTTTATTTCGTTTTCTTAAACTTTATTGCTGATACAAAGGAAGACATTGATTTTGTATTAATTGTATTCAGTAACCTTTTTTCTCTATTTTTTTTTTTTCAACAGAGAGTCTCTCTCTGTGGCCCAGGCAAGAATGCAAAGACTTATTCAGAGCTCAGTGCAGCCCCAAACACTTGGGCTCAAGTGATCCTCCCACCTCAGCCTCTCAAGCAGCTGGGACTACAGGTACACACCACCATGCCCAGCTAATGTTTTAATTTTTCTGTAGAGACAGGGTCTTGCTATATTGCTCAGGCTGGTCAACTTCTGTTCTCAAGCAATCCTCCCATCTCGGCCTCCCAAAGCGCTGAGAGTTACTGAATACAGGCATGAACAACCATGCTTGCCCTGTATTCAGTAACTTCTTTGAGTTTATTTATTAGTTCTGATAGGTTAACAGGATGGTTTTTTTGGATTACTTTCATATATAGCCAGACTGCTTTGAATAATGTTTGTGTTATTTACTCCTGATAAGTTCTTATGCTCTTTTTTCTCCTTGAGTTATTACACTGGATAGAGCTGCTAGTACAAAATTAAATAGCAGAACTAATTTTAAACTTCTTAATTCTTTCTCAGACTAAAAAGCAAAGGATTTCTGTATATCACCATTGAGAAAAAGGGTTGCTCTGTTTTTCATAAATATCTTCTATCAGATTAAGATAATTCTCTGTTATTTTCAGTTTGCTATTTTTTTGTTTGCTTTTTTTTGAAAATGAGGGTTAAATTTTACAAAATGTGTTTACTGTACCTATTCAGAATATCTTATGCTACTTCCTTTTTCCTTCATGTAGAAAATATAATTATCTTAAAAAATATTTAAACAAAATTTGCATTCCTCAAATAAACACAATTTGTTTGTGATACATTAATTTTTCAAACATTGCAAGTTTTAATTTTCTAACATTTGGTTTAAAAATTTACATCTTCCTTATGCTCAGGAGGTTGAGGATGCAGTGAGCCATGATTACGACACTTTGCTCCAGCCTGGGCAATACAGCAAGACTCTGTCTCAAAAAAATAAAAAAATTTACATCTAAGCCAGCACAATGGTGCATTCCTGCACTCTCAGCTACTCAGGAGGCTGAGGCAGAAGGATCACTTGATCCTCAACTCCTCAAGAGTTTTGGGACCAGTCTGGGTCTCTAAAGACCTTGTCTCTAAATAACAGCAACAACAAATGTACATCTAAATTCATATAAGAGAATGACATTTTTGCAATGGCATTGTCCAGTTTCCATATTACTGAATGGACCACCTGTGAGGGTTTCCATTATCTTTTCTTTTCTTTTTTTCTTTGTCACATTTTTAATCCACTGACACTTGTGATTTAATACAAAATTTTGTAGAGGGTTTTCATTGATGTTATTTTCTCTAGATGATTCCTTTTAGTTTTTGATAGGCAGGTAGATGAATATTGTATGAATACTTTCTGTGTTTGAGCTGATTTAAGGGTGAGTTGAAGCCTTTGTAAGATCTCATATGTTCTGTCTCAACTTTTAGAATGTAGTTTTTCAGGAGCACCAGCTGAAAGCCTGGCTTGTTTACTGGAGACCCTCCACACTGAAATCCAATGCTTATCCAGTTCTGAAAACTGCCAACAGTTGTGTGTAGCTTTCCAGTCTCTTAGGAGCAGCTGTTGTACTAAGCTTCTCCAGCTCTTGGTTTGAACCACATCTGAATGAACTAATGCCTTGAGGGGAAAGTGGCTCAACCATTGAGCTCACTTCTCTATGTTACTTTTCTTTTCAGGATCTTGGATTCTCAATTATTAGCCACTTTGGTAATGCTGAATATGAATGAAGTCTCCAATCTCAATGACTGCCAAAATCTCTTCTCAGTATTTTTGCCTTTTAGCGTCAGCTTTAGCTTGACTTCTCTGCCTTTCCATCCACCTGTCTTATAAACTATCAAACGACTTGAGCAGAAATGTGTTGCAGAAGATTAAGCTCACTCTAGTGAGTGTCTCTTCTCTGTAGGATATTAGCCACTCAAGTCCTAGCTATCTTGGTTGCTCTCCTGTGCCTTCAAACGGGTTTTTGTTTTTGTTTTCCCTAATAGAGATGATAAAATTTTTCTTGATGGGAGGATTGTTCTGCTGCAAGCTAGTTTATCATAATCTGAATCAAACTTAACAATTAAGATTTGAAATAGGAATATTACTTCTGTGTCACTTACTAGCTTTCTTGCCTCTAAACCTTAGTTTTCATATTTATAAGCCTACATTAAATTTTGAATAATCAGACACTTCTTTCAAACCTAAATTTCAATGGTCTTGGAGTCCTGCTCGACTCTAGAAGTTCCAGTCTATACCAAATCCCACTGCCCACTGTCTAGCTTCAGAAGAGAATTCAGATTTTCTTAAATACAGCTTCATCATCTTGGATCAACTTTCTTCAAACAGAAGCAAACCCATAGAACTTGACACACCCTCCTTATAAGCACAAGCAGTATTTTAATACCACCTCTACACAACTAAGAACAGAATGTGTTTGTGTGTATTGGGATATCAGATAGAAATTGCAAAACAGTAAAACCAACAAACAATACAGCAAGTCCTAGAGTTACTATGCCCAGCCTCAAGAGGTCCTCTCAGCCTTCTTCTTTCCGCTCCAATCTAAGCTCTTTTGTAATAGCCAGCTCTTTCCCATAATGAGCTGACCCTGAGCATGCCTTTTCTATACAATGTAAAGCCTCAACTCCCCTTAAACCTTAGACCTGAACAAAACAGCTTTTTGCAAGGTTAGCCGAGAGAAAAGATGAGAGAGAGACCCAAGGTCAGGCGAGTAAGTTTATTAACCTGCCGGGTTGCTCCACCACAGTCAGAGGAGGCAGCCCTGAGCTTACAAAGTGAGGGGTTTATACCAGGGAGAGAGGCCCTGGAGTTGTTTGTTGGTTAACTTTACCACATATCATCTTGTGGCTGGCTTACAATATATTATGAAAACAGGAATTTACAAAAGGGTGTAACATAGGTTTACCCACATTTCTCATGACCTCCCCCATGCTGCCTGGAGGGCTTCAGCATAGCAAATCTGGTTACCTTGCTGTGGCACCTAGATAAGGGTTCAGGAATGCAGCTGCAGAGTATTCAGGGTAAGGGTCAGCTACATTGAGGGAGTGGGGGGTTCCTGGGGCAGCTTGTCCCTAACACTTTTCTAAGAGGAAATAAACACAATATTGGAACACAACCTCATTCATTTCAAAATTGATAATTTTTTACATTATTTTTAGAAGCAATTTTGCTCCTGTTTATGGAATCTCAATTTCACAATAGAGTCTTTACTTTTTTTTAGATGGAGTCTTGCTCTGTCGCCTAGGCTGGAGTGCAGTGGCGCAATCTCGGCTTATTGCAACCTCTGCCTCCCAGGTTCAAGCAATTCTCCTGCCTCAGCCCCCCGAGTAGCTGGGATTACAGGGGCGCGCCACCATGCCCGGCTAATTTTTGTGTTTTTAGAGATGGGGTTTCCCCATATTGGCCAGGCTGGTCTCGAACTTGGTGGCTTAGGCCTGTAATCCCAGCACTTTGGGAGGCCAAGTCAGGCGGATCATGAGTTTTACTTTTATCTAACTAAATTCCCATTCAAGCTTTACTGCATCCTCACCCCACCACAATCTCTACAAAGAAAGGAGCTATTTACTCTCAACAGTTGACTCAAGTCACCAATTTTAGGAAAACAGTTTAAATATTTAAGGCACATTTTTTGTCCTAGGAAATTTATAAGGCAATTTTCCCACTGCTGGCCATTGAAATGTCTATAAATAACAGCATCCAGCCTAAACCACGGCATCCCCATATATCACAGATTTAATAAAAGTATGAAGGAAATAAAACAAATCTCACACAACATACTAAGTGGCTGCTCAGGTGTTTTATTTTGTTTGAGGTTACCTTGTACCATCAGCACTCAATCCAGACAGATCTGAGTGCATAATGGCTTCCTATTAAATGCTAAAAATAATCAATGCAAGATCTCAGACTAATACTGTAGACCTGTGCTCTTTCCACATCACTCAGTTATTAACCTTGGCTGCTTACCTGCAAAATGAATGTATTCAGAAAAACACAACCATTTAAAGACCCTAAAGGCTGAGTCATTTTTTAGTGGTCTTAATTGTTCATCTATTTTCATGAGCAATGTTGATTGATTAGATGCACCAAAATCACATTCCAGGTTAGAAAAAATTGTTTGATATTAATTATGTGTCAGGAAGTGAAAGACCACTCAGCAGGACTGGGAGCTCATGAATGGACTCTGTTTAATCGAGTTCTAAAATCAAGAAACAAATCCCTTGTAGCTATGTTGTTTTGATGTGAATTGACAAGAATAAGTAATTACAAGGCCATAATTAAGTACTTGGCTTAAAAAGGAAAAAGGAGAGACTCCTATGGGAGACTCGTGTTGACAAGTAGGAAAACAACATATTCCTGCTCATAAACTTCTGTAGATACAGTCCTTGTTCCTTCAACATGAAATGTTTTTGCTGTGGGCAAAACCAATTTTTTTTCAAGTGGGTAAGAACATGAGAAACTAAGTAAAATAATCATAGATTATAAATTAAGACCATATTTAGAATTCATCTGCCCTACTTTCCTCTATTTCTTATACAACTTCAGAGTGTAATTTATCATTTTAAAAATATGATTTAACATAATATGCTCTAGAAACAAGCTGATAGAAGTGTAACTTGGCTAACTTAAGTTTTAACACTATTAATTAAAAATGGGTTAATGCTCATGGCTTCTTTATTTGGTTTTAATATGCTTAAATGTGGCACATTAAGCAGGGTAGGTGTGCTAACCTTATGAGCTCTCTGTTCCTTAGAATGATCAGTTTTGCCTTGGTGGGTCAGTCCCCTGCCCTGTGGTTGAGGACATGAGGACCTATAAACAGATGGCTCCTTTTACCCTAGGAGGTGAGAATTGTAACTCTCTGACCATTAAGCTCAATATTTTCTAAAATGTAAATTTGACAAAATGGATCAAACTATACATAGGTTAAAGATAACAATCATCCGAATAACTAGTGGTCCCTGATATGTGTTTTCTATCAATATTTTTTATTATTCACCAATGCAAAGTGATTGGTATAGTAAAAAGAGAATGGAATGCCAACTACCTTTCTTCATTTATGAAAGTAGGATAATACATGAGCTGTCTTGAGGCATTGTTGCAAATGTTAAAGAGATAATAGTTGTGTGGCACACACTACCTGCCACACAGTGGGAACTGAATAAATACCAACAGTTATGACAAGAAAATGCTTATACCAATGCCTTGAGGCATGGTCATGTTCAGAATCTTGAGGACAGTGTAAAGATTAAAAAACAGATTGGGGCCAGGTGCGGTGGCTCACGCCTGTAATTCTAGCACTTTGGGAGGCCGAGGCGGGCGGATTGCCTGAGCTCACCAGACCAGCCTGGGCAACACGGTGAAACCCTGTCTCTACTAAAATATTAAAAAAATTAGCCGGGCATGGTGGTGCGTGCCTGTAGTCCCAGCTACTCGGGAGGCTGAGGCAGGAGAATTGCTTGAACCTGGGAGGCGGAGGTTGCAGTGAGCCAAGATTGCGCCACTGCACTCCAGCCTGGGGAACAGAGCGAGACGCCGACTCTACAAAAACAAACAAACAAACAAACAAACAAACAGATTGGTTTCTTCATTAAATATAACTCAATCTTCTTTTCAGAGCTAAGCTCTGGAACTATTGTGCATACCTCAATAAATTCCCTATTTGATATCTACCTACTCCCAAATCATAGCCGTTCCTTGGTGAGCAGGTCTAGGCAAAACTACCTCTAAAGGCCAAGGAAGCTGAGAGGCAGAAAAAAAGAGGCTGGCAAATCCAGTATCTCAGAAAGAACAATTAATAGACACTTAGGAACAGAAGCCATGTTTCAGGCGGCTGAGAGACAAGATAGGGGATCCCTGCATTGTTACTCTCCACATTCAAGGCTTCTATACCATCCAGAATTTGCCTAGGGGCAAGATTTATGGTGAGTATGCGTTTATGATAACATCAAAGCTCTTGCTGGGTGCGGTGGCTCAGGCCTATAATCCCAACACTTTGGGAAGCTGAGGTGAGAGGACTGCTTGAGGCTGTAATGAGCCATGATTGCACCACTGCCCTCCAGCCTGAGCAAATGAGCAAGACCTCATCTCAAGGGGAAAAAAAAAAAAAAAGCTTGTTTTGACCTAAGGTCAGGATTTGCTAAATAAATGAAAGTAGAAATCTTAGAGGCATTCCCAGAATTGGGGTTAAGGAGAAGTCCACATGGTCGATTAGCATCCAAGATGAAGTTGCTTTAGCCTTCTCAACAGCCCATAAGAGTTCTCCGGCAAGGACTGTAGCTATAAGGCACTTGTTCTACCTTTTCCCTATGGCTGGACTATTTCACCATGAATGGTAGTTCTCAGCTCTCTTAGCGTTTACAGTTTAGATCAGTGATGGCAAATAGATTTTAAAACACAAAGCCACTGATCCCTAGAGAATTGTTCTGAAAGGAATTCTAAGGCCAAATCTAGGAGTAGTAAACAAAAATCAATTGAAAATAAATTGTGCCAGTGGAGCAGGAAAGTGACAGCATGGCTGACAATATTTTCCATTCCAAATATATAGGGTTATTTGCAAACAAATATTTGGTGTCACTCAAAGAAGTACAGAATTTTTTAATATACCAGCAAACTGCAATTTTTTGAATATGACATATCCCAAGCATAATTTCAATATTTACTTATTTATATGTTATTTTTCATTTCCACTAAAAGGTCCAAGGGAGATAAAATTCATTACAATTTTAATGAAGGTAATAGACCACTTGTTAAGGACAGCTTTAGCAAAGTGAAAATAGTTAAGTAATTAATTATTGTGGCCTACTTGTTCCAGTTTTTAATTATTTACATAAAATAATACATATTATTGTTTCCAGTTTGGAAGAACGTGGGAAGTGCAGTGTAACAGTTGCATGTGTGAAAATTTCTAAATTTGCAGACGTATGCCAATCATTGACTTTTTTTCTTTTTAATGGGTTTACTCATCTGGAATCACTTAAGTGAAAATATCAATTTGTCTTCTTTGCAGGTAGCAGATAAGAGAATAAGCAAATGAATAAACTCTTAGTAGGATACCTATCAGGCATTGGAACTCTGAGAGTGTCTCCTATTGACATTATTTTTGTAACAAACTTGATTATCCTACTTAGTTAAACCAAATACACAGTCATTTTTCTAACAGTCTTCGCTTCTGTTTTTTTAGGGTATTTTTTTCTGTAAGTCATCTTTATATGTTTTGGTTTGAAAAATGAATTGCTGTTCTGAAAAAAAACAGGATGAGGAATAGAATATATTTTTGAAGATTTGTCATGTAACACATAATAAAGCATGTATGGAGATAATTCTTAATGTGGCTTAAAATTAAACACCTTCATTAAGAAAAAACTTTTTAATAATTATGCAGGGCAAACATCAGTACTTAATTACAGGAAAAGTGGAAGGTATTATAGTAAACAGGAAGAGAATAATATAAATATTTAACCATCATCATAATTTCTCTGAAGCTATTTTCTGAACACATGTTTAGTATGTGATCTTGAAAAATGCACTTTCAGAACTAAGGCACCTCCTTTTTGTCTGTATACATTATTATTATTATATTAAGTACAACAAGATAATAAAGGTGTCCTTCACATAAATTTTGTATATATTAAATAAAGACATGGAAATATGCATGTAGCCTCAAGAAGTTTAGAAGGAACTAGCTATTATTAAGGCAGTTAGTTTCACTATTTATCTTCGCAGTTAAGGGAGTTTTGATAAATTGATCCTGATTAGGAGCACAGCAAATTTAAAAACTAGTGTTCTCAAAGAGTGTGTAATCATCTATCAGAATTCCTTCATAGCATCATCTGCACTTTCCCCATTTGAAACAGAATTTAAGCACCAAGAGGCTGCTAAATATTTGCATAACAGGATATTCAACCTTTACAATTTACTTAAAGATATGCATTAACTATGCATTTCATACTTTCTTATAATAAACTTTCATAGCCAGGTACACTTATTAAGCACTCATATACTGAGTGTAATAGAAAATCATATGTTAAATAAAACTATTAGATGCAGTTTTGATTAAACAAAGTGATGCTAAGTGACTGCAAGTGATAAACAGAGGTTTGTCCAGAACTCATATTATATCATAGATTTGAAGTCTGTTTCAGTTGAAGATGCCCCCAAAAGATGACTCTGTACTAGGAGTTAAAAACCCCATTTTAAATCACGTCTTTCTAGATGTTTTAACTTGCGTAGGCTACTTAACCTTAGTTAATTTTTCTTACCTTTTTGATGATTATTATACTCTTTAGATCTTGGTATAGGTGTGATAGTTAGTTGAACAAGTATTTGGAAAAGTTGTTATTATACAGTAGGGGCTTCATAATTTAATTCCATTCTTGGCAGAGACAAGGTCATGAACAAACTGTATCTAAGAACAACATGTATCTAAGATCAGCAATGGTCACATGATCAGAAAACTATTTGTGTAGGTCATGTGACTATTATTTGGTTGAGTAGCGCTTTCTTTAAAAAATTAAAAACATTATCTGCTCCAAAACAAATATGGCCATTGTCACCATCACTTATATAAAAACAGGGAGCCTTCTAGTCAGTGTTTATTACTAATCAAGTCAGAGCTGTAACTTTTATTTACTGGAGTCATTCTAGAGAAACTTGAGTGCATTCAGCTTAGGCCTGTCAGTTCAATCGAGAAGCACAGTGCTGACAGAGATTGTCATTTTTCATACCTGTAGTTTCAGAAAAGCCAATGTATTCTCATGAAGCAAACTAGAGTGAAAGCATTTACTGAAGTTTCAGATAAGTTTGTATTCAATTTACATATCTCTACTTTGTGTGGATGTTTTGTCTTGGTCAAAATTTTCTCTCTGCTCGGTTTCTTTAGAAATATAGTCACACAGGGCCGGGTGCGGTGGCTCACGCCTGTAATCCCAGCACTTTGGGAGGCCAAGGTGGGCAGATCACGAGGTCAGGAGATTGAGACCATCCTGGCTAACGTGGTGAAACCCCGTCTCTACTAAAAATACAAAAAAAAAAAAAAAAAAAAAAAAAAATTAGCTGGGCGTGGTGGCGGGTGCCTGTAGTCCCAGCTACTCAGGAGGCTGAGGCAGGAGAATGGCATGAACCCAGGAGGCAGAACGGAGCTTGCAGTGAGCTGAGGTCAAGCCACTGATCTTCAGCCTGGCCGACAGAGCGAGACTCTGTCTCAGAAAAAAAAAAAAGAAAAGAAAAGAAAAGAAAAGAAAAGAAAAGAAAAGAAAAGAAAAGAAAAAGAAATATCGTCATACAGATGCTTCACAATTTAGACATGCTCTTAGGTATGTATGCATTAAAGACTGAATTTTTCTAAAGTTGAAGGTTTGGGTTCACAAAATAGTTAAGCAGTTTTTCATAAGCCATAACTCCATTCAGCTTCTGGTAGTTCAGCAGTGGTAAATGAGTGAAACCTCCATTTGCCATCTGCTCTATCCAGTTGGGTCCTAAAAATCTGAACTTAATGAATAAACCAATGGTAAGTGTTCTTTTTTTTACCTTTGAGTTTTTAATGCTGTCTCTTCAGATTCTTTTAATATTAGCTGGAAAGGTTAAATACTTTGGAGTCATTGGGAGTCTCAGAGAACACCGTAACATCAAAAAGTCCCTCATCTGAGAGAGATGCTTACAAGAAAAGCAAAACCACTGAGAGCAGTCTGGGCTGTGAAGTATGTGAAATTTATTAAGCCCAGAGAGACATGAGGATGGGACCTCAGTCAGGTTTTTCTCCCTCGTCACCCATGCTCAGGGACAATGGTTTAAAGTCATTTTGTTCCTGACTGGCTGCCCTGTCCATTATTGTCATGTTCCTGGAATTTGTGAGATAAAGAACAATATATAGTCAATCAATAGCTTATGTTATTTTCATGTAAATTCTTGGTAAACAATTTAGGGGCTGGGCATGGTGGCTCACATCTGTAATCCCGGCACTTTGGGAGGCCGAGTCGGGCAGATCACGAGGTCAGGAGATCGAGACCATCCTGGCCAATGTGATGAAACCCCGTCTCTACTAAAAATACAAAAATTAGCCGGGCATGGTGGCACGCACCTGTAGTCCCAGCTACTCAGGAGGCTGAGGCAGGAGAATTGCTTGAACCTGGGAGGCAGAGTTTGCAGTGAGCCAAGCTCACACCACTGCACTTCAGCCTGGGCAACAGTGCGAGACTACGTCTCAAAAAAAATAAAAATAAAAATAAAAAAACATTTAGGAACTGCCTCTTCTTTTCTTTTAAAAATGTACTTGGGCCAGGTGTGGTGGCTCACGCCTGTAATCCCTGCACTTTGGGAGGCTGAGGTTGGCGGATCACTTGAGGCCAGGAGTTCAAGACATGCCTGGCCAGCATGGTGAAACTCTGTCTCTACTAAAAGTACAGACATTAGCCAGGTGAGGTGGTCCATGCCTGTAATCACAGCTACTTGCCTGGTTGAGGCAAGAGAATTGCTTGAACCTGGGAGGTTGCAGTGAGCCAAGATTGCACCACTGTGCCCCAGCCTGAGTGACAGAGCAAGACCCTGTCTCAAGAAAATACATAAATACAAAAATTTTTTAAACTCACTTTTAACTGTTTCTAATCAGAGTCTATATTCCAGGCAATTTGCATCTATCCTCTCAGGTTGCAGTCCTCAAACGTGGCCCAAATAAACTCTCTACTTATATTAATTTGGCCTCAGTTTTTCCTTTAGATTGACACATTAAGTCTTCCCAGAAATTTCCATGTCCTGGTTCACTGACTTTATTGAAAGAAAAACAAAGCTTCCTCCTCTACTAAAATCTTTTCCAGATTTTCCCTAAATTAGTTCTCGGGTTCCAGAGTGATAGCTCCCAAAAGCCAAGAGAGACATGTCCCTGAGAGATGGCAGGTGAATCCTTAGCCACACCTTCATTTGCAGTCATGAAATCTCCTAGAAATCCCATGTCTTATTTTGTTGTAATTGATGCAATATTTTTTCATTCTAACATGTTGTGTATTTGTTTCAATACTCTAATGAGTATCTTATAGCACCAGTTCAGTAATTTAGTTTTATTTCTCCTCAATTTTTGAGAAAGTTGGTAATTCAGAAAGGTATTTCCTGTCACTCCGCAGACACATATGTCCCTGATATGTCCCTGGCACCTCCCCTCATCCTTACTGTCAGCACACCACTGTACTGTATACTTCTGCCCATATGCAGAAGCTCATTTTGAAAAGTAAAACCATGAACCTTTGGTGTTTGATCACATAAACATGCAGAATATTTTTCACATCGATTACTTCCTCCATTTCATCAATGATCTTGATTTGCAAAGCTCAGATCATAATCACTCTTGACAAATGAGATGCAATGTAAAGTACATCATTCTTCTCTATGACTTTAATAAACATTTGAAATATACTTTTCTAAATACTGCTGTCATCATAGGGACCACACTGATGGCAATGACCTGATCATTTCCGTGTTTAAGACAAGTCTCAAATTCCTTTCTGAGGTGGTTAGTGCTCACTAGTTTATAAATACTAGCTAATCAGTTTGAAAGCATTTCATGATTTAAAAATATCTCAGGAGGTCAGCAATCAGGGATTGAGACAGATGGGCATAGTTTTATTGGAAGACTATCTTGGGTAAACCTTGTGGATTGGCAAAAAAAAAAAAAAATGTCTAAATTTGGAAGACTCAAGCTTTGCCAAATATTAGCTGTGTAATTTTAGACAGATTATATATCTTTGAGCTTCAATTACCCCATGATAAATTTTACATGATAAAACCTATCATATCCTCCTCAATAGCTATTATGAGGACGAAATGGGATATTTATATTTCTTTCCAAGATTAAAACATAGCTATGTGAAAAGACATCTGTATATCTGTCTGTGTTTAATATCTGAAAGTTGGTTCAGGAGATTAGTCATTGATTAAGCAATAATACTTTGAATTACTTGTAAGTTACTGCTTCCTCTGGAAGAACAAAGTAGTCAATGAAAGGGATGATTCAGTGGGTTCAAACCATGTGCACCACTTACAAACTGTGTAGCCTCGAGCAAGTTTCTTAAATTCACTAAGCTGCAGTTTCCTTATATGTAAGTGGAGCTAATAATAAAAATACTTACCACCTGGAGGTGTGTTAACCAATTATGGTAATGTACACTCATGGATTATAATGACTGTCACAAAGTAAGTTCTTAATAAACAGTAGCCATTGACATTGACTAGTGGTAACAGTAGTAATAGTAAAGTGCATCTATGTTTTTATTAACAAAGAATCCTTTTTGTAGAGTGAATTAAAACATTATGTTTCTCCTAAAGGTAATTAATTACATACTATTCTCATAATCAAGAGCAGGGACCCAGGGAGAGAACTGAGCCATTGTATTGGATGAGGTATAGAAACATAGAGTTCAGAGTGATGGGGCTATATAACCGTACATTTTCAACCTACATCTATGGTATGTTAGAGAAAATTTTGTTTCTATAAAGCAAGTAGAGGTAACCCAACACATCTGTACTTGTAACAACGTCCAAGGCACTGAACAAAGTTCAAGGCACTGATGGCATAGAATCTGCTCTCTACCCTAATCAAATGGTGATTTGCTCTATTGCCTGCAATAAAACATGTTTATATCGAATACAGCCCTGTAAAGGATACCTAGAGGAACATTGAATCCTTCTTCATTTCCTCCTTCTCAAGGAACTGGCAAGAATTTAAACCTGGTAGAATTAAGCAAACTTTTTCCCTGCTAAATCTCATGCTGTTCTCATTTCACTTAATCACTTTGGGGTTTCTGCTGCTATCCTCAGGCTCCTCCTTGTTAAATTTTGGTCATGGCTTATGTATTTGCTCAAATCTTTATTAATTGAGAGATGGAAGATAAAAAATAACACTTCCCTGTAATATCTCTGAAAAACTCTCCCTTTTACCCATGAATTGCTGCAGCTCTTTGGCATTCTCTACTGGATCTAATGTTTCAACATTCTCTGCAGGAATCAATCAATAGCCATCTGCTTCCCATTAAGGAGAAAGGGGTTGAAATGGCTAAAGTAACTTGGCTGGAAAAAGTCTTCCTCCTGTTAGAAAATAAGAATAACATCATCTTTATAATTGTACACAGAGTGATAACAATTTAAACATTACATTAATAACTATCTTCTTGGGAAAGGTGAGTTGAATTACAGCATTAAATCATACAATATGTAATACTGATTGGCTTAAATAAAAGTAACATTACAATTTAATATTGTGTCTAAGAAAATAGTGATGGAAAAAATTACATCACATACTAATGTGGCAACATGGTGTCCTTTTCCTAGTCCTCAGCTTCTCCGCCACTGACAGTCTCTCTTTTCATTTAAATGTATTCACACACCATCAAAGCCATAAAGCCAAATTCTGTGGCATATTAACTTTCTTTCAAGGCCTACTGACTTTTACAAGAAGTTTCTGTGTCAGGTTAAAGATTGGAGTCTCACTTCTGCTCTATTTTTTTATGGGTTAACGTTCCCAGAGGTAAAAGAGCTCCCACATTGGAAGCTGTTATTGAAATTATAGAACATAAAGGGACTTGGATGTCTTCAGCAAGATCTGGATTTCCCATGTGAGATCTATTTTATCTTCCATGCAGTGACTGAGAACCTGATACTACTTCTTTTTTCTTTGTAATTTAACTTATATTTTAGATTCAGGGGGTACCTGTGCAGATTTGTTACATGAGTATATTGTTTGATCCTGAGGTTTGGGGTATGATTGATCCTGCCATCTAGATAGTGAGCATAGTACCCAATGGTTTTTCAGTCCTTGCACCCCTCCCTCTCTCCTCTAGTAGTCCTCAGTGTCTATGATTGCCATCTTTATGTCAATGAGTACACAGTGTTTAGCCCCCTTTTATGAGTGAGAAAATGCAGCATTTAGTTTTCTGTTCCTGCTGAGGATAATGGTCTCTAGCTGCATCCACGTTGCTGCAAAGAACATGATTTCATTTTTTTAATGGGTGCATCATATTCCATGGTGTATATGTACCACATTTTATTTATCCAATCCACCATTAATGGGCACCTAGGTTGATTCCATGTCTTTGCTATTGTAGGCAGTGCTTCAGTGAACTCTTCACAGTGGCTGAACTAATGTACATTCCCACCAACAGTGTATAACCGTTCCCTTTTCTACACAGCCTCGCCAGCATCTGTTGTCTTCTGACTTTTTAATAGTAGCCATTCTAATTGTTGTGAGATGGTATCCCATTATGGTTTTAATTTGCATTCATCTGGTGATTAGTGATGTTGAGCACTTTTTCATGTTTATTGGCTGCTTGCGTGTCTTCTTTTAAGAAGTGTCTGTTCATGGCTTTTCCCTACTTTTTAATGGAGTTATTTGTTTTTTGCTTGATGAATTAAGTTTCTTATAGATTCTGAATATTAAACTTTTGTCAGATGCATAGTTTGTGAATATTTTTCTCCTATTCTGTAGAATGTTTGTTTACTCTGTTGACAGTTTCTTTTGCTGTGCAGAATCTCTCTATTTTGGTTAAGTCCACTTGTTGATTTTTGTTTTTATTGCAATTGCTTTTAGGTACTTAGTCATAAATTCTTTCCCAAGGCTGATGTCTAGACTGGTGTTTCCTAAGTTTGCTTCCAGGATTCTTACAGTTTGACATCTTACATTTAAATCTTTAATCCATCTTGAGTTCATGATTGTATATGGTAAAAGGTAGGGGTCTAGTTTCATTCTTCCGCATATGGCAAAGCCAGTTATCTCAACACCATTTATTGAATAGGAAGTTCTTTCTGTGTTGCTTATTTTTGTCAACATTGTCAAAGATCAAATGGTGGTAGGCATGTGACTTCATTTCTGGGTTCTCCATTCTGTTTTGTTGGTCAATGTGTCTGTTTTTGTACCAGTACCATGCTGTTTTGGTTACTGTAGCCTTATAGTATAGTTTGAAGGGGAGTACTGTGATGCCTCCATGAAATTGCCACTTCTAAGAAACTTGTGGATTTTAACAAGGAGATACCTTTTTTTCACTTCCTTTTCCTAAAAGCACAGTGCCTTAGAAAACAACATACTGATTTCAACTTAAAGCACTTGTGCATTTTATGGGCATTTGCTTAGAATCTTTCTTTTGTAACTTTTTTTTTTTCTTTTGGAGATGGAGTCTCACTCTGTCACTCAGGCTGGAGTGCAGCGGTGCACTCTTGGCTCACTGTAACCTCCGCCTCCTGAGTTCAAGCAATTTTCTTGCCTCAGGCTCTTGAGTAGCTGGCACGTACCACTGTGCCCATCTAATTTTTGTATTTTTAGTAGAGACAAGGTTTCACCATGTTGGTCAGGCAGATCTCGAAGTCCTGACCTCTGGTGATCTGCCCACCTCTGCCTCTCAAAGTGCTGGAATGACAGGCATGAGCCACCATGCCTGGCCTTTTGTATCTTACTGGCTCTGCTGGGCTCTGCTGGGCTTACTGGCTCTGCTGGGACTGGCTCTGCTCAGTCCTTCAGCTCAATGCATTTCTCAGCTTTCCGTTTATTTTTCTTTCAATAGACCTATAATAATTATTGTTTACCTTAAATTTTATAGCACATACTGCATTCATTTTATTTAATCATCTATTAGAGAATCTGTTTCCTTCTGCATATTTGTATTCCTTGTCATATTGTGAAAAGTCATTTTTCTTACCTCCTCCGCCTCATATGACCCATATAGCTCTAAATCATTGTTTCTGCTTCTGACTGCACTTAGCTTTTCCCTACTACTTTAGCTGACTGTGCATTCAGATTGGTGACCCACTATCAGCCATGTTCTTTTATGAAACTCTAGTCCCAGTAAAAACCATAAATTGCTTTTGAAATCATCTTTAGAAACAAAATAAAGCAAAAGCTGTTATCAATGTTAAGGGTCAACCTGGAAGCAGGAAGTTTTGTCATGCTGGTTTGACTTCATCAAGTTTCCTATGTGACTAGGTTTTGGATCTTGATGAATCCTAATGAATTTGTCTGCTAATAGGATATGAATATTTTTATGTTCAAAGTAAACCCACTAATAAGAGTTTAAGGCTGAAGAATCCCTGTGAGATTAATCAGTTAACATTCCACAACTGAGTGAGAAACAAGCTCACAGCCCTATTCAATAATACTATATGAAAAATGGAAAGATCTCTTTTTGTCCCAACCAACTCAACAATTTCCTTCTGTACTAGTCAACATTTTTTACTGAGACCTATGAATCCACTCTAGTTAGTGTCCACAGAAAAGTATTTCCAAACAAATATACAGTTCATAGTGTATTTCCTTCTGTACCAGTCAACTTTTTTTACTGAGACCTATGAATCCATTCTAGTTAGTGTCCACAGAAAAGTATTTCCAAACAAATATACAGTTCATAGAATTATTGGGGAAAGTGAACAAATAGACTAGCCTCAGCCTTCAGGAATAATCCCCAAAACCACAAGCAATACTGGACAACCCAGAAGGTACTGCTTCTACCATGATGTAAACGTTGAAGTATCTGGAAGCTTCTTTCCATGTCAGAGAACCATTAACAAAGCTGCTGGCTCCAGGAACATGGCTCCTCTGTCACCATCCAGGTCAACGAAATGAACGTGCTGAAACCATCCTCTCTTTCTATGTAACTCAGGGTCAAAACAAATTTCTTGCAAATGTAACTAATATTTGAAGTCAAAATAGTATCCAGAATAACCTGAAAGGCATTGTGTGAAATATGTCACTCATGAGTCTCTGCAGTACAGAAGGACATGCTAGACAGGGCTGGAAGGTGTCAGATAAACTGTATACCTCCATTCTTCAGAACTACTAATGCCTCCCTATTTTTAGCCTCTATTTCTATCTCACTTTCTCTCTCCCATCTATATTTCTGTGGTTTCTGTTTTCAGAGCTTCTAATTTTCCCCCCATTTATCTCAATGTTTTCATCTTGTTTATATTTTAGTCCACCAACCAATTTTTTCCCAGATTTCAGGTCTTGGTAATTCTAAGTACTGTTATTGAGTGATTCCCCAACCCTCACCCCTTCACTTTACGGTGAACCCTCCATACACCAAACGTGTTTGCCCCTCCGTCTCACATACATCCCTCTCCTTATTTGTTTAAATGCCGGGGGAATAATCATGGTACCTCATTTTTCATTTTGTAGCTTTTAGAAAAAGTAATGGCCACAATGGTAGTAGAGTTTTCTCGGGACTATCCTTGGACTCCAAGAAGACACCCTAATTTTTCAGTAGATGGCAGCCTTTTCTCTAGAGCTTAGATGAATAAATTCTACAACTCAAATTACTGGATACAAATCAAGGTGTTATTCAAACCTCAATTTTACATAGAGACATAATTCAAATATTAACTGTCAATCACTTTAATAATATCCTCTATATGTATATATAATTACATATTTGATACATATTATATATAATTATATATATACTATATATATACATATATATATATATTAATCATGATAATAAATCTGGTATTTTAATGAGCTTGTAACCAAATAACTAAGTCTCTGTTTTGGAAATGAAGTAAGTCTGCATTACTTTTCCATTACTAGCAAGAAAGTCAGAAATGAATCTATGAAACACAATCTGTTTAATCCCATTGTACTCTTTTTATCTGTGTATTCTTATTGTCCCTTTGATGATCATCATGACTGTATGGTCACTATAAAATACATTGCTATTGTGAGAACAATTCTATTTGGAATAGACCAGATCCTAAGCGAGAGTATTATGTATATCAATCTTACCATATTTTAAAATTTAATTGTGGCAGAAAATACCAGAAATTTCTTTTTATTAGTTTAGTTTCAAATTTGCCATGTGAATTTCTAATTATTTTAATGTTTGTACATTGATGGCAAGCTTAAACATAGTTCTTAAATCTTTTCCAAGACTGGGTACTTTGTATCTCCAGCTACGTGACAAATTCCAGCAAAAGAGCTTATGAGGTTTGGGTTTTTTTTTTTTTTTTTTTTTTTTTTTTGCTATCTAGCTGAGTTTATTTACTTATTTACTTTTTTATTTTTTTTAGAGACAGGGTCTTGCTTTGTCATCCAGGCTGGAGTGCAGTGGTGCAACCATAGCTCACTACAGCATTGACTTCCCAGGCTCATGCGATCCACCCATTTCAGCCTCCTGAGTAGCTGGGACTATAGGTGCACATCCCCATGCCCCACTAAGTTTTCTATCTTTTGTGGAGACAGGGTTGCGCCATGTTGCCCAGGCTGGTCTCAGACTCTTGGGCCCAAGCAATTCTCCTGCTTTGGCCTCCCAAAGTGCTGGGATTATGGGTGGGAGCCGTTGCGTCCACCCTACTTATTTTTAATAGGTGATTGACATCATCCTGTTATCATAAGGTGAAAGTAGCCATATATATGTTCTTATAGGGCAAATTTCTTCCCAGGGCTTGATATTTTTTAAACTTGGGGCAGAGCCATTATTTCTCAAGTTGGTATATACAAGGGAGCAATGCTGCAAAGTGCTTGTAATTGAAATGCTCAAGAATCCTATGTTTGACTCAAGGGCCAACATCTTCTATTTACATTTATATTATAACATGGGACATAGACAAAACTGTTTCCAATCAGGGCAGAGATCCCAGAAATCTGTTGTAACTACATATGTAGTTATTCAGATTTATCCCCAACTTGTTCACAGACCTTTAATGGGGGAAAGGCAGTCTTGATTAATTTACATCCCTGATACATAATATTTGAGAGGAGACTTTTAAAAAATCACTGGTTTGGATTGTATTATTCATTCAACATATGCTAGGTTTTCTTTTCTGTTCAAGCCTGAGTAGTCTGGATCCCTTTAAAATGTGTCTCTGTCATGGGCAGTTGTGCAATATTCAAAGAAGCACACTGAAGATAAAGATGAGTCACAGGGCATATCTCCAGCTACTAGCCTGACCCACACTTGATATTGGCTTGCTTCCTAAGCACTGGTAAAACCGGGGAAACAAGAGAAAGCATGCAATGTGCTGCCACAGGTCAATAGGGGTTTTGTCTGACTAACAGCCTTATTAAAATAGAATCTCTGTTATGGGAAAAGTGAATCTATGGAGACCAGTTTCGCTATGTCCACTTCCTTGTTTTGGAGGTTATTAAGCTGTGGGAAAATCAGGATGGGGGACTCATTCACTGTCATCTCTCCAGCAGACAGGCTGTGTTCTGTTACAGAACGTGTGCATGTACCAGCTAATCTCCTTTTCTCATACTTAACTGCACTTCAAGTCCGCACAAAAATTTTATGAGTAGTTGGTAAATAATTAAGATTACCTTTTAAAATTAAGACGGTTTTAGAAATCAGATTTGCATTTTTCTGAAGAGACTTACAAACTCTTCTAGGTAATTTACAGATAAATTACAGGTGTTTAGGAAAGTTCTAGAAGTTGATAGTGAATAGCTCTAACTGATTTCTCCACCACTGTATGTAACATGCAGAACTGACCTGCCATGGTTTGGGTCAACCAGTACAACATAATATTACTGATTACAATGTTTACTTGCACAGTTCCTTTATCCAAGGAGATCTAAGTCCTTCACAGGGCCATTAATTCTTATAACATTCCATGGAAGCAGCAGGTTCTGCTCTCCTGTTGTTGACTGAGGATCTGAAACATGGCTGGGTTCAGTGCCCATTCAAATAAGGAGCTTTCCTGATGGCAATTGATATCTAGAGGTCACTGGTTTTTGACACATGGAAACTGGCCAACCTTGAGCCAAATTTGTCCCACATGTTTTGTTCAAACCCCATACTAGTGGCAACATTAAACAAAGAAGGGTTTAAAAAAATACAGATTTCTGACTTGTTAAGAATGGAAAGATCCAGTAACACTAGAGTCCACTCCCATGAGGCCAAAATCAACTGCATTTGTGTAGCTTTTGCTTCATTTAGAGGAACAAACACAATTTTTACCTGTCCTGCTTTACGTTTTTCTCTTTCCTCCCTAGTCCCTGCAGGCATTTGTGTTTGGAACAGCTTGTCACAAATCTTGTGATTTTTATGCTCAACTGAAAGGCTGGTTCTAAATGGCAGTCAGGCCTGAAGCAACTGTTCTCCCCTGATTAGCCTGCAAGCTCCTTGAGGGAGGAACTGTGCCTTCTTCGTGGTTTGGTCTCCAGTACATTTTTTTTATTTTTTGAGATGGAGTCTCACTCTGTCGCCCAGGCTGGAGTGCAGTAGTGCAATCTGGACTCACTGCAACCTCCATCTCCCAGGTTCAAGAGATTCTTCTGCCTCAGCATCCTGAGTAGCTGGGACTACAGGCACACACCTCCACACCCGGCTAATTTTTTTTTTTTTTTTTTTTTTTTTTTTTTTTTTTTAGTAGAGACAGTGTTTCACCATGTTGGCCAGGCTGGTCTCAACTTGAACTCCTGACCTCAGTGATCCGCCCACCTCGGCCTCCTAAAGTGCTGGGACTACAGGTGTGAGCCAGCGCCCGGCCCTGGTCTCCAGTACTTTGAACAGAGCCTGCCCTGTAGTTACTAAGTAATCAACATATGATGAATTAAAGAAGAGGTGAATTAATGAATCCTTCAAAATGACATTTGAGTCAAGCTGTTAATTACTGAACCTATTTATGCCAGAGAACTCTCTCTCTACATGGAAAATGCACTCGAGAGATTTTCAGAATTGAACTTGGTTAATTGATTTTACATTTTCTAAAATGACCAGTGTCTGAAAGAAAAGGCTCATAGTAGTTGGGATTTCAACCCTAGAGTCAAGATGGTAAAGTGTGGCTGTAGAAATAACAAACATGTAGATGAGTGAAGTTCAATGTAGTTAGATTACAGACTGTGAGAATAGAGCTTGGAGGTATGGAAATGCAGCTGCTTGTTCTTCTAATCTGTTCTATTCTAGGTGTTCCTCCACTATAATTTCTGAGTGTCAACTATGAATGGCCCCAGGAAAAATTTCCCTTCTTTTGTAAAACTTGCACCAACTTCTTTTTTAATAGCAAAGTCTATGCCAAAGGGGATTTTTCATTGCCAAGTTGAAGAGTAACCTAATTTAGTTACAGTAATATATGTAACATTTCCTGCATGTGATAGAAGATTAATAAATATTATTTAAATGGAATCTGGATCTCAAGTGTGAATGATAAGAACTATATTTGAATTTAGATAGATGTTATATGCAAAATTGTACTATATGTTATTTATTTTTGTACTATGTGAACATAGTCTCATGTACTGAATTCTACCAACATAGCAGAATACGCAGCAAAATCTGAAAGCGATTTTTCATGACATCATACCCCATAGGCTTCTTTTCACAAACACATAGACACATCTGGGTTACTATCCAGGGGATAGCTATTATCAAAAATTTGATATAATAAACATATATTTAAGTTAGCTTTTTCTGTTTTGCTTATTATAAAAATAGTTATTCAAGCTAGCATGAAATTTGAAACAATATTTGATTGAAAAGTAAGGGAAACACAGGAACAATGGTAATCCATGCAAATTTCTAATTATTTCCACATTAAGTCACAGATTCAAGGTTTATACTTAAGTTAACTTCTTCTTTGGAAGCCAAAGAAGCCACCAATAATGGCTAGCTGATGAACTTACCATTCACTTACTTGTAGTCGAAGTTCTCTCCCTTTTCCGAGTTTACATTAAATCACAAGGCAAATTGAGAAAGGTAGGCTGATACAGTTGAGATTGCTATTTAAGTAGCTTAATGCTTCTTCCAAATGAAATTCCATTCCTAGCAACATCATTAACTAATAAGAATTCCAATTTAGCGATGGTCAAAAAAACACTAAAATTCCCTAGGATATCAAACATCTCCTAAAAAGTAACAGCAAAATAAATCTTACTTCAATGAGAAAGTGCATAAAACATACATATAAGTTATTTGCATAAAATATACATGTAAGTTCTTTCTAAAATTTAAAAGTATATGTGTATTAATTTTTATTAGTTATGTATTATTCTATATTGTATTTGTCTGTATTTGTGTTAATATACTTAGAGAAAAATAATTATAATTAATGATTCCTTGGTATAGTAAAATTATATATTAAACAAAAATGGTAGCCTAGGCTCTTAGTCCATCAATATTTGCCATGGTAATTGGAAGGATATTGGATTAATAATAGCAAGCATTGGAAAAATGGGATTTGCATACTGAGAAGAGAGAAATGAGATAGAATAAATGAGAAAATGAAGGTCAGTTCACAGGGCATACTTAGGAAACTTAAAGAAAGCTGAAGTAAAATTCATGAACCCACTGGGACATAAGTTTACCTCTTAAGAAGGCATATTCAGAGGCATAGTGATGGGCTGATACAGCCAAAGGTGAGTTTTATTTTAGGCTCTTCTCTGCTTAAGCATCGACCTGAAAAAATAAACTGAAAATATTATATAACTTATATATAGGAGAGTTTTTTTTTTTTTTTTTACAATACTGGGTACATAGGTTATTTTTCTTAACTAACATTCTTCTTTTATTTATGGAATATTTCCTGAGCTCTTACTATGAACCAGGTGATGTTTTAGTAGTTGGAAATACATTTATGAGCAAGACAAAATCATGTGGCTCATGATATTTATATTCTATTTTAGGAGATTTTTAAAAAGACAAATACATAAATAAGCAATAGGCAGTTTACTTGTCTACGGTGTCATAGTTTCCGAGTTACCAAGCAAATATCAAGAACTGGGCACAGAGATTTCAGCGTGATTTGCGTGGTATTAGATAAATACTGAGTGCTCTCTATGTGCCAGGCACTACACAAGTACTTTACTTTGACACGAAGATGAATAGAACAGAGGTGGTTCCTGACTTCCTGGAGCTTTTGAGCCCCTCATGTACAGAATGAAGTGCACATCAGATGTTCTTTTAGATCTGTTTTGAGTCTAATATTCTCTCCTGTTGCCATGTACAAAAGTAACTTGTGTTTCCCTGTTCCAAGCTCGTGACCAGGAAGGAGGCCATGTGGGCTGGGACCAACCAGTTTGGTGACATAAGAATGAAATAGAATGTTGTTGTCCAGTGTGAGACATCAAAAGTCCAGTTAAAACTATGAAAAAGATGCCCAGAAGCCAGTCAGATAATCACATACAGCTCCCCATAGCAGCAACTCTAAAGATATCTGGAACGTAGGTCAGAGAAAAAGAAAGATAAGAACAAGAAATAGGAGCTGCATGAACCAGAAAGGTGTGTGAAAATGTGAGACAGCCAGCTTACCTCTGCTGAATGTTTATAGACTCCTGGCATTGCTTTTCATTGATTGTTTGATCTTGTTTAGAAAACATCAAAACCCTGGAAGCTGCTTTTTTTTCAATGGAGTGAAGGGTGGCTGTTCTCACCTGTCTGTGTGGCTACTTGTATGCTTTTTCAAGTTGAAAAGAATAGTTGGTTAACAAGTTTAACCAATGACAGAGTTAATTGACTCAGCAGTTCTTTCTTCCACTAGCCCCTCAGTTTTGTGGATGTAAAATTACAAAGAAAAGAAACTATGCCTCATATTTCTTGGTTTCCAGAGTCTATCACAGGGCCTGGTACATAGTATACTTGTTGAACGGTTGGAAAATAAGTGTTCAGAAGATGTTTTATGAGACATCGTCTTGAAAATTTTACAGAAAGTACAAAATCTCTATAAATATTTGAGATGAGGAGTTGAATAACTTTTAGTTTTACTCATATTCTCATTGAAAAAATTTTAGTGCATCCAGCATATTATTATAGATTGTAATATTTTCTCTTAAAAAAATAACTGAAACCCAAGAATGCCATGAGCTGCTTGTTCCAATAATATTCTCACCCAGTGCCATGTAAAGTTGGTTTTAAGTAAGGCACTTAATGTCTAGCCCTATTAAAATTTGCAAACACTGGTTGCCTAAGGCAGACAGAATCTTAATTTGAATTTTAAGTGGAAAGTTAATTGTTTTGCAAATTAATCAGTAATGTGGCTTAGCTCTATTTGCCCAGTTAATTACTTTTCCCTGTCCTGTTCCCTGTCCTGTTAACTTCAACTTTACAAGGGAAATTGTTTCTTGTGCTCCTATATTCATTGTTTGCTTATAAGGACATTTTGTGTGTGTGTGTATGTGTGTGTGTGTGCACCCTTGTATGTGTTTTCCATTTGTGTGGACTTTTCCCTTATATCTTATGATTTCCCTCATATCTTATGATTTCTCATATTAAACAATGCATGTTGCTGCAGAAAATGGAAACACTTCATTTCTCCTTATAATGCTCAAAATCCTATTGAAAATTCACAATGTGAAGGACATTGTTTCAGAGAACTCCTTCTGATCTACCAAAACTTATATGCTTTATAAGAGATAAAACTACACATTGACACAAGCTTTCAATTAGGTTTACAGGTAGGTCTATAATGACTTGTAGCACATAGTGGGTCAAGAGTGTAGCCTCAGGTGTTTGACAGAATAGAGTTCCCATATTGGCTTTTTTTACCAGTTTGTTGTGAGGATTTGGGTCAGTTATTTAAACTTTGTAAATTCCAGTTTCCTAGTAAAACTGACATAATAAAGGGCTTTTCTAATAAGGGCGTTGGGAGGCTGAAATCATATGGTTAACTAATATGATATCACTTAATCTTAATTGTTCATATAACTTAGTAATTATTAAGTAGTTCTTATGACTAGGATTAAGTAATATTTATTAAAATATATTATTTTAAGCATAGTCATATTAAATATATTATCTATTATCCTATGTGCCTTTTCTCTTCTCTTCCTTTTTATAATTAACATGACTTAAACTTGTGAATTGCTGTGGATTCAAAATAAAATTATGAAAAGTGCTCTGTTTTGGTCCTGTTCATTATCTGATGTTATCATTTTTAGTACTAATTACAGTCTCTGCCTGGCCAGAAACTTTTGTCATGGACCGTTTGTTCTCCTCATTCAATGCTTCATATGCTTTACATTTCAGTAGAAAGGATTATTATGGGAGATTAAGGGATTTTTTTAAAAAATTTGTTTTTCAAGCAATTCCAAAAATAACCATGTGGAAAACAGTTTTATACAACTTAAAAATGTTTTTTTTTTTTTAATTTTAGCGTTTGGAAAAGGTAAAAAGAAAAGTTGTTAGTGAGTCACCTGAAAAAGCAATTTTAATGGACTAATGAAGGTAACCATAGAATCATTCCTCTGTTGGTCACTAAGAAGTCCCTATAAAATACAAAGGAAAGTTTCTCTGTATTATAATTAGCTGAGGGCACAGACACATGTAACTGTTCACTTTCATTGCATTGAAATAGTTTAATGCTTACTTTAGCCAAATACTTGTTCAGTGGTGGTTAGGTCATTCAGTATCACGACCTAGTCTGTAATTAAGGAATCACGAAGATGGGGACAAGCATGGGAAGTGAAGGAAAAAGGGGTGCCACTGGTACCTTCAGCACAGGGAACTCTCTCAAATTCTAAACAAGGAATAATTTTATTGAAATTGCCAATATTTCCCCAGTAGAAACTCCTTTGAATAGAGTATCTAAAGAGGTAGATTTCAAATTTCAGTGAAGCAGGTATGTTTTAAAAATTGCGAAGGTTGGCCATGCAAAATTTTTACAACAATGTGCTAAGCAAGGACGAAAAATGTTTTGAACATATTTTATATCTTAATTAACTCTGACCATATATGCCAATGTAAGAAATTCTGTTTCCCTAGTTCTCTTTAAGGAGATGGTAGGCAATACAGAAAAGAATGTGGGCTTTAGGTCTGCTTCTGAATTCCATTTCTGTAGATTCAACCAGCAAAGTCTGTGTGGCCTTAAAAAAGGCAGTCTCTCTTGAGTTTTAATTTATTCAATTATAAAAGGAGAGTAATGACCCCTGCTTTCTAAAAATGTTTTAAGTATAAAGTAGAGTGATAAAAAGAATGTATTGTATAGAGAACATTTAATACTCAGTAGCTGCTATTACCAGCAAATTCTTTCTTTTTTAAAATTTTTCCTGAAATCATTAGAATTAGGGTATTTCACATCATCAATTCTCCATATATAAATTACTCATTAATTTATAGGAAAATTTCCACAGTATACAGTTTTGCTTTTTTCAGTTATCTCCCTGGATTTCCAGTACTTTAGTAGAGACATCAAATATATCACATGAAATACACAGACCTGTCTTTCAAAATATATCAGAATTCATCCTATACTTAGGTTTTAATTTTTTTAATGCAATGAAAAGCGAAAGAAAGGTAAAAACATGTCCATGACACTATTTCTATTATTGATTTTTTAATTCATGTTCACCATTCTTTTTTCATCTTGGAAAAATGAAATATTGATATGGGTGATATAATATGGGTGAAGTTCTTAAGCACCAGTAGACCCTTCAGAATTATGCAAATTTTATTGCTTGA
Source organism: Homo sapiens (assembly GCF_000001405.40). Lineage (NCBI taxonomy): Eukaryota > Metazoa > Chordata > Mammalia > Primates > Hominidae > Homo > Homo sapiens. The sequence continues at coordinate 30,220,469 of NC_000021.9, read as the reverse complement.
ATTTGTTAGTAGCTAGATGTTACAGACCGGATATTTGTGTACCCACTAAATTCATATGTTGAAATGTTAACCCCCAATGTGATGGGATTTGGAAGTGAGGTCTTTGAGAGTGAAACTTTGAGAGTTGTAGAGGAGGTCATGAAAGTGAAATCTTCATGACGGTATTAGTGTCTTTATAAGAAGAGAATGAGACTGGAGCTCACACTTTCTCCCTGCTATGTGAAGTCATCTCATAAAGACAGCTTTCTATAAACTGAGAAGTGGGTCCTCACCGGAACCCAGTGACACTGGCACCCTGATCTGGGACTTCAGAAGAATGAGAAATAAATTTCCATTGTTCAAGCCACTTGGTCTGTGGTATTTTGTTAAAGCAGCTTGAATTGGCTAAGATACTAGGCAATTTCTATGCAGTAAGGAGTTCATTTTTAAGCAGAGCAACTGAAAATAGATCACACAGAGGTGGTGAAAAGAGCGGTTGGGCATGGTGACTCACACCTGTAATCCCAACACTTTGGGAGGCTGAGGTGGGCAGATCACTTTAGGTCAGGGGTTCGAGACCAGCCTGGCCAACATGGTGAAACCACGCCTCTACTAAAAATACAAAAATTAACCAGCTGTGGTGGTGTGCACCTGTAATCCCAGCTACTCGGGAGGCTGAGGCAGGACAGTCGCCTGAACCTGGAAGGCAGAGGTTTCAGTGAGCTGAGATCAAGCCACTGGACTCTAGCCTGGATGACAGAGTGAGACTCCATCTCAAAAAAAAAAAAAAAAAGAAAAAGAAAAAAGAGAGACATGGTAAAAAGAGAGGGCTGCTAATGGATAGAGAACTGGAAGCATAGCTGGCCATCATGAAAAACAAACAAGATGATGGTTCAAGAGAACATACAGCAATGCACAACAGTATTTTCGGAACAACACAGAGACCTATTGATATGTTCACTTATTCTCTCAGGACAAGATGGTTGGCCAAGTATGGTTAATTAACAGTGGAACATAGTTAAAAATAAACACCCTTGAAAAACTGTCATCACAACAGAAAACTACAAAGCAAATCCAGAAAACAAAAGAAATTGACCTTTGCTTGATAGGCAGAAGCAAAAATTATTTCAAACAGTGATAAGAATTAATAGAAATCCAAGACTGTGGAGTTGAATTAGGTTAAGGATTAATGGGCATAAGACAATCTGATAGTGATTTGTATGTTATCATTTAGGAAGAAAAAGCATTTGCCTGTGTTATGCTATTATCAGGGCTGAATGCAGTTTAGCAAATTTAATTGCTAAACTTAAATCATGCCTTATGATGATGTTGACAGACAGAAAAGCCCGAGGGAGGGTGGAGAGGGGGTTGACATGAGCTCTCATTTCTCTCCTGGGTTCTTGGTAGTACTGTGGTTCTTCATGGAAATGGAAGTACAAACTATTGAATAATCGATGTATTTTGCTCTGTAGTTCTAAATTAGAGTAAAAATGTTATCAATCTGTTATATCTCTATTACTGCTATCTGAATTTTGTAGCCAAGTTAATCAATTCAGCAGGACAGAAAAGTAGATAACAGTTTCCTTTTATCTTTGAATTTAGGCCCCTTTTGTCTTTAGCAAACTCAATATTACCATTTTTTTCTGTCTTTTTATTCCAGTGTCTTTTAGGACATGGTTATTTATAAATACTATGGAGTTAACTGTATCATTGTCTGATAAGGAACCTATTTGGAAACCCTGGGCCACTTCCTAGTAGGGAATTAACTGTACAATAATTCTAATGTGAACCTAGTGTTAATTTCCCACTCAGATCCTCATCTTTTGGCTAGAACAATTTCAATAGTAAAGTACCTAATATTTTTGAAATAAGGAAAATATTTTTATGTAAAATAAGTTCCTGGTAAAATTCAAGCCTCAAGGGAAGAGAGGTTTGGTAATACACAAAGCCAAGAAATATGAATGCGTACCTGGGAAGCAGCTCCCACAACGGCTGAGGCACTCAGAGGCAGAGCTTTCTGCTTCTGTCTCATGCGTTCCTGTGTTGATGTGGATAGTCAGCAATATTTAAACAGAGCTCCTAAGAAACATGCCACACGGGAATTCGAAAAGAAATTTCAATGAAGCAATATATGCCTTGACATCCCTTAAAATGTAGCTTCACGTAGTCATTATCTCAACCAGTTATATTATTTCTTTTTCATTTTTCAGTTCTGTCAATCACTCCTTTTTCCCAGTTTGACAATTAAAGATGAAAAATATCTTCTGTTTATATGTCATTTTTCCTTTTGTGGATTGCACAAAAGGAAAATCTTTAAGCTTTACTTCATTTTCTTTTCTTCTTCACATCATAAAAATGATCCTTTCTTTGAAATTTTACTTTCTCTCTGCTTCATCGGGCTACCTTAAATCCAAATATGGGAGAAAATGTTTTCTGCTCACTTCTTAAACTTTGAAAGTTTAAAATCTCAACTTTTAAAATCTTATTTTCCCAAGATTAATCTAAGTCTCCCTCCACCACAAATCTGTAACTGATAGAAACTTGATGAAGAAAATGTCATATATTTTCTTTTCTTTTTTTTTTTTTTTTTTGAGACAGAGTCTTGCTCTGTCACCCAGGCTGGAGTGCAGTGGCGCGATCTCGGCTCACTGCAAGATCTGCCTCCTGGGTTCATGCCATTCTCCTGCCTCAGCCTCCCGAGTAGCTGGGACTGCAGGCGCCCGCCACCATGCCAGGCTAATTTTTTGTATTTTTAGTAGAGACGGGGTTTCACCGTGTTAGCCAGGATGGTCTCGATCTCTTGACCTCTTGATCTGCCCGTCTCGGCCTCCCAAAGTGCTGGGATTACAGGCGTGAGCCACCGCCCCGGCCAAATGCTGCATATTTTCTGCATCAGCCTAAGGGACACCCTGAAGTTTGGCACCTCACAGGTCAACAAATGAGAATATTTCTGTAAATATTAAGTTTTAACTTTTTATAAGGTTTATAACGTCTGTTTAACAAAATTATAACAACTCATACTACTGTGCGTCTGTCCTGCCTCTTTTTTAGAAGACAGTCTACTTGATCCTCCTTTTGCCCTTTCTACCATATAGTTTTTGTTTTAATAATATCCACAAATGACTCAGATTTTTTGAACCATGAAACTCTCAAAGTTTAATCAGTGAGCAGAAACGATTTTCTCCCATATTTGGATTTAAGGTAGTCCAATGAAACAGAGAGAAAGTAAAACTGTAAAGAGAAAATCATTTTTTATGATGTTAAGAAGAAAAGAAAATGAAGTGGCAGCTTAAACTTTGGAAAGATCAGACAGAGAGCTTAAGGTGATCTCCAGAAGAAAATTGCTAGTCGAATTTTCTCAGATAAACATTTATGCTTAGTATAGCACTACTGTTAGAGCATCATTATTTTGAGAAGAAAGTTCAAATTGTCTTGCGTTTAGGGGTTTCTATGTCCTACTGCAGACATAATATTAAAAGGTAGGAAAACATATTTGGTTAATACCTAATATAATACAGTTTGGTAAATATAGTTCCCTTGTCTTGTAAATATCTTATTTTGAAATATCAGCCATTTGTATAGGCCCAAGGGTCTTGTGTCATCTTCAGAATTCTAGTTCCTTCAGCCCAGGAATTCAAAGCAGCAAGAATAACACCACAAAATAAGCTCATAAGCTTATTTTAATGCTATAGTGCTGGATACATAAGATAATCATCTGGTGATTTTTATTTTGGCAAAAAATGTTTTTATAAGTGAAGATTATCAGAAAAGTGTCAATGAGTATTTTTTCTGGCTTAAAGAACTCCAATATGTTTTCAGTGCCAAGGAGAAGGACAGCCTTGTGTATTTAATTACTTTAGCTTATTTTGTCCTCTGGCATGATCTGTTCCCTGATTTCACCACAGTAGAGCTTGCTTTGAAGTTGTAGAAAAATTAAATCAATCACTTGGATCACATGTGTCCCAAAGAATGTGGCTTCCCAGGTAAAAGCAATCTTTCAATCCCCTACTCTCGTTTCACTTTGGCATTTCAACAGCGTTGCAGAATTCTTCGGCAGATAATTTATTTTATCCCTTGGTCCCAGCAGCTCTTATTAAGAGTTTCAGAATTGCCTGTACAAGGTGCACCTTTCACATTACAAGGGATCGGCTCATTTCTTGATGCTTATGCAACCACTTATAACTATGCCTACAGGTAAACATACTGCTGTCTTCTTGGAAGACCGAGAAGTATAAAGAATGTTTATGTGCAGGTCTAGCTGTTCCAAGTACCCAAGTGTTGGTTTAGACACACCTGGATTACCATCCACCTTTTATTGGCTGAGAAAGTTGCCACACCTGATTTGTAAGTTTACCTGTTGCAGCCAATAGCAGGGCCATCTCAGCCAGCCAGCACTGGATACTATCTGGCCAGAAGTAGCAAAGCAGCTCTTATTTGAAAAACCACTGGGTTCCGAGTTCATTACTACAGGAAAAACTGTTCTCTTCTGTGGCACAGAGAACCCTGCTTCAAAGCAGAAGTAGCAGTTCCGGAGTCCAGCTGGCTAAAACTCATCCCAGAGGATAATGGCAACCCATGCCTTAGAAATCGCTGGGCTGTTTCTTGGTGGTGTTGGAATGGTGGGCACAGTGGCTGTCACTGTCATGCCTCAGTGGAGAGTGTCGGCCTTCATTGAAAACAACATCGTGGTTTTTGAAAACTTCTGGGAAGGACTGTGGATGAATTGCGTGAGGCAGGCTAACATCAGGATGCAGTGCAAAATCTATGATTCCCTGCTGGCTCTTTCTCCGGACCTACAGGCAGCCAGAGGACTGATGTGTGCTGCTTCCGTGATGTCCTTCTTGGCTTTCATGATGGCCATCCTTGGCATGAAATGCACCAGGTGCACGGGGGACAATGAGAAGGTGAAGGCTCACATTCTGCTGACGGCTGGAATCATCTTCATCATCACGGGCATGGTGGTGCTCATCCCTGTGAGCTGGGTTGCCAATGCCATCATCAGAGATTTCTATAACTCAATAGTGAATGTTGCCCAAAAACGTGAGCTTGGAGAAGCTCTCTACTTAGGATGGACCACGGCACTGGTGCTGATTGTTGGAGGAGCTCTGTTCTGCTGCGTTTTTTGTTGCAACGAAAAGAGCAGTAGCTACAGATACTCGATACCTTCCCATCGCACAACCCAAAAAAGTTATCACACCGGAAAGAAGTCACCGAGCGTCTACTCCAGAAGTCAGTATGTGTAGTTGTGTATGTTTTTTTAACTTTACTATAAAGCCATGCAAATGACAAAAATCTATATTACTTTCTCAAAATGGACCCCAAAGAAACTTTGATTTACTGTTCTTAACTGCCTAATCTTAATTACAGGAACTGTGCATCAGCTATTTATGATTCTATAAGCTATTTCAGCAGAATGAGATATTAAACCCAATGCTTTGATTGTTCTAGAAAGTATAGTAATTTGTTTTCTAAGGTGGTTCAAGCATCTACTCTTTTTATCATTTACTTCAAAATGACATTGCTAAAGACTGCATTATTTTACTACTGTAATTTCTCCACGACATAGCATTATGTACATAGATGAGTGTAACATTTATATCTCACATAGAGACATGCTTATATGGTTTTATTTAAAATGAAATGCCAGTCCATTACACTGAATAAATAGAACTCAACTATTGCTTTTCAGGGAAATCATGGATAGGGTTGAAGAAGGTTACTATTAATTGTTTAAAAACAGCTTAGGGATTAATGTCCTCCATTTATAATGAAGATTAAAATGAAGGCTTTAATCAGCATTGTAAAGGAAATTGAATGGCTTTCTGATATGCTGTTTTTTAGCCTAGGAGTTAGAAATCCTAACTTCTTTATCCTCTTCTCCCAGAGGCTTTTTTTTTCTTGTGTATTAAATTAACATTTTTAAAAAGCAGATATTTTGTCAAGGGGCTTTGCATTCAAACTGCTTTTCCAGGGCTATACTCAGAAGAAAGATAAAAGTGTGATCTAAGAAAAAGTGATGGTTTTAGGAAAGTGAAAATATTTTTGTTTTTGTATTTGAAGAAGAATGATGCATTTTGACAAGAAATCATATATGTATGGATATATTTTAATAAGTATTTGAGTACAGACTTTGAGGTTTCATCAATATAAATAAAAGAGCAGAAAAATATGTCTTGGTTTTCATTTGCTTACCAAAAAAACAACAACAAAAAAAGTTGTCCTTTGAGAACTTCACCTGCTCCTATGTGGGTACCTGAGTCAAAATTGTCATTTTTGTTCTGTGAAAAATAAATTTCCTTCTTGTACCATTTCTGTTTAGTTTTACTAAAATCTGTAAATACTGTATTTTTCTGTTTATTCCAAATTTGATGAAACTGACAATCCAATTTGAAAGTTTGTGTCGACGTCTGTCTAGCTTAAATGAATGTGTTCTATTTGCTTTATACATTTATATTAATAAATTGTACATTTTTCTAATTATTTGACATTCTTTCACAAGTCTCCTTTTGTTTCTGTTTTATTAACTTGTAGAAGAATGTTGAAAAGCCTGATAATTTTTTATTCTCCAAATTGAGAAAGAATGTCAAGATTTGCCTTGTAAAGACAAACAGTGCATTAATTTTTGAAAATATAAAGTACTCTATGTTATTTATGTTATTTAACAACAATATACCTTATAATCATTGGATCCCTATACCAATATTCAATGCAGATAATATATTTATAATTTAAGATAGTACTATAAATTCAAGCAAATCTATATGTTATAAATATTATGTATATAACAGCCAGGTTTGAAAAATTTTCTGTAGCTAAATATATATTTCTACTTCTGAGAAATAATAAATAATATTGTCTAATGTTCTGGGGGCATGTATTACATGCTAGGACCTCTACTGCTTATATGAATTGTTATTAAATCTTTTATGAGACTGATAATGTTATTAGTTCAATTCAAAGATGAGGCTATCTCAGAACAATTCATTGATTACTCAATAGAATCAGGAGATTTATAAAAAGGCTGCCTGGACTCATAGCTCAACACTCTTTCTCTCAAGGAAAGTGAATTATTTTTTCAGCAATGTCTAGTTTAAACACGAATTTTTATATGTTAAAATGACACACTTAACTACCATGAGTTGGGAAAACTTTTAGTTGTCTTTTTTTTTTGTAAATTTTTTTAGTTGAGACAGAGTCTCACTCTGTCACCCAGGCCAGAATGCAGTGGTGCAATCTTGGCTCACTGCAACCTCCACTGCCTGGGTTCAAGCGATTCTCCTGCCTCAGCCTCCTGTGTAGCTGGGATTACAGGCATGTGCCACCACCCCCAGCAATTCCTTTTTTCCATATTGGTGATTCTCTTATACCCAAGTGCTCATTCATCCTAGGCAATTTTGCTTTTTCAGGTCAAAACATTCGTAAAAGGAAAAATACAGCAAAAATAACTGAGCACCTTGGAGAAGAAATCCATAGGCCCCATCTTCTAAATACCAGTCTCTAATCAACTATTTTTTCTTTTACCTAGAAAGCCCTTTAAATGTCCCAAACTCAATTTATTATTTCTCTCCTCTTTTCTCTAAAACAGAATAACACATCTAGTTTTTATTATGGCATCACTTCGAGTATCTGAAATCTTTCTACAACTTTCCACCTTTACTATCTGCTCATCTCTTATCTACATAATTGGAAAAGACTTCTAGACTTGTGTCATTGTCTGCAGAGTCTTTTCCCAACAGCTGTCATCTATACTTTTATCTTAGTTGTTTCTAAAACGCAAGTCAAGTCCCATCACGGCCTGCCCATAAGCTCGGTAAGGACATCCCATTGCCTATAAGGAAAGTCCAAATGCCTTCGCATACGCTAACTGACGGGAAGGAAAAATTATCTTACAATTTTCAAGGTAAATTTTATCAGACAGTTTAACATCAGTGTATAACCAGTATAATAACAATTATAAAGTTAATGTCCCCAAATTAGCGTAATTAACATGGCACAGGCCTCTTTAATATTCTGAAAGAGATACATTGACAACTACAAAATGATTCAATTGGTGGCAAATTGCATGCAATAGAAAGTTTTATAATGTATTTGCATGGAAAAAAATCATGTGATGGAAAGGACAGGGGAGGCACAGGAAGTGATGTTAAGTATTCACATTGTAGCTAGTTGGTTTTATGACTTGAAGCAAATTTTAGAATCCAATGTATCTCACTGTAATTATCTATTATTTTCCAATTGTCAGATAGAATAATAGGCCATAAGGTCCGATGGGATTATAATAGGGTATAATATTCATTGTGTTAGTGAATTTGGAACATTAAATGTGTTGCAACAATGAAAGGCAATATATATAGTAAAAAGAGGACCAACTTTTGAAAGAGTCAAATGAGAGAATCATTCCATACACACCCCCAAGCAGCGAATTTAGAAAAGTTCATTAGCCCCTCAGACTCAATCTCTTCTCATTCATATAATGAAGGTAGGATTACTGCAGGAAAGAAGTATATAAAGTAACTAGCCCAATGCTAGAGTGAAGAAATAGTGGATCACTTCTCTTTGTATAATATTCCTCCTTAAAATTCCTTGGAGTTGTGTGTAAAATATGCACATCAATAAAATAAGCAAAAATAGAGAATAAAATATTAAAATAATAATTTTTCCACATCAGGTATTCATTGTGAATCTTACCAACAGGTTATTTTATGATTAATTATATAGCCCTGGGAAATGGATCTTCAACTGAATTAAGGAAAAGAGGTAATTTCATAATTTTACCATTAATACAGAAAGCAAAAACATTAGTATGCTTATATCTTTTTTTCGTAGTAAGATTTAGATAACTGTTTTAGGATATGCATTTAAAATATTTTCCATTTATTTTTCTAATCCATTGGTCCAAACTTTAATCACTAATGTTATTTACAGCACACAAAATTTCCAGATGTTTTGAAAATGTTGTGTTCTAGAGGGCTTCTAAATACTTATCTCGTTGACTGCTCAAAAATAACAGTATGCCTTAGTGTGTAGAAGATTCCATTTAAAAAATAAAAAATAAAAAATGTGATGATTCCTTAAGCTATTAGCTTTTGATAATTGTTTCCTCTCATATAGGAACATTAGTTAAGTACCCATTACATTTTCCAAAATGTTTTAACCTTGCCAAAACATTTATGTCTTGGATAAGCATAATACCATTTCATCCAGAAATAGTATGTTGTAGAGATTTGGAGCCCAGGAATGAAGGAAGGCAGCTGTGTTCAAATCCCAGCTGTGTCACTTATTCCTGTGTGGTCTTAGGCAAATTACTTAACCTCCTAATGTCTCGTGGTCCTCATCTGTAAAATGGGAGTCAAAATTGTGCCTGAGTTCTAGGGTTGCTGTCAAGATTCACTGAGTTGATATACATCAAGTCCTTAGCACAATACTGGGCAAATAATGAATTAGATATCAATCTTGCCTATTCTAGCTACTTTTCAAACCAAATAGAATAATAATATTTTCTTCTTTTTCATACTGTACCACTTGTTGCTCTCACCATGACCCCCCTTCTGCTAATTCTGTATCCAAAATGGCAGTCTCATGCATCGTGAAACAGTTATTAAGCTACAGTACTGTAAGTGCTAGAGAATCCAGGATGGACAAGACAGTTTTTGCTTTCAAGGCATTTACAACTAACAAGAAGAGACAAGAGCGAGGAATGTAGCTGAACTGCATGCCCACCCATGTTTTTGGTGTTTTTCTTTCTTTACCTCATTGATCCTTTAAAAATTCTGTGAATTAGATATTAAATTATAAGAACACAGAGTCTCAATGAAGTAACATGCATATATAAATACACACACATATCTTATATTATCTCATTGACATTAAGTACCTTGAATTAGAATTAGGGAGACTATATATATATATATATATATATATATATATACCTTGAATTAGAATTAGGGAGACTATATATATATATATATATGTACCTTGAATTAGAATTAGGGAGACTATATATATATATATATATATATATATGTACCTTGAATTAGAATTAGGGAGACTATATATATATATATATATATATATATATGTACCTTGAATTAGAATTAGGGAGACTATATATATATATATATATATATATATATATGTACCTTGAATTAGAATTAGGGAGACTATATATATATATATATATATATATATATATATATATATATATATATATACACATACGTACCTTGAATTACAATTAGGGAGACTATATATATATATATATATATATATATGTACCTTGAATTAGAATTAGGGAGACTATATATATATATATTCTCTGTGATTAATATGTGTATAATATATGTCTCAAGTCTTCCCTGTGATTCACTGGTCACAGCATTTTTTCTCCCTGAACACTAAAGTGACCTCCTCATCCATCTTTGCTACATTTTGACTCCCTTCTCATTCCCCTCTTAACCTCTAGATGATTTACTGCTTTTAGTGCCTGACATCTATTACCTTCTCCTGTGGGATAACATTCTATTTTTTTGGACTCCAATTGTAGGCCTTGTATTTCCATTCACCAGGCCTCCTTCCTTGTCCTGAGAAGGACTTCCCTGTCAGTATCCCTGCAACCCCCTCCTCTCAACTGTGATCCAACTGCTGAAACAAAGCCAAATTGCTGCCGAGGCCCAGCAGGCAGAGGCTGGAAGCTTTCTGAGACGTTTCAGGCGCTGCCACCTTCCGGGAAGAAAGAGAAGCATTGTGTTCAATGGTGAGTCTAAGAAGAAGGAGGGGATTCCTGGTGTAGAGGCTCAAGGCCAGGCCTGAATGTCTGCTCGGAGTGAGAGGGTGGGAGAGAAACTCAGGCCCTCCTTGCTTCACAAGTAACCCTGGAAGGAGGGAAGGCTTTGTTCACCTGTCTCAGGGGGATAACCTCGGGGCCAGAAAACCCTTGGGAGACTTATTCATAGGCTGGGTTCCTACTTAGCCTGGGGCCTTGGAGACTGTAAGACCAGAGAGTGAGGACACTGGACAGCTGGGAGTGCGGAGGCTGCTTACCAGGTTCCCAGTAGTCAGATAGCAACTTTAAGGTCACTAGGTCACCACGTACAGCAAGAATTCCTGCCACTCCAGGATTGGCTATTGCTGATGGTAGCAACTTGACTTCCACAGGGGAAAAGATCCTGAAATTATGTAAGGGAACACCAAATAGGACCCAGCAAGTAAAAAAGTGAAGGAAACTACTTCCAATATGGCAAAGTTGATCCTCAAATTCAGAACTATTCTTTCCCAGCCCTGCAGACAAGTTCAACATCTTAAGCATGGGAAAACAAACCAGATAAACAAAACCACAAAACATCGAATGGCCTAGCCTTCTTTTTCCTTCTGGTCTTCTGTCATGGGCCCTGTGGTGCCCATATTCTGGTCTGGTCAGACTCCATGTTACTTCTTTGCCATTCAGAAATTCTGTCCTTCAGGCATTTGATCACCGGCAATGCCCTTGTCATCCTTTATTGTCGGGGTGGTTGAATCCCGGCCTCTGCTTGACCTCTTTCTTCCTGGCTGCACCCACGCATCTTCCCCTGTGCCACACCACGCTGTGTTAGCTCAGTCCTGCTGTGAGACAGAAGTGTGTCAACCACCCCACGCTCCTTCTGGGAAAGAGATTTACCCTACACTATTGCTCTCTGAGCTTCCTTCGTGTCCTTCAAATCACCATGTATTGTATATCTCCCCCACACCTACTTATATACGCCTATGGGTAGCTAACTCTTCATAGCTATATGGGGATCCTCTTTGAAGAGCAACTCTAATTTATTAGATGCTCATTGCACATTGCTAAACCCACTCCCTGCCCCTTTCCTAACTGCCTGCCTCCTTCTTTTCTTTCTTTCTTTCTTTCTTTCTTTCTTTCTTTCTTTCTTTCTTTCTTTCTTTCGTTCTTTCTTTCTTTTTCTTTCTTTCGTTCTTTCTTTCTTTCCTTTCTCTCTCTCTTTCCTTCCTTCTTTCTTTCTTTCCCTCCCTCCCTCCCTTCCTTCATTCCTTCCTTCCTTCCCTCCTTTCTCTTTCTTTCCCCCAGGTTGGAGGGCAGTTGGTGCAATCATAGCTCACTGCATCCCCAACCTCTCGGGCTCAAGCAACCCTTCCACCTCAGCCTCCCAAGTGTCTGGGACTATAGGCTGGAGCCACCACGCCCAGCTATTTTTAATTTTTTTTTAGAGATGAGGTCTCCCTATGCTGCCCAGGCTAATCTCAAAAGCAATCGTCCTGCCTCGGCCTCCCAATCTGCTGGGATTACCAGTATGAGCCACAGTGCCTGGCTGATTCCTTTTCAAATGCCAATAAAGTGCATATGAAAATGCTGAAAACTAAAAGAACCTTTTAGAAAAATAAAAAATATCAGAGTTGAGCATTTTCCTGATTCAGGGAAGAATTTATATAACCTTTCTTACCCAGTGGGCTAAAATAAAATAATAATTGGCATTTGTTATTTAACTTTTTTTAAAAGATAGAATAAATTTTATTAACACAGGCATTGAGCAAACAACCCCAATCCATCTCCATACTCAGCTTTTTCCCTCTTGCTTGGTTTTTCTGATACCCATCCCCCTCCTCCCCACCAGTCTCTATGGTTATTAAATTGGTTGTCTACGGTTGCCTCTCTCTTTACTGATCTCTCTATTTTGCACTTGAGTTGTTGAAACCCTCCTGAGACGGAAGGAGGTCTGTGATTGAAGATCTTTTTCCTTTGTTTTTAATCTGCAACCTGGTAGAAATACATTTGTGTGAGCATCACAAATGAATCTTTTCCCCTATTTTTTTTCTGAATTGGGCTACTTTTTTATGTTGCTTTTTTAATTTTTGATATGAAAGTAGATATTTTTTCGTGGCTACATGGAGATCCTCTTTGAAAAAGAAACTGTATTTTATTAGATATTAAAGTTAAAAAAATACTTTGGAAATCAAACTGCTCTCCAGCTTTAAAGCTGAGAAACCCTCAGAGGAAAAGGAAGCCTATCCTCCTGGTTCAACTGCAGCCCGCCCTGAATCTTAATACAGTGCTCTTTTACTTTTATTAAAGGAAGAAAAAAGAAAAAAAAACATGACTCAGCATTGTGCCCTGCTCTGACTATGATACTGTATTCACAGGGTTAACAAGAACTACATGTCAGGTTCTGAACAGAAATACAGTTATAATTAAGCATTCATCAGTCTGCCCTTTGGCCCATTTCCTTGTAACTAAAAGCCACATAGCACCAGATACGGACGATTTGCATGCCCACTGTTTCCATAGATAGGATTTCCAAAGTTAGAATCATAAGGCTTTTGTTTAAGAATTGTTCAAGATGTTCTTCAGATCCTGGATGCCAGCAGAAGCCTGACGCTACCAGTTTGAAGAGCCCCAGAGAAGAATGAAATCAGGATGATAATGCAGTTTCTTCCTCTCCCCGCCCCAAGACTTCATTCTGCACTCTGCCACCAATCACGGATCCCACATTTCTGCCCACTCCTAGCTCCTTAAAACCTCCAGCCCCATACTCCTTGGAGAGGAGGATTTGAGGTTTCCTCCCTTCTCATATGATTATTAGACTCTGTCTGCCGCAATCTCTGGTATCTCACTCAGTATATTAACTTGCTGTGCATTGAGCCAATGAACCCACAATGGCTGAAATCTTTACTTGCTGTATAACACAAAATCTCAAAACTTGGTGACTCAAAACACGGACTGTTTTTAGATATTATTTCATGGGATAGGAATTTAGGCAGGGCTCAGCTGGCCTGTAGCATCCTCTTCAGTTAGTAGCTAGTGTATAAAGTGTCAACAGTTTTCCTCACTGCCTGGTGCCTTGGCAATGATTCCCCTATATGTGGTCTTATGGCCTCTCCACCTTATCTTTTCACCAAGGGAGTTTGTCAGCAGAATAGCTGAGAGCTTTAAGAATCCAAAGGGGGAAAAATACGAGTCACTTTCACCATATGCAATTGGTCAAAGACAGTCCCAGGTCAAGGAGAAGAAAAACAGGCCCCTCTTCTCAATGGAAAGACCACCAACGATTTTGGAACCATCTTTGGTCCATTCCAGGCTTACAGTACAGTTGTTAAGAACTTAAAGGGAACACAAGGAAGGGGAACATCACACACCGGGGCCTGTGGTGGGGTGGGGGGAGGGGGGAGGGGGGAGGGATAGCATTAGGAGATATACCTAATGTTAAATGACAAGTTAATGGGTGCCGCACACCAACATGGCACATGTATACATATGTAACAAACCTGCACGTTGTGCACATGTACCCTAAAACTTAAAGTATTAAAAAACAACAACAACAACAACAAAAACAACTTAAAGGGAAATTTTTCTTTCACATACACTTATTCCTTGAAACATAGACATGATATAAAAGGTGTGTTTTGGGCCAGGCATGGTGGCTTACACCTGTAATCCCAGCACTTTGGGAGGCCGAGATGGGTGGATCACCTGAGGTCAGGAGTTCGAGACCAGCCTGGCCAAGATGGTGAAACCCCATCTCTACTAAAAATACAAAAATTAGCTGGATGTGGTGGCAGGTGCCTGTAGTCCCAGCTACTCGGGAGGCTGAAGGAGGAGAATCATTTGAACCCGGGAGGCAGAGGTTGCAGTGAGCTGAGATCATGCCACTGCATTCCAGCGTGGTGACAGAGAGAGACTCCTTATAAAAAAAAAAAAAAAAGAAAAAGTCAGACCTTTCGTCAGTTTTATGACCCAGGAATATCTTTCTCAAGGACCTGGGCCATCTCTTCCTAATGTAAATGTGAAGGGAGACAGCATCCCTAACCCTATCTCCCGGTTTCTGGGGAAGGCTAGGAGCCTAACTTCAGTGGACATCTGCTCCAATTTGCAAAATAACTCATGTCATAAAGACATAGAAAATTTGTTTCTCCTCTGGATGAAGCTAATTAGCTGACACAGATGGTCACTCCAATTACCAGGTGAATTTAGGATGGACTTTGTGTGACAAATGGTGCCAAGTTCTCTTACTTGAGAACTAGGTATTGTTTATCTTGAACACATGTATATAACGGTTGCTTCTGCATGGCTATGCAAAAAGGTAAGGTTTGTTTCTGTCTTTTCAATCTCTGAGCAGATTGCTTGTGGTGTGCACCACATTCTAGTTTAATGCTTATTCAAAAATAAGGCCGGGCGCGGTGGCTCACGCCTGTAATCCCAGCACTTTGGGAGAACAAGGCGGGAGGATCACTTGAGGTCAGGAGTTCAAGACCAGTCTGTCCAACATGGTGATACTCTGTCTCTACTAAAAATACAAAAATTAGCCGGGTGCAGTGGCGGATGCCTGTAATCCCAGCTACTCGGGAGGCTGAGGCAGGAGAATTGCATGAGCCTGGGAGTCTGAGGTTGCGATGAGCTGAGATTGCACCATTGCACTCCAGCCTAGGCGAGACAGAGTGAGACTCTGTTTCAAAAAAAAATAAAATTAAAAAAAATAACATAAATAAGATTGTTTTCTTTCTCTGTGACCTTTGTGGAGAGGTGTTTGGAGTTGGCAGATTTTGTTTTTAGTTACATTTTCCCCAAGGGAAGACAAAAATTTTTTTAAAAGGCATGTGAGATAAAATGTTGTAATTTAGAAATTTATGCTTAGTAATAATCGGAGATGTTCACAAATGTTTTGTAAATGCCTATTAATCTAAGCACTATTTATAATGATGGAAAGTTGGAAATAGTCTATGTGTTCCACAGGGAGAAAGGTTCAATTAACGATGGTGCATCCATCCATTCAATGCATATTTCCCTGCTACTGAGGAGTCAGTATATAATGTTATGCTATAATGTTATCAAAATAGGACAAAAACAGTTCTAAAGTGCATAATTACCATTATCATGATTTAAACTCCCTCTCTCCTCTCTCTCTCTCTCCTTCTGTCTCTCTCACACATACACAAACAATGCACTTGCATATGTATACATGAAAAGAATGGCTGAAAAGAAAAAGATGAAAATGTAAAAGTAAGTGTGATTACTATTTTGTTAATAATTTTTTTACTCTCATTTTTTAGTGACTGAATATTTTAATAGTGAGGAAAATCAATAAATGTATACAGTGTTTTTTATTTTTAATTATTAACAGATGAGCCTTCCCATGTTGCTCTGGCTGGACTTCTGGGCTCAAGTGATCCTCCTGTTTCAGCCTCTCGAGCAGCTGGGATTACAGAGGCATGCCGCCATGCCTGGCTAAATGAGTATATTTTAAGGATATAAATATATGAAAAACAAGCTGGGCATGGTGGCTCATGCCTATAATCCCAGCATTTTGGGCGATAAGTTGAGAGGTAGAGATAGAAGAATCCTTTAAGGCCACGAATTCAAGACCAACCTGGGCCACATAGTGAGATCCTATCTCTACAAACAACAACAGCAACAAAAAACAGTAGATATTTAACTTGGCAGAAAATCAAAACAGGACTGCGGAGGAAAAGGATGAGGAAAGACCATTAAACTCTGAGGAAAGTAATCAAACAATGAGAAAAGCTGATGAGAAATTGATGAGAAGTTATAAAGGGGGATAAAAAATGACAGGTGAGCAAGAGAAAAAAGGAAGAATCAAAAAATATTTTTGTATCTTTTCCTTTTTTTTGAGAGTCTTGAGGGGTCTTGTTCTGTTGCGCCAGGCTGGAGTGCAGCAACTTGATCATAGCTTGCCACCATATCCTCCAACTCCTGAGTTCAAGACTCAGCCTCCCAAGTAGTTGGGACTACAGGCATGCACCACCACACTCAGCTAATTTTTATTTTTATTTTTGTAGAGAAGAGGTCTCACTATGTTGCCCAGGCTGATCTCAAACTCCTGGCTACAAGTGATCTTGCCACCTCAGCCTCCCAAAGTGTTGGGATTACAGGCATGAGCCCCTGCACACAGCCAGCAATATTTTCTAGATCTGTGGAAATATTTATGATTGAAAGACAGCTGTTTTACCATGCTTCAAGAAAAATTACTCATCTTAAGTGAAGACTGAGAGCTAGTTTGATAAAGGCTTCATATTTTAAATTTAACTAAAGGGTTTTGGAAATATCCAAGTGGGAAAAAAATAAGTTGACAATTCATATAAACAAATATCAGTTTCACTTTGATTTCTATCCTTAAACCACAACACAATACATTCAGTTTCTGCTTTCATTTCACTCTTTGATTTTTACATTTCAACCAGCAAGCCATCTTATTTCACAGAGAGAATTTACTTTTTTAACATGGTAAAAGGTGAATATAAACTTTTAATTTCCTAAGTAGTAAAATTTTCAGCTCCATTTGTTAAATAATCCATTCCCTGTAGTTTACTGATGCCTTATTTATCAAGTAAAAATGCATACATATCTCACTGTCTGTTTCTGAGCTATTTATTCTGCTTCATTGATCTCTGGATTTTTTTAAAAGTAGATCGTCACTAATTGATCTAAAGGCTACTGGTTTCATCAAGTTTTGGGATATCTGTCTTGAATATACTTTACATTCTTACTCTACTGACTTTGTAGTGGAAATAATTTCACAGAGTGCTTGCCCAACTCACTGTAGAACGTGAGCTGAGGAGAAAATATTGCATTAATAGTGAGGAGGCTCAGATCAAATCTTTTCTTTCTTCTTTTATAGCAAATGTGGCAGGCATACTCCAGTAGTATCTCTGTCCCATCTATTCTTATAAATTTCAAAATAAGCTGTGACATAAAGGCAGTCTTTTAGCATTTAGAACACAGCTGGCATTATTACGTTGGAGAATGCTTTTATAAATCAAGATTTAATCAGAAAGCTCTCCTCCCAAATCTATCAAGCCTAGTGTTGATTGAAGAAGACTAGAACCTCACTCAGGAAGCCAGTATTTCAATTTTCCTTAATTAACTGCATATCCTTGAGCAATGTATGTAACTAATTCCTGAGTCAGTTTCCTCATTGCTAAATCACAGACTTTTGAGGGGGACTAGGTAGCACATTAAAACCCAATGTATTTCCCAAAATTATGAATTTTGGGGGAGAATGTATAAATGTAAAAAATAAGGATCTCCTATTCAACATAGTATTGGAAGTTCTGGCCAGGGCAATCAGGCAGGAGAAAGAAATAAAGGGTATTCAAATTGGAAAAGAGGAAGTCAAATTGTCTCTGTTTGCAGATGACATGATTGTATATTTAGAAAACCCCATTGTCTCAGCCCAAAATCTCCTTCAGCTGATAAGCAACTTCAGCAAAGTCTCAGGATACAAAATCAATGTGCAAAAATCACAAGCATTCCTATACATCAACAACAGATAAACAGAGAGCCAAATCATGAGTGAACTCCCCTTCACAATTGCTACAAAGAGAATAAAATACCCAGGAATACAACTGACAAGGGATGTGAAGCACCTCTTCAAGGAGAACTACAAACCACTGCTCAAGGAAATAAGGGAGGACACAAATAAATGGAAAAACGTTCCATTCCCATGGATAGGAAGAATCAATATTGTGAAAATGGTCATACTGCCCAAAATAATTGATAGATTCAATGCTATCCCCATCAAGCTACCATTGACTTTCATCACAGAACTGGAAAAAACTACTTTAAATTTCATATGGCACCAATAAAGAGCCTGTATAGCCAAGACAATTCTAAACAAAAAGAACAAAGCTGGAGGCATCACACTACCTGACTTCAAACTATACTACAAGGCTACAGTAACAAAAACAGCATGATACTGATACCAAAACAGATATATAGACCAATGGAACAGAACAGAGGCCTCAGAAATAACACCGCACGTCTACAACCATCTCATCTTTGACAAACCTGACAAAAACAAGCAATGGGGAAATGATTCCCTATTTAATAAAAGGTGTTGAGAAAACTGGCTAGCCATATGCAGAAAACTGAAACTGAACCCCTTCCTTACAACTTATTAAAAATTAACTCAAAGTGGATTAAAGACTTAAACATAAGATCTAAAACCATAAAAACCCTAGAAGAAAACTTAGGTAATACCATTGACGACATAGGCATGGGCAAAGAATTAATGACTAAAACACCAAAAGCAATGGCAACAAAAGCCAAAATTGACAAGTGGGATCTAATTAAACTAAAGAGCTTCTGCACAGCAAAAGAAACTATCATCAGAGTGAACACGCAAACTACAGAATGGGAGACAATTTTTGCCATCTATCCATCTGACAAAGGGCTAATACCCAGAATCTACAAAGACCTTAAACAAATTTACAAGAAAACAAACAAATCCATCAAAAAGTGGGCAATGGACATGAACAGACGCTTCTCAAATCAAACCACAATGAGATACCATCTCATGCCAGTTAAAATGGCAATCATTAAAAAGTCAGGAAACAACAGATGCTGGAGAGGATGTGGAGAAACAGGAATGCTTTTACACTGTTGATGGGAGTGTAAATTAGTTCAATCATTGTGGAAGACAGCGTGGCAATTCCTCAAGGATCTAGAACCAGAAATACCATTTGACCTACCAATCCAGTTACTGGGTATATACACAAAGGATTATAAATCATTCTACTATAAAGACACATGCACACATATGTTTATCATGGCACTGTTCACAATAGCAAAGACTTGGAACCAACCCAAATGCCCACCAATGATAGACTGAATAAAGAAAATGTGGCACATATACACCATGGAATACTATGCAGCCATAAAAAAGAATGAGTTGATGTCCTTTGCAGGGACACAGGTGAAGCTAGAAACCATCATTCTCAGCAAACTAACACAAGAACAGAAAACGAAACACCTCATGTTCTCACTCATAAGTGGGAGTTGAACAATGAGAACAGATGGACACAGGGAGGGGAACATCACACACTGGGGCCTGTCAGGGGGTGGGGGGATAGTGGAGGGATAGCATTAGGAGAAATACCTAATGTAGATCATGGGTTGATGGGTGCAGCAAACCACCAAGGCACGTGTATACCTATGTAACAAAACTGCATGTTCTGCACGTGTATCCCAGAACTTAAAATATAGTAAAAATAATCACAATGTATACCATAAATATATACAATGATATGTAAATTAAAAGTAAAAAGCAAAAAAGAGACTATTGCTTATGTAATATGTTTTCAATAAACACTTGTTTGTTGCTTCTAGGGTTTACTGCTTCACTCCTTGACCTGTATGAACAAAATCCAGCAATTTTTACTATTATTTATGAACTTGACTCTTATGTAAATATTCTCCACAGACTTGAAAATATTCTCTAGGTACTTGAGAAAGAAAAACAATCAGAAAAGTTTATTATTGGTTGCCAGAGGTACGTGTGTTCTCAAGTATTTAGTTTGGCCTGTCTGTAGCCTTGGGGAATCTAGAGTAAACTTCTTAAGTCTCCAGATTATCATTGTGGGAAGGCATACGTGAGAACAAACTGCATAGAAAATTTCTAGTTCTAAAACAGCATTAATGTCCTTTGGTTTAAAGCTGTTGGCAAAATAAAATGAAATTCTTATTATTTTTTTTTGCCTTCAGAAGGTGTTTATTTTTTATTTTATTTTATTTTAATTAATTATTTATCTATTATACTTTAAGTTCTGGGGATACATGTGCAGGACGTGCAGGTTTGTTATATAGGTATACACGAGCCATGATGGTTTGCTGCACCCATCAACCTGTCATCTACATTAGGTATTTCTCCTAATGCTATCCTGAGTCCCTAGCCCCCTGAGCCCACGACAGGCACCCCCGTATGTGATGTTCCCCTCCCTGTGTCCATGAGTTCTCATTGTTCAACTCCCACTTATGAGTGAGAACATGCCGTGTTTGGTTACTGTAGCCTTGTAGTATAGTTTGAAGTCAGGTAGCGTGATGCCTCCAGCTTTGTATTTTTGCTTAGGATTGTCTTGGCTATACGGCTCTTTTTTGGTTCCGTATGAAATTTAAAGTAGTTTTTTTCCAATTCTGTGAAGAAAATCAATGGTAGCTTGATGGGGATAGTATTGAATCTATCAATTACTTTGGGCAGTATGGCCATTTTCACGATATTGATTCTTCCTATCCATGAGCATGGAATGTTCTTCCATTTGTTTGTGTCCTCTTTTATTTCATTGAGCAATGGTTTGTAGTTCTCCTTGAAGAGGTCCTTCACATTCCTTGTCAGTTGCATTCCTAGGTATTTTATTCTCTTTGTAGCAATTGTGAAGGGGAGTTCACTCATGATTTGGCTCCCTGTTGTCTGTTATTGGTGTATAGGAATGCTTGTGATTTTTGCACATTGATTTTGTATCCTGACACTTTGCTGAAGTTGCTTATCAGCTGAAGGAGATTTTGGGCTGAGACGATGGGGTTTTCTAAATGTACAATCATGTCATCTGCAAACAATTTGACTTCCTCTTTTCCAATTTGAATACCCTTTATTTCTTTCTCCTGACTGATTGCCCTGGCCAGAACTTCTAATACTATGTTGAATAGAGTGGTGAGAGAGGGCATCAATGTTTGTGCCAGTTTTCAAAGGGAATGTTTTCAGTTTTTGCCCATTCAGTATGATATTGGCTGTGGGTTTGTCATAAATAGCTCTAATTATTTTGAGACACGTTCCATCAATACCTAGTTAATTGAGAGTTTTTAGCATAAAGGGCTGTTGAATTTTGTCGAAGGCCTTTTCTGCATCTATTGAGATAATCATGTGGTTTTTTGTCATTGGTTCTGTTTATGTGATGGATTGCATTTATTGATTTGCATATGTTGAACCAGCCTTGCATCCCAGAGATGAACCTGACTTCATCATGGTGGATAAGCTTTTTGATGTGCTGCTGGATTTGGTTTGCCAGTATTTTATTGAGGATTTTTGCATCGATGTTCATCAGGGATATTGGCCTCAAATTTTCTTTTTTTGTTGTGTCTCTGCCAGGTTTTGGTATTAGGATGATGCTGGTCTCATAAAATGAGTTAGAGAGGTTTCCCTCTTTTTCTGTTGTTTGGAGTAGTTTCATAAGGAATGGTATCAGCTCCTCTTTGTACCTCTGGTAGAATTCAGCTGTGAATCCGCCTGGTCCTGGATGTTTTTTGGTTGGTAAGCTATTAAGGATATGAACAGACACTTCTCAAAAGACATTTATGTGGGAAAAAAGCTCAAACCCTACTTCTGGCTACCCACCTCCACCCTACCCCCAGTTTCTAGTAACCATTATTCTACTCTCTACTTCTATGAGATCAATGTTTTTAGCTTCCACATAAGTGAGAACATGCTGTATTTAGTTTAATTCACTTAACATAATGTCCTCTGGGCTCATCTATGTTGCCACGAATAATAGGATTTTGTTCCTTTTTTATGGCTGAATCATAAACACCACATTTTAAAAATCCATTCATCTGTTGACGACCACTTTGGTTGATTCCATATTTTAGTATTATGTATAGTCCTGCAATTGACATGGGAGGGCAGATATCTCTTCAACCTACAGATATCCTTTCCTTTTGTTACATATCCAGTAGTGGGATTAAGAAATAGTCTTTTAACAGTAAGCCTTTGGAGAACCTAATGAACTGAGCAACTATCCAGAAGCATCAATATGTGACTATCATGTCTTCAAAACACCCCCCAAATACCCAGAGTACTATGAATTCTCTCTGAAGCACTATGAAGCACCAAGAGGGAATGAAACTTGTTCATCAACTCAAATGTGGATAATTCTGGTGCATGACATAACAAACTGCTTAATAAAGGAGGGTTGTGCCTTGGATTAACCCAGAACAAAATTTTTCATTGAGGCATCTTTGATCTACAGACTGATATCAACCCAACTTTATTTTAATTCTTTCATAATCAAAATTGATTTGTTCATTAGCTCTGTTTCCAATTATATGTTTGTATAATATACAAAATCTTGTGGAATACTTTTCACTTAAAAATAAAATTACATACAAAAGTAAAAGTCATCTAAAACCCCTGCCTCAAAGAGATAAGCAATATTAACATGTCAATATTTGATTTTAAATGATCACTCTTCCCAAACATAGTCAATAATCAGAAAGGAAAATATGAACATATTATTAATCATTGCAGCCGTGGTAGCCAATCTTTTCATAAGGCATACACTCTGTGATTGGACTTTACAAAAATAGCCCACAATCCTCACATAAACTATGAAAAGAAGCTCTTTTACCTGAGGAAAGTTATGTTCAGAAAGGCTAAGGAACATATCCCAAATTACATGGACAGTAAGTGGAGAAGCAGTGCGCAAATGCAGATATATCCAAATCTAAAGCCCTTTCAGTGCCCTGTGCCTCTCAAACACCAGTGTCTCTTCTATTTCTGAAACAGACAAGGCTGGTTTGTATGCTGGGCCGTCGATAATTTTGGCATATTAAACTAATATCTTTTAAATATTCATTCAATAGTTATATAATGGAAACAGAAAAAACTGATTTTTTTTGTGAATGTGTATATTCAGAAACAAATTCACTTACTGATTCACTTCCAAGAACAAATGCAAAGCTAACATTCTTTAAAAATTTAGTAAAATATTCTCTAACTCTCAGTGTTTTCTTCTTTCTCTTTGAGATGTTTTTATTGTTTTCCAACCTAGGCCACTTCTTAGGAGGCAAATTAAAGGGTTTTAACTTGAGATGTGAAAATTATTACTTATTCCCAGTAAACAGTATCACTCAATGCATTAATGCGTTTCAGAATTTCAGCAGAATTGGACTTCATTTACAAGTGGTAAAAAATATGAAGCCAAGATGGGTATTTGCCAGCAAAAAGATATTTTTGCAAAAGCATTTTGCAAAACCCAGTGTCTCTTACTTTGGGGTTTAAAAAGATAAATGATGGTTTTGTAATTCTCCCTTCTTTTGGGGTTTAAAAAGAATAAATGGTGATTTTGTAATTTAACTAGTTTTTTTTTCTGTTTTTTGGGATCAGAGAGATGGTCTTTAGAGACTGTCTATATTTGAACTGGGAGAGGAATCCTATATATTGCTGCTTAAAAGGAGAAAAAAAGTATAGCATAAGAGGACAGAATTATGAAGAACACACTCCCTAAACAGCGGTGGAAGTTTTTCTTCAAGCATCCACAATCCAGTTCAGTCTGAGAAGTCCTTCCAATCCTCTACTATTTCTCAAGTCTTGGCATTGATAGGCCCTCCTAACCTTAGCATCAATGTCCTAAAATTTCATTTCTCTAAAAATTACCCAGCTTGGCAATTTAGAAGATCTAGTCCTTCATTCAGCAAGTATTTCTGGATGGTCTGCACTTAGCTCAGAGTCAGAGATTCACCAGTCTTCCTGGGCCAGTCTGGAGAGCTCCAGCATCACTCCCCAGGTCAGTTCTGCAAAAACCTCTTCAGTTGTCTCTTCATGAGGAAATTCACAAATTTAAATGTTAGACCCTTACATGCAAAGTCAAAAAACTAGTAAATAATAAAATCTCTGTTCTGGATGAAATGGATTAAGGAATCTAACCTGAGTTATCCAGAGCTCAGACAAATAGAGATGATTTTTAGCTTTTAGTCATGAAATCTCATCTCTCTCTCACACACACACACACACACAATTTCTTGAGTTTTACAGATCACTCTGAATTTATGGGTATATTCTTCATTTACGTATAATTCATTCATTCAAAAAATAATTAATGAACACCTACTGTCTACAACATTCTAGATCTTGACTTTTAAGAAGCCCTGGATTACCTTGAAGGAATTTTACACTTAAAATACTTTATATTTTTTAAATTTTCAGATGGATACTTGCTGTATTCTATAATGTTCAAAAAAGCATCTGGCAGGAAGCATATGAGAAAAGCTAAAATAAGACAATAGGTGACGAAGGGAGTTAGACTGAAATTGCCGGGTTCTTTGGACTTAAATACTTCATCTGTCTCATGATTGTGTTTAGGATCAGAAGTGTCTGTTAGTATTAGAACTTTGGTTCTAATTAAAAGGACCCCATGGTCATTTTTAGAAAGTAAGGGATCCATACAGATGTTGTTGTGGTGGGGAGGACTGGTTTATTTTTGAAAACAAGAGTGTGAACAACTCAAAATAAAACATGTAAGAATGAGACTATATAGTAGACTAGGTAAGCTCTCTAGTTCATAAAGTTATATAGAACTGGCTGCAAATCCCACCTTTGCAAACCACTAGTTGTGAAAACCTAGGAGTTATGAAGCCTCTGAGAGTGTCAGTTTTATTATTTGAAATAAAATTCGAAATATATTTATTATTTGAAATAATAACAGAACCTCATAAGTTAGTTTGTGAAGATTCAATATAATGATGCCTGCAAAACACTTACCACAGCTCAGAACAGTGTAGGTGTTCTCAATAATATTGAATTACAAAGAGTCCTTCTTGAAATGTAAGGGGATAACTGTATATCACTTAAAGACTATGCATAAATGTTTAGATATTTTGGGTGAAGATGGTAACATTTAGGGAAAACCTTTCGGAATTCTGAGCTCAGATGAGAATTAATAGATCAATGATGCCCTAAAATCAAGATGGTTATAACACAACTAATGGATCTAGAATTCAGTATTAAGTGCCAGACATTACAACAACAAACTTCTCTCATATTAACACTTCATGCAAACATAGAAACCCTAGTATACTGAAGAGGGTAGTGATATCATCCAAACACCAGGGGGTGCTCTAGTCTACTTTGTGCAGAAGAAACAAGCATGGATCATCCTTGTAAATAGAGAAGATGAAAGGTTTATATCAAAACATGATAAATGGTAGGACATAGACCTTTGGAACAACTCATCATTGTGGATTATATTTAGAATTGACCATAGCTTTATTTTTCTCTATTACTTTGGCTTTCAAACGTGAGCCATAACAGAGGGAAAGCAATGCAAATCGATTTCTAGTTATTAAGCCAATATTACACAGTATGGCTTGTATCACATGGTTTTTTTTAAACTCTCTTTAGAGACTCCATAGTTTGAAAGGTCATTTCCAAGTCATTTGCAGGCAAGAGAGCCTACACAAACAAACAAAATCTACTCAAACAAAATTACTGAATCTTGGCTTCTCAGATTAAGTAATTCAGTCTATTTGATGTGGCATATCTTTCATGTAACCACTCAAGAAAATAGGCATGACCATATATGGCCCCCTTTTACTCAAATATTTATTGATCATGGACTATTGCAAGGCACTGGGAATAAGAAAATTCACAAACATGAATCTTGGTTCCTAACATAATAAATCACCTGACACTGTCTTTTTCCCAAGATTTACATGTGAGTAGGAAGAGACAACTATTATACGTCTAAAAGAACAAATATATGAGAAACTGGACATATAAGTGGACAATGGTCAAGTCATGTTCAAAAACAGAACTCTGACCAACAACCTACAGGAACTTGCCCAGAAAACCAATCCTTTATTTACAATAAACATCCCAGAAAGCCAGACTGCTATAAGTCAGACTTGTAGGGAGTCAGACTGCTATTGCTAGTACTGATACCATAAGCTAAACAATAATTTCTATAACAATCAGCCCCAAATGGCCAGAATTTCATTAATAACTGACAGTTTCTCACATTTTTGTCACTGCTTTCAATATAGGACCAACCAGAAAAAAACAAAAATGCAACCCTAAACAATTACATGGAATATCCAGCTATCATTACCCCACCTGCAGCTTCTCCATGTTAAAGTCTCCAATTAGAGGGTACCTGAGGTCTTCCCACTTCTTCAATTAAGGTGTGTTTGAGGTCTTCCCTTTTCTGCATGATGAAGCTTTTCCACTCCTCTGCCTGCCTTTGAGACTTTGCCAAAATGCAAACATTGGTGGCTGACTCCCTGGCCATGGCAAGTTCTGTATAAACAGACTTTGCTTTCCTCATTTGGTTCATCTTTGTTTATTTCCATATAAATAATATGACAAGTTGAAAGAAGTATTATTGAAAACAACAGATGAGGGTCAAGGAATAGAAATACCTGTGTAGGAGAAAGGCAAAACTTTTCAAGCAAAGACCTAAAGAAAGCGAGAAACTGAGCCATGGGAATATCCAAGGAATGTCTTTCCTATGTGGAGAAAAGAGAGTGCAGCCTTGAAGAGGAAGACTGCTTATGCAGTTTGAGTAACTGCCAGGATTTCAGCTTCTCTTGGGCAATACAGGCAAGGAAAACAATTGCCAGAGATGAGTTCAGAGAGGTAGTGAGGTAGTGAGCCATTGTAAGGGGTTCGACTCTTACTCTGAGTAAGAGGAGATGCCTTTTCAGGCTTAAGCAGAGGAATGACATAATCTGACTTCATTTTTAAAAGACTATCCTGGTTGCTGTATTGAAAATATGTTGTAGGGGTGCAAGGGCTAGGAGACCAGACTGCTGAATGAAGACAAAAAAATGATGGTGGCTTGGATCAGCTGATAGTGGTGGATGTGGTGAGAAGTGATTTGATTCTGGACATATTTGCAGGCAAAACTGACATGCTGATCAGTGGAACCTGAAGACAGAAATACAAAGATGCTATGAGGGTAGCACCGATGTTTTTGGATGAATAAACTCTGCAGGAGAGAATTGCCACTGAGATGGTATAAGCAGTTTGGCGTGGTTATTTGTAACAATTGGCAATTTGGTCTTCGTCATTCTAGATTTGAGATGCCTGTGGAGATTTTCAAGGAAAATAGCAGAGTTGACATTTGCATGTATCTCTGCATTTCAGGGGAGTGCTCCAAGCTAGGGATAAAAATTTGGAAGCTGTCAGCACATACACAGAAATCAGAGCATTTATATTGTCACTCTGGAACACGTAGTGTTTAGAGGTTGGCAAAAAGAAAAATCTCGCCAAAGAGAATGTGAAAAATTCACCAGAGAGGTAAGAAAATAACCAGAAGAAAGTGACATCCCTAGAACTTAACACTGAACAAATAAGGAAGTTGTCAATGGACCACCTTCTTCTCATCTGTTAAGTAAGATGAGAACTAAGAATTCATAGCAAAATTTAACAATGTGGAAATTATCAGTGGCTTTAAAAAGAGTTTTTTATGGGAGTTATGAAGAACAAAGTCCGCTTGAAAATAATTGAAAAGAGAATGGGAGGAAATATATCAAAGAAAACAGAAGAGGCAATTCTATCGATTTTTATTTTTAAAAGAGCTTAGAAATAGCAGTAGGAAGGGGTTGCCATTCAAGGTAAAGTATTCATTTGTTTGATTTTAAAGACTGGCTGTATTGCATGGTTTGAATGCTTATGTAATAATAGGTAAAATCATGACCCACCTAAGATGTCCACATTTTAATCCCCAGACCCTGTGAATATGTTATCTTACATGGCAAAAATCCTTATATGTGATGAAAAATCTTGAAAGGAAGAGATTATGTGATTTTAAAAAAACTCTTGAAATGAAGAGATTATGTAATGAAAAATCTTGAAATGAAAACGTGATGAAAAATCTTCAAGAGATTATGTGGGAATATCTAGGTAGGCCCAGTGAAATCACTAGTTCTGATAAGGGAAAGAAGAAAGCGGAAGAGTTAGAAGAGATGTGAGAGGAGAAAGAGAGAGAGCAAGAGAGAGAGAGAGAGAGAGAGAGGAGAGAGAAAATGCTACACTGATGAATGCGAAGATGGAAGAAGGAGCCATGAGCCAAGGATGAAGGAAGCCACTAGCTGAAAAAAGACAAAGAAATGGACTTTCCCCTAGTGCTGCTAGAAGGAATATAGCCCTGCCTATCTATTTTGGACTTCCGACTCCAAGAAGAGTAACATAATAAGTTGGTGCTCTTTATGCCACTAAATGTTTGTAATTTGTTACAGTAGCAATAGGAAAGCAGTAAAATGCTCTATTAGATTGGAGTAATCCCATTTGGAGTTGTCCCACTTTCCTGGGCCAGACCAGTACACATCTTACACATATTGATTGATGTCTCTCATGTCTCCCTCAAATGTGTTAAAGCAAGCTGTCCTCCGACCACCTCGGACCCTTCCTTAATCTTGGCAAAACACGTTCTAAATTGATTGAGACTCGTCTCAGATATTTTGGGTTCACTTATTATTGAGAATATAAGAGGTGAAATTATTGAGAATAAAAATGTCTAGGCAGTCATTCTCTTGGGCTACATATAAGCCCCACCTGGAGAATTTAAATCAAAACAATTAAATCAACATCTGGGAGGATAGAGCCCAGATGTTAGTATTTTCTTAAATTTCTCCTATATACTTCTAATATTCAGTTAAGATTTGTGTGCCTTTCAAGTAGCTGGCTGAGCTGAAGTAGAAAGTAGGATCATTGGAGATGATGGTGGGGAATGGAGAGGCCCAGGACATCAGCCGGATTATCATAATGTATCATGAATTCATTTTCAATAAAGACAAAAATATTGGTAGAGAAAGCGACAGAAAGGCAAAAGCTAAAATGTTCAAAGAATGAGAGAAAGTGACGCAGGAGTCTTTAAGTGACTATATCAAGTGTGAAGAAGAGGGATAGAAGTATATAATATAATCTGATAGCAAGATCTTTAGATTTGGAGGTTTTAGGACAATGGGAGAGGTATTGATTTAAAGTTGGCAATGACGCTGAATAAGAGGAGAATGCCTCTTTGCTTCCAAGGCTGAAATCAAATTTAGTTGAAGCATTTGGGTCAGTAAAATAGCCTTCCCCTTTCTCTAGATCACTGCAGGCAAAAATACATTTTCAGGGAGGGTGTAGGTGGCCAGGTTTTCCTGGAGCGCACAAGCGATGGAAATATTCATAACGGAGGCTGGAAGACGCGATTTGACTGATTAGGGAACACACGATCCAGAAGGAACAGGAAATGACACTTACATTGTAAAGATGAATGAGATAACGTGTGAGGTGGAATTGACTTTTTTAAGGAAAAGCAATAAGGAAATCTCAGCTGTTTACTGATACAGTTCTTGGAAACTCTCATTATTATCATAGATTAGGCTTTTGTCCCTCTTAGCACAAGGACAATTGAATTAATTATTTTTCTAAGGAATCTTGGGTAGAGTGTTGCCTGGGTGTTATTAAAGATATAAGAAAGAAATAGGTGAGTTTCTCTCCACCCGCCTCTACCATTACATATGGGAAATGTTTATAGAACTGTAATTTCAAATATTTGACAAATATATGGATCTAAACTACAAATTGTATGTAACAGTAGTTCTGTTTAAAGACTTACTGCTATACCCAGAGATCCGTCCCAAGAATTACTGGACACTTAATTACCCTTGAGTAAGATACTCTTATGCATATGTATAATTCTGTGACAGACACTGATAGTTGGCTGCCCAGTATCCATTTTTCCTTCTTATTTTCTAAGAGAACACTGACATTTTTCAGAGCATAAACGTGCCCTGTTAAAAATATTCTCCTCTCAATATTTTCTTGACCTAGAGATTACCACGTCACCCATGTCTGGCCTGTGAGACCTAAGTGAGAATCTCCTAGGTCAGTCTCCCTAGAAAGTTTTGTATTTTCTGATAGAGACAGTCTCAGGAACATGGACACACTTGCCTTTCCTTTGCCTGCAGGTGACAGCCGTTCTGAGACTCTGAGGACAAATGGTACATGCTTGGTTGCTAGAATCAGGCCTCCAGACAGAGTTTCTGTCCTTGAGGACTTAACAGAGCAGCTGCACCAGCCCTGAGCTGCCAAACTCTAGAATTTTTTTTTAAGAGAGAAAAATAAACATCTTATTTGTATAAGCAGCATGAGTGTGTATTACATAAAGCCAAGCGTAATTGCAAGCAAATATAATTTACTTCCGAAAAAAAAAAGTTCAAAAATACATTATTTTATTCCCTACTATAAGTAAAAAAGATATTTAATCAGTAGATTACATAAATTATGCTTATGCATATTCACACAATGAAACACAGTATCATCATAAATATAATGAGGTAGACAAATATGTAATGACATAAAAAATGTTCATGATAGAGTATTAGGTGGAGGGAAAAACAGCCAACCAAACAGCATCTCTACTATGTCTTGACTAGATTTATTTTCCTCTAAATCTTATCTTTTTTAATTTTAATTTTTTTCACTTTTATTTCAGGTTCAAGGGTAAATGTGCAGGTTTGCCATATAGATAAATTGTGTGTTGAGGGAATTTTGTGTCAAGATTATTTCATCACCCAGATAATCAGCATAGTACCCGATAGGTAGTTTTATTTTTTTCAGGTTTGGCTGTGGTGAGTCAGGGTCATAGTCAAGTTCACAGATAGAGCCGAATGGGAATACCAAAAAGACACCAGTTTGTTCAGTCTGGAGTGGCTGGCTGCATCACAGTATAAGAAACATATGATTATCTCTTTTATGTCACTGTAAATGGTGGCAAATTCTCAAAATTCTCCCAAAGCCAATTAAAAAAAGTTTTAAAAATTGTATTATTCATTTTTCTTTTATCCTGATTAAGTATATTGGCTAATTTTTTGCCACAATATAGCTTATAACTGCTTCAAGAAAAACCTTTTACCCGTGATTTTGGGGAAATCAATATTATGCAACTATTAAATTTATTAAATAATATTTAGATTTGGGGGTAACTTTTTAGAATTCAGAGGACCTTATGTCTCTAATTATTGTTAATGTTGAACTCATTTATTTGCAGGCAAAAATTGCGTTATAATCTGGCTTCTAAATTCACATGTGATATGCTCCAGGGAATACTGTGTTTTCATGTTTTTTAAAAAAATGTTCTTTAAATGCTATATGTTTAATTATAGAAAAAAGTAAAGTCTAAAACTACTCTGACCCATAGGCTATTCGTGTGAGCAATTGCATGCCTAAATAATTAGCACTTCTATTTACAAACACAAGCTTAATACCAGCAAAATATCCACTGTAAAGTCTAAGATGTTTTAATGAAGCATTTTACATATACTCGACACACAAGTGCTTGGGAAACCTAACAGGCTTATTTTATAACCCTTCACATCATCTGGACAAGAATTATGATTACTGTCGAAAATATATCCACCATGTTTACACCGTTTTTTCCCCCCAAATCACTGATTAGTACATTTACAGCCAGCTAAGAGATGCATGGTTTGGTTTTTCTGTTTTTTTGTGTGTGTGTTATGTTTACAGCTGGTAGCTTTTGAATATTCTTTGAAAATGCTATACTCTAGAGATCACCGCCTGATTGAATTTTGCAGGCTTTGCCACTCAGGTGAGTGAAGGTTTGGCATTTTATTGCCTTAGACACGGATCACACACACTAAGCAAAACAACAACAACAAGAAACCCAAAGCTATTTCAATTTATCAAGGGGGCCACACCTAAAATATTAAATAAGGTGAAACCTTTCGTGATCAGTAATTCTCTTAAGCTTTAGGTGCTTTTTTTCTACGCAGTTTTTTACATTTCTCTAATGATTATATGAAAAAGTACAGCTGATTTATGTGGCTGTCTGCTATCTTCTAGGCATAACACAGGATTGCCTGGGAGAATAACACCCACCTGTTGTTTTGAAAGGACAAAACTTGAAATGCCTTAGGAGTAGAGTCGACTGTCTCTGATAGATGACAAAACATGTTTTGACTATGGATGTAATTGTGTATGACTGGTAAATTTAGGCATAACCTTTTAGAAAGATCATTTAACATGCCTTAGACATAACAACAGAGGAATAAAGTGATAACCCACTGGATTTCTATTAAAACAGTCATCACATTTTGTATTGGTGTTAGTTTCAAAATAAAATTAATCTGACATATTCTTATTTTTATTTTATTTTATTTTTTGTTTTATTTTACTTTAAGTTCTGGGATACATGTGCTGAATGTGCAGGTTTGTTACAGAGGTATACATATGCCATGGTGGTTTGCTGCACCTATATTCTTATTGGTCACAGAGTATTTAAAATTTGTTCAGTGTTGTGGTAAGAACCAACATCAAATGAATAATTGAGAAATGCCCTTGAAGATGATTGAGTCCAGGGACAAAAGAAAGGTGGCACAGATTGGTACATGACTGTTACTTGAAGGGGCAGACTGTCATATAGAAAGACAAAGTGCTACTGGTTTTTACTGAAAAGAGAAAAAATAGATCATATCTGGGGGTGAGTACAGGAGAAACACAGTAAGGTTTTCATGTATGAGATGGAAATTTAGGTGAAATTTTGAGGGTAAAGAGTTGGAGATTCAATTGGATGGGGAGTTAGAAATGTTCAGGTAACGTTGAATGAGAAGAGCTTTGACCAAAATGTAGAGCTGGAAAAAGATAAGGTGAGTTTAATTTGGTTGAGAGCAAATAAAAGGAAATAAGAGCAAATTAGATCAGAAAGGTGGTTTCAAGACATAATATGGGTCCAAGGCCATAAATGCCAAGTGAAGTCACTTCACTAAACCGCAATGGTAACACAGGAAAATTTGGAGGGAGGCAATTACATGATCAGAGCTGCCCAATGCTGACACTGAGCCACAGGCAAGCTCTAGCTTCTCAATCTCTATTGTTCTTGACTTGCATCCTATGCCCTAGTGAAAAGGAGTCATGCTTGGTTCCCTGAAGATGCCAGTGGGTTCACACCTCTGTGGCCTGGCTAACACCGCCTTCATTCTGCAAACAATGCCACATGTCCATTCCTTACTAGGGGCTCCTTTGCTACAAGAGACACAGACGCAGACCCCAGGATGGCAGGATTTCTGCCATTGTGAGAACAGTAACAAAAAGCACAAGGTGGCCCTGAGTCTGATGATGCCCGATGTGCTTTCAAAGCCTATGGAGGGAACACCTCATTTAGACCTCAGGCTTGGGGAGCAGGGAAGGCATGTCAAGTTGGGAGAGGTTACTGGTGAGCTTGTTTGCCTGGAAAGCACACAGATTTCCAAAGCTGGCTCAAGTCTCATTTCTCTATAACAATGTTTCTGTCCCTTTATTCTCTACTTCATAGAATTCTCCGTGCTATTTTCTGAGCCATACATGTACATTATAATACTTATTTCTTATCATACATGAGTGTTCTATAGCACATGATCCTTCAGAAAGAATATAAACTAATGTAGATTAGTTTCCTATTGGTGCTGAACAAAGTACCACAAACTTTAAACAATATAAACATATTCTTTTACAGTTCTGGAGGCCGGAAGTCCAAAATGAGTTTTACAGGGCAAGATCAAGGTGTGGTGTTGGCAGGGCTGCACCTCTACTGAGGGCTCCACTCCAGGGAATAACCTGCTTCCTTGCTTTTTCCAGTTTCCATAGGATACCAGCATTCCTTGACTCATGGTCCCTTTCTCCATCTTCAAATTGCATCACTCCAGCCTCTGCTGCTATTGTCATCCTCCTTTTCCTAATGTTGACTTTCTTGTCTCCCTCTTACGTGAATCCTTGTAATTACATTGGACCCATTCAGATAATCCAAGATGATAGCCCTATGTCAAGGTCCTTGAGTTAATCACATCTGCAAAGTCTCTTTTTCTATATTAAGGGGATTCGGATGTGGACATCATTGGGAATGGGGAGAGAACATTGTTCTGTCTAGAATATCCTCTAAGGCTAGGGCTAAGTTTTATTTACTTCTGAAATCAGAGCAGGTAGCTCGTTCAGTAACACTGCTTAGTAAGTAACAACCACGACATTTATATTTGTTGCATATATTTGGGGTTTGGAGAAGTGGAGATTAGCAAGACAAATTAGGAAAATATTTCTCTGCTCTAGAAGAGAAGCTCTCTGTATCCGTCCCTCCAAATCCTATATTCCCGCATTTCTCTTAGAGGCAAAAATCTCTCCCTATTTTTAAAGATACTATTCCACTGTCTTCTGGCTTAATTTTTGCTGTTGAATAGGCAGCTATAATTCTAGTTGTAGTTCCTTTGTAAGCAAACTGTCTTTCTTTCCCTCAACTTGTATTAACATTTTTCTGTCTTGTCATTGATGTTCTGTAGTTTGTCACAACACATCTGGCAAAGAATATATTTTTCTCTGCTTAGAATTAAACATGCTTCCTAATTCTGACAACTTGGGAATTCTAATTTCAGAATCTGACTTTCTGAAAAATTATCATTCATGTTGAATATGACCTTCCCCATTGTATATATTAATTCGAGTTAAATATAACCCCACTTTGGCTGATGCTGGACATTTTCTATCCTCCAGAACACTCAAACTTTTTCTTACCATTCAACTTTATTTTCCATTGTTATGTGTAAATAATTCTTTAAATGTATCTTCCAAATAACGAATTATTTTTTATCTCTTGTAAAAACAATTTTTCAGTTTTTTATTTTAATATTTCTTAAATTTCTACCTGCTTTGTTTTGTTTCAAATACTCCTGCTTATTTGATAAACTCTTGCTACTTGAGTCTATATTTCATTTCATTGTACAGATTTTACTTTACTTACTGTACCCAACGATTTTAATATCAAGTTTTTAGAGGTCTTATTCTGCTGTTTTTTTGCTTGTGTAGTTCACACATATCTTGATATTTCCTTGTATATTTTGGGATTTGTGATTGTGAATCCTGTCTAGTGGTGATCTATCTGTGAGAATTCATTGATTCCCTCAGAGAAATGTTTCGTTTGTTTTTGTTACTTACCTTTGGGCACTATTAACCTAAATTCATTTTAGATTAAAATTCCCAGCCTGCATTTTGTGAACCACGCAAATAGGATTAATCTAGGCCCAAATCTCTATAGGGATAGAATGTCTCAGGCTACCTAATATTAGGCTGAGATAAATTTTCTTTTTTGTCTGACTTAATGGTCAGACAAATTATTCTAGTTTAATATTTCTCCTTAAGATGTTCTTCCTTGAGAATCTTAACTTTATTCTGAGATCTTTAATCTGAATCCAGGCTTACGTCCCAATCCCTGAGCACCAAATACTCTAACTGCAACTGTAGCCCACCAGGGAATGGAAGGTTCTCTGAGGGCATTCATAGATGCTTCTTTGGCTGGTCTCCCCAAAATTATATTTCTTCTTCATTCTTATTCTAGAAAAAGTTACCTTATTTTCTCAAAAACTTCCTAGGCATTAGATAGTATATTTTTTCCTCCAAGAATTTTCAATTTTTTTTTTTTTGAGACAGTTTCACTCTTATCACCCAAGCTGGAGTATAGCCATGTGATCTTGGCTCACTGCAACCTCTGCCTCCCAGGTTCAAGCAATTCTCCTGCCTCAGCCTCCCAAGTAGCTGGAATTACAGGCGCTTGCCACCACACCCAGCTATTTTTTGTAGTTTTTAGTAGAGATGGGGTTTCACCATGTTGGCCAGGCTGGTCCTGAACTCCTGACCTCAGGTGATCCACACACCTCAGCCTCCCAAAATGCCAGGATTACAGGCGTGAGCCACTGCACCCAGCACAAGAATTTTTAATTTTTACATGAAGGAATTTAAAAACTTTTAGGAGGGAATGTTAAATCTTTATATGAGGGAATTTTAGGATATTAGCCTGCCATATCAAGAGAAAGTTGTGAATATCATTTGAAGTGCTGAATTGATATTTTATGCTTAATAGCACAAGAAGATTCTCTAACTAAAATCAAATAGCCATTGACTTAAATTTAACAAAAATATAATAAATATTTCCCAGGTTTTGTGTGTCATCTTAGTATCTTTCTTGTCAAGTAGATAACCGGGTTAAGAAACATAATTGATCTCGATTTTCTATCTTAAAAGCTAATCTCTTTTGCCTAGCTCTTAAGGCTCTCAATGTTTATTCCAACCTCATCCCTTTACTGTGACTCTTACTAGAATGTGTGAAATTAAAATATTCAATAAGTTTCAAATATGACTCTTATGCCAATATATACAATGAACATGTTTTATACATTTTATGTTTAGGAATGCTGATTGCAGAATATTAGAAGAAAGCCATACTGAAATAAGCTTGCTAAATTAAGTCTCTTTAGTGTCCAAAGAACAATAAAACCAGAACTTATCTTTCTACTTTTCACAAAGACAGTAGAAAATCTATAAGTTAGCATGCAACTTTACAACATTTGAGCCCTAACCAATAGTACATACTGAATAAAACAAAGTACAGTCTCCTAAATAATTAAATAATCTTTGGTTGAGTTTATTAGGCAATGTTCCAGTATGACATTGAAAGGATATGTGGGCCTTATTTTGTCTTATTTCTAAGTAGTGCTAGTTTCTTTACTACAAAGTAAAGGCTATGAGAATAAGGAATTTACTCTTATTCACTGTTCTAGGACCACTGCACAGTAGTGTAGGCTGACACATAGTAGGTGCTCAAAAAATATGTTGAAATAATGAAAAAAGAATAAATAAAACAGCTCTATGCCCCATGCCCTTTCTGCATACATTCATCTAAACTAGGGCATCACAGCTCTATCATACCCTTTTATATCAAGTATTGTATAATGTCCTGTTGCTTATTCTGGAATGAAAGTCACAGATGAAACAAAATAATCATTTGGAAATACCAACAGCATGCCCTACTTATAAGGGAAACTTTAAAGGAAAATAATTTATTTAAAAGATATTTTATTATGTGATTGACTAAGAACATCTTCACTGAAAGATATAAAAATTATCAGATGCTTGTTTTTTATGTGAATTCACTCAAAATATGAGAGCTAGAAAGACCGATTGATACAGATATTAGATTTGTGACTCAAATTCCATGGCTACTATTGCCATGGGTGATATGATTTTTTTAAATGTTGAACAACTCTTAGTATAAGTTCAAAACAAATCAAAAGTCAGCCTTCCTGTGATTTACTAGTTTCTGCATTCCTGCAACTTCACTGTGCATTAAAATATTTACTTCGGGTTTTAATCTAAGAGGAGTAGAGTTCTATGTTCATGATCATAAACAAGTTTTTCAGTTATTATCCAAAAGATCATTGGAAAGTTACACAAGTTACACGATAAGGCATCTTTGTGCAGGACTGATGATTTTATGTCTTGTTTATAAAGGAGGACTATTAGGCCTCCATCTATTGAATGCCCAGGAAGTCATCCAATCATTGTGGCAACCAAATTCCACTCTTCTAAACACACACATACACAAACACACACATGCACACACACACACAATTTCAAAATGTTCCTAAGATGGCATATCCCAAGTCCAGGACCAATGATTAAGGCATATACTAATTATTTTTAAATGGCCGGTTTGAACCTTGAACCTTCATTAGTATTTTCCAATGATTTCTGTGGACATTATTCTCTCATTTCTCCACTAATTGACAGATGTTAAGGTCTGTGCATATGGCAAAGCCATTGAAAATATGTACTCTATTGTGTCCTTGTCTGGGTTTCTCTCTCAGACAGCTTCTGTGTTAGTTGGCAGTTCACCTAATCTCTCTCTGTTTCAATTTTCCCATGTACAAAGAGTGAATAAAATTGGTACCTATATCATTGGATTGTTGTAAAGAGAAAATTCATGCCAATTGCAAGGTGGAAAAGGTATCTTAGTATATATTACCTATTTTTCTTATTATCAATTAGTTGATCCCTTAAATACTACGCATCCTGCTTCTTTAGGTAGATGGGCAAACTTCTTCAACACAGGGTATTTGCAGAGAGCTAGATAAACTGTTGATACTTCATAAATATTTATTTGTCAGTTAAGTATATTTAGTTTGAGCCATTGGAAAAGCACAATATTCTTGTAAAAAACACTTGAAAATGTAAGTGCTAGAATTGCCAAGAATACTATCAGTTTGTTCCTGAAGAATTATTATTAATTCAAAGAAGAATGCTCAAAAACAAAAATACAGACATTTTTCTAGTTACTGATTTACAGAATGTTTTTGGCCAAGTCAGTGAGCTACTCTGTATTCTCACTTTTTCCCCACAGCCAAGTGCAGATGTTACACCTGCTCCTTCCCTTTCTCTTGAGAATGATGTAAGGTTAGATAATCTGTATTAAGTCTTTGTTTCTCAGGCCATGGTACAATTATCTGTTCTCTTATTAATATTGTTCTGTCCCATGACATCAGCCATAATAAAGAGTCTTAATAAATCATGCCCTTTTCTGAATTTTCTTTATTAGAGGGAGGTGTGTCTGTCTCTCTTTTTTTTTTTCAACCACTAAACAATACAAAATATTCATTACTTTATTTCATACTTGGGAAGTATTACATAAAGCTTCAAATATCCCCATGATCAGCTTTTATGATTCCCCATAAAAAGTTCAGGAGAAAGTACTGAACTCAGGTGATAGAGAGCTTTGGTTTTATATTCTCATCTTTCACAGTGAAACATTAACTTTCAAATTAACTAGGAAAGAAAGTGACCCAGGAGATGGACAATTTTCTATCCTTATGCAATTAAACTAATAAGTAAATGCCAATTGTTACTGATTTTCAATTTGTTCTTCTAAGATAATTCGTAGATTATTAGGACTGAAGGAGACCCTAACTTGAATGTAACTAAGTGAAAAACACTTCAAGTAGTACATACTATTATAAATGTGGTTCTGAGGCCACACTGCCCAAGGCTGAATCTTGGCTTGACCTATTAACTGGATGACTCTACAATCTAGTTTCCCATGCTCAGCATCTTTTTTGAAAAGATAAGGATGAAGATAATGCTAACCCCAGAAGGTTATTTTGAGACTTGATGACAAGTAATGCAAGGATAACATGAGTAAAATAGTCCGTGTGTGTGTAGCATATCCAAGTGCTTAGTTGAGTGTTAGCCATGATTCTTTGCTCAGGGGCCTATGCTGTGTGATGTACGATGTTCAGCAGCATCTATAGGCTCTGCTCACTCGATACCAGTAGAACCTTCCCAGTGTGACAACCAAAAGTGTCTCCAAATATTTTCAGATTTTCCCTGGGCGGGGTAGGGAACATCCCCCAATTGAGAATCACTGTTTTGTGTTGTAATAGCTGTTTCTATGGGGATGGGGTAGAGAAGCCATGAAATGACACAGCTTCTGAAGATATGAGCTTACAGTCTAATGGGAAAAAGAACCTGGAAAACAGCATTTGAACTGAGATAAATGTGAGCTCGAATTAGCTGTCTCTAGTTGCCTCATTTCATCATCTGTAAAATGTAGACAACCATTAGAACTACATAGATAGTTCAGGAACTTAGCTAGTAGCAAAATGAGAGCATTAAATTAATAATATTCTTATTTTACAGTTTAAAATTACAATAGATAAATAATCTAATTTGTAGTGACAACAAAAATATGACCCCTAGGAATAAAACTAATAACTGCTCCTCCCCACCCCCAAATCCAAACTATCTAAATAATTATGAAAGGATATAAATTAGAAAACTTTACGATATAAATTGTAAAACTTCAGATCATCCCCAACATGATCATATCATTTACATATTTCTAATCAGAATCCTATGTAGCTTTTTTTTTCCTGTTTTAACA
This sequence comes from Homo sapiens, assembly GCF_000001405.40. Taxonomy (NCBI): domain Eukaryota; kingdom Metazoa; phylum Chordata; class Mammalia; order Primates; family Hominidae; genus Homo; species Homo sapiens. Next base: position 30,180,260 of record NC_000021.9, on the reverse strand, counting down.
GAACAATTTTGAAGTTCAGCTGGAAAAAAGCGCAAAACATTTAAAAAGTAGAATAAGAGAAGATTGTTCAGAACTTTTAAATAATATTATAACTAAAATATTATGTTATTAATGTGAAAATAAACTAAAAATCCAACACAACTGTAAAAGCAGACAAAGAATATGAATAGTTTCCTAACATACTACATTGTATACGTTTATGAAGTGGACTAGAAAATCCAGAAAAAAATCCAAGTATGCTTTTAATAAGTGAAATAACTCCAAAAACATTTGCTAAACACACACTATCTTCCTGGCACTTGTCTAAATATTGGGAATATATTAGTACATAAAACAGAATAGGTTATTATTCTCAGAGTTTATTTAGAGTAAGCAGAAAAACAATTTAAAAATCAACATATAGGTTGATTATATAATGTGCGATAGTGATAAGTAATTAAAAATACATAAAGCAGAGTAAAGTGATAGACAGGGATGGAGGCGTTCGAATTTAAAATCAAGGGTTCGGTATGACTGTGTTCCTGTTAGAAGCTTTGGAGAATCTGTTTCTTTGCTCTTTCCAGCTCTTAGAAGTTGCCTGTGTTCCTCAGGTTGTGGCTTCCGTCCTCCATCTTGAAAGCCACACAGGCTGCTATCGCTCTGGTTCGTCCCCTTCCGCCTCCCACATTAAGGATCCTCTTGATTACTTCAGATCTATCCCGCTGATCTAGGACGATCTCCCTATCTTAAGGTCATCTGCAATCACTGAAGTTCACCTTCAGACATAATTCTTCTTTGTTTTGTAACTAACATAGTCACAAATTCCAGGGATTAAGATGTGAACATCTTTGGGGAACCACTATTCTGCTTACTAGAGTATACAACAAAGACAATGTGTTGAAAAAAAGTAAGACAATAGCTATTTCAATAAAAAGTATTGATAAATAAAAGGCATAGATAAAAACTAAAAAATGTGAAAAAGAGAATGAATTCCTCTTCTCACATCATGCATTAAAATTTATATGGGCAGATCTTCCTGAGAACTAGAATAGTTATAGAAGAATGTACAGAGGAAGTCAAGAAAAATAGAAAGCATAAGGGAAAATATTAACTGATATAACTGTAATACATCAGTATTATATAAATACTGTATGAAGTTTGTATATCAAAAGAAAGCATAAATAAAATTAAAAGGCAGACAATAAATAAAGCTATTTACGTGGATTTAGATTTCATATTCTTATTTCTGCTATATAAAGAGTTACTATAAATAATTTTAAAGCATATATGCCAAAAGCAAAAATGATCAAATAAAATGAATACGTTGAAGAGACATGAAAAATAGTTTTGCCTCGCCAGTAAGCAAAGAAATGTCATTTCTAACAATGAGAAAATACAATATTTCACTTGTTAAATTGAAATTTTTCGTTGTATCATAACAGTGATGGTGAAGAAACAGAGTATTTGGATACTTTCGAACAACTGCTGGAATAAAGCAATTAAAATATATACAAATATTTTGTATAGTATTTGTATTATGTGTTATTTGGTCTGATAATTACAAGTCCAAGAAAATAATCAGAATGGCTCAAAAGACAATTTAAGTAATTTAAATATTAGAAACACGCTAAGGGAGATTGGATAAAGGATTTTCTTGTGTACATCCTATTAGTTCAGCATTGAATCAGGTGCTTTATATATTTTATCTTTAATGCTTATACTAATAAAGAGTGATATAATAGACTGATACTCAGCCCTAAAAATATCTCATAGAAAGATATTTAATGAAATTTTAAAAAGTCATAGTATATAATTAACAGAAATAGACTATTCCTTTATTTATTTATCCAATAAACTGTACGGCCATCTTGCACTAGTTTATATGCCTGGTATTTTGTCTGTTGCTAGAAAGACATCAGATAATAAGTTCAAGGCATCTATTCTCAATGTGCTTACAAAGTCAGTAAATCAATAATTGCAAGGATTTGGGGTCTAAATGTGTTTGAATATGTGTGCTTGTGTGTATGCACATCTTAGTAGACATGCATATATTTCTTTGCTATGTTAGCAGAGTGGGTTAAAATAAATGGAGAAATGGCTGATTTGGGGGCTGGGTCAAGAAATAAAAAAGATGAACATGGGGCATTTTGTAGTGCTATAAAGAAAGGAAGTGCTATTTTAAAGGCACTTAGAAAACAGCTGAGGCCAGGCGCTGTAGCTCACGCCTAATAATCCCAGCATCTCGGGAGGCCAAGGCAGGAGAACTGATTGAGCGCAGGAGTTCGACACCAGCCTGGGCAACATGGCAAAACCCTGTGCCTACAAAAAATACAAAAATCAGCCAGGTGTGGTGGAGGGTGCCTGTAGGCCCACCTACTTGGGGGCTGAGGCGAGAGGATCACTTGAGCCTGGGAGGTCAAGGCTGCAGTGAGCTGTGTTCCTGCCACTGCACTCCAGCCTGCGTGACAAAGTGAGACCCTGTCTCCAAAAAATAAAAAAGAAAACAACTGAAAGAACTTCCAGTGGCCAAAGCTAGAACAATTTGAGCAAGAAAACAAAGTGGTTTGGGATTACAACTCAAAGAATAAAACATAGGTCATGAATCCATTCTGATGTAATTAAGTGATTGAATAAATTAATAAATGGGGGATAAAGGATCTCATATGCAAAAAAATTCCAAACAGTTATACTCCACTCATTAAGTGTGTGCTGTGTATAGTAAGTTCTTTTTGAAGAGTACAGTATGGAAAGTGGAAGAGAGTAACTTAACAGTGGAGAAATCTGACAAACCCTACCTCAGCCAGATGAACGAGGTCAGCACCAACAGTCATGAATCATATTGATAGTATGTACTCGATACGATGTGATGAAAATGGTACTTTATCTCTGTGATCTTCTTTCCCCAAATTCGTACTCTTAGTCTAATTATGAGAGAAACATCAAACAGATTCCAGTAGAAGGTCACCCTACAAAATAACTGGGTAGTACTCCTCAACTGTCAAGGTCATCAAAAATGGAAAATCCGAGAAACCGTCACAGACAAGAGAAACCTAAGGAAGGAGACATGACAAAGGTAATTTGGCACCCTGGATAGGATCCTGCAATAAACAAAGGACATTAGCTAAAAACTAAAAAATCTGAATAAATTATGAGCTTCAGTTAATAACAAAGTATGAATATTGGTTTATTTATTGTGAGAAATGCCCTATTTCAATCTACAGTGAGTAATAAGGGAAAGTGAGTGTGGGGTATAAGAACACTCTGTACGAGGCAGGCTGGGCGAGGTGGCTCAGGCCTGTAACCCCAGCACCTTGGGAGGCCGAGGTAAGCGGATCACCTGAGGTTAGGAGTTCAAGACCAGCCTGGCCAACATGGTGAAACCCTGTCTCTACTAAAAATACAAAAATTAGCTAGGTTGGGTGGCACATGCCTGTAATCCCAGCTACTTGGGATGCTGAGGCAGGAGAATCACTTGAACCCAGGAGGTGGAGGTTGTAGTGAGCCAAGATCGTGCCATTGCACACCAGACTGGGCGACAGAGCAAGACTCCATCTCAGAAAAAAAAAAGAACACTCCGTACTATCTTAATTTTTGCAAAACTAAAGCCATTCTAAAAATAAAGTCTGTATAAAGTATTAAAGTATAATAAAATTGACTATTCAGGTTATCTTAAAGGAATGTCATAAAAACAATTATTAAACAAATATATTTTGATCAATTTTTGACTATAAAATTAGTATATGGAAAATATATTTATTGTTTTCACCTAGTTAACTTACTTATGTTATTTATCTCATTTAATTCATTTATGCAAAAGCAGGACCAGAGGGTTAGAAAGATAACTTGGCATCTTTTATACTGATATCTATAGGAACCTGGAAGTCTCCAAAATATTTAGAGAGACATATCTACTCAATTAGAGTTTTTAGTTACTTTGGATTATCTGAATAACAACTATACTTCCTACTGCTATATGAATCCATGTTCTGGATTTAGTAGTGTGTTAATAATCACATTGACCCAAGTTATTCACTGAAATAAAAATGTTGCACATTGAATGTTCTTGATATGCATCTGATTTCTTTCAGGTTGACCTGTCTAAATTTTAAAATAAGTACATTTGGTCTGCATAACGTGGTTACTTGTTACATTATTTTTGTTATTTACACAATATGATTTTTTGCGGTGAGAACTTGCAATATATTTAAAATTAATCTTTATTAAGTTATGTAATAAAATAAAGGTCAAATATGCTCATGTGATCCTGTACATATGTAGAGTTACTCACAAAGCCAGTTAGTAAGGTGTTGAGTCTTTACAATATACAGAAATAGACAATACAAAATGAAAAAAAAAATCTTTCTGCACTTTTCTCATATTTGGATCAAATATAAGGAGCACATCTGACCTTTGTGCAGCTCATTAGTAGTAAGTGTAGAAGTAAATATGCAATAAAGAACAGTATTTTTTAATTTGCTTGTATTTTACTTAGAGGCATGACTCAAATGCTTTGGCTCATCAGAATACTGAATCACATTAAGGACAATCTCATTGTTAAAAAGAAAAAAAAATGGCAGTAATAAATGATTGCCTCAAGCAATGGCATACCATACTTGAAATCTAATAAATAAAAAATGAGAAGTAGAGGACAAATTATGAAAAGACATCTTTCTTCTAGTAAATCTAACATCCAGAATTTAATTTTAAAAAGCTCAGGATTATCTACCAAATAGAAGTAACATTAATAATTTAAATATTATTGCATGTACCGTTTGTTAGTATTTATAATTGTTTTGGTTTTATGGTTTTTGAAAGTTTATACCATGTTTTTATCTGAAAATAGTTGAAGTAATATATCATAAATATGTTGCTAAAAAACTTGTTTTTCTAAGCTATTTGAACATCATTCACAGTTGAGAAGCACTTTGCTAATGCCCCAGTTAAAGTGTTTTTAATTATAATTGATAAATATCATGCCCTCCCCATTTTTTAAAAATAACATAAGAGCAATGAATTCTATAGAATTCAATAGAATTCTTTTATTTCAGAGCTTTTTTACCACCTACTCACATAAAACTGAATTTAACCATTAATGATTAAATTTACCATCTTTACACTCTAGGTTCTTCTCAAGGGGTATAACTTCAAAGTTACCCTTAAGCCTTAAAAGTTTTACTGGGACAAACCATAACAAACCATAGTAATGCAGAATTGCCTTAAGGATATACAATCCATCTATTCACTATAGGTCAGGGGTCTCAACCCCAGCTGCCCACTAGAATCATCTAAGACACTTAAAAAAAAAAAAAAAACCTGGTGCCTCCTCCCATCTTTAGCTATTTTGATTTCATTGGTTTGATGTGGAACCTGATAAGTTTTAATAAGCCTCTCTATATAATTCCAATTAAAAATCAAAACTGAGAACCACTGGAACAGAAACTCAAAGGAGTGCTTCTGATTCCAGTCTGCATGTTAGTATTGCAAGGGGTGCTTTGAAAATACTGATGCAACTATAACAAAATAAAACAAAAACAAAAATAAAAATGCTGATTCCAGAGCCCCACCTCCAGGTTCTGCTTTAATAGATCTGGGGTGGGGCCCAGGCATTGCTATTGTTTCAAAGGTCCCAAAGGTGATTCCAATATGAAGTCAGGGCTGAGAACCACTGATATAAATGTTTAAGACCTGAACACCTGGACCACATTCTTTGCGCTCCAGTAAAATAAGGAACACCAGGGCAAATGTGGCAACTTTATTTACTATAAAAATGTTGCTCATTGTATTCCACAATGAAAGAAATTTCTTTCTAGTATCAGAGACATGAAGAGTTATACAACTCCTGAAAAAAAAAATGGGTTTTTGTTGCACAGACACTCTGCCTTGCTCCTAAAATCTTTACAGGCAAATTCATGGCTAATGTTTAGCAAATGTGGCATTTATTTTGTGGACAAACCTCATGCCATTTTTTATCTTTTATTGCCTAGCTTTGTTTTACCCTGTCACCAAAATCCTCATTTTTTTTCATGAATCACAAGCTGTCTTTTTTTTTTTACTAGTCTTCTTAAATTATTTTGGCAGCTATTTGAAATGCAAAAAAAAAAAAAAAAAAAAAAGGGAAGAAGAAAAGGAGAAGGATAAATTCAAAGATTTCTATAGTATATACTCAAATCTGTGCACAGAAATAAAAACACATACAATTAATACATTTGCTTTGCCTGGAGCGAACTCTGGATTTTGCGGATTGGTTTCACAGAAAAGTGTATTTGCAATGCTGATTTGCAAGTAGACTTAAAATAGTTGAAATTTGAGGTCACAAATGTGAGTTAATGGGATAAATTTGATTGAGTGGGTGGTGGTATTAAACTTTATTTAGATGGTTTTAGGTCACCCCTGAATGCATTTCTGGAATACAAAACTGTTGTTGTTTTTTAAAAAAGAACAAATAAGATAATATTTCATTATATAAATCCAGTCTTTACTGATGTAGAAAAGTACTCAAACTGAAAATGTATAATTTAGGAAAATATAATTAAACACAGAACCTTAAATTAAAGGATGGCCCAGCTAAACAAACATTGTTTTGATCAATTACTTCATTATTCATTCAAACAATATTTCTTGGGCATCAACTATGGATCAGGGAATTCATGATCTGCACTGGGAATAGAATGGTAATAGAATGGGATAGAATAGAATAGAATAGAATAGGACTAGACAATGGACACAAGTCTCTGTTCTTATAGAATCTGTACTCCAGACGGGAAATGACTTTATGAATGGAAATGTATATTTATATAGAACTTGTGAAAAAATGCTGTGAAGAAAAATGCATAGTACTATGAAAGACTGAAAAAATGGCAGGGATGGGGATTTTGTCAAAGCTGTTATGATCTGAGAATTCAGGGCAAGTTTCTCTTGTAACTAAATTTGGACCAAAATCCAAAGGAGAATGAATAAGTATTAAGTGGGCAATGTGCATGTGTTGACATGAAGAGGGAATTGAGAAGGTACTTTATGTAGGGGGAACAGATATATGAAAGTCAACAATACAATGAGCAATAACAGAGTGGGGATGTGTGTGTGTGTGTGTGTGTGTATGCATAAATATACTTAAACACAACTTCAAATCAGCTTAATGGGCATCCAGTTAAAGCTTTTTTGACTCATTTGTATCTGTTAAAATTTGAACTGGCTACTGTGGGAGACAGGGCATTCTCTTTCAAAATAGACCCACAGGCTGGGTGCAGTGGCTCACACCTGTAATCCCAGCACTTTGGAAGGCCGAGGTGGACAGATCACCTGAGGTCAGGAGTTCAAGACCAGCTTGGCCAACATAGCGAAACCCCGTCTCAACTAAAAATACAAAAATTAGCTGGCCATGGTGGTGGGCACCTGTAATTTCAGCTACTCAGGAGGCTGAAACAGGAGAATCGCTTGAACCTGGGAGGTGGAGTTTGCAGTGAGCAGAGATAGTGCCACTACACTCCAGCCTGGGTGACAGAATGAGACTCTATCTCCAAAAAAGAAACAAACAAACAAACAAACAAAACAAAATAGACATACAGTAAGTTGTGAGAATGTTTTAATATTTTCTGGTTTGGAACCCGTGAAAGGGGAGACAAGGCAAGAGAAGGATGCTTTGTGTCCTAATTTTTCCATTCGGATGTTATACCTCTACTTCTATTCATTTCAAGCTGATGCTGAAAGTAAAACTAACACATTTTTTCAGAGGAAAGCAAAAAACTCCTCAACATATATTAGATTCCCTAAGACCTCAGTACAAGTCTCAGGAGGACATAAGAATACCATTAGTCAGCAGCCCTTATTAGCAGATTTGTCTCACTGATTGTGATCTAATCAGAGATAATTTGTGGACAGGATGGAGGTTATGGATTCTTGCATATGTGTACAGCCCAGATTATCCCTAAGTGCTCCAAAACATCTAATTCCTAAATTATTTACTGGTATGGCTCACAGGCAGCTCAGACTTCACATCTAAAAATTGAACTCTTAATCTTTTTCTAAAAGGTCACTCAACCTTCAGTGTCTCACGTCACGGTAAATGCAACTCCGAGTACAATGATGCTCATGTCAACAGTACAACAGGCATCTCTGAAACCTTCCCCCACCTCCAGTCCATCACCCACCTTCAGCAACTGTAGCTCCTCTACATAGTGTAAAGCCATCCACTCCTACATTGCCCCTACTCTAATCCAGCTTCTATCATCTCTCATCATCTCTCACTTGGACTATCGCAATAACCTTCTAAATGGTTTCTTCGTGTTCAATTTTGTTCTTTCTAATTAATTTCTCCAAACAGCCATATTGTTTTGGTGGTTGGTGTTTTTTCTGTGTGGCTTTTTTTTTTTTTTTTTTTTTTTTGATACAGAGTCTTGCTGTCACCCAGGCTGGAGTGCAGTGCTGCAATCTTGGCTCACTGCAACCACTGCCTCCTGGGTTCAAGTGATTCTCCTGCCTCAGCCTCCTGAGTAGCTAGGATTACAAGCATGTGCCGCCACAGACGGCTAATTTTCATATTTTTAGTAGAGATAGGGTTTCACCATGTTGGTCAGGCTGGTCTTGAACTCCTGACCTCGTGATCTGCCCACCACAGCCTCCCAAAGTGCTGGGATTATAGGCATGAGCTACCGCACGTGGCCTTTTGTTTTGTTTTTAAGCAGGCTTGAGTCTTGATTGTGTGAGTCCCATGCCGAAAATCTTTAACTGGCTTTGCATTGCTCTTAGAAGATTATTACATGGTTCACATTGCTTGCATATCTGGACCTTGTCTACATTTGCAACCTCATCTCAATTCTCTCACCCTCCTCTGGCTTGGTCTTCCACTTGCATTTGACCCAAACTCTCTTTGCCTGCAGTGCCTTTACCCAGATGGTCTCTTGTGCCCAGAATTCTCTTTCTCTCACTCTTTGTTGAATTATCTGGCTAATTTCTACTCAAGCTTCAGGTTGCAGTTTCAATATTGTTTTATCAGAGTGCCCTTCCTTCATTAGAGAATCCTTAGTTAAAACTAAAATCATTTCTGTTTATACCATATATTTTTTAACCATAGCTATACCTTAATTTTTAATAATATGTATTTTGGCAATTGCATGTTTAGTATTTATCATGCTCACTAAAATGTAAGCTCCGTGAAGACATGGAATGGAGTCATGGTCAGAAGCTAAGTTTTAAAGTTGGGCAGGGGTCATTCAAAAATTGGTCTCACGCGTCATGCTAAGGAATTTGGATCTGATTTTACAGGCAACAGAGAAATAATGAAAAATTTTAAGTAAGGTGGTGGCATGTACAGAGTTTGATTCCACAAGGTTTTGTGGTTCTTCAATAGAAAATGAATCAGAAAGTAGTAAGAAAGGGCAGAGGCAAGGAGGTTAGGTAAGACATTCTTGAAATGGTACAGATGAGGAATGTCAAAGGGCTGAACTAAGACACAGCATAGAACAGAAATCATATTTAATCCATTTGAATAAGGTGTCAGTCAATGGTTGGGTTCCCTGAGCATGAGACTCTGAGGCAGAGATTAGTGTGCATTATGTTTATTATGAGATCAACACCTTAGGAAAAGAAGGTAAGGAAGAGGATTGGCCATATGGAGTTTAGTTGGGATACAGGGCTAATGAAGGCCTTATCTGACCATACAGTGAGCTGTGGAGCTAGAATAGCCCCTGAGTGTTAACCCCATGGGGCTAACAGGGCTAGCGGTCAGGACCATATTGATGAGTCACTGGATATGGGCTACATCTATGAATGGGGAATAATTTGAGTGACATGCCTATTTCCAGGTAATACCTGAATGAGGCTGAGAGCTGAGGGTGTTCTGCCCACAGCACTCTAAGCAGCTGAAAAAGACATCTGGGTGGAACATCACAGTGTCCACTCTAGGCACATATTTATTAAAGAATAAGAGAGAAAAATGAGCTGAGGGTGGCAAACAGAAACAGGCATGGACTAAAGACAACAGATTCAGAACTTACGGCCTGACAGGAGGTAGGTAATGCTGTGAAGACATAGGTGAGGTGCCTTAGGGAGAGTGTGCCAAGTGAGAAGAATACTGAGGTATATCAGGAAGTCTGGAAGAAAAGTGAGAATGCGTATGTGGAGAAGTAATAAGGACCATAATACAACAAAAACAAATGAGACAAATATTAACAGAAAACTTTTCCTGGGTGTTTGCTCAGGACCAGGTTCTTTGCACACATTCTATTTAATCTTCAAGGCAGCCCTGTGAATTTGATGTTATTATTATCCTGATTTTGTAGAACAGGCACTTTTGGGGGGATTCAGAAACATGCCTGAGATGGGTGGCTAAGGCATCAAGCCAAGACAGAACCAAATCTCTCTCCAGAGCACATGCCCTTCACTGTCTCTCATTAGAAGACAGTGGTTTGTTGTGACCTTTACCGAAATATCAATAAGCAGAAATATGGAAGCGTTTTGGTAAAGATAGTAGCTAGGATGTCCAAGAAGTCTATAACATTTTTAGGAAGGTGTTTGTGGGTAGCATGATGACCAAAGGCAGATTTCAATGTGTATAGCAGTGGGAAATGTGAGAGAGGACCAAAAGATGTGTAGAGATACATGGCAAGGAATACAGATCTGGCAAGATGAAATTTCATTTTATTTTATTTTATTATTTTTATTCATTTCTCTTACATTTTTATAACTTCAACTTTTATTTTACAGATGGCACACACCTGTAGTCCCAGCTACCAGGGAGGCTGAGGCAGGAGAATCATTTGAACCCTGGAGGTGGAGGTGGCACATGTGTAAGTCGTTTACTGATGCTGAGATCTGGGTGTGAATGATCCCATCACCCAGACAGTGCGCATAGTACCCAATCGTTGGCTTTTCAACCCTTTTCTGCCTCTTCCCTTCCCTCTCTAGCAGTCCCCAGTGTCTGTTGTTGTCATCTTTATCTCTACATGTACCTGATGTTTAGCTCCCACTTACAAATGAGAACATGTGAAATTTGGTTTTCTGTTCCTGTATTAATTCACTTAGGATAATGGCCTCCAGCTGCATCCATGTTGCTGTAAATGACAGGATGTAATTATTGTATATGGCTGCATAGTACTCCATGATGTATATGTACCAAGATGGAGTTTTAAAACAGAAGAAAATTGAGTATGTTTATTTTCTAAGGGACACCTCAGAGAGAGGGAGAAGGTGTCAGTACAATGAAAGGAGGGAATGATCAATAGAGCAAGTCCCACTGATGAGGTAGAAGGGGATAAGATTCATAGAAAGGTTGGAGAGGAAAGCAGTATCTTCCCCTAAATACAAAGGAGAGAAGGTTAAAATGTTTTTAACAATTGGTTTTGTCGGTGAGAGGCAAAGACCAAGATCTCCTACGTTATTTATGTTTTTCAAGTTATTCATTTCTTGGGGGTTGGGAATACGGTCTCACTCTGTTGCCCAGACTGGAGTGCAGTAAAGCAATCACATCTCACTGCAGTTTTGATCTCCCAGGCTCAAGCGATCCTCCCACCTCAGCCTTCCGAGTAGCTGGGATTGCAGGCGTTTGCCACCACATCCAGCTAATTTTTAGTTTTTTGTAGAAACATGGTGTCACTATTTGCCTAGGCTGGTCTCAAATTCCTGGGCTCAAAAAATCCTCCTGCCTCAGCCTCTCAGAGTGTTGGGATTATAGATGTGAACCACTGTACCCAGCCTCAGATTATTTTTATATTTAGGAGGTATCTCCATATCTTAAACAAACATGTGTTCTCACTTATAATACAGATAATATGCTCTAGCTGATGAGAAAGCAAATAATTGGAAAAAAACACTGGAAACTTCCAGGACAAAATGAACATAGGAATAAAACTGAAGTAGAATGAGGAAGAGGAACTAGAACAAGGAAGAGGACCCAGAAGTAACAAATCAGAGTAATGCTGGAAAATCCTGTCAGGGAGGGAATGGTTAAGCCTATGTCTCAGTAACCATGAACAAAGGGCCAAAGAAACCCTTCATCCAATCCGGTGTTGGGAAACTGTTAACGACACAGAAGTCATCTGTTTGCTCAATGATTCACATTCCTTAGAGAGGGAGTTCTCAGACCAATCATTTTGAAAACTCAGTGATTTTCACATTCATTAATTCAGTGAGTGGACTCTTTAAATCTGGATGTCATTGGACCAGCCATTAAATCTTTGGCCGGTAATTGACTGAAATGGAGGACATTTTGCAAATTGTAATGCCTCCCACCTGGAGTGTGGTTGGCGTGCTTGCTTTGGAGACATTTTCATCCTTAGAATAGATCCCTTGCCAGTGGGATGTAAAAGAAAAAGGAAAAGGGTCCACTTCTCCCACATGAAGCCCCCCACTGCCTCTAGGGAGTGGCAAGAAAGCGGCAGTCAAAAGCTACAACTTGACTCGAATTTTGAAATAATCTCAGTTGAATTTTTCTTCCTTTGAAAACCATTTGAAAAACTATAGAAAGGATAGTGTTAAATTTCTACTGGGTTTAGTCCCACTTATATGAAAAGATTCGAAAAAGCATCTTTCCTTCCTATTTTTGAATCGGACCAGACAGAGGAGGTAAGCATAGTGAGTTACAGGGCTGGGCTTGTTCCTGGATCAGTTACCACATGGCTTGTCTCAGTCAAACACTTTGCACACCTCCCGTTCATCTGGCAAATAAGGGTCTTAAGTTTGATGGCCTTGAAGATAAACTTCCAGCACTAAATTGTTCTCTAGCGTCTAAATTTTAAGTGACTGCATAGCTTATTTCAAGGGCCACTTTTATATTGTTCCATAAAAATGAAAGGTATGTGTTTGGCTTTAATAAATGTGATCTATTTCAAGCTGCCATTGAAGAAACATTGAATGAAAGTTTCCATATTAAACATTACTTCAATAGAGAGAGAGGTGTTCCTTAACAGCTAATGTAATAATTAACAGTTCATTCAAATTAATTATAAGGAGTACTTCTCTATTTTCTTCTTTTCTGGATCTTAAGAATAAACTATGAAATGTTAATTTCTTGCTTAGGGCTCCTGCTAAGTATCAACAGTTTTCGTGTGTCTTGAAACTAATACCTAAATATTTCTCCCTATTGAGGCATCTTTATTAAAGCCAGAATTGATTACCATCTTAAGGAAAAGTGGCTTACTTACACTAGAATAAAGTAATAAAGTCCAAAATGTTTTTTAATTACTCCCCAATAAACTTACAACATTTTGGCATTGTCTTCAGCTGTGTCTTGACACATGTATTTATACTTTTATATCAGAGTGATTTTTACACAGGAAGTTTCAGCTCTGTAATTAGCAATCCACAATAGAAACTTTGACACTTAATTACAGCATTGCTAAGGCAATAATAATATGAGAAATCCTAAACTTGAATGCAGTATTTCTTGACACACCCCTAGCTACCTTCTTATTGGCTGGGAAACAATTATATATGACTAGTAAATAATCCATACTGAAATGAATGTGTATGAAAAAAGGCAACATGCATTTACAACAGGTACTTCTAGTTAGGCCAAGTTCAGTCACAGCTACTGATTTGGACTAAAACGTTATGGGCAGCAGCCAAGGAGAACATCATCAAAGACTTCTCTAGACTCAAAAGGCTTCCACGTTCTACATCTTGAGCATCTTCTACCACTCCGAATTGAACCAGTCTTCAAAGTAAAGGCAATGGCATTTTATCCCTTGCAAATTGCTGGGCTGGTTCTTGGGTTCCTTGGCATGGTGGGGACTCTTGCCACAACCCTTCTGCCTCAGTGGAGAGTATCAGCTTTTGTTGGCAGCAACATTATTGTCTTTGAGAGGCTCTGGGAAGGGCTCTGGATGAATTGCATCCGACAAGCCAGGGTCCGGTTGCAATGCAAGTTCTATAGCTCCTTGTTGGCTCTCCCGCCTGCCCTGGAAACAGCCCGGGCCCTCATGTGTGTGGCTGTTGCTCTCTCCTTGATCGCCCTGCTTATTGGCATCTGTGGCATGAAGCAGGTCCAGTGCACAGGCTCTAACGAGAGGGCCAAAGCATACCTTCTGGGAACTTCAGGAGTCCTCTTCATCCTGACGGGCATCTTCGTTCTGATTCCGGTGAGCTGGACAGCCAATATAATCATCAGAGATTTCTACAACCCAGCCATCCACATAGGTCAGAAACGAGAGCTGGGAGCAGCACTTTTCCTTGGCTGGGCAAGCGCTGCTGTCCTCTTCATTGGAGGGGGTCTGCTTTGTGGATTTTGCTGCTGCAACAGAAAGAAGCAAGGGTACAGATATCCAGTGCCTGGCTACCGTGTGCCACACACAGATAAGCGAAGAAATACGACAATGCTTAGTAAGACCTCCACCAGTTATGTCTAATGCCTCCTTTTGGCTCCAAGTATGGACTATGGTCAATGTTTTTTATAAAGTCCTGCTAGAAACTGTAAGTATGTGAGGCAGGAGAACTTGCTTTATGTCTAGATTTACATTGATACGAAAGTTTCAATTTGTTACTGGTGGTAGGAATGAAAATGACTTACTTGGACATTCTGACTTCAGGTGTATTAAATGCATTGACTATTGTTGGACCCAATCGCTGCTCCAATTTTCATATTCTAAATTCAAGTATACCCATAATCATTAGCAAGTGTACAATGATGGACTACTTATTACTTTTTGACCATCATGTATTATCTGATAAGAATCTAAAGTTGAAATTGATATTCTATAACAATAAAACATATACCTATTCTAAAATGTAACCTATTATTTTTCCTCTACATTGTTTCTTGTACTACATACTAACAACTAAATGGTGACCTTTTTAAAAAGATTATCATGGAAAATTGTAGATATCAAACAATAATCGTTAGTTGAATTAGACGAAAATGTCCATCTAATGAAAGGCTTTGTTCCTTTAGGAACTCACACAATAAAAATTAGACACTTTAGTGAAAAGAGAGCTCTGATTTCTCTTAGGACAATTAAGAAGACAGATTTTAAGGTCTCTAATTTATACAGTTAAACTTGCCTAGAATTACTGTTTAAAGGAAAATAATTTATAAATGAAAACTAACATTTTTCATAGCCTACCATCTGCACGTCAAGCAAACAGAAGCATCTATCTTGATAAGACACATCAATGGGAGGCTATTAACACTCAATTCTTATCTAGAGGTTATATGGTCCCAAATAGAAAATTGCAGTTTGGGCATTGAAGGGAATGGTTTCTTTTCTTTGTTTTATTCTTTAGTCATTGCACAGGTATAAACATGCTAAGCAATTCGAAGAATCAAGGTAATGATTCAGACAATTAGTCAGGCTAAGATAAATACCTTTTTTGTATTCTCTACTAAACAAATAGGTATGGTGAAGGTTTTTTTGTTTTGCTTGAATTACACACATGATTTTCTCAGTTCTTCATTTCCCATATCAATATCAGGGTTAAAAGTGTGGTGGGTCATGTGGGGTGAGAGTGAGTGGGGAGTGTTTATGAGGCAAGATCACCCCTATGGGTTGCTTCTGAATAGCTTTTAGATCTTGTGAATCAATCAGTGCTTACATGTTCAGTTTTAACTCTTCAAATATTGTGCTTATTTTGTAATAAAAATGTATTTAATTTTGAGTATATAATTGCAATGAGAAGCTTGAATTTGCTCACCAAAAATTTATTGCATCTTCATCCTTATGGTAATAAAATAAAATAGATTACAATGATGTTGATATATTTAGCTGTAGGGTCAATTAGAATAAATTTCTGTCCTCACAAGATCACTTAGTAACTCTGAAACATTAAATCAGGGCTATCTCAAGCCTGGATGTGAATATCCAACCTTCACTCCGTTCTACAAACCACCAGCAAGACGTCAGTAGGTGAAGCCCCTGGTAATATAAAACTGTATTTAAAACACTGGTAATATTAAATGATAAGATCACACAAGTGTAAATATCTTCAAAGATTAGCAATAAAAATAAGAAAAATAGTGATTAAGGTGAATTTTTCCTAAGATTGATTTTTTTAATCAGACTTGATTCAGAAAGGCCTAATATTGGGTATGTTGGAAAAGAGTCATTTTTCTTTTACAGACAAATAAGTTGTCATAGAATCATTTTTCTTACCTTTTAGCTCACCTAGAAGTAATTAGCTTTACAAGAATGGATTCCTCAGCCTAAATGGGGAAGTATGTTATTCTGCTAGCCAGAGGATCAAAGAGTAAAAAGGTATAACACTTGGTGCAATCATAAGATAATATTAGCTATTGAATATGTGTTAACATTTCAGGAACTAAGTTTTTTGTTGCTTGGCCTTCCATTAATCAATGTGTAGCTTTGGAAAGATTATTTTTCCCTGCTCCACTCTGCTGCAGTATTTTTCCAATTACACCAAAAATAAATTTTACTAATTTTCCAGGAATTTAAAGATGCATTAAGAATGCACATTTCTTACTACAAACCCCGGCGTGCATGAAATTTATCTTTATTTTCTAAAATTTAACTGAAGTTCAACTTCTTGAGTACTTCCCCACATATTATACAGTTGTTAGGATCTTATGCAGGGCTAAGCAGTGTTCCATGGTGGTTTCCGGGGTCAGTCCATGGTCATCAGTAACTGCAGGTATCCGAGAAGTTGTCTATTTTATCTGCCCACAGAGTCTTTGTAGGCTTCTTAGCTCCGTCAATTCTGCCATACTTGGCCTTTTTTTTTGAGACTCTTGTTCTGGGCTGCTTGAACCGGTAGATTTCAACCCTGGCTGTATATTAGAATTGCTTGGGGAACTTTGGAAAATACCAATATAGCTGGTGTTGAGATGATCTATGGTACCATTATCCAGAGTCATAGCCAGGAACCTTACCTGCTGACCTGGTTACCAGCTATCCACAAGCAGTGGTAGAGAAAATGGCTACTTCCCAATAAAATGTTTCTAATGTCGCCTCTGTAACCCTTCTTCTCCTTCCCCACTGTCAAAAACCTTGTGCAATTTCATAGAGGTTTTCAGAAGCAAATGCATAGGCTAAAACTCTTCAAGGGTACTTTTGTCTTCCGTTTTTCTACATACTCAGTGAAATTCTTTGCTAATCACCTTCTGGAATGCGGACCAGGGAAAAAGGGAGAATATAAGAAGAGAAAAATAGTTGACATCAGAAAATAGAAAAATAGTTAACATCACAAAATATTATTTAATCACACATGGTTGAAGATGTTTTAAGAGAGTAATACTCCTGCAGTTTACAAATTTAATTAAATGCACACCAATAATCTTTTTCATTTGTAAAAAATCTTGCTATATTTAAAAGCATTTTGTTAAACTGTTTTGATCTTTGTAACCACCATGTGCTGTAGAGAGTGTAGATATCGTTACCAAAACATGCCAAGTAAAAGAATTGAGACATACAAGGTTATCTCACTTGGCCAAAGTCACATAGTTAACATGCAGAAATCAAGAATTCAACAACAGGACTAAGTTGTTATTTAATAATAACTTGAGGAATGATCAAAAAACAGTATACATACAGAGCAATGGTTTGAGGGTTTAACTGCTATGCAACCCCTCTTCCCCCAGAGAAGAGATGAAACTAAGGAATTCAGAAATGTAAAGAAAGTTATTGGCTTTAAGTATAAAAAGCCCAGATTCTTAGGAGATCATGGGCCAAGAATAACATGGTTATCTTTAAGATTAAGAGTATAAAATGATTTCCTTGGATGAAGGTATAATAATAAGGAGCAGAGTTTAGAGGGTCTAGATATCAGTGTGTCCCTGGGAGTAGCCTGGTGGCCACTCCCTAGTCCAGTTCCTGGGGACTGGGGCCCAGGGGAATAATAAACTCTCAGATGGGTTCGAGAATCCAAGGGCAGAAATGATCTGTGTCCTAACTCAGGTGGAGCTGAGGATGTCAACAAAGTATTCCCTGTGACCTCACAGTGCTGGAGGATAAGTGACATCTCTGTGAAGTATTTAGTCTGACAGCCTAAAAGATAATCTTGCCACGTTCCCCGCAGCTGGAATGCCATGGGAGCAGAAGAACATTTCCTACCCATCCGAGAGGGGCACAGAGCATGCCAGACCCAAAAAGGTCTAGTGGCTGGGACTAGATGAGACACAGCAGTCATGCACATGGACAAGCAGCTGGCCCATCCATGTCTGCATGCCTTCAGATCCGCTCCTTCACTCCTCTGTCTAATCTGTATCCTGTGGAGGTTGATGCTCACGGCTGGGCAGTGTGTGCCAAGAGCTTGTGGTAAGAGTAGTCCTCCCCAGGTACAGGCAATAGGAGGGGGCTCTCTCTGTAAATAATAGAAAAGCAATAATAAAACCTACTAAATATTGGTCTGTTCTTTATTATCTTCACATGCTTACCTTTCTAATTAATGTTAGTGATAAAACACCACATCAAAACAAACAAAAAAATGTAATTTCTTGATGTAAGTTCTGAACAATCATTGTGATTACTCTTCAGAGAGGTAGGTAGTGTTATGGGCTTAACTGTGCCTTCCCCCCATTTATATGTTAAAGATCTCACCTCTGCATAAATGAAAATGCAACTGTGTTTGGAGATAGGGTCTTTATAGAGGTAATTAGGTTAAAATAAAATTATTAAGGTACGATATTAGATATGACTGGTGTTCTTATAAAAACATGAGGAAATTTGGACATAGACAGGTACAGAGAAAAGGTGATGTGGAGACACATAGGGAGAAGATCGTCATCTGTAGGCTAGAGAAAGAGGCCTGGAACAGCTTCTTCCCTCACAACCTTCAGAAGGAACTAACCCTGCGGACACCTGGATCTCAGAATTCTAACCTCCAGCCCGGTGAGACTATAAATTTCTGTTGCTTTAAGCCACACAGTTTGTGATATGGGAGCCCTAGCAAACTAAGATAGATGGATAGGCAGATAGGTAGATAAATAGATAGTAGGTACACAGAGAGACAAACAATTAATAGACAGATGACAGATATATGATAAATAGATAATATTTAGACAGTTGATGGATTGATTGATAGATGAAAGATAATGATAGTGATTGATAGATAATAGAGGATTAGATAGACACATAGATGATAGATAAAGAGATGTCATCTATGCTACAAATGAATAGACAGAAGATGCCATCTACACTACCATGCGCCCTGACACACATGGACTTGGCTTCATGGGTCTGTTGCCAAAGTTAAAGAGTTTTCTCCCAGATTCCAATTCAGCAAGGCATGATTTTCAAATAATTTTTCTCCAGCCATACTGTTTTACTGTTTTAATTTTTTAAAAAACAAATAAAACCCTCAAGTCATGATAAAATGACAGAGTTCTGTTCTGTTTCCATGTCTTTGCAATTTCTGTGCTACTGAAATGGGAGGCATAGATTATATGCTAGCTAGCTCAAGTGGTTCTAACCTGTATGAATGCACCGGAATTTCTTCAGAGTAATGTCTATAAAAATGTTTATTAAAGTATAGATAATAAAAACATGTTAACTTGAAGCTTATTCTGGAAAAAATCTTCTCTTACAGAGGAGTGGTATATTTGCTCCAAGAGTCAAGTATACTAGATGGGCTACTGAGGCTGGTTTTCCCAAGATCCTGTGTTCAGCTGCCACCTGCTAGGTGAGAGATTGGAGGACAGAGGCAGAGAGGACTATAAACTTTCCCTCACTCCACCCTCCAGCTCTATCAGAAGGGCCCAACTGAAGCCCAGGTTCTGCCTTTTGCCAAGTGAACCCCATTCCTGGGTCTGGCAATACTCCCTTTTCCTTCATCATCTGGGAAGTTGCAGCTTTCTGCTGTTGTTAGTATACGGGAAGTTCCATAGTCCTCTCCTCGGTTTCATAACTCTCCCTGTAACCTGTGTAAGCAAATCCCTCTATTAAATTCCACTAATTTTAATATCTAGAAGAATTTTGGTTTTCCTGGTTTTATTTGACAGATACAACTGAAAATCATCCTGAAATAGGGGCTTCTCAGCAGAATCCAAGGTGAACAACTGAAGATTTTAAATATCAAATCAATGACTTGGTTTGACACGGGCCCACAGAACTTAGATTCAACCCTGGGAAAATTTTGCATTCTCAGAGAGTAAGATGAAGTGTATCTAACATGTAGGCTTGAAACAAAAATTAAGTTCAGTGTTTAAAAAATGTTTAGTAATTGCATGTCAAAACACTACACATAGGAGATGGCAACTGTTTGCTGAGAAAATGAATGACAGATGAATCAATGAAGAAAGAAAGTAATAAGTAAACCATAATATGAAGCACCTTATCTGGGGAAAATCAGAAGTTCAATTCCTAACTGGGTCTAAGCAGTTTTGTGTTTTTAGTATCCTTTTAGCAGGATTATTTCCAAGAAAATAGCTAATGGACAAACACTGCCCGTTAAGAAAGTGTTGAGGACAAAATCTGATACAAAAAATATCTTTTGGTCTGAATTCAGATTACAATTAGTAAAGCTTGGAATTGGCTAGTAAAAGTGACTAGCAAAATATTAAGTAAAAAGTAAATTATGAAATGGACATGACTATAGCAAAATGGCTAACACTCCTACTACCATAAAGATGTATCTGACATTTTATCATGGTTGCGCTGCTTGAGGGACAAAGAATGCTTTTCTTAGGGAATAAATACCCCCATACACACTGAATAACTAGGTTAATTGTGGGTATGGGTTTTCTGGAAAGAAATTTGTCAAACAGATTCTCAGAATACAAATAGATGGCATATAATAAGGGAGAATTAAAAGTATAAATAGAGGGTACAACCAGAAAACAGGGCAAACAAACAAAAAAGGGAGAGAGGAGAGACTGCAGTGATAGAAAGAGAGGATTTCAGTGAGTACAGAGGGAAAAAAAGGACATTCAGGTTCACCATACGGAAAATAATTCTTAGAACACTGGTATTTAACTGGTAATGAATATTGTCAGAAGCATTGGAGACAAAACTGCCACGTATAAAGCCCTTTTTCCATTCCCTCTTCCCTAGAACTGACAACTTGGTCAGAATCATACAATTGTGAGACTGAAAAGGATCATGGAGTAAACTGAGGCCAAGAGCAGTTAAGCCTGTCTGGCTAACTCCTCCCCACCTCAATCTAGACCTCACTACATTCATTGGACATTATCCAGACTGAAATCAGCCAATCTCAGGAAAGACCTGCCCTTCAGCTTTTCACTCACCTTCTCTTGCGTCAGTGATTACTCCTCTTCTCTAGTCCATCAACCTCAACTTGAACTCAGACCTATTGCCTTCCAGCTTTGAGCTGCCATTTATATTGCATTCTGCATCTCCTGAAATGTCCTCCATTTTTACTTCTCTAAAAAAGTCAGATTCATTAAGATTGTCAATATTTGTTTCAATAAACTTGTAACTGTTTTTCGAACCTTTCTTAATTTTTTTCCTTAAATTATTATTGAGAATTCTTTTCTTTAGGATGTTGGGAGACGTATTTTTTTTTATTCCTTCCCTAGATCACATATATGCTTACTTCCTTTGAGAACTCATTCATTCCTGTTATTTCAACTGCCAGTAATCGGCAAATGGCTTAGCACAAAGAGTCCTGGACTGGGAGATTTGAGTTCATTATGTGGCTCTTTCAACAAAACTTAACTTCAGCTTTCTCATCTACAGAGTGTGGAAAGGGATAAACTTTTCCAATATACAATACATGCTTGTAACTAGACATATACATTGTGTGTATATATACATAAGTTAAATTTCATATAAATAAACTATACATATATAGAGAGAGATTATTTAATTCTCATTATTACCCTTCTTTTATGTGTTAAGAAAAACCTGATGCTCAAAGAGGTTATATAACCTTTCCAGGGATACACAGCAAGGTCACTGCACCTGCCAGCCATAATGAGGCATCTTGAAAGAGCGTGCTGTCTTCTATGTAGCACTCTTTCTCCCCATATAAGGAGGATAGTAACCAGTCTCTCTACCTGGAAGGGCTACTGTAAGGATAAAATGAGGCAGTGCCTGTGAAAGTATTTTAATCATAAGGCATTATGTAAATGTAAAATATAATTACTATTATTATCTCCCAGCAATCCAGGTTGTAAGCTCTTTATAGTTCTCTTGATTTCTCTACCCACAGAGCATTTCACTTGGGTGCCCTTTTGGCCTTAAACTTTAGCAAAAGTCATATTCATTATGTTTTTCTAAGCTTAAAATTTTACCAATTTTTCTTTACCTTTGTAAGTGTCACAATTCATTTGGTCTTCTAAGACACAGATAACTGTATGTAGATACTGGCTTAGCTCCTGTTTTCCTGGAGCAATAATTAATAGCACTCTTTTTCTCTCAAAAATCCAATTTTGGATGATAAATCATGTGTTCACCTAACATCTCTTTAGATGCCTCCTGCTATGGTTCTTACCTTCTCTATTCTTGCTCATTATGCTCTAAAACATTACTGAACACCTATCCCTTTCCTATTTACACTCACAAACTTTAACCCAATGGCTAATTGCCTGGCTTACTGAGACAGACCTCTTTCCCCTCTTCTCATCTTGTGAATCCCTCTCTTCCATGTTTCATAGACAGAAGCATGGATTCTCACCTCCAGCTGTGGTTATTATCATTTCACTTCCTTTATTAGAGCTCACAGGCTTTTTGATATACTTTCAATTATCTTTCATCTCTCTTACTTTTTCTTCTTCAACTCTCTCTTTACAATGATACATAACTACTTCGTGTATACACAACTGTACTCAAGTTTTCTCATGTCCCATCAATCACACATGTTTACCTGAAATCTGAAGCATACTTTTGGTGGCTTCATTGCTTTCCTAAGCCCTGCCTTCTCCAAGCCACCCTCCATCACCCTATCTCCTCTATTTTGATAGACTACAATTAGCTACTAATCATTTGCAGCTTCTTCCATCAAGAGGTGGAGTCTACGGAGCTTGCAGTGAGCCGAGATTGCGCCACTGCAGTCCGCAGTCCGGCCTGGGCGACAGAGCGAGACTCCGTCTCAAAAAAAAAAAAAAAAAAAAAACAAGAGGTGGAGTCTACTGCTCCAGACCTAGAATCAAGGCTGGCCTCATGGCTTTCTGTAGCCAACAGAGTGCAAAGGAAACTTTCTAACTTGTAATGCTCCTGCCATGTTATTAATCCAGACTATGCTGATGGAGGATAAGAGGTCAGGTAAAGAGAGACCCATTCTTTTAAGCTGCCTGATATGGTTTGGCTGTGTCCCCACCCAAATCTCATCTTAAATTGTAGTTCCCGTGACCTCCACGTGTCATGAGAGGGACCTGGTGAGAGGTAATTGAATCATGGGGGTGGTTACCTCCATGCTGTTCTTGTGACAGTGAGTGAGTTCTCATGAAATCTTGTGATTTTACAGAGTAGTTCCCCTGAACATGCTCTCTTGCCTGCCACCGTGTATCACGTACCTTTGCTCTTTCTTCACCTTCTGCCATGATTGTGAGGCCTCTCCAGCCATGTGGAACTGAGTCCATTAAACTTTTTCTTTATAAATTACCCAGTCTCGGATATGTCCTTATAGCAGTGTGAGAATGGACTAATACACCATGTCAATCATTCCAGCAATCCCACGTGAGGTCCCTGATATGTGAGTGAGCCCTGTCAAACTGTTTGGAGCAGAGAGAGGCCATCCTAGCTGACCCCAAACCAAATTACTGCCTCATAAAATTCTGAGCAAATATTATAAATGTTGTTTAAAACTTTTTCAAATTGACTTTATTTCAGTCATCCCTTAGTATTACTATCTATATATCAATATCAATGTAATATTTTTTGTTTTCTATCTTCTGTATTTTTTGCATCTACAAGGATGTTTCTGATATTTTAAGTGTATGCCAGTGCCTTGCATAAATGGCCTCAGTTCATCTTTGTACCAATCCTGCAGAGCAGATGTTGCCATCTTTGGTTTATGAACGAGGACCCCATCACCAAGAACATTAAGTAATATAAACTTTATGAATTCATAAATAACTTAGATCAAAATTGAAATTATTCATTTTTGTTATATCAATAACTTACATAATAAATATTTCTTGCTTATGTATAATGAGAACTGTAAGACTTCCCACACCACAGAGAAATCACTGCAAAAAAAAAATGTAAACTAAATAAATCAAAGAAACAAAGCAATACAATGCAAATTCCGATAACTGCCATCAGGAGATCAGGGTGCTTTAGAAGGGAGGGGGAGGAGAGATACTCCTAATCCACGTATTAGGAGTGTGAGCAGGTAAAGCATCTGGAGGGGACATGAGACTGACCTTGAGGAAGAATGGGATTCCCAGGGGTAAAAATAAGTGAAAGAAGGTTTGAGAAGACAGCACAAGTACAGCTATCAATATGGAAATCCTCTAGATGTGTCCATTGACATGTGAATTAGAACTCAGGCATACAAATCGGGAGCAATCTGAGATATGTTTGGAAAAGTTAAGTGTTCAGAACATGAAGGACTTTGAAAACTAAGGTGTAGAGTTCTTTGTTTTGTGATCTATCAAGGAATTTGCACAACAGTCATATTTTTACAATTGTGAGAAAGCGTTCTGTAGCATTTCAATCAACTTTATTATTTTACGCCCATATTACATTTTCTTGTCTCTGACATTTAAATCTTTGAAAGGGTATCAGGTCTTCATCATTGATTAGTAAACTCTTCAAAGCCATCAATATGTTAACAAGTACTTGATGAACACACACTATTCAAGGAACTGGATTAGATGTGAGAAATCTTAAAACTGCTAGAACTATGTCAAACCAAAATACTTCTACACAACAAGCGAAACCATCAACACAAAGAAAAGGCAACCAATGGAACAGGAGAAAATATTTGCAAACTATATCTGATAAGCAATGAATATGCCAAATATTATAAGAAACTCATACAACTCAATAGCAGAGAAAACAAATCAAAAAATGACAAAGGATCCGAATAAACTTTTCCAAAGAAGACATACAAATGGCCAACACAGACATGAAAAGATGCTCAACATCACTAATCATCAGAAAAACGCAAATTAAAAACACAATGAGATACACCTCACACCTGTTAGAATGGCCATTATAAAAAAGATGAAAGCTAACAAGTGTTGGCAATGGTGTAGAGAAAAGACAACCCTTTTCTTCCCGTATTCTAGTCATTATGGTTTCAGGGATTTTAGTGCCAATTATTAACAAAGGCAGCCTCTTTACTTTTAGAGCACACACATTCTTCACAACCCCTAAGACATTTATATCTCATTAGATCTGGAAATTACTGGATGGTCCTTCATCTCTAATTAAGAGTTGATAGGATCTGTCCAACCTTGAAGAATTTTCAAGCATCTGTGGGCTAATAAAGGAAGTGTTTTGGGAAAAAAATACATTTACCCTGTAGATTTCTTAAATCTTACTGACTGCTATTGTTTCCCTATAACGACTGTATCAGAAACAACCTGGAATACTTGTTGAAATGCATATCTCTGTGCCCCATCCTGGATTTATTCAATTAGATCATCTGGGGAGGGGCCCAGCATCCTGTAACCTACACACGCTCTAGAGTAATCTTACGCATACCTTATAGTTTGAGGAAGACTTGCCAAAGGCAATGGGATGGATACGCCTGTTTTCTCCCTCACTTTGTAATTATCTGTAAGCAAACGGAGTAGGTCTTGTAGGTGTTGTCAAAGGCATTAGTCCAATATCCACTCAATTAGTCTAATGATCCACTCAGAATTTCAGGGAGCTCTTTTGAACCAGCCTTATTATTGCCTCTTCTTGCTTTTGGCAGATTTGCTATTGTATTTTCAACACCATCTCAAGTGCAAAACTACACTTCCAAATGTCTTCAACAAGTACTTATGGCAGCTAAAAAAGCAACTTTAAATGGATGTTTGCAGGTGTCTGCCCATAAAGACTGCTATTGCGTCAGCTCTACTGGAGTTATTATGGTTTACAATAGGAGTTTAATTTAAGGGAGTGGTATAAAAGTGCAAGACTTTGGGAAAGAAACGTGAAAGCAATTATCCCTGGATTATGTCTGGATAGGACTGGATCCTTGAATCTTGGCTGGTTTGGTGCAGCCTTGCCTGCTGCAGAGTTGTGGTTGTATCTGCATTTTGGAAGCCAGTACGAGTCTATGTTTTTATTAAGAGCCACTAGAACCTACTGGACAAAGAACCTCCCTCTCTTCTTCATGTCAATCTCTTGAACTCATCACTGATACCCATTACACATACATATAAATGCATGCAGTGTCTTACATTCCAGAAGATATAATCATTTAGCTAGAGGAAAAACTAAAATATGTAATGTAAATATTAGCTGAAATTAATTTGTCTGGTGAGAATTAACTACAGTTAGAAAAAAATCCTAACATAGGTGTGTTTCTGGTTTTGTTTGTTGTTTGTTTGGAAATTCCATCACTCTCCACAAGATATTTGCAAATTTGGAATTTTTTTTATTAGTCACTGTTAAGTCTGGATGTTAGATTTCACTTCTTGTGGTTCACTCTCTTGTGTGTGTATCCTGCTAATTTACATGTGGATTACAATCCCAATCTCTCACAAAGAAATCTACATATAGCAGCTTCTATCTAGAGGTTTTCAAAGAGGGCTTAGGTACAAAAAATGCAAAAAAAACTAAACTTAAAAATCAAATATTAGCTATTCCTGATTGTAAAAGCTCTTCAAACACCTGAACAGCAGAAATTTCTCACAAGGTGCTTTTCTTTTTTGCATCCAATTTTTTATATTCTCCTTCACTCTGCTTCTCATGTGATCTGTGAGGTTTTCAATGTCCAGGATACCTTCTAATTTCCCATGGATTTTGTTACACAAATAAACTAAGACTCTATTTTTCAGTTGTAGGTTTCAATTTGCATTTCCAAAGATTCCTTCTATCTTCTCTCTTCAGTGTCTGTAAGAAATAGTTTCGGTTTTAAATAATGACTGTTTTACAAAAAGATAGATAAATAAAATGATATGTAGAAAGGGAACAGAAGTGTGGATGGATAAATAGATACATGGATGGATGAATGGACGGACAGATGGATGGATGGATGGGTGATAGAAGATAGGATAGAGATAGACAGATAGATAGATAGATAGATTAGATAGATAGATAGATAATAGATAGATAGATAGATAGATAGATAGATAGATAGATAGATAGATATAGACTGATGGACATGTGTATCTTTTCAACACTGTATTTCCAGTGCCTGGAACATTTCTTGACACATAGTCAGTGATTAATACATATTTATTTAAAGAATAAAAATGTAGCCTCCCTAATTTGTCACCAACTCATCCATTCATAGATGCATTCCACAAATATTTTACTAAGCTTCTTTTAAGTGCCAGGCACTCTTCTAGCTATGGAGATAAAGTAGTGAATAAAACATCAACAGTCTTTGTCTTTATGAAGCTCACATTCTAAGGAGCTTACACTCCTGTCAGTTCTTCCTGAATAACTCTGGAACTCATCTCCTGTTTTTGTGGCCAGATCTTCATCTTCTATCTAACTGGATGAATGAGAGAGCCTTCTAGTATTTTTCTTTCCTCTGTAGTCTTGATACCTTGCAATTCACTATGCTTATTTTAATCACAATCATTTTCCAAGACTGAACTCTGATTATGTCCCTACACTGGATTTCCATCCTTTTTAAAGTTTGCGTTCCATAGATCAGCATCCAGATCTGTTTATGAGCTCACCCTCATCTAAATTTTCCGTGTTATTTCTTGGTATTCTGAAATACACCTCGAACTTAAAGCCATGATGACTTACTCGCAGTTCTTGAAATTTGCCTCAATACTTCCTACTTTCAGCCCTTTGTGCTGGCTGCTCCCTCTGCCATCCCCACTCTTCTCAGCAAGGCTGATCCCTCAGTGTTTAACACAGACATGTCCTCCCTGATACTCCCCAGACTATCGATGATGAGTTAAGAATTTCATTCCATTATGTTCCTGAATAATATACGCGACTTTATAATAGTTCTGGTCTCACAGCTTTCATTCTGGATCCTCCTACCCATAGCATAAGCGATGAGATTCTTTTCTTTTTTCTTTTTAAAAATGAAAATGTTACTGTGTTAACATTCTCATGTGTACTATCTCACTCATCTATTCTCCACCTATTTCTCCAATCTCATCTCTCCTAGTTCTTCTCTTTGTCCATTGCACTTAACTCTACTAGCCTCCCTTCTGTTTTTTGAATACACCAACTTTATCGTGGTGATTCTCTGCCTGGAATGTCTTTTTCTAGCTCTACTCAAGGCAGACTCATATTCACCCTTTAGGGTGTGACCTGATCAGAAATGCCTTTAAGGATTACCCCTTCTACAATGGCCTTCTCTGATTATTGTGTATCCTAATACACTGTTTATATCCCTCTTTGCACTGCCTGTAATGTAGATGGATCTAGTTTTTCGTTAAGGGTCTCTGCTGATCTCTGGAATGCAAGTTCATTGAAGACAAGGACTCTTCACCATTTTCAGCCCTCTGGTTCTAAAGCCCAGCATGATGCTTGGCAAATAGTAGGGCCTCAAAATATATCAGTTGAATTAACAAATAGTACTGACCATATGCTGCTATTTGCTTCTTTCTCTCCAACTAGGCTGTGGAGATCTTATGTAATACCATTATCCTATTATAGGTAACTAAGTAATATTCTATTGAATATTAATGCAACCAGCAAAATAACAACCTGTACCATAAAGATACAAAATTATTTTAAATGGAATTAAGAAAATGATGAATAATAAGATTTTTTATACATAAAACTGATCAAGTCAGAGGCTATGAACTGTCAATCATAACGAATTGGGACAGGGGACAAAAGTCCTGCCTATGGGTTAACAAAGTAAGCCTGAGTCCTCTCTGCCCTCTGGATGATGAAGCAGTGTGTCCTAACACTGTATCCTTATGGTCACTGGCCTGGCTTCTATTGTGCATGGTGGGGATGAAAGAAAATGTACCCATTGTGAGTTGCCTAACAGAGCAAGTACTTATTAGGCACTCAGTAAATATCAGCCTCATATTTAAAGAGATCAACAAAATAAATTAATTTCTACTATAGACTAATATAATAAAATCTAGGCTCAAAAATGCATTTTTGCAGATTCAGCCTTTGCATTGCTTACTTTTAATTATTGTCAAATTCAAGAAATAAAATGTTATTTTCAGAGCATTATCACCATATAAATGGTTATGAAAGTATTTAATAAGTAGAAACACATGTCTTTTTGGTGAACTATAGTGACATTTTAATGTATTTTGTTTTTGAAATTAATATTTTAATGTTAACTAATGTTATTTGTCAGTTTTCAAATTATGTTTTTGACAACAAATTATGTTTTGTGTGGAGGAGGACCCTTTTATTGTTCAAATCACAGAAGAGATACTTATTAATATCTAACTTTCATAACAGAACAATAAATTTAAATGAGTTTTTGGTCTTCTAGCATAGCTAAAAGCATCATTGTGGCTGGGTTTGGTGGTTCATGCCTGTAATCCCAACACTTTGGGAGGCTGAGGTGGGAGAATCTCTTGACGCCAGGAGTTTGAGACCAGCGTAGGCAACATAACAAGACTGTGTCTCTACAAAAAGAAAAAAAATCAAACAGAAAAAAATACAAAAAAGAACATCATTGTTTCGTTTAGTATTGGAGTAGCCAGCATTCAAGATGGCCCCCAGTGATCTCTGCCTCTGGGTCTTCACACTCTTCAGCAGTCCTCTTCCACATGGTTCCAGACTTGGCCTGTGTGACCAATAGTGACAGAAGTGATGAAATGTCACTTCATAGGTAGATTATAAAAGCTCTTGCCTTCCATCTTGGCCATTTTGGGAGAAACAAATTGCCATTTTGTAAGCAGATGCCCAAGTGGTCAGAAAGTAAGCCTCCCTGGGCCCATAGCCATTGAGGAACTGAGATCTGACAATAGCCACATGAGGGAGCTTGGAAAGGCTTTCTCTAGCAACAGTGGAGGCTTGCAATAAGACTGCAGTCCTACCTGACACAGCATGGCTGCACCTCCAGAGAGACCTGAACCAGAACCACTCAGCCAAGCTGCTCCCAGATTCCTGAGCCACAGAAATTGAATGAGAAATAAATGTTCTTTGCTTTAAGCTAGCTAAGTTTTGGGGAAATTTGCTGCAGATAACTAACACAAGTATCCAGTCTGATTTAGTTGGTATATTGCATATCTGAAACTCAGTATCCATAAAAGTAATCTAGACTTGTATACACAGTACAATATTTATAAAGGACAAAAGAAGTAAGTAAAGTAGCAATTAAATGATAAAAAGAAAAATAAGAAATAAAGAATTGATGGTGAAGCTTATGGTAGAACTGTTGGTCATATGTCTGTAGCTGTGATAAAGAGATTTTGGAGATAGTGGAGGATTGTGCTGAGCTATAATTCCTCATTAGAGCAGCAGGCTGAGCTATAACGTTCGAGCATTTCCTTTGATAATGTTAAGGTTATAAAGGTTTTATAAGTTGTAAGGTGGCTAAATCATATTTATTTGACTAGCACTGTCCATTTCAAGTCCTTTTTAGATGCTTCTTTTGATTTTCCAAACTTTCTCCAATGAGTCTATATTAATTATATAGTCAGAAAACGTAACTATTAGTTGGGTGCAGTGGCTCATGCCTGTAATCTCAACACGTTGGGAGGCCAAGGTGGGAGGATCACTTGAGCCCAGGAGTTCAAGACCAGCTTGGGCAACATAGTAAGTTCCTGTCTCTACACCAAAAAAATTTTAAAATTATCCAGGCACAGTGGTGCACACCTGTGGTCCCAGAGACTCACAGGAGGGATCCTTGAGCCTGGGAGGATCCCTTGAGCCTGGGAGTTTGAGGCTGCAGTAAGCCATGATCACGTCACTGCACTCCGGTCTGGGCAACAAAGCGAGGTTCTGTCTAAAAAAAAAAAATGATATTTTTTCCATTCACTTAATCAAGTTTTTATATACTCAAATGTGCAAGTTTTTCAGCATCGCTGGAGCTAGGAATTGGAAATGAATAATTCAATTGTCTGTGGCAGATTTTACCCAAAGGAGATACCTTAAATCCAGTTCTGGAGTCTGTGTATTTAAGAAATCTTTAGAACAATTGGAAATGTTTATCCTGGACAAGTGATTATGTGAAGAAAATATGAGAATACTTCCAAATATTTCAAAGTTTTTGTCTGCCAGAAGAAAGAGACTCCTCATTCTTTTTACTCCAGGAATAGTGTTAGCATCAAATTACAAAGCTGCATGTTTCAGCTCAATATAAGAAAAAAATGTATGATGTATCTGAAAACACTAAAATATTCTGCCTTGTGAAATTGTGAGTTCCATGCCACTAAAACAGAGTAAGCAGATGCTCACTGACTCTTACTGGACATCTTCCATGAGGGCCTGCAATAATATTTCAGTTGTCAAAGGAATGTCCCACCAGCCTTACGATTCTGTGATTGTATTGAATCAATGATCAATATTTTAATTTAATTAAGTGGGCTAGCAATGGACACCTCAGGAGAATTTTTGTTTTAGATAACACTCTTCCATTATTTCATTGATGATATTACTCAAATATATGAATATGTGTAAGAAATCTGCCACATCTGTTTTTTGTGTTCTAGCTCTACTTCCTTGGCTTCCATAGCTGGGAAAGCTTTGGAAAAGCTGATAGAACTCAAGGAAGAGCTACCATGAACCAGGGCCTCAAAGATTCAGCTGGTCCTCCAGGCTTCTGGACACTTCGTGCTACTCTCATTTTGGCACATCTCTGCTTGCTTCTAGTTGCACACAAGTCTTTTCAATATGGTCCCAAATTTTTATCTAGCTAACACTATAGTTCCAGAGGGAAGGTCCACATCACCTGAAGTTCAAAATATTGGAATGCATTGGCCTGTTTTGATTAAGTTGCCTATCTTTGAACCAGTGACTATACCCAAGGAAATGGGAAAAAATTTTGGTGACTTGCCTTGATCCATGTATACTTCCAAGAGTTGACACACAGGAAGCAAATAATCAAAAGTTATAAAGCACACATGGCAGTCAAAAGCAATTTCGGTCCACCGTAATCTCTTATCCTTTTCTCCTTCATGATTTTTTCCACTTACTATTTCATTGTATGTAGTTATGAAAGTTATAGCCAAATGCATTGGCGCTATCTACAACTGAAAAAAACCTGCATATTTATTTTCTCTTCATAAATATATAACACATTTTAAAATTTCACTTGCTTTGAGAGGTATAATTCTTTTAATTTTAGTTACCTGTGTAGTTTTAAAACAGCATAACAAAATCAATATGATTGAAAGGTTTGGTTATTAAGGAGCACAACCCTAATCTTAATAGCGTTTCAATTGATAAACAATTCCAATCACACTCACTACCACAGAAAATCTGTGAAGGGGCTCCAACGAATGCCTCTGTGAGCCTTGGCCAGGAGCCCCTTCTGGGGCTGCACCCTCGGGGAAGAACTCCTTAATTCAGGCAGATGAAGTTTTGCATTAGAGATACTCTTCATTGCCACAGTCTATTTTTAGGTGTTTTTTAACTTTCTTGTGATTTCATTATTTTTCACGCAGTTTTTCAGGGTGGAAATTGGAGATTTCCTCAGTAAAACATTATTGAGTTACTGAAGTGACAATGTAAGCAAATCTTTTTTATAGCCTAAATATGACGGGAATTAGACTAGATAAATATGGAACAACTGTAATAAACACAAAGATAAATTGTTTCCCTTAGCGCTCAAATTTCATAAAAATAATAGTTGTGAAGAACAAACAGGAACTTTCCTTTATCTTCACCTCATTTTCTGAGTTCACAACACTGAGAAAAATCATGAACTAAAACATAAACCATTTGATGAAAACACCATAAATTAAAACATGAACTATAGAAACGTTAACTGTGAGTAAAAATCTGAACTATTTGGTGACAGAGCAGGAGCATCGCCATCTTGGACAAGCCCCTCATTCTAAAGTTCACCTTAATAAAAAACGTCTGAATCCAAAGGGCATCAGCCCAATGGCTAAGATCAGCACGACCATAAACCACAAATAACATCTCCAACCAGAAAGATTCCAAACTCCTTCCGGATCAGAGGCATGGAGCCCCAAGATAACCCGCATCGGGCAAGGAAGATGCCAGTCTCAAGATAACTTTGCTCTGGCGGAAAGATGGCTGCCCCAAGGTAAGCTCGCCTCCTCCCAGAGACATTCCAACCCCGCCAGAAAACTTCTCCCTCAAACAGGAACATTCCAAACTTCTGATAAGGCTCCTCGCCCTTAAACCAATATATGCTCTTAGTCTGTCAGAGAAAGCGCTCCTGACTGAAATCGGCCAGGAGTGCCTCTCAGGTTTTAATTAAGGAAAACCTGTCTTTAACCGCCAGCCACGTTTCGTGTTTCTTTCCTCTTTCTTTAACTTTTAATTTGGTATATTCCTCCTAGTAAATACCTGTGCCAGTGGAATTTGCCTCAACCAAGAATAATAGCTATACTGGAACATCTTAATTGCATGGTTGGCTACAGTTCAAACTTCCTGGTGTGCATGATGCAAGCCATCCCTCGGGCGATCATGGTTTCCTGATTAACCTGGGAAATGAACGCAGATGACTTAATAGATAATTGACTTTTTGTGGAAGGCCCAAAGCCAGAGGGAAGCAGCTGTCCCACCCAGGTGTTTCAGAATATCTTTGGGTGACTCCAACTACCTTTTGCCAAAGGTTTTCTCTTATGTGCACTACCGAGCATATTAAGGAGACTATGTCATCTGTTTTAATTTGTTGGGATTGAGTGTGAGACTGCTTCAAACTATCTACAGATATGTTACATATGTTCATAAAGTCGTACATTCATAATATAAACCAAAAACCTAACTTCTGCTTAAAACACTGGAAGTGATCATTTTAAACATAATGAAAGTTTTCCACTTGAATTAACTACTTTTCATATATTTTTATTACCTTCCTAACATTTTACCTAATTATTTTTGATTTTCAGAATTACTTGAATTTACAAGATTAAAAATAATGCCAAACATCATTGATTAATTAGAGTTATATTTTTTAATCATAAACCCACTTTTTGGTATTTTTCAATAAAAGAAATTTTTAAATATTAAATATTTACAATATTAATTGTTAAAAATTAAAATGATGTTTACTTACTGAAAAATTTTAACAAAGTCATTTGGCCGGGCGCTGTGGCTCAAGCCTGTAATCCCAGCACTTTGGGAGGCCGAGACGGGGGGATCACGAGGTCAGGAGATCGAGAGCATCCTGGCTAACACGGTAAAACCCCGTCTCTACTAAAAATACAAAAAATTAGCTGGGCGTGGTGGAGGGTGCCTGTAGTCCCAGTTACTCGGGAGGCTGAGGCAGGAGAATGGCATGAATCTGGGAGGCGGAGCTTGCAGTGAGCTGAGATCAAACCACTGCACTCCAGCCTGGGTGACAGAGCAAGACTCTGTCTCAAAAAAAAAAAAAAAAAAAAAAAGAAAAAGTCATTTATGGTAATTATACTATTGAAACATCTCATATGTCCAACTAACTGGTATAAACCTTAACCAAAAATACAAATTAATTTAGAAAGGTATTAGCAAGTAGCTGGCACAAGCGTTGCTCTAAGTAGAAAAATGTTTTCAAATTCTGGAACCTGCTCTGTAAAAATAGTGTGTAAGAGGATTCATTCATATAATTTAACAGTATTTGATGAAATCTGTGTTTATGCTGTGTTGGCTTTTTACTTCCTCTTCAAAAAACTCAAAGAAGGAATTTTCAAGAAGTAACATAACTTCCTGATGGGATTCTACTTTGAATCTAAGTCACAGCCTTAGTTGGTGACTAAATGCCAGTCACTAGAACCATCCAGATCCAGCTACTGCTGAAGCTCGCTGTGGAATCTGCCTGGAGCAGCAAAAACAATTCTATTAATATATCAGAGTGTCGACAAAAAGAGTGAAACTCTGTAAAATATTTGAAGAGATTTATTCTGAGCCACATATGAGTGACCATGGCCCATGACACAGCCCTCAGGAGGTCCTGAGAACATGTGCCCAGGGTGGTCGGGGTGCAGCTTGGTTTTACACATTTTAGGGAGGCATGAAACATCAATTAAATACATTTGAGAAATACATGAGTTTGGTCTAGAAAAACAGGACAACTCAAATTGGAGGGCTTCCAGGCTATAGGTACATTTAAACATTTTCTGGCTGACAATTGTTTGAGTTTGTCTAAAGACCTGGGATCAGCAGAAAGGAATGCCTACATTAAGATAAAGGATTGTGGGGACCCAAGTTCTTATTTGCAGAGGAAGCCTTCAGGTAGTAGTAGGCTTCAGAGAGAATAGGTTATAAAATGTTTCTTATCAGACTTAAAGTCTGTGTTCATGTTAATGCCAGAGAGGTACAATGAGAACCCCATTTCCCAACATGGCCTGAAACAGACTCTCAGGTCAAATTTTAAAAGAGCCCTGGCTGAGGAGGAAGTCCATTCAGATGGTTGGAGGGTCCTTAGAATTTTAGTTTTGATTTACAAGAGGAACATTCAGAACTTCCAGGCCAGCTAACCTTGCCATACCTCTCACCCCACCATCTTTAGTCACCACCTGAAAGGGAAGTTCCTCCAGTCATTATTATTATTTATCTGATACCTTCATCTCCATGTAGACCTGTGATGCTTCCCATTGTGGATTGTTCTTTCAACAGACTTCACTATGTTTGCTGGAATTCAAATGTTACCAGAAAGAGTTCCTGATCCAGACCCCAAGAGAGATCTCATGCAAGAAAGAATTTGAGGCGATTCCACAGAGTAAAGTGAAAGCAAGTTCATTAAGAAAGTAGAAGAATAAAAGAATGGCTACCACACAGACAGAACAGTCCTGAGCGCTGCTGGTTGCCCATTTTTATGGTTATTTCTTGATTATATGCTCAACAAGGGGTGGGGGCAGATTATTCATGCCTCCCCTTTTTAAACTATACAGTGTAACTTCCTGACGTTTCCATGGCATTTGTAAGCTGTGATGATACTAGTGGGAGTGTAGCAGTCAGGACGACCAGAGGTGACTCTTGTTGCCATCTTGGTTTTGGTGGGGTTTGGCTGGCTTCCTTTTTTTTTTTTTTGAGACTGAGTCTCACTCTGTCACCCAGGCTGCAGTGCAGTGGCACAATCTTGGCTCATTGCGACCTCCGCCTCCCAGGTTCAAGTGATTCTCCTGCCTCAGCCTCCCGAGTAGCTGGGACTACAGGTGCACGCCACCACTCCCAGCTGATTTTTGTATTTTTAGTAGAGATGGGGTTTCATCATGTTGGCCAGGATGGTCTCAATCTCTTGACTTCATGATTTGCTCGCCTTGGCCTCCCAAAGTGCTGGGATTACAGGTGTGAGCCACCGTGCCTGTTGGCTGACTTCTTTACTGCAACCTATTTTATCAGCAAGGTCTTCATGACCTGTATCTTGTGCCAACCTCCTATCTCATCCTGTGACTTAGAATGCTTAACCATCTGGGAATGCAGCCCAGTAGGTCTCAGCCTCATTTTACCCAGCCCCTATTCAAGATGGAGTTGCTCTTGTTCAGATGCCTCTGACACAAATACTGGAATCTCTTCCTAGTATGATCCCCATTCCCCGCCTTGCTTTGTCAGGAACTAGGCTCCCTCTGGAATCACTGCCTCAGACACCCTATTCAGCGGTGGCTGGTCATTCTCCTAAACTCTGTGGTCAGCCTCCTCCCAGTGCCCCATGGCTACTTTCAAAACTTAAATTTTCAGACAAGGAAACCCACCTGTTTCTCAGACTTATGATGTTTATCATATGCTTTATCACCTCCATCTATTCACAAGATTTCTTATTTATTTTTCAAAGTCTTAGACACCTAGTTCACTGTTGCTTCCATGTTATTATCATGCTAGAAACCTTCAGCACTGGACAGGTAGCACCTCTAACACAGTAGTTCTATCTGTTGACCTTTGCTTTGACCTCCCTTGCTCCAATAGTTACACATCCCCTCTAACTGACTCTAACATGCGCCTAGTTAACTCTTGCAAGCACCTACATTTTGCATTGCTGAACTTCCGTATCCCATTCTCTGATCTTCACATACCCCTATTCTTTCATTGCTTGATTAAAGGTACGCGAAGGTCAGAGAATAGGATACTAAAATTAATTAATTTATTCATAAATTTTATTATTTATGTCTGTATATTGAGAGGTTATTCATGTCACACACTGAGCTAGTTTGGGTTTACAAAGACCAATGAGATGTAGCTTAGGCCTGCTCAGGTGGAGAGGGTATAAAAGTTACTGGGGATAAAGAAGTCAAGATTTGACAAGGATGGGTGCTGATGGGTCAATTACAATTACACTGACGTTGCCAGAATTATGTCAGAATGTAGGTGGAGAAGAAACCTGGGATTTGCATGTGAAAAAGCTCTGTCACTTGCTGCCTTCACTTCCCTTATGTTTTATCCTTACTCAGTTTCTGAGCCTCTCCCTTGATCCTCAGACTATCAGACTGGTCATACTTCCTTCTCTTAGCCCTCAGTTTTTCTCTTGTTACTCTTATCAACTTCCTTCCTCTTCATTCTTTCACAAATAAAAAGATTCACTTCTCTTATACATGGCTAATCTCTTTATATACACCCCAAGTCTTATTTCCTTTAAATTTTGTTCAGACCTCATCCACCAATTATTTCCCTTGCATTATGGATCTTTAATTTCTCCCTGTCTTTTTTGTTACCATATAAATGTACTTAACTCTAATTTCATCATTAAAAAAAACCTCTTGACTCTTTTCTCATTACATGTTCCTTTCCTTTATAGCCAAAATTGTCCTAAGTTTATGGTGGTTCTGTATTTGTCTTAACTTCCCATTCAGTTGTCTACCTATTGCAAACTGATTTACACTATCCACGCCACCAGGCCCTTGAAATTACTGATGGTAGGATTACGAAATCCAAAGAACACCTTTAGTCTTTATTTAGCACGATTGCCAGGAAGCCTTTGATGCTCACAAACAATAATTCACCTCTAAATGCCTCCTGGTTCTTTTTTTTTTTTTTTTTTTAACTTTCTCACCATTCTTCCTTGTTCTCATTCAATTAGCTTCTTTTCCTCCTACAGCTACTTAATATTGTGTTAATAAAAAAAATTTTTTTTCCTCTCTTTTTGCATTCTACTTTCTTTCTCCAGGCATTTTGTCTAAACCAATTACTTCAAATGCATCCATAAACTAAAATTTCCCAAGTCTCTTTCATCACCCAGACTATTTTTCCAAAATTTAGACTCATATTTCTGCCTACAAGTTGTATCCATCTATATATCTTCATGCACTATCAATTCAATCTTTATGCACTATCAATTCAACCTACATATGACTGAAATAATTGTTTTTATCCTTCATTTTGCTTCTCATAATGTATCTCCTAACTTGCTGAAAGGCACCATCATCTACTGAGTCACATAAGACAGACATCTGAGGACTTCCTGGATTCCTCTTCTGTAATCTCTAATTCCGTCAGTTAATAATCCTTGTCACACCTTCATTGTAAATATGTCTCAAAGCTGTGTCTGACTCTTGTTCCACTGCCAGTCTCTTAAATAAGTCTTTCAAACCTATCACATGCACCATTGCATTACCACTTCAATTAGTTTCATTGCTTCTAGCCTTCTCTCTTTTAAATCCTTTATCCACAATTGTCAGATTAGTCTTTCTTTGAAAAATAAAATAACTGTGTCATCTTGTAGCTGAAAAATCGTTCCAAATTCTTCCTGAGCATCAAAATAAAGTCCAAACTACTTGTCAAATAACAGTAAGCTCTTAGTTATCTGGTCTCTGCTTACATTTCCAATTTAATTTCTTTAAGACTTACCCATAAGAACTTTTTACTCCAGCCAATAACAATGTGTTCTCACCCAAAATAATCCAACTAGGCACTTGCCCTATCATCACAATGAATGGACGACCCAGAGACTCGTTACATCTATATCTTCATGACATTTATTTCTCCTTATTTAGGGTGTGACCTCACCTTGGGCTTGCATAACCTATGAACTAAATTAATTATGAATCTATTCAGCACCAGTACAACTCATATATTATAGTTGAAGAAAGAGGAAAAATAAGATAAAATTGATCTTGGAATGCTGACTCATGCCTATAATCCCAGAACTTTTGGAGACCAAGGAGAGAGGATTGCTTGAGGACAGGAATTTGAGACCATCCTAGGAAAGAGAAAGAGACCCCATTGCTACAAGAAATTTTAAAAATTATACAGACCTGATGGTCCATGCCTGTAGTTCCAGCTACTGGGAAGGTTGAGAGAGGAGGATCCTTTGAGCCCAGGAGTTCTAGGCTGCAGTGAGCTATGATTGCACGACTGCACTCTAGCCTGGGTGACAGAGTAAGAACCTGTCTCATTAAAAAATAATTAATTAAATTGGTGTATGAATAAATATAAACTAAACAAGAAGAAAGAGATGGTCTTTAATTAATACCACTCTCATCTTAGCCTTGACACTTTCCTCTGCAGGAATCAAGATGGAATCCAAAACTCTTCCATGGTAAGAACCCTCACCTCCTTCTTCCATCACCCCAAGTCTCACAAACACAATTGACCTTGAAGCCAGGTAGGAGTGTCACTTGTTTTCCTTTACCCTTGTCTGATATGCATATCCAGAAGCCTACAATTTCCAATTTCTCCCTTCCTCCCAAGGCCCATGTCCTTGTTTTGACTAAGCTCTGTTTACACGTATTTCTATCCTTCCTCATATCTTCAGGTTGTTTTATCTGTCTACCTTCCTTATTTTCTTTGAAGTTTCCCTCGGCTTTCTGCTCTAACGCCTGGCTCTACCTGAAAGACGTGGATTTCAATGTGGTTCTGTGGAGTAAAAGTTGTTTTCTTTCCCACATCCCTCAAAACACCACTTTGCAGGTTCTGTAGAGATTCTCCATACTCCTGACTGCCAACCACACGCTATCCTTTCATCCCTCCTAAAGTCCTCACGTTAAAACTCATGTTTTCAGATTCTACCACCTGTTCCCTCACCTTGTGAAAATCATTTATAAACCCCTCAGACACTCAACCTTATTTTTTGAAAATTTGTATCTTCTTATTCACTGTCACTCTTTGAACTCCACTGCTGTCATAATCTCCTGTGATTTTGACATTTACATAGATGATAAATATAATACCATAGTTCCTCCATTGTTTAAATCTCCTCCTATCCAATGATCCTGCCTTCTACTATATCTCTAACACTCCCTCTCTTAATCATAGCATAAACTTTGTCATTGTCATTAATTGCACACTTTCCAAACTCTAAATTTCAAGAATCCCATACTCCAATCACTTTATTCTATTTTTCTCATCCATTCCTTGTGATGTTCCAATTGAAAAAAATCATTTGGCTGGGCCAAAATAATCAGCTGGGCTCACCCTGTCCTCACTAACTTCATTCCTTTCATTGTTTCTCTTTCTAGCTTATCCCTAACCCATCTTTATAATCACTTTCTTACACACACTCTCAGATAACTTGCTGATCCCTTGCTTCATTGTGATGAACTGGAAAAGTCCCATCCTAATTAAATCTAACCCTCCACCCATTCTGCACCTGCACCCATGCACCTGAGCAAAGTCTAGAGAGACACATCAGTACTTTGAGTCATCTAACTTTTTCATGACCCTTGCTGCTGCCAGAAAGTCTCTTATATTTCTCTTGTCCATTTTTCTCATCTCTCACTCTCCTGGATGACTCGTTCATATCTTTTTTGCCTTCAAATTTTCACTATTTCCTTTTCCATCTTCACTCTCCACTGAGAGCCTTGCTCCACTGGAAAAAAAAAAGTAAGATATCAGAAAAGAATCACAAACTCTCCAGCTCACAATTGCCATCTGCATGTGCCGCTTACTCTGCCTTCCTTTGTAGTTGTAATGAACTATTTATTTGTTTCAGGTTCCTTGTATTTAGATTCCAGATTTTATCCCTTCTTGCTCACTTAAGGAAGGGGTTCAAGAAATGTCCCTCTGTTTTCTATACATTATTATTTTTACCTTCTTCATTGAATCATTCCCATCAGTGTAAAAACATGTTAGAAAACACAGTCTCTTCTGATCTTATATCACATTCCAGCTTTCTATCTTTTTTTGTTTAGTTTAGTTTTGTTTTTCTCTGAGATAAACTAGGAAAGAAAGAATTTGCAATTTTACTGTTGCCAATAACTTTTCTCTCTAGGCTTGAATTTTAATTGCTCCCTGGAGCCTGATGACCTGGTTAAAGGTCTGGGAGCAATGATAGCTGGTAGGTGTAAAACATGGAGAGAAATGGCTGCCCAGTGCAAGATGCTATTACACATGATTTATAACTAGGTCTTTTGGCAATGCAGGCCCAGTCCCTTCACAGAAGGCAAGATGGTCTGTTTCTGCCGGCTGGCTTGGTAAGATTTAATATGTCATCTCAATATTCCCAAATCACTATTTTAATTCTAATGTCTCCTTCTTCTCTGATGATTTATCTAACATAATGAATTCAATTTGTGTTATAATTGAGTAATAAACAGAATCAGACTCTGAAGTTGACTTTTGCCAAATCAGCTTTAAGATTAAAGAATATAAGGTATTATTTAAGTCGATCTTGGAAAACTTTAAGTTCTCTGCTAACACCTTAGGTGGAAAATTTTAAATGCTGACTTTTCACTTTCTAACGTTGAGCTCTCCATCGAAGCTTACAGCCTTTCTAATCCTTGAGACTCCAATAATGGTCTGTTTCAGTAGTTACCTTGTTCATAAACGACTTGCCTTTATTTGGCATCTCATACCTGCCCTATCTTCGAACGTTAATTGGCTTCTCACTGCCTTCAGATCCAAATACTTGAGGTAGACTTTTCCAAATTCCCATTTTCCTGAAGGTCTGTTGCATGTAACCAATTCTATCAACCAAGATGGTGGTCATTGTTCAGTTGTTAACAATAGAAATGATGTTAGCTGATTTAGCCCAATACACACTTGGTACAAGGACTTAGGAGTTTACAGAGTTGTTGGAAAGCCTGGAGACTGCATTAGACTGAGTTCCTAGAAACAATCCCCATTCATCAATTATTCATTTTCTGTTGAAGTTAGTGATCTCCCCTTTAGAAAGCTGGCAATCAGGTAGCTGCTGCTCCTCCTCCTGACTGTTAAAC
Source organism: Homo sapiens (assembly GCF_000001405.40). Lineage (NCBI taxonomy): Eukaryota > Metazoa > Chordata > Mammalia > Primates > Hominidae > Homo > Homo sapiens. The sequence goes on along the minus strand of NC_000021.9, from coordinate 30,138,187 downwards.
CACACTGTGTGGGCCATGTTTGGTAAAACTGCTGCTGCTGCTACAGTGAGCTGATGAATGCAAAGATGCTGATGATGCCACATCTTCCATGGTCTTGTCCAACAAAGTGGATACATTCCACCAAGCCTGTCTCTATGATTCAGTTCCTAATCCAGGTATCATGGGAATGCATCTGAAAGGTAAAATCAAAATCAGATGCCAAACTCGAGCTAGAAGTCGTGGGAAAAAAATTGTTAATTTGGTTTTCTATCTTTCAACTCTGTAAAGGGTTGGAATGGGTGTTGGTAGACCCAATCCGAGAATCCAAAACAACTGTAAACACAATTTTAGGGCCACTGATTACTGTTGTGAAGGTGAAATTATAGTTGTTACTCTTCCCATATCCCTGCCTTCAATTACTTTAATGTCTCTGACATTTACTACTACCCTGGATTACAGATTTCACATCTCACCTAAACAGTTTTGTTAGTGACCTCATCATATTACGATATATGAGTTTTCATTCTCTTGTGATTCATGAACTAGTTCTATTTTCCTAACAGCCATTCTCTGTTTTTCAACATCAACCATGCATGCCTCTGATTCTAAACTCTTTACGATTATAGGAATGCCAAACAAGAAAAAAAAATGAATGAATGTACAGGGAAATGTGGGGTGGAAAGAAATTGGGTGATAAGTTGTTTAGCATCTGTTTGCAAAATAAGATAGGGAGCAACATTATCTACTGAGATGGCAAAGAATGGGAAATAGATCTTAGATTTGGAAAAGATGAGAAAGATCAGAATATTGTAGAAACTATTTCTAGTGATTACTAAAAGTTTCAGTTCTCCCTCTAGTTCACAGCGCTATGCTTCCATTACTTGTGGTAGAGAACCGTGAAGGCTTGTTGTGACAGACGCACTATTAAAGGGCACAGAGTCCATCTCCCTGGGTCAGCAAAACCATCCCCTACCTACATGAACGAGCATGAGATCTATAGCATTTGTTATTTTAAGCCAGCAACATTTTGAGATTGTTCATGAAGGAAAACACAGCCTATTCTGTCTTTTTCAAACATCAACTCAGCTAATTGTCACAGGAATGCTGAGAAAAAGTGAAGATGCTGCCAGTTTTTTAAATTATGAGAATTGACATTGTTAGTTGTTTATTGATGATTCATTTATTGTTCTTTTTTACTCACAACAATGTTTGATAGCTGAGGTATATGAGATAATGTTTACTCAAGATTGTGCGTGTATTTGTAAAATATTGCAAACTATTAGAAGACAAGGGATTGATTCTAAGTCCTTAGTAAAATTATTGTTGAAATGATTCATGGTGAAAACCAGGAAATGAAGAAATAAAGCTAGGGGAGTTCTCAAAGATGATAAGAAAAAACATTTATAGAAGAAGTGAAGGTCATAATGACAGTGAAGATCTGGTTCAATGCGGGAAAGAGAATGAATGAAGTACATGATATTGTTATAAAATAATTTTCTAGTACAGGATATGGAATGAAAGTAGTTCAAGTGATGGTGTGGGCCAAGGTATGACAGCACGTAAAGGACAATAAAATGAAACTGGGTGGAAGTTATTGAAATGGAGGAATTCTATGGAGTTTAACAAGTTGTAGGTGGGGAGATCCATTAACATAAGCATTGATGTTGGTCACTTTGATCACAGGAGTTGCTCCAGAGAGCAACCCTGTGAGCCACCATGCAAAATAATACACTTCAAATTTGCATATCTCAGTAAAGTGTTCATGTGATTTAGAAAATGCAGACAACAGAAGTTTTTCTATACATTTCTGTGCTCCTCTAATCTTTCTATGCTTTTAAAAATAGCTCAACACTTCCCCAGGATATTTTTAAAATTTGCATATACTTAAAAAGTATCAGTTGGAATAACTAGTTCTTCCCCTATGCTATCCTATGACATGTCTAGTACCTCAAATAAAGCATAAGATGAGTACTTCTAGAATTTCTATAGCCCAATATTTGATATTAATAATGATTGTTTTGAATTTGAATGGAGCCGCATGGGAATATATAGTGACTTCAAAAGAAAAATCTAGCCAGCCACTGAAGCAAATCTAAATTAGGATAGAAATAGGATACCTATGAATGGGACCAGCTGAAGACAATTGCTGCTAGAATGATTACTTCATTCATCAATTTCCGAGTGCTGAGTGAACCTCTCTGACTAGCAGGTTCTTTTCAGGATTTGAAATCACTGACGTCTATTATCCATCTGTTATGCTTTTTAACTTTTAACAAAGGATAAAGATGATGCTATTAACCCACATAAAGAAATTTCTCTCTCTGCATCTCTCTTATGGAAGTTTGGAGAGTAAAATTTGCATCTTTGCTTATAAGTTGGGATGGGTTTACTTCCATGCTTATGTATAAGCCAGCTCATAACATGCAGACAAAGTCCATTTATTATAGTATCACTTGGGAATGCAGAAATAGATAATCACTCAGTATAGACTATGCTTGGATTTTTGTTACTTCTCATTACGTGGAATCTTGTCTCTAAAGTCCAAGTGAAAATAACACACTGTGAGTAAGTGATGGCAATTTAATTTATGTAATGACAGACTAGGTAATAAAAATAAGTCTTTTAAAGGATTACTTGTTTTTTTCTTGCTGATTTGTTTGAGTGTTTTGTAGATTCTGGATATTAGTCTTTTGACAGATACATAGTTTGCAAATATTTTCTCCCATTCTGTGGGTTGCCTGTTTACTCTGCTGATTATTTATTTTGCTCTGCAGAAACTTTTAGTTTAATTAGGAATCATTTGTTTATTGTTTTTGATGCATTTGCTTTTGGAGTCTTAGTCACGAATTATTTGTCCATGCCAATGTCCAGAATTTTTCCACTGTTATCTTTGAAAATTTTTATGGTTTCAGGCCTTCATTTTAAATCTTTGATGCCAAACTTGAGCTAGAAGTTTGGGAAAAAAATTGTTAATTTGGTTATTAAATCATCCTGAGTTGATTTTTATAAAAGGTGAATGATGGGGATCCAGTTTCATTCTTCTGCATGTGGCTTGCCTGTTTTCACAGTACAATTTATTGAATAGAGTGTCCTTTCCCAATTTATGTTTTTGTTTGCTTTGTTGAAGAACAGTTGGCTGTAAGTATGTGGCTTTATTTCTAGGTTCTCTATTCTGTTCCATTTGTCTGCCTATTTCGTAAATCAGTACCATGTTCTTTTGGTGGGCAAAGGACGTAAATAGACAATTCTCAAAAGAAGACATACAAATGGCCAACAAACATATGAAAAGATGCTCAGCATCACTAACCATCAGGGAAATGCAAATTGAAACCACAATAAGATATTACCTTACTCTCACAAGAATGGCCATAATTAAAAAGTTGAAGAACAATTCATGTTGGCATGGATGTGGTGGGAAGGGAACACTTTCATGCTGATGGGAATGTAAATTAGTGTAACCTCTATGAAAACAGTATGGAGATTATTTAAAGAACTAAAAGTACATCTACCATTTGATCTAACAATCCCACTATTGGCTGTCTACTCAAAGGAAAAGAAAGCCATTATACGAAAAAGACACAAGAACACACATGTTTATAGCAGCACAATTCACAATTTCAACCTAACTGCTCATTGACCAATAAGTAGTTAAAGAAAATGTGGTATATATACACCATGAAATACTACCTAGCCAGCCATAAAAAGAAACAAATATTGCAGCAACTTGGATGGAGCTGGAGGCCATCATTCTAAGTGAAATAACTCAGGAATGGAAAACCAAACACTGTAAGTTGTCATTTATACATGGGAGCTAAGCTATGAGGACTCAAAGATATACAGAAGGATATAGTGGACTTTGGGAGCTCAACAAAGGGAGGAATAAAAATACTACATATTGGCTAAAGTGTGCATTGCTCAGGTAATAGTTGCACTAGAATCTCAGAATACACCATGTTGTTGTTTGGCTCTGTGTCCCCACCCAAATCTCATCTCAAATTGTAATCCCTATTGTTGAGGAGGGATCTGGTAGGAGGTGATTGGATCCCAGGGGCAGTTTTCCCCCTTGCTATTCTCCTGATAGTGAGTGAGTTCTTACAAGATCTGATAGTTTTAAAAAGTGGCAGTTTCCTCTGCATGCTCTTTCTCTCCTGCCACCATGTAAGACATACCTTGCTTTCCTTTTGCTTCCATCATGATTGTAAGTTTCCTGAGGCTTAAACACCAGAGATGTAAAACTGTGAGTTAATTAAACCTCTTTTCTTTATAAAGTACCAAGTCTCAGGTAGTATGTTTACAGCAGTGTGAGAACTGAGTAATACAGAAAACTAGTATCAAGAGTTGGATACTGCTATAAAGATAACATAAAAATGTGGAAGGGACTTTGGAACAGGCAGAGGTTGGATCAGTTTGGAGGGCTCAGAAGAAGATAAGACCATGTGGGAAAGTTTGGAACTTCCTAGAGACTTGTTAAATGGCTTTGACCAAAATGCTAATAGTGATATAGACAATGAAGTCCAGATTGAGGTGGTCTCAGATGGAGATGAGGAACTTATTGGGAACTGGAATAAGAGTCACACATGCTATGCTTTAGCAAAGAGACTGGCAAAATTTTACCCCTAATTATCTGTGGAACTTTTGACTTGAGAGACATAGTTTAGGGTATCTGGCAGAAAAAAATTCTAAGCAGCAAAGCATTCAAGAGGTGACCTGTCTTATTCTGAAAGCATTCAGTAATATGCATTCACAAAGAGATGATTTAAAATTGGAGCTTATGTTTAAAAGGGAAGCCGAGCATAAAGGTTTCAAAAATTTGCAGCCTGACATTGCAGTAGAAAAGAAAATCCCATTTTCTGGAGAGGAATTGAAGAGGGCTGCAGAAATTTGCATGAATAAAGAGGAACCAAATGTTAATAGCCAAGAGAATGGAGAAAATATCTTCATTTCAGGTCAGAGGTCTTCTCTGAGGCAGTCCCTCCCATCCCAGACCCAAAGGCCCAGGGGGGAAAAATGAATTCATGAGCTGGGCCCAGAGCCATACTGCTCTCTGCAGCTTCAGGAGTTGGTGCCCTGCATCCCAGGTGCTCCAAATCCAGCCATGGTTAAAAGGGGCCAAAGTACCACACTTGCCGTTACTTCAGAGAGTGCAAGCCTTGGGGCTTCCACATGGTGTTGGGCCTTTGGGTACACAGAAGACAAGAGTTGAGCTTTGGGAACCTCTGCCTAGATCTCAGAGGAAATGAAATCTAGGTAGAGGTTCCCAAACCTCCTGGAAAAGGAAGATGTCCAGGAAATGCCTGGATGTCCGGGCAGAAATCTGCCACAGGGTTAGAACCCTCATGGAGAGCCTCTGTTAGGGCAGTGTGGAAGGGAAATGTAGGGTTGGAGGCCCCACACATAATCTCCACTGTGGCACTGCCTAGTAGACTGTGAGAAGAAGGCCACTATCCTGCAGGCCCCAGAAAGATAGATCCACCAATAGCTTGCACCATATGCCTGGAAAAGTCACAGGCACTCAATGCCAGCCTGAGAAAGCAGCCACAGGGGTTGTACCCTGGAGAACCACAGGGGCAGAGCTGCCCAAGGGCATGGGAGCCCACCTCTTGCATCAGCATGACCTGGATGTGAGACATAGAGTCAAAGGAGATTTGGAAGCTTTCAGGTTTAATGACTGCCCAGTTGGGTTATTTGTAATGGGAACACTTACCTAATTCCTACACCCTCATTGTATCTTGGAAGTAACTAACTTGCTTTTGATTTTACAGGCTTATCGGCAGAAGGGATTTGCCTTGTCTCAGATGAGACTTTGGACTTGGACTTTTGAGTTAACGCTGGAATGAATTAAGACTTTGGGGCACTGTTAAGAACACATGATTGGTTTTGAATTGTGAAAAGACATGAAATTTGGGAAGGGCCAGGCGGGGGATGGAATTATATGGCTTGTCTCTGTGTCCACACCCAAATCTCATCCCGAATTGTAATTCCCACGAGTCAAAGGAGGGGCTTGATGGAGGGTGAGTGGATCATGGGGGCAGATTTCCCCCTTGCTGTTCTCATGACACTGAATGAGTTCTGAGGAGATACGGCTGTTTGATAAGCGGTGCTTCCACCTTCTCTCTGTGTCTCCCTGTCACCTTGTGAAAAAGGTGCCTGCTTCCCCTTCACCTTCTGCCATTATTGTTAGTTTCCAGAGGCCTCGCCAGCCATATGGAACTGTGAGTCAATTAAGGCACTTTTGTTTATAAATTACCCAGTCTCAGGTAGTATCTTTATAGCAATGTGAAAACAGACTAATACCCACCACTATAGAATTTATCCATGTGACTAAAAACAACTTGTACCCCAAAAGCTATTGAAATAACAAAGAAATGAGGCTTTGGCCTTCTGTACCTGATAGAAAGGGAACACTACAACTTACTTTCAAGGAGGAAAAAAAAGCATGTTGAATCCAGAAATATGCAATATATGTGGATGATTTGAAGACAGTAGCCTATTGACTTTCTTTAGCCCTTTGATTTTCATGAGAAGGCATACTGAACAGTAATTCTAAATCAATATTTCTGCTTTCTAAACTAAGATGTTTACAGCTTTCTATGACACAATAATGTGCCTTGTTATAGATTCACTTGCACTTGAACTGACGGAAGTAGGGACTTGTTGAAAAAGGAAGATCTTAGCAGTGGAAAGAAATGTGATAAAATAAACTCACTTGGATATACAGGAACAAAGTGGTATAATTGAAGAATAATGAAGATGTCAATTACTTAAGATTGATGAAGATTTTTAACACAGAAATAGAGGCAGGCTGAAGTATACTTTTCTCAGTTTAGTTTGTGAGAATGGTAAAGGAGAAATTAACAAGCCTGTGTTAATATAATGTCAAATCACTCCATCAATCAGTTTACTGTTTCACTCAATGAAATGAGTAGTTCATTTAAAATAATTAATTTTAACAGAAAAATCAGGGAACATTTGATTGAATATTTTACTTTTTAAATATCATATAGTCACATTTTTTAGAAATTGGCAAGACAGAGTAATGCCATACAAGGAGAGAATTAACATAACATAGTGAAAATCACCAATGACATTAAGTAACTAACACAGCCATCTGTCCTAGAAGAAAAGAAAAATGGTGAGTTCCAAGATTGTTGTCTATTAAGAAACTCTGAAAACTTATGTACCATTTAACACATTAATTATAGCTAATGTCAAGCAATGCAACAGGAAAAACTAATTAAACCAAATATTTTGTTCATTTCAGAAAGAAATGTCAGTATAGTTTAGTCTATTATTCACTTAGAATGTGCAGAAGAGATAGAGACTACAGTCCTGGGATGAAACCATAAAAGACAATAGTGTCCATGTACTGCTTTTGTCCTATTGTGTAAAATTTCCCCCAAAATCCCTAGGTCTGAAGCAGGCAAATACAGATAGAAAATAGGAGGACCAAAATGCCATACCTCCCATGTATAAGAGGAGAGGGGAAAATTCAAGATGAGAATTATATACTCAGTAAATAATAGACTGCTAATATATAGCTTTCTGGGCAAATAATAATAATAGGTCACATTAATGACCAACTCTGTTATTATAAAAAAAGTATGCATCCAATTTATGGTTATGTGATGCAATTTAACATATACACTCTACAACAGTGCTTTTCTAATTTTAATGTACAGATGAGATCTGAGCTAAGGTCTGACATGAGATTCTGTGTTTCCAAGAAGCTCCCAGGTGACACCATTGCTATTGGTCTATGACACTTTAAGTGTGAAGCTCTTATGTAAACTAAGATGGAACTTTAGACTTATAAGGTACCTTAAGTGATATAAATATAATGTCTCATTTTATAGGTGAATAAGAAAAATCTCAGAGCAATATGATGACATAATGCTCACAATTTTTTATTCACTGACTTGATATTAAAACTGAAAACCTAGACTCCTAGTCAAGTGTTTTTGTTTTTTGGGTTTTTTTTTTATTTTGTTTTGTTTTTTTCTGCAGGCACTGAGTGGAAGCCACCTAGAAACATAATCCTAAAAAACATGTGTTGGTGACCCATATCGATAAACTTTTAATTTAAGATATGATAATGCCAATTTTAAAACTAAATTCGAAGCATCATTTTGATACAGACAGGAGGCAGGAAAATACTGGGTAGAAGAGGGCGGCGTCCCTGGCGAGGGCTCCACCCTCAAGCCTGGACCCGAGGTCCTAAATGAGAACAGTTATCCCTGTTTTCCCGCCTAAATGTTACTTTTTTGGCTCACCCTGCCCACCTGTCCTGTACCCATATAAACCCCAGACCTCAGCTGGCAAAGAGACAAGCAGCTGAATGTCGAGAAGAGAAGAAGCAACTGAGCATCGGAGACTACAGATAGATGCGGCTTAACTTCCGATGACACGACTTCGGAAAGAAGCCCAGCGCAGACGGCCAGGCTTCGGGGAAAGATCACCTTCTTCCCGCACCATCCGCTCGTCATCTTCCCTTCCACTGACAGCCACTTCCACCTCTTAATAAAATATCCGCATTCACCATCCTTTAAGTCCATGTGACCTGAATCTTCCTGGATGTCGGACAAGAACCCGGGTACCACGAGGGCAGAGTTTAAAAGGCTGTCACCCCGAATCTCCACTGAGCTGATGAACCCTTAGCTGTCCACGGATGGCAACTGCTAAAAGAACATTAATTGTGACACTCGCCTAGACGTTATCAGGGGGCCGGAGCCCAGAAGTGCTCGCCCCGGACCCGGCACCCGCTCGCCTGTGTGCTCCCCTTCCTGCAAGGGGTTTGAGCGTGGTGGTGGCAGAGTAAGCGAGCTGCACCCCTGTCGCAAGTCCTGCGAAGGTGTCAAAGGAACTCTCCCGTCTCAATTTCAAAGTACTGTTTACCTTGGGAGTATTTTAAAATTCTTATCTCTCTGATTCCAGTTCCCATTTGACTTTTGTCCACTGCATTTGTTTTGTCTTGTTTTGTTTTGTTTGACACAGAATCTGGCTCTGTTGCCCAGGCTGGAGTGCAATGGTGCTATCTCTGCATACTGCAACCTCCGCCTCCCAGGATCAAACGATTCTCCTGCCTTAGCTTCCTGAGTAACTGGCAGGCACCCACCACCATGCCTGGTTAATTTTTGTATTTTTAGTAGAGACAGGGTTTCACCATGTTGGCCAGGCTGGTTTTGAACTCCTGACCTCAAATGATCCACCGGCCTCAGCCTCCCAAAGTGCTGGGATTACGGGCATGAGCCACTACACCTGGCCTGTCCATTGCATGTTTACTTTCACAACAAAGTCTATCTAAAATAGTAGCTCAATTCATCTTTTAGCAGCACATGTGTCTTTGTAAAATATGTAGGCCATGTGTAAGACACCTTAAAAATATGTCTCCAAAAGTAAGTTGAAGCTATAAAACTTCAAAAGGTAGCTTTCAACCTTTACTTGCCATGTTAATTTAACAAGCAATTATTGAGCAATTAGTTAGGCAGTATTTCCAAAGAAATGCAAAGTGTGACATCTGCTCTCACAAAAATTTTAATTCAGTGGAGGAGATAAAGCATAAATGCAGGAAAGAGTTAAACAATAATATGTAGTATATGCTTACGATGTTCAAAGTAGAGAGAAGAGTGGATTGTAGACATTGTGGAAAGTAAACTGAAACTTAAATTTGGTCATAAAGGAAAGAGTAGACATTCAGGAAGAAAGGAATCATGGTGGAAAATCACTACCTGGCAAATAAAGTATGTACATAAAATTCAGGATTCAGGGCCAGGTGCAGTGGCTCATGCCTGTAATCCCAGCACTTTGGGAGGCCGAGAGGGGTGGATTGCCTGAGCTCAGGAGTTTGCGACCAGCCTGGGCAACACGGTGTAACCCTGTTTCTACTAAAATACAAAAAATTAGCTGGGCATGGTGGCGTGTGCCTGTAGTCCCAGCTACTTGGGAGACTGAGGCCAGAGAATTGCTTGAACCCGGGAGGCGGAGGTTGCAGTGAGCCAAGATCACGCCACTGCACTCCAGCCTGGGCAACAGAGTGAGACTCTGTCTCAAAAAAAAAAAAAAAAAAAAATTCAGGATTCAATGGAGAAAGCAACTGAGAGTGTGGAAGGAAAGGTGCCATGCTTTAGCCCTGCATGCCATTCTCCTTCTCATTGTTCCGCATGTGGACAGCTTGACAGTGGAGGACACTTGCAACCTGAGACATTCACAAGGTGAATTCACAAGGAGCAAGGACAGGTGATGAGGAATTTTGCCACACTGCCTTACACCCGCCATGTGATATGTCTTGGTGGATGTGCACACGTGCTCTTCAGAAGGTTGTGCATTTTGGATTTGTTGTATTTATTGTCACATAGGAGGAAGATTATTCAAGCAGACTGAGTTGGTAGGTAATATTATCTGTATCTATATCCACACCAATTTTTAGTGTATTGTCCTATCAATTACTGAGAGGGGAGTGCTAAAATCTCTAACTTTATTTGTGGATTTGTTTATATCAAAAGTATTTCTGTTAGTTGTTGCTTCATTTATTTTGATACTCTATTAAAAGGTACCAACACATTTAGGACAGCCATGTCTTCTTGATGAACTGACCATTTTAGCATTATAAAATGCCTCTTATTTCTGGTAATACTTTGTCTTTAAGTTCACTTTGCTGGATATTAATAGAACCATTTCAGATTTTTCATGAGTGTTTTTATGGTATGGGTTTCCATTTAATAAAAATTCTAGCTAATATTTTTATGGTTAAATCATGATATTCATTGGCCTCAAACATAATTCTCATTTGAAGATAAAGAGCAACTACACCGTTAGTCGTCTTCAATTAGTTCAACTAAACTAAGTTGTTTGTAGACTGCATTTTCAGAGAATGTGGTTTGTTATTCTCAAGCCAGTTCCTGTCAGGGTATTTTTTTTATATAGTAGTTCATTTAGTGTCAATGACAAATAAATTGCTTGTTGCCTCAGAGTTATATGGTGAGTACATGTTTGTATATGGGTTCTCTCTTTTCCTTACTTTAAGCAAACTGAGGTGATTTTTTTTCCTGTGTAGTTTGATCTAGCACGTGGTTCAATACGTGTCCAGAAAATATATGCTGGGTAAATGTGTTGCCTCTCTGTCATTGACAATAGTAGAATGGTTATTTTGATTAATTTGAAATATTTGTAAATGTAAGTGAATTCCAGAATTTTAGAAAAAAAATCCAAGGACTTATCAAAAGATTATCTAATTCCATCTACTGTTTCTCCTTCTGATTTTCCATGTTTATCTTCTAATTCTTTTCTCTGCACCACCAAATTGATTCATTTCCCTTCCTCTTTAGTTAGCCTCTCCCTCTCTGTGTTTTACTCAGTGACTCATATAAGAATTAAATCCCTCCACAAAATGCCAAACCCTCCCATAATTCCTTCTCCCTCAGATCTGTGTTTAGCTTCCTCCACCTTTGCTGATACTCCCAACATGAATTATTAGTCAGTTAGACTTGTGCAGGCCAGTCTTGCCCTGCTCCCCATCCTCAAGAGGGCATTCTGTTCTCTGAGCAGGTCCACAACCTGCCATTGCAGAAAAAGGTTCTATTTAAATTTGTTGTGTAATATATAGAGACAAACCCTGCAACCTTGGTAAGTAGACATTAAAATTCTGTTCTTGTAAAATGAAGAGACAGATAAGGCTAGCTCATGTGGTTTGAGCCCTGTCCTAAGTATCAATTCATAGTGACCAAATGAGCTTCATTCTATACCAAGGCTAACCTTGCCAGAGAATCACATTGCTTCAGGTTCAAATTTTGCTGGAGTTACTCCAAGAAAATGATTTAACCCCTCTGTCACTCATTTGGCTCATTAAAAAAGGAGAATGCACATGCCAATTTTAAAAGTATGTGTTTAGGCTTAAATGTAATAATTATGTAAAGTGCTTACCAGTGTCGCTGTGGTGGTAAAGAGAATAGAAGCAATAGTTGCATTTATAACAGACACTATTTTTCTAGTATTTCAGTGCTGCATACTAATCTCTGTGCAAATTACAGAAGCAGGCATGTCCAGGAAGTTCTAACAGGTGAGCCATTCGTGTCTCCCAGGCCCTCCCAGGAGGGTGGGCCGTAAAGGAGTGAAAACACTTCAAGAAAGGGATAGTGAAGCCTCCTGATCTCTGACTGAAGAAAAGGGTTTTCCTACCATGGGAACAAGAACAAGTAGTTCACAATGAGAGACCCTCATCTCCTTATGTCCCCCTGTAGTCATGCCAGTTCTTTAGGCAGAGAGATTTATTAGGAAGGAACACTGGAAAACAGAAGGCCACCCGACTAAATATGTCTGCAGATATAGACAGCTTTGGTAACTCTACAGAAAAATGAGACTGAAGATAAAGCTGGCTCACATGGAAGCTTGGTGGGAAGTGCATTGGAACCTTGAGCAGATAAGAAAGGGCCCAACGCACAAGACTTAGAAAAGCTGATAGGAGCAAAGAATATGAATCTCAGTAGCCTAGTCAGTGAGTCAATCCTCGCTAGTCCACGGCAGAAATTAGAAACCCTTCTGTGGTCCTCCATTTATGGCACACACAGGACATTTCTTAAAAAAAAAAATAGATTTAAAGGCTACACTGCAAACCATTAAAGCAGAACCTCTTGTGATGGTGCTTTCTAGTGTATTTTATTTGGTTTTCTTTGTTTTTTCTTTCCGTTTTTTTTTTTAATTTTTAATTTTTCTCACGATTTCTTGTGTATTGTAAACCATCAGTGGGAGGAAAAGAGGCTATAATGTTTGAAGTAAAGTGGTAGGCAAAAGGACCACTGCGTTCAGCTCACTTAGGAAATCCATACATTAGCTTAAACAGATTTGAAATTCTTTCCTATTCCTAAAATCTGTGAAAGGAGATGGAACAAAATAAATAGTAATGGTTTATGTACTTGTGTACTGAAGGAGTAACTTCAACATGAAGTGACTTGAAGAAACATAGGTTGCTGGCAATGTCTGATAATTGTCCACTGCAAACTATTTTAAAAACATAAATGGTAATGATAAATTTACATTGCAATTTTTGTGAAGGGAAAGTAAACATTATGCATTTACTATTTCTAAATTTACTGAAGTGTGTTCCCTAGGAAAATGGGCCAGAGTATATCATTTAAATTGAATCTTGAACTTGAAGATATTAAAAACTTTTATTTTTAAAGTCTTGCTAATAGAAAAATTAGAGTTTAGTCTGATTTCAAGGAAACACTATCAAATATTATTACATTATACACATTTGCTTTATAAGGCCTTGTCTCTTTTGAGTTACATGTATTGACATGATTAAATTAAGCATTTCTCAGGGTGTGTTCCAGTAAACATAGTCTGAAGACATAATATTTTTAAATGGTTCTAAGGTGAAATAAGTTTCAGAAATTCATAGTGTATTCATCTCTTTTTATTTGATGATTCAACATACCAATTAGCATATTAAATTTCCAAATAATTACTGCATAAAAAACACTAGGTTTAACTCAAAATTTCCAGAACTCAATCACTGAAGTCAGTTATTTGAAATAATATCTTTTAAAGACCTGAAAAATTCAAGTATAAAAAAATCTTATATCAGTGTGTTCGTTGCAACCTTTCAAGTTCTAATCAGTTGTGTTTTATGTTTTCTTTTCTTTTTCTTTTTTTTTTGATGGGAGTCCAGCTCTGTCACCCAGGCTGGAGTGCAGTGGCACCATCTCGACTCACTGCAACTTTGCTTCCTGGATTCAAGCGATTCTCCTGCCTCAGCTTCCTGAGTAGCTGGGATTACAGGCACCCTCAACCATGCCCAGCTAATTTTAGTAATTTTAATAGAGATGGAGTTTCACCGTGTTGGCCAGGCTGGTCTCGAACTCCTGATCTCGTGATCTGCCCGCCTCAGCCTCCCAAAGTCCTGGGATAACAAGTGTAAGCCACCAAGCCTGGCCTGTTTTATTTTCTTAATTTTTAACAAGGAAAATTTTAACTATCATCTCACAGAATTATAAGGACTAGTAATAGATAAAAATGTGGGCATCACACATTACTTGGTGCACAGTTATTATTCAGTAAATAATGGTTCACTTAAATTAGTACAACTAATAATAATATGCAACTATTATAGTTGGCTATTGATACTAAAAAGATAGAACTTTAGAATAATTGCAGTCAATCACTTTTATTCACAGTTAAAAATGAATACTTATATGTATATATTTTACCTATATATATTATATTGCAAATAGAACCTACATACATACACAGTCCAACTAAAAGTTTCAAAAAACACACTTACTAATATTACTCCTTGCAATGTAGTCTGTATTTTATTCTGTAATATTCTAGTCCACACCTGAATTTTAAATCTGTTTCCCAACAAACTGATTTTTTGAGAGCTAATAATTTGAAAAATTGAACTTTAAAAGAGTTTAATATTGGACATAGAGGGTAGAAGAATGGTTACCAGAGGCTGAGAAGGGTAGTGGGAGGCTGGAGGGGAGGTAGGGATGGTAAATGTGTACAAAAAAATAGGAGAAATGAATAAGTCCTTTCATTTGATAGCACAACAAGATGACTATAGTTAATATTAATTGTACATTTTAAAATAACTTAGAGTGTAATTGAATTGTTTGTAACTGAAAGGATAAATGCTTGAGGGCATGGATACCCCATTCTCCATGATGTGCTTATTTCACATTGCATGTCTGTATCAAAACATCTCATGTACCCCATAAATATATACACCTACTATGTACCCACAAAAATTAAAAATAAAAAAACATAAAAAGAGTTTAATATCCATGGCAAAATTATGTAACCTAAATATAGGACAAATTATCTGTCTTTATTGTGTGAGACTAAAATCGGCTATTTTGACACATGAAATGGTTTGCTCCATATCCACAAACCACAAATTCTAATTAGAAAATTTATCTATGTGGTTAGGGTTCAGAATTTATTTCTGAAAATGAGAAATATTTAAAGTGATCTAACTTAAGAGGTTTACATAAACTTGCCAAAATGTGTTTAAAAGGCTATTCCTGGCACTTTAAAAATTATATTTCAACATATATTTTTTCTACTAAGGACTATGGCAATTAGAATATGTATTAGCAATACGTATTTTTGAATATATATATTTTTCTTCTAAGTACTGTGTCAATTAGCAGGAATCTATTTTTTAAAATAGATTTCTACATCTTTTGACAATTAGAAATTCTTCTATAAGTTTGCATCATAGATAATTACATTAAGATTTCAAGTTTCATATTTTAGACATGGGTTTGGGTTCTTAATTTCTGTCCTTTGTGTTACAGGAAGGTAAAATTACACAAAATTTTAATATGTACAAATGATAATTAAATTAGCATTATTCTTCTATTCAAAGATTCCTTGATTGACAGGTTGATAAGCAATGTTTGTGCATTAAAAAACATTTATACTGAATTTCCAGGCAGTGCCCTAAGGAAAAAAATAATACTAAAACAATTGGATCCCAAATAAATGTTGACTTCCTGTGAATACCTCCATATATTTCCTGGGGAAACAACCACCACAACAAAACATATATCAAAGGCAAAGTATTCAAATGTTTGGAGAGAAAAAAACGATTAAAAAATAAACACATTTTTAAAAGTTTCCAACTTGGGATAGCTAAATTGATTTATAATCTTTAATTTGTTATGCTGCTCTGTTCGCAGAGCATATAAATCTAGAAACTTTGCTTAGCATTTATAATTATGTAGCTGTGCATACTGAATATTAACTCAGTACTATGCACAAGGGGAAAAGAGTAAAGTGAGGAAAAGTAACAAAGCATAGCAGATGTAAGTACGTATGTACTACTATGTACTACTGCACAATATAAAAATATATGTATGGCCCAGATTTTATAAGAGTTCCCATTATTTATCTTCATGTCCACATTCTTCACTATAGCTCTATGGATACTCGTATTAAATATTCAGCCTAAGTTCCCTGCCTCAAAAGGGACTGGTGGGAATGCTTCCAATTATATGACTGCATAGCTTCAGATTGTAAAAGTAGGCAGGTCCTGCAGAGAACGTGCCTGTGATTGTGGCCATTTTGAATGCTCCTGAAGTGATCATATGTTTATCAGTTTGCATTTTGCAAAATTTTGAGTGGGATTAGAAATCATTTTTCTACTGCACTGCTCATCAACAGCCATAGGGATTTGTCTCTTTTACTTAGCCATCAAAGCAGAATGTCCATGGAAAGGGAAGACATAAGGCTTGAATCTAAGAATTTTTATTGTTAGAATTCTTCGAAATGTCAAAGAAAATATTAGACAAATAATAGAAACTTAAACCCAGAAGATTTTTCAGAGTCCACTAACCTTAATAAAGGTTCATATAACCATTTCTGCACAAATGGGTAACTATCCCACTTGTAAATAGCTTTCAGGCAGTATAGCCTTGGCTTTTTAGACCAGTCACTCCAGTGTTTCAAAAGATTTCTAGAAGCGCCTACTGCTTTAATCCAGAAAGAGGCATTCCTACAGACAATATTTTGACTATGAGAAAAGATGGGCAGAGCATTATCTGTTAGAATAAAAGTGCAAGATGTTATCAATGCAGAAATAATAGGTGTTCTTACTTTGTCTTATTTTCATTCTTTCATGAATTAACCACATCACTGGCTATGAGATTCACTGATGGTGTCTTGCAACAAATGTATCTGCCATTTATCTTCTTTGGTTTGTGACATTGATTCACGGCTTAAATAAAATATTTCCACATAAACATCAATAGTGGTTATAGAAGTTGCACTTCTCAGTCTAAATTTAGACAAAATCTCAGCTCATAAGTGAAAGGTAGCATCATGGCTCTGTAGCTTTCATGTTTAAATTATGAAATTCCAGAAAAAGTCATTAAAATTCATTCAATAAAGCTTAGCTACATATAAATAGGAAAATCCAAGTAAGACTTGGAAAATATTTCTAAATCATAAACATAATGGCTATATTTAAGAAGGAAGATAAATAAATGATTTAATGAATAATTGTACAAATTAATGATAAATAATGATAATGTAATTGTAGAACTTTCAGAAGGAACAAAAGGTTAATTAGACTAAAGAGGTTTTATTACTTGGAATATTAATAAAACCAAAGCTATAATACATCACAATGCAAATTCAGAAAACACTATAATTCAGGTCTTTCTTTAAGTAAGAAACAGCACATTTTACGGAATAGCATAGGGAATATTGATGTTAAAATTCACAAGAAGCTTACTATCACCTACAACATGCTATCAAATTAGCATTTTATTTAAAAAAATGAAAAGACAGTTGATTACATAAAAGAGCCAGTAGTTATGGATGACTCTAAAAAGAATTATGGAAGACCAGCTAAATAGCAAGAAATTATCAGTAAAAGTCTTTGTCACTAATACCGTTAACGACTAACACCATCACAACACTGTTCCTAGTATACAAAAGTGAAATGACAATGAAATCAGGGCAGATTAACTGACACAGGAGCACACTGCAGATTGAGAGGGTAGAGATCATGCTTTATATTTTTCTTGTTTACTCTCAGTACTTAGCATCATCTTGTGCCAAAAATAGGGGATCAATAAATACTTGGAGAGTTTATTGATTCATCCCAAAATGAGTGCATTAAATGGATAAATTAGTTGCCCTGGGGAAATGAGTCTTCCAGTGTTTGTTTTCTACACTGATTGAAATCAAGAAAAGAAATATGGAAAGGGACTTCACATTTTTTTTTAAGAAACTCCAATCATCCTATTGATCACAATTTTGCCAGTGAAGAATCAACTATTTCTTATTGACCAGTTCTGACTTGGATAGAAACACCTATATTTGTGAAAAGTAGTTTTCTGTCATTACAGGCAATGAGATAAATTAGTAAATACTAAATTTGATAAATTCTTTGATGCTCTGCTTCTCTTCTCTCAATACCTTCCTTTCACTAGTGAAGTGAAGTGGAACCTGTAGCCATTCTAAATCTCCCATTCACACATATCATCTAATTTATTCCAGCAGAGTGGATCTCTTTTCATTCAAATTTTAGGTTTGGTTATATATATATATGTTGGCTTCACAACCACTATCATTTCTATGCTGTACACCACCTCACAGATACCTCTATCTCCAACACAAACAGAGGCACACACACACATACTAGTGCATGCCACTCTAAGCACTGAATTGATTCTCAGCCTTGGGCTTCTATCAACCAACTTCTGAGTTCTGAGCTCTTTCTCTGTAGCACAGTTCCCTCTGGAGAAAGGTGCAGAAATCATTGTTCAGTCTTTGCCATCCAATTTTACTCTGGCTTCCTTACATACCTCAACAATTCTATTTCTTCTTGATGATCATTAAGGCTACTCCAGAACTCCATGTTTCTTTCTATTTGTTTACGTTTTCCTGTGGCCAAACTCACATTCTGAACAGACGCTCTTACCTCATAAGAGCATTGAAACCTGAATTTCTTCATTTATCTTCCTTATATAGACATAAACCTACATCAAAACCATTCATTCCTTCACTCATTCAAAGGATAATCACCAGGCACTTACTCTCTGCAGGCCACTGCCTTGACAGATACAAAGGTGGACAAAACAAGTAACGATCTCAGAAAGCTTACCGTCTATTGGGGTAGACAGGTGATTATAATAAAATATCATAAATGCCTTGAGTGGCAAATATCGAATGGTGGGGAAGTGCATAGCATTGATGTGCAAGCTGGAATTGGTAGCATATTAGTGCCAGCTTCCGGAAGTAAGTGACATGCAAGTTATGATCTAAAATTTTAGTAAGAATTAGCTAAGAAAAGGCAGTGAGGTGGGATGGAAATTAGGTGTAGGCATAAAAAAGAGCATGTTCACAAGAGAGAGCATGTAGAAAAGATTTAATCTGGCTGAAGCACAGACATGAGGTGGAATAAGAGATTTTCCCGGAGAAGTCCGCATGGATTTACTAGGAAGGACGTGGAAAGCAGAGACTACAAAGAGGCACTGCAGTAACTCCGATTTGATTTAAACCATTATTGGATGGGGCCAGGCGCAATGCCTATAATCCCAGCACTTTGGGAGGCCGAGGCAGGCGGATCACAAGGTCAAGAGATCAAGACCATCCTGGCTAACATGGTGAAACCCTGTCTCTACTAAAAATACAAAAAAATAGCTGGCATGGCCTGTAGTCCCAGCTACTCGGGAGGTTGAGGCAGGAGAATAGCTTTAACCTGGGAGGTGGAGGTTGCAGTGAGCCGAGATTGCATCACTGCACTCCAGCCTATCGACAGGGTGAGACTCCATCTAAAAAAACAAAACAAAACAAAACAAAAACATTCATTGGAGGAACTCAGTGGTTATGTTAGACAATGTCTGGCACACAGATATTTAATATTTTTAGTATTTAATACTTTTAAAAAGCTAATACATAGGCATGTTAAGGGATTTGTATGTTATAAAGAGCCCAGTGGAGAGCTGCGGAAGTGTTCCATCCAGGGAAATAACAAGACTTGGCTCATATTTTAGGGCTGCTTTAGGAATTGCAGAAGAGATGTTAAGGAAACAGGTGGAAAAGGACAAAAACCAGTAGCAAAGACATCAGTTGTGGGATTTTCTACAACAATTTAGGCCAAAATTATAGTGCCCTGAATAAGTATGGTGGCAGTCAAGGTGAAATGACATAGATGGATTTAGTAGATATTTAGGAAATAAAACCAAGAAGACTTACTCGCAGATGGGATGTGAGAGAAGAGGAAGAAGGAGAGAGCAAGGATAACAGCAAAATTTCTGGCTTGGATAACTGAGCGGAGAGTGGGCTGTTATTGAGATACAGAACACCAGGAGGAAAGCAGGTTTGGGAATATCTATCCTATATGACTTCAGCCATAGAAACATTGAGTTAGAGGGTTGTGTGGGATCTAGTATCCAGTCTGCAAGTCAGGAGAGACGTAGGCCCTTATCCAGAATTGGGACTCAAGTGCACAAGAATGACAGCTGGAGCCACGAGAGCAGCGTGGTGGATTGCAGAACAAGTGAGAGGAAGAGAGGACAGTGAGGCAATTAGCAAAGAATACTGAGAGATAAAAGAAAGCCCGGAGTGTGGTGTCATAAAACCAAAAAGAAACAGTGTTTTAAGAAGGAAAAAGACATCAGCAGGTTGATCTGGTAATGAAGGCGCATTAATAATCTTGACAAGAGCAGTGTTTGTGGAGCGTGCAGAACTATGAACACAAAGGAAGCTCTAGTAAAAGTAAGGGAAGAAAACTCTATAAGAGGGAAAAAGAGAGAGCTTGTAGCTGAGAGGTATAGCACAAGTAAGAGAAAATATCTTGTGGATGGGGAGACCAGAGTGTGTTTGCAGACACTGGCAAGAAGCCAGTGCAGACAGCTGCTTGAGAATGAAAACCTCAAAAAAAAAAAAAAAAGAATTAATGACACGAGGTTTTGGGAGAGATTTAAAAAGATGCACTAACAAAGATCCAGATAGAGAGGTTAACCTGGTGAAGGAGAAGAGACACATCTTACCACTTCATGTATGCTTTAAATCCTAACTTCTCAAATAAGTTAAATACTTTACTTCCACTTAAATACTTTACTTTCACATATGTAAAGAAATCTCTTCTTTTGGGGAGGCGCAATGGGAAAGCCTCCACTTTATCCTCTGGCTCCTAATTATTGTCACATCTTTTATATAGGCACTTTCAATGATGTTGGTTTTATCTTCTACCTACATTACTTCACCTTGCCTTTCTTCCCTTCCACCCTGCAATTATGATTTTGTTCCTGCTATTATACTAAATAGCTCTATTAAGAGTCGAGTTATAACTCTCTTCTCTCACTTAAAGGAATTGTCTTCCCCTTCCTTCCTTCCTTCCTTTCTTGTTCTGCTTTATACTTAAAAAGCCAATATTTTCAAACAAACACTCCCTCCTCCTTTGACTTCCATGACATTACTTAGGAAAACTCCCTACCTCTCCAACTATTCCCCCCTCTTTGATGTGACATCCTCATCACATGGATGGAGGGAAGCCTCCATCTCCTAATGGTGAACATGACTAAACCATTTATCAATTGTCCTCTACTTTTCTCTCTCTGCTGTGTTTTTCTTGGTGAGCCTACTTACTTAGACTTTACAATTGCCATTTTAATGCCCCCTTTTCCAAATCAATATCACCATCCTAACTTCGTTCTGATTGATAATTACTATCACCTTTATGATATTTATCCCTCAGAGGACCCCCAAGTTTATCTTATTAGTCCAGGCACTGACTTCCTTGTCTTTCCCACTTAGTAATACTTTCCCTAGTTTCTCCAGTTCTGTTACTGGAAACATCAGATGCCAGGCACCAAATATGGAATGCTACAATGGACTGTAGTGTCTTTCTTTTTTATTATGTAAGTTACCACCAAATTCATTGCATTAATGTCTCCCCTGTTTGACATTTTCTTCTCATTTTCTCTGCTTTCACCCTAGCCCCAGCTCTAATGAACTCACATATGGAAAGTGACAAGATTTCTTAACTATAGTGTCCCCAAAGTCATGTCGTCTTGCACAGTCAGCAAATTTACATTTCACAAAGTAGGTTTTTACCACGCCATTTCCTTTATCAACACCTTCATTACTTATTGGACCAAGTCTGCGCCTCTATCCCTTATATGATGTGCCAAGCTCCATGGGGCAGTTTAGTTCCATTTTGCTAGTCTAGACTCTTCACAACTCTCAACTTTTGGCCTCACTTCAGACTAGCTGGTCTCCACAAGACATATGAGTCACAAGCACCCTTGTTGCTAAGCCATTGATCTTATTTTTCCTCTTTCAGAATTCTTCACCTGTCTCAAATCCTACATCTTCTTTGGAGTGTATTTAGAAAACTTCAGTAAAACTAAAATTTCTCATTATTTGTCCATTGATCTGGATATTTAAATGTATATTATGTTTAGTCTTTCTTTATATACATTTCCTATGATTACACTACTTGTTTTTACAATTTAGCATATCTTGTTACCTTTTTAAAATGTAAGGAATTTAAAGATTGATTATTTCACATACTTCTGTCACTACCTAGGATATTTCAGAAAATAACATAGTTATCTAATAAACACTTGTTGAAAAAAGTAGTATGAAATCGAAGAATTTATTAAGATAGTGTCACAAGAGCTGATCATCATTCATAATTCTGGAACTGAGTAGACTATGCGGAGACATGTATGTGATTTCTTAAAAAGAGAAAGAACATCAAAAGCTAGGCTGTTCAACGTGATCTTTGACACTACAGGTCTTTGGAATTTTCTCTTGTAGCATAAAATTAATCATAGAAACCTGGCCAGAAATATATGAAGTGGGATGTTTTCTTCCCAGTGTCAGAGAGCTCAAAGCAACAGAATTATCTTGATAAGAAGCACATATATACACACACACAGGTGCAGCAGTATAAAGACTTTGAAATTTGCTATTCCTTTGGTACTTTTCAAATTAAAATGGCTTAAGAAAGAGCCAGGCCATTTATTTAAGATAAAGATTGCTTCTTGGGAAAATCAGAAAGCAGTGCTTATCCCAGACATGCACAAGTTTTCCAATGTGACCTAAAACATAATAATTCTATTTCAGAACAAAAATAGTGTTTATATTGCAGAGTAGCTCCACATAAAACAAAAGTAAATGGGACCCATAGCAATTTGGAAAAGAGCCGAGTTTCTAGCAGTTCCTTTTTTTATGGAACAGAAAGAGGAATGCACAAAGTTGTAGCAACACAAAAATGTACACTGTGAAATATCTGAGGGGCTTAATAGACTCTATTTTCTCAAATTATGTTTCCCTCTTGTAAGGCACTATGAGAGATGCATAGTTGGGGGGTACAATAGATGCTTCGGTTTGCTGTATGTTTGTGTCCTCAGGATGCATTTCCAAACCATCTGAATTTTAAGAAAAACATTAAAGATTCTGATTAAAACACCAAATACAGGCACACATTGCTTCATGGCACTTCACTTCAACGTGCTTCACAAAATTGCATTTTTTAAAAATTGAAAGTTTGT
This sequence comes from Homo sapiens, assembly GCF_000001405.40. Classification (NCBI taxonomy): domain Eukaryota; kingdom Metazoa; phylum Chordata; class Mammalia; order Primates; family Hominidae; genus Homo; species Homo sapiens. The sequence continues at coordinate 30,115,193 of NC_000021.9, read as the reverse complement.
GGCAACCCTGTGATGAGCAAGTCGACAGGTGCCAGTTTTCCAACAGCATGTGCTCAAGTTGTGTCTCTGTGTCACATTCAGGTAATTCTCACAGTATTTCAGACTTTTTCATTATTATTATATCTGTATGGTGAGCTGTAATCAGTGATCATTGATATTGACATTGCAATTGTTTTGCGGCACCACAAACCATGCCCATATAAGATGACAGCCTCAATTGATGAATGTTGTGTTCTGACAGCTCCACTGACCAGCCATTTCCTCCTTTATTCCTCTCCTGGGGCCTCCTTATCCCCAGAGACACAATAATATTAAAAATAGGTCAATAATAACCCTTCAATGGCCTCTACATATTCAAGTAAAAGGAAGAGTTGCAAGTCTCATTTTAAATCAAAAGTTAGAAATAATTAAGTTTAGTGAGGATATTAAAAGCCAAGACAGACCAAAAGGTAGGCCTCTTGTACAAGTTAGCCAAATTGTAAATGCAAAAGAAAAGTTTTTGAAGAAAATTTAAATCCTCCAGTGAACACACAAATGATAATAAAGGGAAACCGTCTTACTGCTGATGTGTAGAAATTTTTAATGATCTGTATAGAAGATTAAACAAGCCACGGTTTTCTCCTAAGCCAAGGCTAATCTAGAGCAAAATCCTAACTCTTTTATAAATTCTACAAATGCTGAAAAACTTGAGGAAGCTGCAGAAAAAAAGTTGGAAGCTAGCAAGTTTGGTTAATGAGGTTTAAGGAAAGAAACCATCTCCATAACATAGAAATGCGAGATGAAGCAACAAGTGCTGACGTAGAAGCTGCAGCAAGTTATCTAGAACTACCTAGGGTAATTGATGAAGGAGGACTACACTAAACAATAGGTTTCAATGTAGACAAAAAGGGCTGCTATTGGAATAAACTGCCATCCAAGACATTGCTAGAGATACGTCAGTTCTTGGCTTCAATACTTCAAAGGACAGGCTGACTCTCTTGTTTGGGGCTAATGCATACAATGACTTTAAGCCAATGCTCTTCTACCAGTCTGAAAATCCAAAGACTCTTAAGAATTATGCTAAATCTGTTCTGCCTGTCCTCTATAAATGGAACAACGAAGCCTAGATGGCAGTGCATCCGTTTATAGCATGGCTTGCTGAATATTTTAAGTGCATGTTGAGACCTACTGCTCACAAAGATTCCTTTCAAAATGTCACTGATCACTGATGATGTACTTGGTCACCCAAGAGCTCTGATGGAGATGTACAAGGAGATTAATGTTAATTTTTATGCCTGCTAACAGAACATCGATTCTTCAGCCCATGGATTAAGAAGTAATTTCAACTTTCAAGTCTTATTACATAAGAAATACATTTTGTAAGGCCATAGCTACTATAGCAATTTCTCTGATGGATCTCAGCAAAGTAAATTGAAAACCTTCTGAAAAGAATTCATCATTCTAAATGTCATTAAAAATATTCATGATTCACGGAGGAGGTCAAAATATCAGCAATAACAGGATTTTGAAAGGGATTGATTCCAACCCTCATGGGATGACTTGGAAGAGTTCAAGACTTCAGTAGAGGAAGTAACTGCAGATGTGGTGAAAAGCATGAAAGAACTAGAATTGGAAGTGAAGCCTGAAAACGTGACTGAATTGCTGTAATCTCTTTATAAAACTTTAACAGATGAGGAGTTGTTTCTTATGGATGAGCAAAGAAAGCGATTTCTGGAAATGCAATCTACTTCTAGCAAAGATGCTGTGAATATTGCTGAAATGACAACAAAGGATTGAGAATATTCCATCAACTTAGTTGATAAGACAGTGACAGAGCTTGAGAGGATTGACTTTCATTTTAAAAGAAGTTCTACTGTTGGCAACATTCTATCAAACAGCATCACATGCTACAGAGAAATCTTTCATGAAAGGAAGATTCAGTCACTGCTACAAATCTTATTGTTGTGTTTTTTTTTAAAATTGCCACAGCCAACCCAGCCTTCAGCAAACACCACCCTGAGTAGTCATCAGTCATCAACATCAAAGCAAGACCCTACACCAGAAAAATGGTTATGATTCACTAAAGGCTGTGACTATTCTTAGATTTTTTTTTAGTAACAAATTACTTTAATTAAGAAATCTACACTGTTTTTAGACATAATTCTATTACATACTTATTAGACTTCAGTATAGTATAAACATATCTTTCATAAGCATGAGAAAATAAAAAAGTTCAAATGATTTGTTTTATTGTGATATTTGGTTTATTGCAGTAGTCTAGAATAGAACTAAACCTGCAATATCTTCAAAGTGTTAAATTTAACTCATCAAGCTTTTATCCAAATCCCTTTGTGATGATGCAAATTATTAAGCTAGGCTCTGTATTCCACTTTAGCTTTAACAAAGTTTGTGAATTTCACCACTTATTTTGAAGTATATTGCCTTAAAAAATTCAGAAATTTTCTACACTTTAAAACTTATTTCAGGCCTTGGCATCCCCATATCCTTCATTAATGCCTGCAGAATGGGTTAATGCCCATGGCCAATCTAGATGTTTATTCTTGGTGAGGCTTCTCAAGACCCCTACAAATTACAGCTGTACATAATTTGCTAAGCATGTCCCCACAGCTCCTCTGAGCTCTGCCATAGAGGCTGCCTTCCTGCCATTAATCAAACTGACATTCTCATGGGGCTCCCTGGGCCACACCTTGAATGTACTGTTTTGGTTAATTCTGTTCCAATCCTAACATACTCAACTCTAGCATCTCATCACCCATGGAGACTGCTATGGGCTGAATTGTTCCCTGTTAACCCCCACATTCATATGTTGAAGTCCTAACCTTCAGAACCTCATAATGTGGCTGAATTTGGGGACAGGATGTGTAAAGAGGTAGGTAGGTTAAAAAGAGGTTGTACAGGTGAATTTTAATCCAATAAGATGAGTGTCCTTTAAGAAGGGGAGATCAAGACACAAACACGTATAGAGGGAAGGTATGTGAAGACACAGGGAGAAGGTAGTCATCTTCAAGCCAAGGACAAAGCCCTTAGAAGAACCCAGACTTGCTGATACCTTGATCTTGGACAAATTTTTGTTGTTTGAGCCACTGAGTCTTTGTTGCTTTGTTATGGTAGCCCTAGCAAACTACTGCAGAGTCTCTTCCGACGCATCTATATTCAGAAGACTGAGAACTAACTTAGTGTTCCAGCGACCTGAGCATAAATAAGTCTGATGAGTGATTAATGTATTTAACTTTATCCTTAGAGTTTTCAGAGTGAAAAAGCAAATAATATATATTTGTAACTCTTTGCATTAAAATAGTAGAAAATAATAACTAACACGTGGTGAGCAATTTTTATGTGTCATACATGTTTCTAAGAGTTTTATAAGCTATTAGTTTTAGATAAATCTGTTATTTTGTTTGGTCCTCATAATATCCAATGTAACAAGTACTACTATTACTTACAGTTTACAGATAAGAAAACTGAGGCACAGAGAACTTAAGTAGCTGATCTACAAAAATAAAAGAATGTTGGAACATGGTATCAAATACGGTAGTTTAACTCGAAAGCACACATTATAACTTTAGTACTATCCAGCTTCATTATTAGATACATAATTTTAATTTTTCATATATATTTTCACATATTGTTTCCACTGCCTTGCAAGTAAAAAAACTATCCTAGATACTTGTCCTGGAAGTATAAAATCTCAACAATCTCTTCACTAGTTCTTTTTCAGGAACAAAACAGATTCGGTCTTCTCAAGTTTGAGTTGGCCACAAATTTGAGTTTTGGGTTTTTTTTCTCCTTTTCAGTCTATATCCTTGACAGTTTTAGACATCTGTATCAAAAATAAATGTGTCTATTTTTCTATATGCATTTATTTACCCCAACTATTGAAGTAAAAATAATTCTTTGCCCCAGGTTTAATCTCACCAGGGTAATAAAAAAATTACTAACTAACAAAAGGAGAAAGAAGGAAAGAGTGAGGAAACAGAAGAAATAAAAGAAAAAGAAAAAAGTTACGCACGTGTTCATTTGATTTTACATTAGGCAAAAATAATCATCTATAAGCTACATGTAACAGAGAATATTGTTGAAGAATTGGCACTCCCTCTACAAAAGTACAGGTTCAATTTGGAGTGTACCCACCACACTAAAATTGTCTCTCCAAGGGAAGTCATACATAGCCTTGGTGTTCAAAGTCTCCAGCTATCAGTATGAAGATGCACTAAGGAGACTCTTCAGCGGGTTCTTGTCAGAAAACTGAGTACTTCATAAAATTCCAACTATTTTAAGCTTCATTGGCACTGAAAATATAGAACATTTTTTTCACCTCTTCAATTGCATCAGAAGTATCATCAAACCCCGTAAATAACAAAGACTGGGTTAGATGCATTCTACGAACAGGTGGTCATGGTATTGTGCCTCATATAGGACAAAAAATAATATATTTCAGTAATGTGGTTTCACTTTCAGAAAAATAGTGACTGAAACAATTCATTTCTATGTGTCTTCAGACATTTTAACGGAGGATCTAACAACAACGTGTTATGGAATCCTAGGGCCTACGGGTGGAACAAACACCAACGCCGCCTGGTCAGAAGCATCACACACTACGTAAGAATATCTATGTAGAAGAGTTCAGAGTCTTGTTTCTGCAACCTGAGTCACTCTACAACTTTGGAAAATATTATAAAAATCTTTATGTTGGCAAAACCATCGTTTTATAATTTTTATGTATTAACTCTAAATTCTCTTTAGTTATGAATATAACTCAATCTTCTATTGGGCTATTCTTCAAAAATGTAAAAGAGCCATTATGTTTCCTGAAGTCATCTATTAGTTACATTAACACTCCTATTTCTTCAACTCTTCCTCTATAAAATATTTTCTAGAATGTTTACATTCTGTCAATCCTTCTTTGTAAATATTTATTTGAATTTGTCATTTTTAAAATGCAACATTCAACATTAAACCTGATTCTGACATGGGATAGGCTATGTGTTGAGTTTATTATCTTTTACAATCTAGTTGCTCATTGCTGTACAGTAAAATTCATAAACTGTGCTTTCCAGTTAGATTTATCCAAATGTAAATGAAATTGGACAGAGGAAAAAATACTCTCATAAGTTTAATTACTTAAGAATATATATATCTATATAATTTATGGATTATTCCCTCTTTCATGGTATCAGCTATTCATTCATTCACCCATCTTTTTTATAATTTTTGCTTTCTTATATTTTATGCCTTCTTACCCCAAAATGAATAAACCCTAATATAACCTGAAAATAAGATTATAAAAATGACAATGTACAAAAAAAAGTACACATATGTTTATAACATGTTTATAACTTAAATAATTTTGCTTTTATTTTTAAGAGAAATCCAGGAATAATATACTAATAGGGATTAAATAAATTATGTAAGTCATGCTCTTATTAAACACACTGGTTTTAGTAAACATTTTAAAAGTTAACATAGTCCAAGGAATGAGTTTTTTTTTTAGAAAAATCAATGAATTCATTGTGATGCTTTTAAGGAAAATTAAGTTAACAAAACTAAGCTTTCACATTTTGAAAATACTATTTTGAATCTTTTAGCTTGGGGGTTATACAAATTATTTTCATCTAATTGAAGGTTTGGTAAAGAAGACCAAAGCATACTAGCAATATACCTGAACCCTTATATTTTTTCGTATAAGAGTAGTTAAACACAGAAAACAACCTGAATATTCTACAGTGGCAATTAACATACTTTTAACATTCATCCTCTTTGATGTTCTAGTAATTACATTTTTAATATGCATGCATTAAGCATATTTTAATTATGTAAGAAATTATATTTGTATGCAAGAATGAAAAAGACAAAAGACACATGGGTAAATGTTTATGATCTTACATTTGGCAAAAGTTTCTTAGATATGACACCGAAAGCATAATCAACAAAAGAAAAAATAGAAAAATTGGACTTTATCACAATTAAAAACTTCTGTTTTTCAAAAGGCACTGTCAGGAAAGTGAAAAGACAATCCAAATAATAGAAAATATATGCAAATTATATATGATAGAAAACTTATATCCAGAATATACAAAGAACTCTACAACTCAATAATTAAAAACACAATTTAAAAAGTGCAAAGTATTTGTATAGACATTTCTCCAAGGAAGATACACAACTGGCTAATAAGCACATAAAAAGATACTTAACAACATTAGTCATCAGAGAAATGCAAATAAAAACCACAATGAGATAATACTTCTTACGAACTGGGATGGCTAGAATCAAAGTAGATAATAACAAGTGTTTGTGATGATATAAAGAAATTGAGTCCCTATACATTGTTGCTGGGAAATGGGGATGAAAAACATCTGGCAGTTCTGTGAACAATTAGACATAGAGCTACCATATGACCCAGCAATTCTCGTCCTTCGTACATACCCAAGAGAAATGAAACCTATATGTACAAATGAAAACACGTACACATATGTTTATAACAGTATTATTCAGTATTAATAGCCAATAGGTAGAAACATCTCAAATGTCCATCAACGAATAAATGGATAATCAAAATGTAGACTATGATAAAATGGAATGTAATTTTTCCATAAAAAAGAAAGTACTGATACATGGTACAATATGGATGAACCTTGAAACCAGGCAAAGTGAAAGGAGCCGATTACAGAAGATCACACATTATATAATCATATTATATTACTTAATTATATACATTAATATGAAAGTCCAGTATATAATTACATTCATATGAAAGTCCAGAATAGAGATAGAAAGTAGATTAGAGTTGCTTAGGGCTGGAGAAAGGATGGGAATGTAGGGGCTGATAACTTAAAAGTACAAGATTTCTTCATGTGGTGATGAAAATGTTCTAAAACTAGGAGTAGTCATGGTTGCACATATCTATAACTATACATCATATAAATTCAATTGTATAATTTAAATAGATGAATTTTATGGTATGTGAGTTATAGCTCAATAAAGCTGTTAAACAAATTTTTGAGAAAGAAAAACAACTATGGAGAATTTATTCAACCAGATATTAAGACCTGTAGAGCTATCGAAGTAAAGATAGTGTGATAGTGACGCAAAGATGGGCAAATTGACTGAAGTTGAAAAGAACAGAGAACGTATTGATCACATATGAATGCTGACTTCATGATGAATGCCGTACTGCAGAACAGTGGAGAAACAGTCTTTTAAATAAATATAGAGCTGGGTCAAAAAAAAAGAATATTGAATAAATATGATATTGACTCTATTTTCAAAGATCCCACAATCTTGTTCCATTTTCATAAATCACAAAGGCAAGCTCTGGTATTTAAAGGAAACATTAACTCTTAACATTCTGACTTAGAATTCTCTTCTTCATCCTATGTGAACCTACCCAAATACTGTGAGAGTGCAGAGAGACAGTCAAAGTAATTTTAGCATAATTGAATTACTTACAGAATGTTCTATTAATTATTTTAAGTACTTCTTTTTCTGTACATTTAAAAAAAGGAAATTGCTCTGAAAGAATAAAGCTTGAAGTTTTAGGTCTAGCCTTTAGTTTCATTACTCCCTCTCTACCTCTTTTCCTGGGTAAAATGATCTTTGGCATTTAAGTTCTCTTACTACCTACAGTGTTTTACCATAATCATTCTGCTGCCTCCTAAGAACCATACTGTCAACTTTAAATGTGATAAGCAGCCTCATAAACTCAGAGGTTTCCTTAATTTCATGCAGCGACTTTTAATAGTTTTCCCAACATGCAAACTGAATGCTTTATTCAGTTGCAAATGGTTTTGGAATATTTTTTTGCAGCAAATATGAGTCAAAGTCAATAATATGTAATGAAGTGCTAGCATGTTACTACTTATGAGCATTAAGTCCAGATTTCTGCCAAGATTATCATACAACTATACCATATATCAGATGCAGATTATTTTTCTTTATAGTGTAATGGGAGTGTGTGTGTGTGTGTGTGTGTGTAAGCTTGTTGAGCCCTCTGTAGAGCTTAAGGCAAGCAGCTTCTCTTTCTCTCTATGGCCATATATAGTACATCTATTCCCTTAATTGAAGTTTCAGCCATTTTATCTACCTTATTTTTGCACAGCCTTATTCAAAACAAGCTTAGAAATGTTGAATGTATTTAGAAAGTAATGTACCAATACTGATCAAGGTTTAACATGTTTACGACATTTAACACTGTAATTTCTCCTGTAGGAGATTATCTTATAATCTAAAAGTAGGAAAAGGACTATATAAATAAAAATAGTTTTTATATTATTATCCATGTCAACAAAATAAATAAATATTAGCCTGTGTTTGACACCGTGAGCCTGGGCTGAGGTGGTAGATTATAAGCAAATTATATCTTATCTATTTGATAAAATATTATAACTATGAAAATAGTTATTATGAAGTTTATATGAAAAAGAGAAATGTTAAAGATGTACAGGTGTTTATACTAAAATTTCCCTTAGTCTGATAATAATCATGCAAGCTTTATTTAGTTGGATGCTAAAGACAGAACATCTAATCAAATTTTTAAAATGTTTAATAATATATTTGATAGTTGTATAATATTTTCCATAATAAAGTACAATTAAAATTACATTTTTGGTGAGTAATTGCCAGTTTTTAGCCATTCAATACCAAATCTTTCTTATTATTCAATATTCCTCTTGAAGGAATCCTTTTTATGTATAGACTTTGGAAGTAATGGCCATGGTCATTTTCTTTCTTTCTTTTTTTTTTTTTTTTTTTTTTTGAGACAAGGTCTTGCTCTGTCACCCAGGCTGGAGTACGGTGGTGTGATTGTAGCTCACTGCAGCCTCAAACTCCTGGGCTCAAGCAATGCACCCACCTCGGCCTCCTAGTAGCTGGGACTACAGACATGTGCCATCTTACTCAGCAATTTTTATAAAATAGTTATTTTATAGGCTGGGCACGGTGGCTCACGCCTGTGTCCCCAGCACTTTGGGAGGCTGAGGAAGGTGGATCACAAGGTCAGAAGTTTAAGACCAGCCTGGCCAATATGATGAAACCCCGTATCTACTAAAAATACAAAAATTAGCCAAGCGTGGTGGTGGGCACCTATAGTCCCAGCTACTTGGGAGGCTGAGGCAGGAGAATCGCTTAAACCTGGGAGGCAGAGGCTGCAGTGAGCCAAGACTGCACCACTGCACTCCAGCATGGGCAACAGAGGGAGACTCATCTCAAAAAAAAAAAGAAAAAAAAAAGTAATTTTGTAGAAATGGGGGTCTCACTATACTAACCAGCTGGTCTCAAACTCCTGACCTCAAGCGATCTTCTAGCCCCTGCTTTCCAAAGTGCCCTAATTACAAGTATAGGCCACTATGCCTGGCCTAGTGACCATTTCAAATGGGAAGATTCGAGGCCAGTGGATCACGAGGTCAGGAGATTGAGGCCATCCTGTCTAACACGGTGAAGCCCTGTCTCTATTAAAAATACAAAAAATTAGCTGTGCGTGGTGGCATGTGCCTGTAGTCCCAGCTACTCAGGAGGCTGAGGCAGGGGAATCGCTTGAACCCGGGAGGCAGAGGTTGCAGTGAGCCAAGATTGTGCCACTGTACTCCAGTGTACTCCAGCCTGGGCAACAGAACAAGACTCCGTCTCAACGGAAAAAAAAAAAAAAAACGGGGACGGGGGCAAGTCTGTCCCAATGTTTCCACACCCTGGCACTGTCAGGTAGCAAGCATTTGAATGAGGATTAGGCAAGCTCAGGCTTTCCCTCTAGACTTTGAATCCTGAGTATATTTTATAACAATAAGAAGCTGGTTGGAGATCAAGTTCACAAAAGCAGTGCCAGTTAATCCAGACATTTTTATGAACATGAACTTTATTATGAGAAAAATAAACACTCTAGAACTCTTCATATTTTGCCTGTTTTTCCCAGCCTTTCCCTTTTCACTGTAAGAAATCTTGAATTTTTTCCATTACTCATAACCTAGAATTTTTCCTGATCTACAGGCACACAGGAGACTTCAAGTATTAAAGTTGTTCTCAAGTGCATATGTTACAGAAAATAATACATAGAAATTGATAAAGGAGAAACTTCAAACAAGAGGAGAATGCTGCAGTGAGATAAGAAAAGCAGGAAAAAAAGAAATCAAAATCAAGGAAACCGGACTAAGAAGACTAAGTTTATACATTCAGTGTATAAACAGTATGAGAGAAATCAGAGTTAAAGTGAGCTACTTTAGGTAAGCAAGGTGAGCTTCAGTGAGCCTAAGCAGAAGCTATTTGAATTTAAGAAAAGGAAGACCCTATTCCACCCTAAGATTTTTCTATGCTATAATGGAGAAGGTCTCTGTTTTTCTTTTGTATTTTGTTTTGTTTTAGTCTTCTTTAATTAATATATGTTTTTGTCAGGGAGAGTACAGGTGTTTGTTGATGATGACATTGTTATTCTTCTTGTTTCAGGCTTAGGTACACTAGAAAGGTGATTTCAAGGCAGAACAGACTGATTTCTTTTTGTTTTGTTTTTCTTTTAATCCGAGAGTCTTGTTCTGATCGCATATAGGAAGAAAGATATTGGATAAAACTACAGGATTTGTTGGACAAGGGAATGGAAACACACAGACTTAGAACTGCTGCCTTCTAGAGTCTAGATGAGAACCTTTAAGTTACAGTCAAGCAGTGGGTCATTCCCTCCATCCAACCATAGTTTATCATAGAACCGTGCCAGCCTGAAACATCTAGGTAGCTACCTCTAGAGAAATACTTTGCTCAGTGGAATCATGGGAATGTCATTCTACCTGGCTGAACAGCTTACTCATGGAGGAACTAGCATAGTGGCTTTAGTCAATTATTTCCAGAACGTTCCTTATTGTTCTTGGCTTCTAAGAAGAAAACATAAGAGGTTTTCCTAAATACAATTGAGGGAAACTCTGAGAAAAGAAATTAAATTCTGAAATATCTAGAGGGAGACTCCAAACTAATAAAATTAAGGGATTAATATCAATGTAAACCTTTTGTTTCCACAAAACATAAAACGGGGACATTTTCCATTACATCGATGCTAAATTATGCTATTACTTTATTATGGTAGGCTATATTTTACTAATCTCTACCAGCTTGAAAATATAGCAGAAAGGAAGCCTCAAAACCACGTCGGTCTTCTGTATCACACCATGCCGTGTTCATGCTACCAGACTCACGGAAAGCGCTACCTGGATCAAACACTGCCCATGCCATGGCTTTTCCAAAGGGCTTTTATGTGTTCCCAAATGTAGCTCTTCTGGCTGCCATGTTTTTGCACTCTAGGTTGAATAGGTGCCTAGATTTCTTCCTAAGAGGATTACAGTCTTTGCTGCTACCACACAGTTTCAGAGTTTATCTCTGACTCTTGCTATCACCCAAGACATTGAGATCTCTGCATGCTTCTTCTTTGTGGGCTGTTAGCTTCTGGGTCATTACAGTGCTAACAGCTTGTAACACTTGCTTCTCGGGCTCCCGTACACCGGCATCCGTTTTACTCTCTGTAACCCAGTGAGCTTCCATGCCACCTTTTCAATGAAGAAACTTATTTGCTGCCCTCTACCACTACTTCTATAGATTTTAGTACGTGTGACATCAATGTCTTCAGGAAGATTAAGCATTTAACACTGTTACAGAGTCTCTTATTCACTGGATCCTCTGAAGTCCCTGCCTATGACCACCTGGCCTTCATATCAATACAGCCCTATTTCCTAACCTCCCATTTTCTGAAAATTCTCTCTCAGGTTTGTAAGGGGAACCAGAAGGACAAAACGTTCAGTTAAAAGCATAGTCTTCTTTGAATAGGTTCAAAAAATATTTTAGATCAAGATAATGTAATTCTTATACTAGCAAGGAACAGTTTTTTTTTTTTTTTAAATTGACTCCAAAAGCATAGTCAGGAAGACTCAATCCTTTTGTAACACACTTGATAGTGAGCATGAGGTGGCTAATGAAGAGGTTAAATGAAGGCCTTATATGGAGCTACAGTTCCTGTGATATTTTTCTCTCTCCATTGTACCCAGCAGGACATTGCCCTTCTTCATTAGAGACTGCGGAGCCTGCTTTCCCATCAGTGCAGGGCACAGAGAGAAAAACAAGCGCTGGACACACACGGCTGAACTCTCAGATTTGCAAGACACAGAACTGGAGCTCTCCCAGATGAATAATGAACGCAGCAAGCCATCGTTTTGTCAAGGCTGTTGGAGAAAACAAACCTCCTTAACAATAGCAGAGTCCTGATGCTGAAAGGGAAGTGTCAACAATGGCACACACAGCCTGAGAACATATCCACAGCACATGTTATGCAATAGGACCTTGCATAAAAAGCTGTTAGGTTGGTGCAAAAGTAATTGCTGTTTTGCCATTAAACATAATTGATTAAATTAAATTAAAAATAATGGCAAAACTGCAATTACTTTTGCACCAACCTAGTAACATCCCAGCATAGATCAACCTCAGGAAAGAGCAGGGTGGGGCACTTAAAAAAGCAAGAGGAAAACTTAGATATAACGTTTTCTACCAATTCCATAATGAGAAGAAATAGGATTTTATATCTGAATCTGTTCTTTTATCCTTACTTTATATTCTTTATTTTGTGTGGTATTAAAAATATTTTTACATGTATTATGAAAGAATGGAAGTAGCTGAACGATTATCTTCTTGTAGCTCCAGCCCTGAGGTTGAGTGGGAGACTGAGGAGACCTACAGAACTTAAGGGAGGCTTGGCTGGAATGGAAATATAGCAGCTTCACTTTTTCAGGAGGCAACAAAATGAAAAACAAAAGAAACGAAAATGGGGCTTGCTAAAATTTTTTGTTACTTAGGCTTTTGTATGTTAATTTTAGCCCTTAGAAGGTTGTGTGTGTGTATGTGTGTGTGTGTGTTTATGTATGTATTAGTAGTTTCACTCACTAGGAGTAAACTGGCCTTCCTTTCTTCCTGCTTTTCCTTCCAATGTTTTCTTTAACTTGGGTCATAAACTAAAATTCACTGTGACCGCCAGGTCTGAATGCAGAGGGAGCAGTACAAACTGGATGGTTGTAACTTTAATGTAGATGGATAGGAGGAGGAGTCCCTGGCAAAGGTCTCAAACCCAGATGCTTCTAGGAAACGGGCAAACAAATGAGTGAAGCAACTTCTCTATCAACAGGACCCAGCTCCTACTCCACTCTGGTGAATTATTGTCCGAGTTTCTGGGTTTTCTACAAGAGTCAAGATACTCGGATTTTTATCTAAAATTTCTCTTACTGTGAAACGTTGGTTTCTTCTTTTTTAAAAAATAGACTCAGCCAAATAAAATAAAGAAATATTTGAGTTCCAGGGCCTGCAGTTTTGATCACTTGTGTGGGCCAAGAGCTACTTCCCAATGGCAACCAATTTTGGGAGAAAGGTGCTGAAGATTGACACAGATGAACTTGAAATAGATGGCATTTTAGTGAGGAAAGTTTGAACTGGAGAGCCAAGGATGCTAGATCCGAAATGAGAGGGTGGGAAGGGGACACTAGAGAACATTCTTGACCTTAAATACACTTTAGCATTCTCCTTTATAACTAACTTACCTCTTTAGTAGGGAAATAAACACACGCCTCTCTGCATAACCTGGTACAAGGAAAAGAGGAGTCCCACCTCAGCCCTTCTCCTTACTGGATAGTTTTCCAGGGGCACATCATTCTGGAGAATAATGTTTGAATAAACTAGAGTGACCAGTAAGTAGCAGTGAAACTGTGACCCAGGGGTAGAGAAAGAACCACCCAAGTTGAAGTGTACTAAGGAGAGGACAAATTAATAGGTTCAGTGAAAACAAATAATGTTCTTAACCCATACATTACAAGATGTTATCTTTAAAGGGAGTGAGAAAATGGATATCAGATTGCATGTGAAATTCTGTTTGAATATAGTTTCTGGATTATAAAGACTTGCACATATTACCAATCAGAGTCCTTTCAAGAATTCTTATGAGTAGATAGGTAGATTGATAGATAGATAAACATAGACAAAGACAGAGAGACATAGATAGAATATGACCCATTTGTTATTGCCAAGAAAAAGAAAATTATTCCCTTTCACAGAATGTTGTGATAACTACATATATTTCTCTATTATGTCTCACACATACCCTTTCATAAGAAGTATGGATGAAACTGACAGCCACCATTCTTCGAGTTGTTGAATATATATAATTAAAATGTGTGTGTGACTTATTGTGCAATGAAAAGGTAACTTGGAGGTAGCTAAGAGTTGTAATTTCTTGGAAGAGTAGGTTTTTCTGACTTACGAATACATCCTGGAGCTTGGTATTAGGTATAATGTCCAGTAAACCTTTATTGATTTGGTTTATGCTGTCCCTACAACTGCTAACTCTAAAAGATCAATCAACTGCTCAAGACACAGCACCTAACATGGTGATTTATGGACATTTTTAGTACTTAATAGAACCACTCATTAAAAACTGCTTCCAGTAAACTGTTAATTCATTATATTTTCAAATAAAATAGTAAAGCTGTTTTACGTGTTTTTGATTGCCAAAGAAATAAATGTTGCATCATAACTGTTTTCAAAAAGATAGAAAAGACGTTAAAAGAAATTTAATACTAACCACAAACCCTTCACTGAGTGGTAATCTTACTCAACTGCTGAACTTTTCATTTTTTTTTTCTTGTTGGAACAATAATTAAAAATCAGCAATAAATGTGTTTATCAAAAACTTTTCCCATCATGGAACACATTTTAGGATACCTCAATAGATAGGAACTTATAAGAATGTGTATACTTGTCTTTTTATACATTTTGCCAAATTTTTCTCTGAAACTTTGTACTAGTTTTACTCCAACCAGAATTATATAGACTGCCCTAAATTAGAGATTTAAATTTAAATTTTTAGAAGATCTAATTATTAAAATATACTTAGTAAGATAATAAATCATTCGGTAGTTTTAAAAACAGAAGTAATTAGCATGGTTTTGCAATTACATTCTTTTCATTGCTAACGTTTAGTTATAGGACTATCTTGCAATACCTCATTTTGATGACACATGTAAGCATAGATATGTTTTAAAGAAGAGAAATATGCAGCATTAACTTCAACTTGTCTTTTGTAATTTACATATCACATTTTAGGCAAGCCAAATGCAGAATTTCCAGAATAGCGAACTTATAAGAGTTCAAGAAAACTCAGATGTCTGTTTGTTTTGGAAGCCATTATCACATTACTATTTTCAAACCTGTTGTGCTCACCTGAGGCTCATTTGTAGACCAAAAATGTCAGTGCTCTCTAACTTAATCAGTGAAAAGAAAATAATTACTATTGTTATGCCAGAGCCTTGAAAAAGATTTTTTTTAAGTCTCATTTTCTTTCACTCAAATTGAAAATTAGACTTCAACAATAATTAGTTTATTTTATATCATGGACTGTCGTTACATCTAAAGAAAATGGGAGCTCTCAATTCTTTGAAATATTAAAGTAAATATTATCTAGTCAGAGAACGAAATGGTCCTGAGACTCTTTTATTCTTCAATATGTTAAGTTATGATCAAAGAGCTCAGATTAGAATTAGATGG
The DNA here is from genome assembly GCF_000001405.40 of Homo sapiens. Taxonomy (NCBI): domain Eukaryota; kingdom Metazoa; phylum Chordata; class Mammalia; order Primates; family Hominidae; genus Homo; species Homo sapiens. Next base: position 30,099,650 of record NC_000021.9, on the reverse strand, counting down.
CAAAATAGATCAGATCTTGCTTCATAACTAGACTCTGGCACAGAAACCAGTTGCCTCAATTCCTTTTAGTGTAACAAGTCTTTGCGATGTGCTTACTGGGTGCCAAGTAGTCCCTAGGCTCCAAGAAAGCAAGAACTCATACCAGATCCCAGCACTAGGGCCATTCATTGTCCAGTGAGAAAGTCTACCCTAAAAATCAACTGGCAATGCAATCAAATGTGAACAAAGTTGATTCGGTGGAATGAATAGGTGGGCCCTCAGAGAAGGAGCAAATTGCTCAGCCTGAGATTGAAGAGTGCTTCCTATAATATATGGCACTCTGGCCAAATCTTGAAGTATCTTGTTCCAACAAAGTTAACCTGAGCGTAGGTGAAGAATTAAAAACAGAAAGATATCTAGGAGCTAGGCCATAAGGAGGAATGCAGTCTCAGGAATTGCATGGTTGAGTCCAAGCTTTCCAGAGACAAGGTTACTAGGCAGGTTATAAGGCATAATGGATACTGTCTGGAGACACCAAAGGACAAGAAGGGAATAACAAGACTGACTTGATGTTGAATCAACTACTCAATATGTTGGCTGTTTTTAAGATTACTTTCATGATAGGTTTCAGAGACAGGGAGAAAATACCTGAATTTGGCATTTGAATACTATCATTATGGGGAAAGATGACTATTTTTAAATAGTTTCAACACTTTAGTGAACACAAGATTCATCTGAGATTTTTTTAATGTATAAACTAAGACCCAGATATTATGATTCACAACATTCTGAGTGAGGCTCAGATATTTGGCGTCTAACAAATCGCTAGAGAGTGATTTTGCGGTCCACACTGCTAGGGATGAGAGTCAGAATCTCACAGGTCTCAGCTACTGGAGAGAATAAGGACAAAAATGATTAGGGACAGAAAATTTCCTCCAGAATCTCCAAAGTCAACACATTGGTACTTCAAGAATTCCCAACATCTGCCATCCCCCTCAGAGGTTATGGGCATCAATTTCAAATAGAAAGACTCAGTGTTCAGGTAGGGAGGCAAAATTAATCAATTTATAAATATATATTTTGTATTTTAGTATTTCTATCTAATCATTTGTTTGAATAAAAAGACTACTTATTTGATTGCAACATCAGTAAATTGAAATATGTATACATTTCCCAAGAATAGTTATATTTCAGCCTAGATTTACCACCTTTATATTCTAATACTATGAATAAATGCATTAAAAATTAGCATTTTTAAACCTAAAACACATGCCCGTGACCCCGAAGCAGAGACAATGTATAATACCACAACTCATACTTTCTACAGATAAGTTAAATAATATACAATCACTACTTTCTACAGATAAGTTAAATAATATACAATCACTACTTTCTACAGATAAGTTAAATAATATACAATCACAAAAAAGGGTCTGTGGAAAGATACCAGCATAAACAACCAAAAATAAAGATGAGATAGTTCTATAGAAAAGAGTATTATTGAAATGAATGGATCAGAAAAAAATCAAAGAAAACCAAATCCAGGAGTGGCATTTATAATACAGAATTAATGAAGCACAATTGTTCTCAAATTGGAAATGTCAGTGCCGATGTCTTATTTTCCAGCACAGACAGAAATTTTTAGAAATACCGTCACCACCTACTGCAAATGCCACTGCTGCATAAGCTCCTGTGGGAACCGGATCAGGCTTTCCACAAAGTCGACTGCAGAGAAAGAAGAGGTCACTGAGATCAGAAAACTGTTACGAAAAACAAACTGCACAAAGTTTCAAAAAATGAAGTTTTCTAGTCAATAAAAAAAGATCATGTACACATTTTGAAAGTTCTTATTAATTTATTTTTCTAATTTTTAGCTTTAAGTAGGCAACTAGTGCCAATTTTCTTGCTCCTCCTCTTTCAATGGCTGTTTCCTTTCCGTCAATCACAGGAGTCGGCCTTCAGCCAACCGCAGCCTTCCAGCCCAGCTACACAGCTAAAGAAATCCTGAAAAGAAAAATGTGTTTCCCAACCTAAGTCAGTCAGTGGGATTCATTGTAAGAGTAGGTATTTGATGTAAAACTCATTACATTTGCCAGTTCATTACGACAGAAAAGTTTATAAAACATACTAATAGAAAAAAAAATTGGTCTAAGGAAATTAAACCAGATGCTAGTAGATATTGATGTGGAGTCTGCAGAGCTGGGAGGAATCATGACCGTAGTGAACATTAGCTGCCTGCGTTGTGTACGCTCTGGATGGGTTTCTATTTCTAGAGGTACTGCCTCTACAAAAGCTTAAGCTGTTCCTCCTGCCTAGTGCTTCCTTGTTGTGTGACAGTACAGCCAAGGAAGGGCCATGTGCACAGACAGATTGTCTCTCTGTAGACTGTGGATATGAAGATGAATGCCATACAAACTGGGAAATAATGATTCAGTTTATTTCTACAAGAGGCAGGGCTTTGACAAGAGAGTCAAATGGTCCCCAATGCTCTGGTTCTTGGTCTGTTTCTGAGCCTTGCTCTGTAGATGTGGCTTCCGTTTCATTCTGTGAATTATGTGATGACAACTTCATTGGAATCTTTTCCTTGTGGCCAAAGAAACCTGACAAAATGAGGGTACCTAGCTTTAGAGGAGGTGGGAGAAGGTCAGAGAAAGGATGATGGTGAATTGAGGATGAGGTGAAAACAGCCTCTATTTTGATTCATCAGATAGGTCTGTGCTTACCCAGGTTGTATTTTTTACCATGTATTTGGAATATGATCCCTGTATTGTAGGAGATAAGCTCACTTTTTTCAATGTTAATGCTAAAGTCACTACCCCAAGGAACCCTTCCTTAGCCTCCCAACCTAAAATTTCAATCCCTGCCACTTGATTTGTTCTCCCTGTTTTTTTAAATCTCTTTCGAATTTTTATCTAGCTAATATGTTATATATGTCAGTAATTTACCTTGTTCATAGTCTATTGCTTTACTAAACTTCCATGAGGGCAGGGGTTTTTGCCTTTTTAAAATTACAATATCCCCAAGGCCTAGAATATTACAGACACTCAATAATGTTCATCAAATAGTTGTATGAATAAATTTGCCTTTTTCATAATATTTTAAAAATTTTCAACCTTTATTTTAGATACGGACGGTATATGTGCAAGTTTGTTACATACATATATTGCACCCAGGTAGTGAGCATAGTACCCCATAGTTTTCAACACACACACCCCTCCCTCTATCTTTTCTCTTGTAGACTGCAGTGTCTATTGTTCCCACGTTTGTGTCCATGTGTGCTCAATGTTGGTTCTCACCTATAAGTGAGAAAATGCAGTATTTGGTTTTCTGTTCTTTTGTTAATTCGCTTAAGATTATGGCCTCCAGCTCTATCCATGTTGCTGCAAAGGACATGATTTCATTCTTTTTATGGCTGCACAGTATTCCATGGTGTATATGTACCACATTGTCTTCATCCAATCTACCATTGATGAGCACCTAGGTTGGTTTCATGTCTTTTGCTATTGCAAATAACATGACAATGAACCAACAAGTGCATGTGGTGTCTTTTTGGTCTAAAGATCTATTTTTTGGGGGGTATATACACCCAGTGATGGGATTGTTGGGTTGAATGACAGCTCTGTTTTAAGTGATTTAAGAAATCTCCAAACTGCTTTCCAGAGTAGCTGAACTAATTTACATCTCCAAAAACAGTGCATAAGCATTCCTTTTCTCCACAGCCTCGCCAGCATCTGTTGTTTTTTGTCTTTTTTATCATAGCCATTCTGCCTGGTGTGCAACAGAATCTCATGGTGGTTTTAATTTGCATTTCTCTGATGATTAGTGATGTTGAGCACTTTTTCCTATTTGGATGCCTTTTATTTCTTTCCCTTTCCTGATTGCTCTGACTTGGACTTCTCTTTTTCATATTCTCGCCCCATATTTCCAGGGCTCTCTGAAAATGTTATATAAAATAGATAATCTCACAGAATACTGTGATTAATACTCATTGAAAGCATGTGAGTTTTCATCTAACAATTTTGTCGTAATACATGATTAGTCTTTGTCATGGCATATATTCATCAAAATGACCCAAGATATTGATTAAAGAACATCAGCTTCTAGGCTCCACCTGAGACCTACCTATTGAATCAGAATCCTTTGTTTTGGGACTCAGAAATATGCACATTAACATATTTTTCCATAGAAATCAGATACATGCTATATTTAGAGAAACATTTACAGAAATATAGAATTAAAGGATCTTAAAATTCTATGTGCTACCCTATCAGAGAGCAAGTTGTTCATATGTACAAATCAAATCTTATTTTTGTTGGGAACTTTAGATTCAAGAAATAACAAATAAAATCAACATTAACTTTTATTAACTGTCATATGGAGAGGAGAGTTTATTCAAATTTTACCCATAATTGAAATAGAAGATAATGAGTGTAAAAGGCATAAACATTTTTATAAAGAAGAAAAAATAAATCTGAGATACTTAGTTTGGCTATAGAGAAAAATAAAGCAGTAGGCCAGAATACTTAAAATAAATTAAATCAATAGTTGAGCCCAAAAGAAACAAAAAGATTTACTATTTCCACAAAAGGATATTCTTTAGAATTTAAAAACAGGGATGAAATTAGAGGTAGAAAATAGGTAAAACAAAAGGAAAAGTGAGAAAAAGAGAGACAAGAATTAAGAAGACATTAAATTAAATTTGAGAGAGGATATAAAGGTAGATTTAAGCTCTTGAACTGAAGGGAAGCTGTCTGAAATAGTGTTCCCAGAAGAAAGCCAGGTAAAGGTTAGGGTAATTTTCTCATTGTGGCATGCTTCATACCATCAGATGACAGAGCAGAAGAGTAGAGAACACAGGAAGGCTTTGTACCTGAGTTTACTGGTGTAGCTGCAAAGTTCTTTGAATATACCCATATTCTAATATTAATATATGCCTCTTTTTATTAAGAACAATTATAATTTTATGCCCAGTTTAAGTAAATCCTTACCAACAAGTTATTTCCCCAATAGAAACTAAAATAACTAATTGGCAGAGCCTAGTCTTTCTACCTCTTGCATTTGCTTTAAGTTCTATCTTCAAATCTTACACAATCTTCTGTAGAGAAAAAGGGAATGTCAGGGCCAAGATGGCTAATGGGTAGTCGTCCCTGTCTTACAATTAAGGATGCTGCTTTTCTGGTTCATGGACCCGAAGGGAAAAATATTTCATTTTAATAGGACAGCATGTTGGGGGAGATATGGGGCCAGATGGTTAGATTTTTACAGCATGCCAAGGAGAAATAAATGTCTTTTCCCTAAGGTTTCCCTTTAGTAGGCAAACTGTAACTGTCTGTTTATGCTGAAGAATAGGGCAACACCTCCTGCCTGAGGTACTAGATTTTGGACATCATGAAGTTCATTAGTTCAGTTTAACTCAAATACATTCAACATACAACTTTCTATGTCCCAGATACTTCTCTGGGTTTATGAGGCATAAAACAAACTAGAAGGCGTAAATCTCTGCCCTGAAGCCCTTTATAAAACAGTAGGAGAAATAAAATGTGTATATGAATACTTATACATTGAAAGGTACTATAAGTGTCACTATCAAAGTCAGCAAGCTACGTAAGTTTAACAGAAATTGTGTTTGTATTATTTATATAAAGGCACTGAATTGGTTGGGAAACAAATATTTAAGATAGGTTGAGAAGTTGGAGGAACTGTTTTCCTTCTGTGAAGGGATCAAGGGCTAATATATTTCTTTTTTTATTATACTTTAAGTTCTGAGGTACATGTGCAGAACGTGCAGTTTTGTTACATAGGTATACACATGCCATGGTGATTTGCTGCACCTATCAACCTGTCACCTACATTAGGTATTTCTTCTAATTCTATCCCTCCCCTAGCCCCCCACCTCCTGACAAGCCCCAGTGTGTGATGTTCCCCTCCCTGTGTCCATGTGTTCTGATTGTTCACCTCCCACTTTAAGTGAGAACATGTGGAGTTTGGTCTTCTGTTCTTGTGATAGTTTGCTGAGAGTGATGATTTGAGCTTCATTCATGTCCCTGCATAGTATTCCATGGTGTATATGTGCCACATTTTCTTTATCTAGTCTATCATTGATGAACATTTGGGTTGGTTCCAAGTCTTTGCTATTGTGAACAGTGCCACAATAAACATATGTGTGCATGTGTTTTTATAGTAGAATGATTTATAATCATTTGGGTATATGCCCAGTAATGGGATCGCTGGGTCAAATGGTATTTCTAGTTCTAGATCCTTGAGGAATCACCACACTGTCTTCCACAATGGTTGAATTAATTTACACTCCCACCAACAGAGTAAAAGCATTCCTATTTCTCCACATCCTCTCCAGCGTCTGTTGTTTCCTGACTTTTTAATGATCACCATTCTAAGTGGCGTGAGATGGTATTGCATTGTGGTTTTAATTTACATTTCTCTAATGACCAGTGATGATGAGCATTTTTTCATATGTTTGTTGGCTGCATAAATGTCTTCTTTTGAGAAGTGTCTGTTCATATCCTTTGCCCACTTTTTGATGGGGTTGTTTTTTTCTTGTAAATTTGTTTAAGTTCTTTGTAGATTCTGGATATTAGCCCTTTGTCAGATGGGTAGATTGCAAAAATTTTCTCCCATTCTGTAGGTTGCCTGTTCACTCTGATGATAGTGTTTTTTGCTGTGCAGAAGCTCTTTAGTTTAGTTAGATACCATTTGTCAATTTTGGCTTTTGTTGCCATTGATTTTGGTGTTTTAGACATGAAGCCTTTGCCCATGCCTAGGTACTGAATGGTATTGCCCAGGTTTTCTTCTAGGATTTTTATGGTTTTAGGTCTTATGTTTAAGTCTTTAATCCATCTTGAGTTGATTTTTGTATAAGATGTAAGGAAGGGGTCCAGTTTCAGTTTTCTGCATATGGCTAGCCAGTTTTCCCAACACTGTTTATTAAATAGGGATTCTTTTCCCCATTGCTTGTTTGTGTCAGGTTTGTCAAAGATCAGATGGTTGTAAATGTGTGGTGCTGTTTCTGAGGCCTCTGTTCTGTTCCATTGGTCTATATGTCTGTTCTGGTACCAGAACCATGCTGTTTTGATTATTGTGGGCTAATATATTTCAAAGAGTTATCAGAGCCAAGGACAAAAATCTACATCATCTGCTTAGCTACAGTCTATCTTGGTAAATAGGTTAGGTAGCAATTCAAATAAAAATCAAAATAAACAACTGCTTTACAAAAATAACCAAAGGAAAGTGAATTCAGATGACTTAATCAAAAGTTCTTACCTAAGCATGGAAAAGTTTAAGGACTGATTTTCATGGAAGGATAAACTTGCCAATGAAAATAATAAAAGAATATTAAATTAAAATTTCTTCTGCCATGTACATTGAGGATCTTCTGTTCATATTATTTTTTCTTTAGGCAACATTAATATTCTTGAATATATTTAACATATCAATAAATATTTTAACTTTTGTATATCTTACTTGATGGAAAGGGACCAGTAGTTTGTCACTGATTTAAAATATTGAATTAAAATGGTAGCATAAAATAATATATATTTACTGTAAACATTTTTTAAACTCCAAACCTGGAAAGATTCATTCATTCACACAATTATTTCTAACTTTGGCTTTTTTAAAGTGAATCGAAAACTCATACACATTTAAAGCAACCTGCATATAAAATGATTGAGAAATTTTATGTTGATGCTGTTGTTTTCTCAATTTTTTACAGTTTTTGTTTTGAATCCCACATCCAATTCAACAGTGTTTCTTTGCAACTTGCCTTTATGAAGAGTTTTGAAACATTCACTTTAGTTTTCATAGAAATAACAACTCTCATTCTCAAGTTTCATTGGTTTGTACGACGTTCAGCTAAATTATATTAGTATAATAAATAGGTTGGTAGATAAAAGTGCAACTAACTCCTGATGAGCAACAAATAAAGGTGAAAGCTGCTATGTCACAGTGAACCAGTGAGGAGCTTTCCAGCTAATCAAATATTCTACCGAGTTAGTACAGATTACATTATTACAGTATTATAGAAAACTCTTTATCAGGTCCTGCATTCAATATTTATTGTTGATATTTCACAGTCAACCAAATTTTCCTACTTTGTGTTGATTTACTTGTTGATTCTCAGAAGACAATAATATTCTCTTACTTCTAAGTTCTCCAAAATATACCTGTTCCATGAAAATATAAAAAATGGAAAGCTTTTATTTGTTCCAAGATCATCACTGTCAATGCATTATCATTTTTTGTTTTCCTGGGTTTATTTAAAATTCAAATTTAACTGGGTTTTCAAATTGCCAGAATTTGTTTGCTAATGCTGGCCATCCTATCAGTAAGGCACGTAATGAAATCTAAAGTGGTCTAGTGTCACTAGAGAGCTAAACCTGGAATGGTAGGTAAGAATCCATACCTGAAAGGCCTTGAATATCATCGTAAGAATTTTAAAAGCAACTAAAAGAATATTGCCAATCATGTTTCTAGTAGAAGCAGAAACACAGGAAAGAAGTAACGCACCTGGAAGAATGAGTTTTATTTTGATTTTTTCAGGTATTGGCAATGGATGTTTTGTGAATATTATTATACAACTTAACACCTGATATTCTTTATTTGTCAAAGGGTAGGCATAGGATTGCCTCACATACCGCCAGGGTATGTGTGAAATGAATCAATTGTCCTTGGGAAACCAATGGCAGGTATATTAATATAGAGCATATTTTACTCTCCATTCTGTAGGTATTGATGATCCAATTTGTAGATTAAGTGCACTCCTAATGTACTTCATTTCCTTCTGTCATTCGACATGATTATCAACCTTCACTAATGCACAGACAGGAAAAGAAATGACAATAAAAATCAAATCTCTCCAGTTCAGTAAGACTATTGAATAACTTGTCTATGACAGACACTGTGTTAGACTGAGGAAATACAAGATTGAGTATAAAAATTCCTGAATTGAAGGATTGTATTATGTGGTGTAGAAGCTCATAATTATTTATTGCAAACTACAGTGAAAACATTTTATGATAAAGACTATTATCATATGTATATATGTATGTATATGTGTATGTATGTATGTATGCATATATATATTCCTATATATGTACTTCAATTTTAATGGAAACTAGAATTGCTCTTTCCTTATCCTGATTAAGTTAAGCATGCAGTCAGCCGACAAGTATTATAGAATTGCCTCTGAGGAATGTTTAAGGACCAGTATAAAATACGGTCTGAAAGGCTAACTATATACTGTAATTTTTAACTGCTATGGAGTGAGACAACAAAGTGGTTAGAGTGCTCCGGGTTACTCCTGGAAGAATTCAAGAAGTATGTTGATTTAATGAATAGACATTATTTAAGTAGTACGGTAAAATGAAAGGAATAGGTATTTTTGCCCAGAACGAAGAATATGAATAAAATTAATGGAGATGAAGGCATAAGCAGATGAAAAAAAAGTATTCTGGCTAGGCAAGTATATAGAACTCATCTGGGGTGAATAATAAAGCAGACTAGACAGACTGGGTAAGACAAAAATGTGAACGAGCATGAGAGTAGGCAGAGAATTTTAATGTTAAGGAAGTTGAAAATAGGTTTTTAGATATTTTTTTTAAGAAATCCATGTTAGTGATATATTATAAATTATCCCAAACTGAGCTGCTTAAAGCAATACTTATGTGTCATCTCAGCATTTTCGTGGGTGGGGAATCTGCGAGGGGCTTAGCTGGATGGTTCTGGCTCAGGGTGTCTTAGGCTGTAGCCAAGCCGGAAGCTGGGGTTGCCGTCTCATCGCAAAGCTTGTCTGGGGTTCAATGGTCTGCTTCCAAGCTCTCTCAGATGGTTGTTAAGAGATCTCTGTGACTTGACAGGAGGCTACCTGAGTGTCTTCACTAGGTAGTAGCTGACTTCCCCCAGAGGAAGCAGTGAGAGAGAGAGAGAAAGATGGAGGTGGGGAGGGAGGGAGGGAACAAGAGTACACCCAGGAAGGAAAGAACAGTCTTTTAATATCTAATCTCTTGAGCACACCATCACTTTTGTTACACACTGTTGGTTACACAGAACAAACCCGATCCAATGAGGAAAAAGTCTACACGAGGACAACACTTAGAAGGTGATGATTGAAGTCCCCTGCCAGGCTTAAACAATGTCTTCAGTTACTTTTTCATTGTGTGTGTGTGTGTGTGTGAGAGAGAGAGAGACAGAGAGCGAGAGAGAGAGAGCGCATGCTCACAAAATAGATTCAAAGTGGTGAATCCAGAATCCAGAAGATAAGGTAGGAGCCTGTTGTAAAAAATAATGACCTATAAAGACCGATTAAAGAGCAAATGTTAAGAACAAGTCCATATTAATAAATCTAATGCATAAATCAGTAAATCCTATTTTTAACTTGCAAGGTCACAAACTCTGGAAGAGATTACCCATATTTTCTTTCAGTGTTTTATTTCATCAGGACAATGAATGTAGGTATCCCTGCACTTAGGCTAAATTTATAGATACTCTTTCTGATTTCATCTGGTTTTGTTTTTTTGGGTTTTTTCCCACAGGTTTCGGTTTCAGTGATTCTCACACCAGCTAAAACTTTCTTGTAGGCCCCCGAAGCAGTCTTTTGAAAGTCCACATTGCCTTTTATTTACTGTATTTAGCCTAGGAGCATTTTTTTTGATACTCCTCAGAGCTTTGAAAGCAACTGGTTTTTCTCCCCAGAGGAAATTTGAATAGTTCACAACAGTTGGTAAAATAGCTCAATTCTTCTTTCTTCCAGAAGATGAAACCGAAGATGAAAGAGTGTGATTTTTTTTTAAACCACATTTCAGTGAGGGCTCCCCTACCACCTAAAGATCAATCATATAAAAAACAGAAAGTTCTTCAGCACAAGGATGACTCCTCAATAAAGAGCAAAGGAAAAGTGCGGGGGAATTGGAGACAGGAACATGTCCACAACGGGATAAATACATTCTCAAGAAAAAAAAAAAAAAAACAGTATCCAGCAGCTGATCAAATTCAGTAAAATGTAAAAGAATAGGCATAGAGTTATGGACATAGCTTTAAAATCTCCCCTGAGCAGGAAGCATGTGGCTTAAGAACAGAGGTCCATATACTTTCTAGCTTTCAGTGATCTTTGATGAGCAAATCTCAGCTAACCTAATTACTTCAGTAGAATTCCAAACTAAAGTATAATTACAGAGTTAAGCAGGCATTAGCAGTGAAAATTTAATTTATGTGTCAATTTGTTACATAACTACAGATTAGTTTAGGTGCAATCGTAGTGATATTTTTGTCTCTCTGGTGTATTGGGAGCTATATTCACAAGATCTGCTTTCATGAATAAAACATCACCAGGTCTATTCCAATGTCAGTTGGGGTAACTAAAGCAAAAATAGCCTCTGGGACAAAAGATGGCATTGAAGTGAAGACACCGTCACCTTGGGCTGTGGTGTCACATACAACGATAGGGCATAGAAAAGAAAAACTCTCATTAAGGTCATTTTTCAAATGTCACACTAGCTACTCATAAGCCCAGAAACAAGAATCGATTCACCAGTGCATGCTTTATATACCTACAGTTCAACCTGAAAGTCATTTCTCACACAACTAACAGAGGTGCGCTTGCACACACACACACACACACACACACGCTTTTCAAACAGCACATCAAAAAGAAAAAAAAAAAAAACCAGAATAATCATCCAAACTGAACATTTAAAGTTCCAAATATGATTCAATGAAATGATAATAAGACAAAAATGGAATATAAGTGTTCTAAAGGTTGGCATTGATTGGCTTCCAACATTTGTATTCAAAATTACAACAATGGATGATTTTTTTTCCAATAGTCTCTCCTTCTTTCATTGATTTATTCATAAATGTCTAGCATACATTTCATTTGGTTTTATTTGGTGTAATGAATATTTACATATCTTGTATTAAACAAGGAAATTATTTTTCTACATGAAACCAACTACATTCTGTTAGATAGTCACATCATACTTACATAACCAATTAAAGAAAATTTAAGGATTTAACAAATTAATTCCCCCAATATCTAAATGTCGATTACAAACTCATTTAATTCACATCTTCTTGGACATCTATTGTGGGTTGAACTGTGTCCCCAAATAGATATGCAGAAGTCCTAAACCTAGCACTTAACCTTTGCAGATGTAAGCCAGTTAAAATGTGGTCATACCTGATCAGGGTGAGTGGTAATCCAATTACCAGTGTCTTTATAAAGAGAGGGAGATTTGGAGAAACACAAGCACACACAGAGGGAAGAAGCCATGTGAAGCCAGTGGCAGAAACTGGAGTGATGCAGCTATAAGCCAAGGATTGCAGCAACCACTTGAAGCTGAGGGCAGCAAAGAAGGGTTCTTCTCTACAGCCTTCCCAGGAAGCAGGCATGGCCCAGCTGACACCTTGATTTCAGAATTTTAGTCTCCAGAACCATAAGAAAACAAATTTCTCTTATTTTAAGTGACACAGTGTGCAGGAATTTGTTAAGGCAGCCCTAGGAAACAAATACACATTGTTTACAAAAAGAAATCTGAATTAATTAGTATCACCGTTTCCCTTTATGTAATGTTTCTTTTACTCTGATGACTTCAAGATTGACTCTTTATCTTTGGTTTCCAGAAGCTTGGGAGTGAAGTATTTAAGTTTGATTTGTTTAGTATTCATCCTGATCAATTTGCTTTAAAATTCATGGATTTGTGGTTTGTTGTCTTTGTTTAATTTTGGAATAATTTTAGCCTTTATTTCTTTAATATTTTTGGAATCTAATATTCTAATATCCCTGTCTTCTCTTTCTGTTTGTTTTTCTTTTTCTTATTGTGTGTTTCAGTTTGGTTAATTTCTATTGACCTACCTTCAGATTTACTTACTCCCCCCTCAGTGCTATCCAATTGGCGCAATAACCCATCAAAGAGATTCATCTTGGATATCATGTATTTTGTTTCTAGCATTTTCATGTGACTGTTATCTCTGTGCTGAAATTCTCCAGGGTCTGTGCATTTTGTCTACTTTTTCTACTAGATCCCTTAGCATATCAATTATTAAAATTATCATCTGAGAGTTCCAATATCTCCGAGTCTGATTTTTTTTATCTGTGTGTGTGTGTTCTAATCTTTTATCCAGTACCAAATTTTATGTGTAGTGTATCAGTAGAGACTGAGGCAAATAGTATTTATGCCCAGGAAAAGGCATGAGTGTATGTCTTTCAGTCAAGTTGAGGTTTATGCCTGTGCGTGTATGTGCATGTATGCATGCATGCATGTGTGTGGGGGTGAGGATGGATGGGGAGGGGAGTTTGAGTCCGTCTATTCAGGAGTGAGAGGGGTTTCGATTTCTCATTGCCATCATTGCCTTCAGTGCATCACAGACTTCATAGTCCTCTTGCAGTGGGCCGCTGTCTGCTTAAATTAGGACCCAGTGTGCTGGAGAGTTTTTCTCAGGGTTCCTTTTCTCCCTGAGCTTTCAGAAGTTCCTGCATGCTTGCAGAACACAGAGTCTCTCTCCATGCTCTTGCCCCTTTCCTCAGTGATAGACCACATATTGTGATCTGGAGCTAGCCTTACAGTGGAAACAGTAATTCTTGATTCTCCTGGTCCACGTTGTGCACCCGGGTCTTGGATGTATGTTTTTAAAAAATTGTTCTTGCTCCTCCTCTCCATGGCAGCCAAATTCTTTCTGATATCTATGGTAGATTTGGGGAAAGAGAAACTTTTCTGTCCGGTCCTCAGAGGTAGCAAAATTCTGCTTTGTATTCCTTGTAGGATCTCGGTCCTATGAGGGTTTCCTGCCTTCTAGCAGTTTTTACTTCCCCTTCTTGCACAAAAGCGTAGATCATACCTTCGGCCATGGGAACAGGAGTGTTTCATGTCTTTTCCTATGAGAGAAGGGTCTAGAGGAGGAAGCAGTGTTTCCTTTCTCCTCCAGTGGCAGCCAATCGCCTCCTGGTATTCCTGTGCTACCAAGGGAGGTCTCTTCTGCCTTACCCCAATCTTGAGCACTGGGCAGAAGCCCTTGATAAGAGCTTGCAAATAGATACTAACTCCCCTTGCGCCTGCCGCTCCCAGCTACACCAAAGGGAAACTCTAGCCCACACTTGGCCTTTAGGAATTTCTTAAAATTTTAGCTGATTGCTTCTTACTGGTTTCTATAGAGGTCCCCTCTTCCTATTGTGCCCTTGAAAAGGTGAAGCAGGTCATGTGCCCATATTTCCTCCAAATGGTGCCACTCTTTGGAATTTCATTCATTTTGTTGCCATGGGATGGACCTCACTAATCTGGTAACCTAAAAATAAAATAGGTATTATTTTGTAAGTTACCCAGCTTTTTCTTATGTCAGATCAGGAGCTCCATTCTCTTGAGGTTTTCTGCATCCTTAGGGGAAGCAGAACTCACAGTGTATTTCACAAATATAGCATTCTGATGCACATTCTTGGTTAAAAGCCACTTTTAATACAATACTTGGTTATTGAAGTAGATACATTAAAAATAGTTTAACGTCCCTCAAAAATATATAAAAAGTCTATGGGGAATATTAGAGAGTATAATAATTCTCTGTAGGACAGATGACAGGCTTCCTTAGAAATTATTTCTAGAAAAGGTAAAATTTAAATTTGGTCTCAAAGGATTTAAAGAGATTATTAGGCAGAATAATTCTGATGCACAGCCATGCTTAAGAATTATTGAAATATATTCATGAATAAAGTGCACAAATAGTTGTTATAAAGAGAGTGTGACACAGTTGTTTATAACAGCAGAAATCTGGAAAACACTCCAATGTCTGACAACGTAAAAGGCTCTTTAAATAAATTATAACACACTTATAAAATGGAATGCCATGTAGTCCTATGTGAAAAAAAGTGATTGATTTTTAAGTTTGAAAAAATACTTTATAAAAATACATACAAGAAAATTTAATTTATATGTATATGTGCATATACACAGGCACACACGTATGTAAGGCAAGAGAGATGCACAATTGAATTTTTTGTTGATATTTTAACATTTTTAATTTAAATTTTTTATTGATTGTTCATATTTTAAAAATGTTTCTATATATGTCTTTAATCTTGATATGTAGAAAATAAAAGGCATTAAAATAGGTGAGATTAGAATAAAATAGAGAAAAAGTATAGCCAGAGATGAGATTAGTGCACACACATACACACACACAAATGGTGCTTTGAGTTCCATACCTAATGCTAAATATGATTTTAGCTCTGAGCCAAATTTGGCTCAAAATCTACACACTTTGTTCTGAGCTTTCCTGCAATCACTGAAGAGATGTAACCATGTTGTACAATTCACAGTGTTCAGAAGATAGAAAAAAAAAATAGACTTCCAAGAAGAAACATATTTATTCTTGGTATTAGGATTGGAGAAAATTTTCTGGGTCCTTATGAACAGAAGACAACTGCTAATGGAGTATGCCGCATCCTCAAAAGACATGATTTTTTTGAGGTGGTAAAGAAAGACATGATTTGCATAACTCTGTTTCTTTGGAAGTTATTTGCATGAGAAAAACGTGTCATGGAGATGGGGATAGCAATTTCAGGTGGATAACATAAAATGGCCCAGATGAGTTCTGAGTTCCTTTCTGTTCTGGCTTACACAACAGGTTGAGTTTTAAAGCATAAAGGAATAGACACATCTGCCTGGTATTTGTCCATCCACAGTGTTTCTCTTGCTTCAGCTTTGGCAAAACACTGATGACAAGTTTTAGATCCTATTCTCATATAAGAACCAAAAATGCAGCTCTCCCATACTGACCTTTCCTGAGTGGTGAGGAATGTGATGCAAACAGATACTTAAGCAGAAGTCACCCTGCTCCTACAAGCAGGAATCCCAGGAACCTGAAAACAGAGTCAAAGTCATCACCCAGAACTAATTCCAGCTCCACTTTAACAAGCAAACCAGTGACCAATCAAGACCTCAATTCTCATCACTATAGCACCCGTGGCAACCACTTAACTCCAGAAAAGTCACTGTGATGCAGGACAGGCAAGCCCCCAAACTGGGGCTTAGAGAGGGAGGGTTCTTGGCTTTGCCCAGGAAAGAATTCAACGGTAAGCTGGTGGTGTTAAACAGGTGGGTTAAACAGCAATTTGTATTGAAGCAGCAGTGTACAGCAGCAGACGTACTGCTCCTTAAGACCAGGACTACCCTACAGGCAGTGTGCCCAGAAAAGCAGCTCAGAGGCACTTCAGCAGTCCTGTTTATACTCACTTTTATTTATATGCAAATTAATGGGTGGTTTATGCAGAAATTTCTAGGGAAAGGGTGGTAACTTCTGGATTGTCAGGTTGTTGCCATGGAAAGAGACAGTAACGTCCAAGTGTTGCCATGGCAATGGTAAACTGACATGGCACCCTGGTGGGTGTGTCCATGGAAAGCTGCTTTAGCCTTGGCCCTGTGTAAGCTAGTCCTCCATTTGGTCCCTTGTGAAATCTCCACCTCCAGAGTTGAGTCTGGCCTTTTACCTCAAATGTACACAAATGATGATGACCTTACATTATTAAAAACAGTAGCAACAACAAAAAAACAAACAAAAACCAAACAAAAGCGAAACTCATTAACAACCAGAGCCTGTCAAACAGTAGGTAATGTAAATTTAAGGTGTCCTTCCGAATTAAAATGTTTAAAAAATTAATTCAAAGATAGGGGAAATCTTTCATTGTTTAAGACAGTTGGGGATGCAAGTTGGATAAGTAATATGGGGCACCCAAAATGATGAAGCTTTATTTAGAATATTTGGTTGTATTTTATTTTTTCTTGTTAGTAATTAAATAACATGACTAGTTTTCAACAAAATCCATTCTATTTCATGACAATAAAGCCAGGCCATCTGCATATATAACTGCGCTCTCTTTCCGCTTGCTCTAGTGAAGAAGTCATCATGAGCTACAATGAAAATGATACAGAGTAGTTAAGATAAGTGAAAAAGAAATGATGTCCATGTTTTATCCCTCTGGAAAAATTATCTCAACTCTGAAAGGATTGTTTCTACTGAGCCTGAACTTCAAAATGGGTTCTGTATAAACGTTAATAAATACAGTTCTATGAGCTCTTGGATTTTAGCCTTGAGGTTATTACAGTCTCAGAAAAAGGCTGAAGAAAGGTCATTTAGAATAACCACATGTTATATTTTACTCTAACAAGGTGATAAAGAATATAACTGAAAAGCTACCAACGAAATGAAGATTATGAGAAAGTTGAAATTACCTTGAACCTACTCTCATATATTCTTGGTGTTTGGGACTGCTACAAAATGTAAGGAAGCATCATAAATCTAGAAGAAGGTTCAACTTAACGACAGAAGCCTGAATGTGCCAGTAGGTGAGATTCACCTCTTAGGACTGTCAGATAAACAATAAGATTTTTATTTTAATTTTTTTCAATATCAGCGTACCCCAAATACTTCATGGGACATACTCACACTTACAAAATATTGTTGTATATCCGAAATTAAAATGTAACTGGGTGTCCTGTATTTATCTAGTAAATTGGGTGACCCTACCCTCCCTCTTTTGAGACTCACTTAAAATTTCAGAAAAATAAGAAAACAACAAGTAAATCCACAACTGCAAAGAAAGTGTGTGTTGGGGGATTGGTGAAGGCATCAGCAGAGGGAGATAGTTAAACAAAATGGTCTGAAAGAAAGCAGGTGGAATAATGTTGGCAAAGCAAAATGTAGAAAGTTGGCTGCCCAGAATTCCTGAGATGGAATTGCAACCGAGGCAGCTTTCCTGCCCGGCAGCACCCTGGAAAGGTCTGGTCATAGAGAGGATGAACGGAATTGGAAGAAAAGCTGTACCCCAAAGAGTTGTTCTCCTATATATCCCAGTATCACATGCAGAACTGCAGACAGCTAAGCTTTTATATCTCCTGCCAATATAATAAAAATAACCATAGTAACAAACAGCTCTTTCCCAAAGCAATGGAAAGAAGCATTTGGCAGAAATAGGCAGATATGATAGACTGGTTGCTCTCCACCTGGGACTGGTTTCTCAACATCTCACCCTAATGCAAAGCCTTCCCAGCATGTACGAAGAGCTCAAAAATATTTAACAATAATAATGACAAAGATACTTAATACTAGGACAGTCAGTCAGGCCAAGCACAAACAATGCTACATGAATATTGCTAGGTAGCAGCTCAACAAAGGGAAATGGAGATTGTTCAGACTTGCTTCTCCAGGACAGAAAATCAAGCAGGGATTCAAGATAGAGACTAAATTGAAGAATGTGTGTGCCTCTGGATGGAATAACTTCAGTGCTTTACCTCTTGAAAAATTAAAGTTCTGGACAATGAGTCTGAGAAGCAGGAGGAGCCCTGACATATATCGTAGCTGTGTTTTTATTGTGAGCCTCCACAGTAAAGGATTACTGCCTTTTAAGAGAAGAGCCCCTTTACCACTTACGGCACATTCAGAAGTGAGCTTCTGTATGATTAAAAGCCTTTATCAAAAATATCCCCATTGGATAACTGAATCTTTCTGTCAAGCGTATTCATAATTAATTGACACTAACGAAAAGCCTAGAGGTGCCAGTGGCCCTTTACAAGCTATTAATAAGAATGCATTGTATTGGGAGGCTGAGGCAGGTGGATCACAAGGTCAGGAGTTCGAGACCAGCCTGGCCAAGATGGCGAACCCTCATCTCTATTAAAACACAAAAATTAGCTGGGTGCGGTGGCAGGTGCCTGTAATCCCAGCTACTTGGGAGGCTGAGACTGGAGAATTACTTGCACCCGGGTGGCAGAGGTTGCAGTGAGCTGAGATCGCACGACTGCACTCCAGCCTGGGCAACAGAGTGAGACGCCATAAAAAAAAACAACGAATTGTAATTAAATTAAGGCTTGTCCAGCATTTTTTTTCATAAATATTTGAAAATATGACTTTAGTAACTAAAAGTATTTAAAGAAAATATGGAAGGCAGAGAGAAAAAAGTGTAGCTTTCTGAACTATACACACACACACACACACACAAATATATCACTTAGGTGAGATTTTCATCTCATTTTCACATACAATTTTTTTTTTGCTCTGCAACCTATATGGGACCACACATTGAAAGAAGTAGATTTTCTCCTGAAAGATAAATAGCAAGTTTCTGGAGAAATGAATGTACAAGCATTATGCAGAATTGTTTGCTCTTTAGAAATTGTTCATGTGAAAAATTACACTGCAAGCTACAGAAAGCCTATAGAGGCTAGGGAGGAAAACCAGTGACCAACAGACCAGTAAGATGTCTTTATTAGGAGAAGACACTCAAATAGCCAATGAAAAGTACACACCTGAGGTCTCTGAGAAGAAAATTCACCCTTATTCAAAAGGAGCAATGTCAGTTTCAGTCTAAAACCTGAAGACATTGTTGAGTTCCAGAGAATGGATATTCTAGGTGCTAATCAACTTTTCTTGGCCCTGACAGAAAAAAATCATCCAGGGTTCTTCAGGCAAAACTTTCTTGCCTTATTAATTAAAGCTACTTAATTAAATGTATACATGAGATAATAAAACTCTCCCATCCAGAATAGACTATAGATGTAAGAAGTGTGAAAACAAGTAATGTTAGTAGAAAGCTTGTTGTTGAAACCAAGCAAGGAGTATATTTCTTTACTAATTTGAAGAAGAATTAGAGGTTTTGTTTGTAAGGTTTTTGTTGTTTTTCAATCTATTGTAATTAAAAGGCATTGCAGAAGCAAAGGTATATTCTGATGAACTGAAGTCTCAGACTCCACATACCACTTTTCTTTATTATTTTGTCTATTCAAGGGCAGATGTTCCATATTTGTGGGAAGATCTAAGCAGAAAGAATTAAGTGGTAGACTATGTTTTCAAAGATTGACATCTGTTTTGTTAAAACCATTGAACCAAACACAGTATTCAAAACCAAAAGCCAGTTTAGGATGGTTTTCTTTGTTAAAGCAATAGTAGGGCATGCTCTAGCTTTTCCACACAGAGAAATATGTTCGTTGATTTAAAAAAATATTCCTTGTACTTTCTCTCTCCCTCCATTTGCAGTTCCTCCCTTTAAGAGATGGAGTCTGTTTCTCTGCCTTAAGTTGACCTTTGGACTTATTTTGGTCAATAGAATGCAGTGAAAGTAACCATGTGCTGAATCTAAGGCGGACGTCAGTGGCTGTGTGGGTTTCCATGCTCTCTCAGAACTCCATCACTGTCCTGTGAACAAATCCAGGCTAGCCTGCAGGAGTGAGACACCATATGAAGAGATCCCAGTTATCACAGCTGAGGCCATCCTAGACTTGTTTGCAGCCAGTTGATTCTGGAGAACGTGAGAAGGACCAGCCAAGGTCATCAGAGCCACGTTTGCCACACCCACAGCTAACTGAAGCTATGTGCCTGGGCCCAGCTGTGACCAGAACTGCTCAGCTAACCTGGAGACTCATAAGCAATAAAGGATACTTTTGGGTCTATAATCCACTGAAATTTGGTTGGCTTGTTACACAGCAATAGCTAACTGATACAGGACAGCAGTGGTAGATTTAGAGACCAAACAATGAAAATGAGATGTCTTTCATTTTCTTTAAATGTATATAGCCAAATATAGCAAAAGTTTTCCAAAGTATTAAAAAAATAAATAAAAAGTCAGTCCTGAGAATCAGACAGACCAGAGAAAGAAGTTCAGCTACAGAGTTCAGGTGCAAAAATGCATCTCTTAAGAGGAATAAAGAACATCTACTATAACTCTGGTGATTATATCTTGGAGGCTAAAAGAGCAAGGCAAAAGTGCAATGGTAAGGGCAGGGTCCTCTTTGGAGGACAGGACAGCGATTCAGCAGAGAAGTAAAAACAGAAAAAGGAGTTGGCTTAGCTTTTGGCTCTAAAAACAAAATCTCCTATAATACCTTCATTTTTATCAATATACTTCTATTTTAAGATGCATACAAAGAAGAAAGGTTTTAGCTTCTGTTACTCCAGCTTCCTTTTTCTAGGGTCTTCAAACGTGTTTCTATTCTGTTATTTGTGTCCCTACACAGGGCCCAGGTTTTCTAATTTCTATATGAAGGCTGCTTTTCAGAAAAGGGTACCCAGCCTGGGCAACACAGAGAGACCATGTCTCTACAAAAAATATAAAAATTAGCTGGGCATGGTAATGCACACCTGTAGTCCCAGCTGCTTGAGACACTGAGGCAAGAGGATCACTTGAGTCCAGGAGTTCAAAGCTGCAATGAGCTATGACCTTTTTTCCTAGATAATTAACTTCTTAAGAGAAATCAAAATCAAGCCCTACATGAAATCATTTAGCAAGGAGATGGAAAATACATGATATTTTCTTGAGAAATGGAAGGAGGTATGGAGGCTGGGACCCATTCTAATTCTATGCAAGTCTAGGCTCTGCACGGCAAAGGGGCATCTAACGGTTGGCCTCCTGTAGAGTGGATACAGGGCTAATTGTCCTGTACTGAGGCTGGTGAAACAACAAGACCTTGAGCCTGGGTTTCTCACTGATCTTTTGAAGGGCTTACTTTATTTTTATCAGCATTTCCTAAATGTACCTTAACTCCCTGCCCTGAGTCTCAATGGGATTATTGCTCCCAGAACAAAAAATATATTGAAAGATTAAAAGTGCAACTTAAGAATTCAGTGGCATTCAACACTGGTAGCACCCCTCTGGAAAACAACAGCATGGCCTCTACCTCCTTACTAGAAGAATGCCTGTGACATCTTGGAAATGACTGAATGGTTCTTTCTATCATCATTTTTCCCAGAAGGATAAGAACACAGGTATTTTATTTCCCTTGTTTTTATTAAAGAAATGTTGGATATTATTTATACAACTTAAGACTTGATTACCCTTAACACTGGAGTCGCTATTTGTACCAAAATTCATCTTTCTAACTAGCAGCACTAAAGCTTCTCCAGTATGCCTTCCCCCATGCCCCGCCCCCTGAAAAATGTCTCACATTTATGTTACCTTTGCATTACAGCATTCACCGCTCTACCTGGCTTGCTTCCTCTTTTTCTTGCTCTTCCTTCTCTCTCTCTCTCTCCCTCTCTCTCTTTCTCTGACCTAAAAAGCAATGGGAAGATCCTTTTCCATTGGTAATGGTCTCACAGGCAGAGAAGATACCTAAAGGTAAAACTTGAGGAATTACCCTAGAAGTTCTAGAACATGAACAGGGAGGTGTAGGTCAGTTTTCTACTGCTCATGTCACCACAAATCTGGTGGTTTAAAGCAACAAAGGATTTTATCTTACAGTTCTGGTGGTCAGAAATCCAAAACTGAGTCTTAAGGGGCTAAAATCAAGGTGTAAACAGAAAGGATATAGAAGGGATGCTATTTGTTTGCCTTTTCTAGAAGCCACCTGCATCTTTGGGCTCATAACCTCTTCCTCCATCTTCTAAGTAACTCACGTAGTATCTTCTCTCTCTGACTCTGCTTCTCTCCTCTTTGTCATTACGCAGAATTTTTCTGACTCTGACCCTCCTTCCTTCCTCTTAATAAGGACCCTTGCAACTACATCGGATCCCCCTGGATAATCCAGATTATCTCCCTATCTCAAAGTCCTTGATTTAATCACATCTGTAAAGTCCCTTTTTGCCATGACAGGTTTTGGAAATTAGAACATGGATCTCTGTAGGAGCCATTATTCTGCCTACCATAGAAAAGTAACAAGGAAAATATTTTTTAAGTTTTTCTTTGGGTATGAACTGTGTCCTAGGCAACTATATGAGTTTGTTTTCATGCTGCTAATAAAGACATACCCAGGACTGAGTAATTTATAAAGGAAAGAGGTTTAATGGACTCACAGTTCCACATGGTTGGAGAGGCCTCACAATCACGGCAGGAGGCAAATGAGGAGCAAACGCACATCTTACATGGTGGAGGCAAGAGTCTGTGTGCAGGGGAACTGCCCTTTATAAAACCATCATCTCTCATGAGACTTATTTACTACCATGAGAACAGTATGGGAAAACCACCCCCATGATTCAATTATCTCCACCTGGGTTTTATTACAATCCAAGGTGAAATTTGGGTGGAGACATAGCCAAACCATATCATTTTGTCCTTGGCCCCTTCCAAATCTGATATCTTCACATTTCAAAACCAACCATGCCTTCCCGACAGACCCCCAAAGTCTTAACTCATTTCAGCATTAACTCAAAAGTCCATAGTCCAATGTCTCATCTGAGATAAGGCAAGTCCCTTCCACCTATGAGCCTGTAAAATCAAAAGCAAGTCAGTTACTTCCTAGATACAATGGGGGTACAGGCATTAGGTAAATACACCAATTTAAAATGGGAGAAATTGGCCAAAACAAAGGGGCTACAGACCCTATGCAAGTCCAAAATCCAACAGGGCAGTCAAATCTTAAAGCTCCAAAATGATCTACTTTGACTCTGTGTCTCACATTAAGGTCACGCTGATGCAAGAGGTAGGTTCCCAGGGTCTTGGGCAGCTCTGCCCCTGTGGCTTTGCAGGGTACATCCTGCTTCCCAGCTGCTTTCATGAGCTGGCATTGAGTGTCTGCAACTTTTCCAGGAGCACGGTGCAAGCTGTCGGTGGACCTACCATTCTTCAGTCTAGAGGACAGTGGCCCTTTCCTTACAGCTCCACTAGGCAATGCCCCAGTGGAGACTCTGTGTTGGGGCTTCAATCCCACATTTCCCTTCCAAACTTCCCTAGCAGAGGTTTTGCATGAGGGCTTCTCCCCTGCAGCAAACTTCAGCCTGGACATCCAGGCATTTTCATACATCCTCTGAAATCTAGGCAAAGGTTCCTGAACCTCAATTCCTGACTTCTCTGTACTGGTGGGCTCAACAACACATGGAAGCCACCAAGGCTTGGGGCTTGCATCTTCTGAAGCCATGGCCTGATCTGTACCTTGGACCCTTTTAGCCATGGTTAGAGTGGCTGGGATGCAGGGCACAAAGTCCCTAGGCTGCACACACCAGGGAGGTGCTGGGCCCGGCCCACAAAATCATTTTCCCTCCTAAGCCTCCAGGCCTGTGATGGGAGGGGCTGCTGCAAAGGTCTCTGACATGCTGTGGAGACATTTTCCCCACTGTAAATGGGGGGAAATTGGCTCCTTGTTACTTATGCAAATTTCTGCAGCCAGCTTGAATTTCTCCTTAGAAAATGAGTTTTTCTTTTCTATTGCATCACCAGACTACAAATTTTCTGAACTTTTATGCTGTTTTTTTTTTTTTTAAACTGAGTGCTTTTAACAGCACCCAAGTCACATCTTGAATGCTTTGCTGCTTAGAAATTTCTTCTGTCTGATACCCTAAATCAGCTCTCTCAAGTTCAAAGTTCCACAAATTTCTAGGTCAGGGGCAAAATGCTGCCAGTCTTTTTGCTAAAACATAGCAAGAGTCATCTTTAATCCAGCTCCAAACAAGTTCCTCGTCTCCATCTGAGATCACATCAGCCTGGATTTCATTGTCCATATCATTATCAGCATTTTGGGTAAAGTCATTCAACAAGTCTCTAGGAAGTTGCAAACTTTCTCACATTTTCTTGTTTTCTTCTGAGCCCTCCAAACTGTTCCAACCTCTGCCTGTTACTCAGTTCCAAAGTCACTTCCACATTTTTGGCTGTCTTTACAGCAGCATCCCACTCTGTGGGCACCAATTTACTGTATTAGTTTGCTCTTATGGTGCTTATAAAGACACACCTAGGACTGAGTAATTTATAAAGTAAAGAGATTTAATGGACTCACAGTTCAACATGGCTGGGGAGGCCTCACAATCATGGCAGAAAGCAAAGGAGGAGCAAAGGCATGTCTCACATGGTGGCAGGCAAGAGCGCATGTGCAGGGGAACTGCCCTTTATAAAACAATCAACTCTAGTGAGACTTATTCTCTACCACAAGAAGAGTATGGGGGAAACTGCCCCCATGATTCTATTATCTCCACCTTTGACACATGGGGATTATCACAATTCAGTGTGAGATTTGGGTTGGGACACAGCCAAACCATATCAGCAACATTTAAGTGTGTCCCCATATACTACTCAATTTATCCTTATAAAACCCTGTGAGATATGGATTATTTTCCCCTTTAATAGAAAATTAAATAAATTATTATCATATTTAGCAGAGCTAAATTTGTCATAAGTGTACCTCTATAATTGTGTAAAATTCTCAATTAAAAATGAATTGCTTAAATAGGTCTATTTTAGGAGACATTTTGAAAACTTTAAAAGATATTCAATGATTTTTGTAGTCATTAACATAAATAAGAACGCTTTTTCTACTAATGTTTTGACTTGGGTTGACCCATGACTTTAATAAATAATAGCAAGATTGTTTTGAAAATCAATTTCAGATGACACAGATATTTATCGGTGACTTACACTAACAATCAAGAAGGCATAAATCTGAACAATATTTTTGGCTTCCCATATATAAATTGGTATGTAATATCTTCTGGAATTTTTGCTTTTGGGTAATGTAAATTATATAATTAACCTATGATCAACCTATTGCTCCCTTTTAGACCAAACTTATTGTATCAGTAAACCATAAGAAAAAAATAGATGTTCTGTAAAAACATTTACTCAGAAGCCATTACTTCTTATTTAAGGGAAATGTATAATAGCTCTTAAATATTGACTCTTAAGACTTTTTGACCCTACATTTCTTATATGTCCAAGATACAGAAGCAAATTTTATGAGTGTTTTTTCTATACTGGTCATTATATCAGAATTGGAAAGTGAGATGGTAAGAGAATCTAGTTACAGAAACATAATATCAATAACTTTGCTCATTTTAAAATTCAAGAATCCCACTAGAAAGATTTGGGCTCCCAAAATGAAGGCATAGTGCTATAGTCTGAATGTTTGTACCCTCTAAAATTCATGGGCTGAAATTCTAACCCTCATGGTGATGGTTTTAAGAGGTGGGTTTTTGAGAGATGATTATGTAATGAAGGTGGAGCCCTCACGCATGGTATTAGTGTCCTTATTAAATGAGGCTCAAGGGAGGTTGTTTGCCTCTTCCATCATATGAGGATGGAGCAAGGAGATGCCTTCTATGAACCAAGAAGCGAGCCTTCACTTGATAATGAATCTTCCAGTGCCTTCATCTTGCACTTGTCAGACTGTGGACTGTGAGAATAAATTTCTCTTGTTTATAAGCCACCCAGTCTATGGTATTTTGTTATAACAACTAGAATGAGCTAAAACATATAGTCTGCTAATGCTTTTTATGTCTCAGTTCTGTTTCTATGAAAATGTTAACTCACGCTATCTTGCTCTCAACCTGTACATCCTAGTATTATTTAAAAGGATCATCAATACACATATTGGTATAAAAGGCCTGAGGATGAACAAGCTCTGAGAGACGGGACAGGGGAATAGAAGTGTCACTGCCCATGGTGTATGAAGATGGCACTATCCACTAACAAAGGCAGTGCCACCTGATAGCTTCAAGTTGTGTGATTTGGCAGCAGACTTGAGCCATATGCCTGGGACTGGATTGTACACTACTGCCGGGTTTCCGCTATCACTAGCCGAGTATATCCTTTCCCTTATGGGAAAAGCCCTCCTTTTCATACCTGGCATTAATATTATTAATTCTATTTGTTTACTGATGAATATTTTCAGGCTAAGTGAAGCTCCTTGCCTTCCAAAAATGAAGAACAAACATTTTGGATTCTCTGATTAAGTGACCAAGAAATTTAACCCTTTCAGCTACATCACACAGATAACTTCCTTATTCTGTCTTAATAGTCAAGACAAATATTTTGACAAGGATGGAAACAGGCTAAATGGTAACAAAACCAGGAATTCTCTGAAGACTCTTATAAACCAGAATAACTAAAACATCAGAAATGTAAATCCTGGTAGTAAAGAATCTGTTCTAGTTTAGACCAAGTTACATGTGCATGATAATTCCTAGACCATCGAATACTAAAATGTGGACTCATTGGAGAAGTGAATCAGCAGCAACTTGCAGCACTGGGACTTGAGGGCGTCACCAGGCTTGGTTCACCACGGTGCCACCCTCTGGCCTTTTCAATGTATGCAGTCTTCAGCAAGCATTTCCTTGAGAACCTGCAACGAAATTAGCATGTGCTAAACACAGGGAAGGCACATATGAAAGGATTTACTCCTGTTCTTTGAGAAAGGCATACAGAGCTTTAAGGTCTATTAGCATCTTGAGGTATCAAAATAAGCAAGTGGCCAGTAAAAAATGTAAATAAAAGAGGATGGGTAAAGGGAAGAAAAAGGAAGGGAAAGAGCAAGGAAGATAATGCACTAATTAGTGAGGTAAGGTATGTATTAAAGACAGTAAATAATAAGCCAAAACAACATAGGAAAAAATAGGGTAGTATCAAATGAAGCATGGTAAGACTGGTAGACGTTTGGGATCATGGCCTAGTGAGTCAAGAGACTGCCTGATTCTGGTTACACAAGACATATTGGATAAATATATGCAACTTTTGAAAGAAAACGTGTTCATTTGTGGTGTTTGGAACTTGTCCTCTGTTTTCTTTTTGTCTCTCCTGTTCGGCCCACCCTTTCTTACTTACAGAGCATCCTTGTTACTCAGCATCCCAACGTCTTCCCACGATCACGTGCTTCATTAAGCAGCCGTGACCATCTCTTCTTGCTCCTCAGTGCTCAGTTTAATAATGAGCACATGAGAAATTCTGCTCATTAAAGAAATAGAGAAGAATGCTGGAGGCTTCTTGGAAAGATGGCTTGCCTGCCCCCATCTCCCATAAAAACAACACTGGAGAAAGGCACGTCTCTTCTTTTCCTGGAATTTCTCAGGTTTTCACATGAGCAATGGACCTGCAGCAGAAATCACAAGGGGAGCTCCCCTGCAGAGAGAGCCAATCCACGAAGTATGGCAAGAGTATAAGGACAGCACGGTGAAACCCCGTCTCTACTAAAAATACAAAAATTTAGCCAGGCATGGTGGCGGGCGTCTCTAGTCCCAGCTACTCGGGAGGCTGAGGCAGAAGAATAGCGTGAACCCGGGAGGCGGAGCTTGCAGTGAGCCAAGATCGCACCACTGCACTCCAGCCTGGGCGACAGAGCGAGACTCCGTCAAAAAAAAAAAAAAGAGTATAAGTACAGAAAGCACTTGGACTCCTGATGAAGTCATTGAGCCACTAAATTCGCCAGCTTGGGAGCTGCCCTGTGTTAGTATACCTCCCTCTGTTCAATAATGTATTTTCTCCACTATGTAAGATAGTTTGAGTTGAGATTTTTATTGCATGCATACAAATTAGTGTATTCTCTAATTTGTTATCCACCTACCTCATGCTTCAACAGTACTTTTATGTGGTGACACGCTAGGGAAATGAAAATCCATGGAAATGAAGTTAATACATTTCTCTCTTTTAAGATGAGAGGGATTGACAATAAAAAAAGAATTGTAAAGATTTCATATAAATTGCATATAGGCATAATATATCTTTTTGTTATTTTTAAAATTCACAAAAATATCTTCAACTGGAATGGTATCAGACAATATAAATCTGGTATTTGGTGCTTTCCTTACAAGTTAACTAAGTTAGATACACATATCTTATTCTAAATTCTTGGAACATATACATAAAGATTTGTATAATCTGTAAGGAAAAAGAGGAATGAAACTTTAAAATGCATAATCTCATATTATTTCGATAAGAATTATTTTGAACGTTTAACCTTGAATTAGAGATGTAACTGCGGCACGAGGATTTTGCAGTCTTTAAACATTTCAATGAAAAACCAAACACATTGTTTAGTTGGTACTATGTAAATCAAATATCTGACAGATATTTAATATTTCTTTATAATGGATTCAGTGTCACATAGCCATATAACTGACAAATCAAGAGTTTTCTAGGACTTCCTAATTCTCTAAATGAAGTTTCATGTGCTAATCGCATAGCCTCCCAGACATAGCTTCTTAGTTTCAATATTCATGTTTATTGAAATGTCTGTATGCGTGCCCTGGACAGAAACTAATTAATGAATGAAATCTACTTATAATTTGACAGCTGTTAATTCTTCATTAGCTGCACTTTTAAAATTTGTATCTATTTGGAAAGAAACATGTTTGTCATTTTCCAAGAAAGAAAAGTAAAATCTAATCTACTCGACTTTTATGAATTTGTGAATTAATGCAAAAATAAAGCAAAATGATAACTACCTAAAAGCTGTTCAGCTCTCTAAGACTGCACTACAACCTGTGTGATCCCTATTGCTTCCAGAAATATAATGATGGTTTTGCCTTTTTATTTTGATTAAAAAAAAAAATCAACTGTTTTTTTCCCCAAACTGTCAGAATAAATGATATGTGGTAAGACCCTTGGAGCCATTATGTAAAAGTTAAGCCTGCAAATTCACTAATTTATGGGAAAAATAAAGAAAAACATGTCAGAGTTATAGAGAGAGTGGCTTTTAATTGGAAGTTTGAACTTACAGTGTAAAATCTTAGTCTCCCAAGGTTGTTACTTTCTGAGTGAATGGAAGAAAATAGGGTAATTGAGAAAAGAAAACTGTAACTGGCTTTCTGTCAGTTTTCTGGCAATGCCCAGTGAATAGAATTGTTGAAATTCAGCAAAGGTACCAAAAGAACCCTTATGCCGTGATATAAGCATCACCCAAGTGAGTTGAATGGACCCATTTTATTCCCTCATCATTTTCCAAGCACATAGGAACATTAACATTTTGTTCTTGCCTGCTGTTTCATAAAGTTGTGTTGTATTCAACTCTTGCTGCGTTTTTGGCAAAATTATTCTAAAGGATAGCAATTAAATTTTATGTAAGTTGACATTTATATCTTTCCAATGAATTGTTTATTTGAAGATAATTTTAAAAAACTAAATATTTTCATGGCAAAATGTAGATAAAAAGAGTTGTTTAGATATTCCGCTTCTTATTTATGTAATTTTTCATATTTCAACATCTTAGAGTTACAATTAATAACTCTAATTAATACTCTAATTGATATCCTTCTCCCCATTTACTATTACGTGAAATAATGGTACAAATTATTAATGGCATCTAAGTTGAGATGAAATACAGTAGCTTTACTATTCTAATAATGTCTCATGCATTCAGAATCTCTCACAATTTAAGCAGTGTGGTCTTTTTTCTACCCGTCTAATTCATGTGGGCTTTGAAATGTGTGTCCTCCCTCCAATTTCATCTTCCATGGCCACCCAGCTCTACATGTCAACATTTTCAACATTCTGCTCAAAATTCCAAGGCTGAATTCAACTTCTATTCCCTTCTAAAAGCTCTCCTTGGTTATCCAAACCAGAAATGTCATCTTTATTCTTTAAACTACTACTCCTGTTTTCTTAGCTGCAACCTTAGTGCTTTTCATAAATTGCCTCTTATTAAATGTGTGTGTATCTGTGTAGCCACATGGATACAGAATTCTGAAACAATGTTTTTATATTCAAATGCTTAGCCCTGTGTTCAAGGATTTCCCTGATATGTTCCCCAAATGATTGTACATTCTTACTTCTCACTGGTTCATTAAGATTTTTGTGATACTGTTGTCACAGTGCAGTAGTTGATGTTATTTGAACACTCAGCACATCAATGCTTCCATGATTAGTTCATGATTCTTCCTCAGGCTGTAATATCCTTTCCTAATTCACTTATCACAATAAATCATCTTTTGTGATCCTGCTCAAATATTGTAGATTAAAAATATCCTTCAAGACTCTCTGCCAGATTTAATTATTTCTTCTTCCTTGCACATGAAGTTATATTGCATATGCTTCTCTAAAACATATTATTCAGCCTTTCTTTGAAATTTGTTTTCTCCCCTGAAGGATTGTAAACACTTCTAGGACACAATTTTTATCTTACGTATTTTGTTATTTTCAAAGAATCCCAGGCATAAAAGATATTGTTCTTCCTACTGTGTTTTCATTTTTTATGTGACCATCTATAAGAAACCCTATTCTTCGTTGCATCTGTAAAGTGAAAGTGGCAAGTTCCTCTATGAGGTGAAGGTATAATGCCTCGTGCCTAGTTAAGCATTGCAAAGTATTTAAGTTGAGAATCAAGACTCAATTGTCTGATTTTCTGCCAATCCTGGGGATGTTATTGGGTCTGTTCTAAGCAGAACCTCATAGAAGAACTTAATTTAGTAGGAATTTATGTTTGTCTAATGATTTGCTGAAGTTATCCATCTACAATCTGATTCAAAACATCATTTCTTCCTAATTCAAGGAAGGGAAAGAAAAACAAATCTCTGCATCTATGAGGAAGTGACTCCCAGAGGCTATTGATTGTTATGCCAATGGCAGTTCCCCCCTTACTTATTCCTGATAATTTATAGGGAAAAAAATGTGCTTAAGGAAGTCATGCTCTTCCCCGCAACCCTAAGGATGAACCGTAATTGATGAAAGGAGGGACATGTGACAAAATTATAGACAGCTGCAAATAAAAAGTTGTCCACTAGAGCTTCTTACTTGATTGCTAATAGGCATAAGTTCCATTTATACTGTTGCCAATTAAATGCTGACTCCACTGGCCCTCTCACACACAGCAAATATTAACTCCAGACAAAATACCAAAAGGAATAGCCTGGAAGTCCCTGAAGTGTAAATAGAACAGGCAAAATCTGGAGGTAAATGGACACAGAGAAGAAGGAAACAACATTGTGTTAGCTCCAATTTTAGCCTTTAGCCTGCAAGCGTCAGTTACTATTGCCCATGGTGGCCAAAATTTCAATAGAAAATTCACAGAATTCCTGGCCTAAAGAACCAAAGGGCAGACTTCATGGCAACCTTAGCTTCTAGAATGTGAGGGAGATATCCAGGAAAGAAAAGAGGCATAGAGAACGGCAGACTCACATTTTGAGTATAAACTCTACCCAAATTTCCAGCTCATACCTAAACCACACATATGCACCTCATATTCAGAGGAATCCAGCTAAGAATAAAATAACTAAACTGAAATTTGACCTATTGCTGAAAAGACACAGCTTGCAGTTTGAGTCCAACAAAGTAAACTGAATACCAAAACAACAATAACAGCAAAAACAACAAAAACATTTTCTGGAGCAATATAAAAAGATCCAGAGCCTTCAAAATAATGTAAATCACAAATTCAGGACATGATCCAGAAGTGTGCAACATAAAAACAACGAGTAAAATGTCTACTTTCCAAAAGAAGAAACAATTAATATAGAACAATTCCAAGGTATCTCAGATATTGAATTGGCACGAAAAAAATGTTTGAATAGCTAGTATAACCAGTTCAATGAGATAAAGGAAATAAGTTTGTAATAAATGAATTAGCTGGGTGTGGTGGTGCACACCTGTAATCCCAGCTACTTGAGAGGCTGAAGCAGGATAATCACTTGAATCAGGGAGGCAGAGGTTGCAGTGAGCCAAGATCGTGCGACTGCACTCCAGCCTGGGCCACAGACTGAGTGAGACTTGATCTCAAAAATAAAATAAAATAAAATAAATGAAAGGATGGTAAATCTCAGCAGTGGAACAGAAAGTATTAAAAAATGAACCAAATAAAAAATTTAGAAATAAAATAGCCAATGTTTTAAGAAAAATACTAGATTTGCTGTATTTAAAAAGTTTTGAAGTCTAAAATTAAGTGAATTAAGATTTCATCTTAAGAAGGTAGGAAACAAAAGTAATTTCAAAGCAAGTGAAAGGTAGGAAATAACAAATAGCAAAAATCAATGAAATGAAAAAGAAATTTTAGAGAAAGCTAACAAAGGCAATTTTGATACTTTGTAAGATCAATACAATTAGAAACCTCTAGTTCTATTAATTTTTAAAAGTGGAATAAATAGAAATTACCAAAATCATTGACAAAAGAGGAGTAATTATTTCAGATCCTACCAACATTAAAAGGATTAAAAGAGAATATTAACATCAGCATTATACCAACAATTTTAATATCTATAATAAATGGCTAAACTCTTTGAAAAATAAAACTACAGAAACAACAAGAGATTTAAAATTCTCTAATTAGCCATATATCCAGTAATTAAATAAAATGGTTTAAATCAGTCTTCCCACAAAAAAATTATACACCCAGATGTTCCACTAAGTTATTATAAACCTTAAATGAGCAAGTGGCAATAATCTCACACTAACTCATTCAGAAAATGAAAGGAGGTCATATAAAGATTATTTTACTCCCACGCTCCTTCTCTCAGGCTTCTAGCAGGTGTACATAGGTGTGTTTTGGTGTTGAGTCCACCATCTTTCAAAGATGAGGGAGAATCTTAGAGAATGGGAGAGAAGTTGACCCTAAATCCCCACATCACTAAAACAAAATTATCCCAACCTGAAACTGCTTACTTCTGGACCTCTTATTTTGCATACATTAGTAAATCACAGTTCTTTAAGGCAAAATGTTATTTTGAACAAAATCATATTTTAGAAACACTTTTCTGTTGTTAAATATTACATAAATGCAGAAAGCTGCAAAAAACAAACCACTCAATGAATTATTATAAAATGATAACTGATATAACTACCACTCATCTCAGGAAATAAGAATATTGCAAGTCATCCCAAAGATATTCACATTTCTTCATCCAACTATGATCCCATTTGGTTAATCTCAAAGATTAACTACTAGCCTGACTTTTGTGGATATTACTTTCTTTATTGTTTTGCACTCAAATGCTATACATCTAAGTCAGACACAATAGTCTTGTTTGTCTTCGATTTTTCTTTAACTTATTGAAATTATTGCTGTTGTTATTTATTTTAAATGTTTTTTAACTTCTTCAAAATTTATTTGTTGACAAAATGGGATCCAAAGTTATTTTATGAAATGAAATATACTTAACATGGGAACTATAATATCGAGAGCTCATTTCCTTTCCCACTTCATATTTTAAGTTGAAATATATAGACACTTTAATAAATTACTATTTAAAAACATGGTAGTCTGGTACTGTTATTGTTTTGTTTTGTTTTGTAATTTTTGGAAAGAAAATGAGGCATCTTTTATTTGAAATACATATAAACAAGTTTGAGATTATGCTGAAGATCTGTTGTGGTTGCTAGTGATTTACAGGTCAGAACCACTGGAATGGTGATTAACCACCATCTGAATACCATAAGCATGAAGCCTAGTACCATAAGCACGAAGCCTAGTACCATAAGCATGAAGCCTAGTACCATAAGCATGAAACCTAGTACCATAAGCATGAAGCCTAATACCATAAGCATGAAACTGAATCAAAAGCATGAAGCCTAATACCATAAGCATGAAGCCTAGTACCATAAGCACGAAGCCTAGTACCATAAGCATGAAACCTAGTACCATAAGCATGAAGCCTAATACCATAAGCATGAAGCCTAGTACCATAAGTATGAAGCTTAATACCATAAGCATGAAGCCTAGTACCATAAGCATGAAGCCTAGTACCATAAGTATAAGCCTAATATCATAAGCATGAAGCTGAATCATAAGCATGAAGCCTAATACCATAAGCACGAAGCCTAGTACCATAAGCATGAAGCCCAATACTATAAGCATGAAGCCCAATACCATAAGCATGAAGCCCAATACCATAAGCACGAAGCCTAGTACCATAAGCATGAAACCTAGTACCATAAGCATGAAGCCTAATACCATTAGCATGAAGCTGAATCATAAACTTGAAGCCTAGTACCATAAGCATGAAGCTGAATCATAAGCATGAAGCCTAGCAAAGAAGAAATAACCCTTGAAGAACAGAAAACTTAAATGTATAGCTTTAAATATCTAGTTATTCTTGTTTCACAAATAGAATATAATATTTTACTTAACCTTGTACTGAGTTGAAGTCAGCAAGGTTAGTGTTAGGCAAAATGCTGCCAGTTGAAAACACTGCTGCATGCATGTTCATGTATATGTGGCATAAAATAGTGTTTCACTTGATACCACACACCTATGAGTAGAATAGTAACTTTTCTCTGAAAATTTGTAGCAGTTACAGATTTTTCTGGTGATAGTTTAATTGAAGGAAAGTTGGAAATCACTATTGAAATAAAGTTGTTCTAAAGTAACTTTTGACATTTTCTGTAAAACTAGTAATAACATGGGTTCCTGACTTAGAAATTTGAAGTAGGTATAGTACACCATTTAGGCTTTCTTAAATTATATTAACGTAATAAACTGACACTTGTTGAAAGTTATGTGGAAAATGTAAAAATTCAGTATCATCACCTGGCCAATTCTTATGGGGGAAAAAACTGAATTTCTAAATAGTCAAGTTTCTTCAAGATTGGAGTATAAATTGAGAACTGAATTTATGAAATCATCTATACCACTACTCATTTGACATCAACTCTGGGACTTCACTAGAACCATAGTAAGTACCCCCTAAAACACTGATGTTCTTATTGGCTACCTTCTCCACTTCTATTCTCTCCACTCGTATTGAGCAAGTACTCATTTTCTGTTACTCCTACATTCATATTCCAAATGAGAGGCCTTGCTTGGTTTTAGCACTCACCATCCCACATAAGGTACCCTACAAAGGTTTCACCTTTGGCCACTTCATAGATCATTGGCTAATGTTGAGTCAGTTGTCTATCCGTGGTTCAATTGGTTATAACCGGAGGGGTAAAACCATGTGGGACAGAATATGATGTTCTAGGATAAGAGGCTGGCTGGGCTGCTTTTCTCAGCATGACAATATCTGAACATCAGCTTCCCAGGGTACAGTTGTATTATTCATAATTATAGTCAGATTTTTCATTTTATAAAGTTAGGAAAGCCTTGGTTACTTGAAACCATGATTAATAACAGCTAAAACTTAAATTATGAGGAAATACTCTGGCTGTGAATTTCAAAATATATACTTCCCAGAGTTTTGATCTAAATGGTAAACTTTTACAAAAGCATGTGAGTGCTGCAACTCAGGGATCCATTAACATTTACAGATCCTTTATTAATTTTATAACATTTAAAAAAGCAAGAAGAAAAACTACCACTTATATAACAAAGATATTTTTATTTAACTATATATTACTAGGCCTACAAAAAGAACTCAATAAATATTTATATTAATAGTAAACAAATGAATGGCTAAATGAACAATTATGGCTTTCCACATTTATTATATTATTTAGTCATCACAACCATCATTCATTTATTGTTAAATATCCATTGAGTACCCATTATCTGCCAGACACTTTGGAATAGACATTATTATCGCTGACTTGTTGTTGTGATGTTATTATTATGAGGGTTTTTATCCAGATTTGCAAAGGAAACTAGGAATTAGAGAAATCTCAAAGCATGCAAATGGAAAAGCTGGAATTTTATTTCTCAAACATTGAATCAATTCCCAGAATTTAGAAATAACTCTCCAGTGTGGTAATAGACCAGTGCCTCTTTCAGCTCCAAGGTATTATACGTGCTCATGCTTGTCTTTGTAAGATAGTATCCTTCCCTCACTTACTTAGCCATCTTACTTGGTTCATTACTATTCATCATTTCAGGAAAGTCTTCTCTGCTTCTCAAATTAAGTCCCATGTTGTACAGTTTCATTGCATTCTAAAACTCTTCTTCAAAGCACTTATCATAAATGCCGTAACTAACTCATTTTTGCTTTTTATTTATTTTTCTCAAATTATCCTAGTATAATGTAGGCCCCATGAAGGCAAAAATCTATATGTGTCTTACTCCTAACACAGTGCCTGGAAAATTCTAGATGCCCAATAAGTAGATGTGAGTTGGGCAAATGAATGTGTTAGAAAGGACAGAAATTGAGAGGTCAAATGGATGAGTTCAAATATGATCTTGAGCAAATTGCTCAGTCCATCTGGGTCTCATTTCCTTTGCCTGTATATTCGGGGGAAAAAATGAAGTCTACCTGATTATGAGAAAAATACAGAGTTGAATTCTTGATACATAGTTGGTAGTCAGTGAATATTTTATTTTCTGTAATAGGAAGTGTAAGTTTATCCTGTTTTTACTACTGAGATACAAGACAACAGGACCATTTATTTTAACAAAGCTATGAAAATCATAAGCATGAAGCCTAGAAAAGAAGAAATAACCCTTGAAGAACAGAAAGCCTAAATGTATAGCTTTAAATATCTAGTTATTCTTGTTTCACAGATAGAAAATAATGTTTTACTTAACCTTGTACTGAGCTTTTAAAATGATAAAAATAGTCAAAACACAAAAGTAAGAGAATAAGATTGAATAAAGAAGGCATCCTCCAGTCCCCACCCAAGTGTAGCTCTTCTAATTAAAACCAAAATCAGAATTGTTTACTAACTCTTAATTTTCTAGAAACCAGCAATTGCTTCAGGCAATTGTGTGTGTGTGGCACACATGATTGGCGTTGGGTGGGGAGGGGGTGGAGGGGTGCCTTAGGAAATACATACATGATATGATAGCAGTGCTTCTCAAACCTCTTTTTATTTTATTTTATTTTATTTTATTTTATTTTATTTTATTTTATTTTTATTTTTGAGACAGAGTTTCACTCTCGTTCCCCAGGCTGGAGTGCAGTGGCTCAATCTAGCCTCACCACAACCTCCACCTCCCGGGTTCAAGTGATTCTCCTGACTCAGCCTCCTGAATAGCTGGGATTACAGGCATGTGCCACCACGCCCAGCTAATTTTGTATTTTTAGTAGAGTCGGGGTTTCTTCATGTTGGTCAGGCTGGTCTTGAACTCCCGAACTCAGGTGGTTCACTTGCCTTGGCCTCCCAAAGTGCTGGGATTACAAGCATGAACCACCGCACCCGGCCTTCAAACTTACATATGAAAGCCACCTGGGTATCTTGATAAAATGTAGATTCTGGTTCAGTAGGTCTTGATTTGGCCTAAGATTTTGCATTTCTAACAAGTTCCTAGGTGGTGTTGTTGCTGTTGCTTCACAGGCCGCACTTAGAATATTGAGTTATTAA
The DNA here is from genome assembly GCF_000001405.40 of Homo sapiens. Classification (NCBI taxonomy): domain Eukaryota; kingdom Metazoa; phylum Chordata; class Mammalia; order Primates; family Hominidae; genus Homo; species Homo sapiens. The sequence continues at coordinate 30,061,837 of NC_000021.9, read as the reverse complement.
TAAATGAGCCATCTGAGGAAAATTTGGGGAAAAATAAGATTCTACCCCCTTTCATTAGAGTGGATGGAAACTAGCTAGAAGAACAAATGAACAAATGAAACTAGCTAGATGAGAAAGAGTGAGGTCCCAAAATTTATTTTGACCCTAACGCTTTGACAAGCGATTTTGAGAATGTGATATCCAAAATTACTACAAAAGAAGTCAAAAGTATATTTAGCTTTTTAAATTATTTACCTTGTTCTTGAGGTTGAATGTAAGAGTAATTCAAATTTAAAAGTATTCTAAATTCAATGCAGTTTGTTTCAACACACACTTGTTTGTGGATACTATGTGCAGAGGATTATGCTGAGCATTTGGGGGTTTGACTGTATAAATTATACATGGTCCTTGACCTCTTATACTTCACCAAGAGAGAAGCTCTCATAAATAACTCAGTCTCAAGGAAGACTGTGATAAATACTAAATCAGAGAGATAAACAAAGTAGCATATTATTATGGGAAAGAGAGATTCATGCGCCCTTGGGTTGGTTGGGATGAAGTTTCTCGGCAGAGGCAGAATTTGAATTGATCTTTGCAGGACAGGTAGATATACAAAAAAGGCCTTCTGGCTTAGAAGTGAGAGAACACAGGGTTTATTCAACAACAGTAGGTGAAGAGTAGCCCTCCCATGAAGACTGTGTGGCAGAGGAACCATACTCACTGGCAAGGCTGGAATAAAGGAGGAGCCACGTTGCATTTGCTTTCATTACCACATTGAAATAGCCAAACATCTTCCTGTAGTGAAATATATTTGTTCATTGACATGATTGAAAGATAAACTGTGCCAATACTGTGAAGAAGAGCTGAGAGACTAGGTTAATGATTGGCAGAATTAATAGAGAACCACACTGGCATGAAGAGGGGAAGATGTCAAAGTAAAAAGGAAGGAAGATAAAAAGAAAGTTTGTATAACATGACAGCTGTTACTTTTAGACTCTTTTTGAAGAAGTGACCTCATTTTGAAAATAGAACAAAAAGGCCGGGCGCGGTGGCTCACGCCTGTAATCTCAGCACTTTGGGAGGCTGAGACGGGCGGATCACGAGGTCAGGAGATCAAGACCATCCTGGCTAACCCGGTGAAACCCTGTCTCTACTAAAAATACAAAAAATTAGCCGGGCGTGGTGGTGGGCGCCTGTAGTCCCAGCTACACAGGAGGCTGAGGAAGGAGAATGGCGTGAACCTGGGAGGCAGAGCTTGCAGTGAGCCAAGATTGCACCACCACACTCCAGCCTGGGCGACAGTCAGACACTGTCTCAAAAAAAAAAAAAAGAAAAAAAAAAGAAAAGAAAATAGAACAAAAACCAGGAATTAAATATAAGAAGTGAGTTTTCAAATAGCGCTGTCAACTCGTTCTAGATCTCCATTTGCCCTGTGTGCAGCATTGCAGCTATCATCTCCCGGAAAGGAGGGATGAGACTTGCAACCAAGCAAATTAGAATCTTCAGAGGCCGAGATGTAATTCAAGTGGCTTTTCCTTGTTTACTCCAGACCCATTTCTGTTACAGCCTAAATAGATAGTTAAGCTCAAAATTAATTTCAGGCAAAACTTGCTTGCACAACACTGAGGTTCATTTCCTTGCTGTATGCAAGAGCAAAACAGCCACATGACACTTTTAGTGGGATTGTGTTTTGTTCCTTTGAAAGAGGATCAAAGGCTTTTAACATGTTCTAGCCATGGAGAACGATTATTCGTGGGTTATTAATGTCATTTGGGGCTTTTCTCTGATCAAAATAAAAAATAAAAAGAACTTTTTGGGGGGCGGAGGAGATGTTTTGTTTTAACGTTGAGGACATTAAAAGAATGTTATCTTATAAAACAGATTATTTTAAGGACAAAACAGAAGTAAACAGGACAATTTTGGTGGACCAGAAGACAGAGCAGTCTCTGCTGAGCCTCTGTGATCCTTCAGTTCCCCCATCCTGGCTATTTTCAAAATTATTTTACTCTTCTATACTTAAAGCATCAGACTTTTTTTCTTCGGTGACCTTTACTGTGGCCTACATCAAACAGTTTCTGTCAGAAACTACACTATCCTTCTAGGGTAATTCTGGGGAATCAATTAGGTAGACTATGAAGAGCTCCTTACACGTGGTAAATTCTGTATAAATTTTAGCTTACTTCTCTTGCTTTCAGAACATTAAGAGGTGAGTTTGGAGCTTAACACTTTCTAAGTACTGGTTAATCTCCCTAGAAAGGATTAGGCTAATATGAAGAATTACATGTGGCTGTGCTCATCAGATGTCTTGTGTAGATAACACTCTCACACTTTGATCACCTAATTTTATCTTAATACAGACTAATTTGTTAGATTTTTGTAGGAAAATCCGTATCTGGGAATGAAAATTAGCTTTCAACTAGCTTACTAGTGAAGTACAAAAGATTATTAAGCTGGAACAATTCACTCATTTTATAGATGAAAAAAATAATAAAACAAAAAATGTATAATTATACATAAGAAGAAATATAGTATTAAGCTTAGAAGGCATTAGTCTTAGTATATATATATATATTAAGTACAGGAATAACTAATTTTTTCAAACATACTGAATTAAAAATGTATTCTTTACTATGCAGCCATTAAAAAAAAACAAGATCATGGCTTCTGCAGGAATGTGAATGGAGCTGGAGGTCATTATCCTTAGCAAGTCAACACAGGAACAGGAAACCAGATACCACATGTTCTCACTTATGAGTAGGAGCCAAATGATAAGAACTTACGAACACAAACAAGGAAACTGGGGTGCACTTGAGAGGGAGGGTGGGAGGAAGGAGAGGAGCAGAAAAGAGGCCTCTTGAGTACTGGGCTTAATACCTGGGTGATGAAATAATCTGTACAACAAACCCCCATGACACACATTTACCTATGTAACAAACTTTCACAAGTACCTCCAAACCTAAACTAACAATAAATAAATAAATAAAATATGTATTCTTAGGTTTTAAAAGTGTAATTCCATAATTTTGTAGTTATTCTCATGGAATATGCCTATTCAATATAATACAGTTAAAAAAATATATGGGCAACAAAAAATGAAATTTTTTTAGAACCCTGTAGTTACAAAGTATTTTCAAAGGTGATTCAGATATTATCTCTCTAGGTGATTGGCAACGACATTTAATGAGCCATGTTTTAATAACAAAGTTGAATGTTACGATTATTTTCAAACAGTAATTTGGCTTCTAGAAAACATAAAAGAAGGAAGCTCATCAACTCAATGGTATGGTTTGCTGAATACTTTTCCTTTTCTTTTTTTTTTTTTTTTTAAGATGGAGTCTTGCTCTGTCACCCATGCTGGAGTGCAGTGGCATGACCTCGGCTCACTGCAACCTCTGCCTCCCGAGTTCAAGTGATTCTCCTGCCTCAGCCTCCTGAGTAGCTGAGATTACAGGTGTGTGCCATCATGCCCAGCTAATTTTTGTATTTTGAGTAGAGATGGGATTTCACTATGTTGGCCAGGCTGGTGTCGAACTCCTGACCTTAAGTGATCCACCCACCTCAGCCTCCCAAAGTGCTGGGATTACAGGCATGAACAACTGCGCCCAGCCGTTAGTCATAATTTTGTTCTTAGGCTTAAGGCATCATCTTGTATTAATGTAAGCAGTGGTTAGGGGGGACAAGAGACAATTTTTTTTTTTGGTGATAAGATCTTCCTTTGTCACTCAGGCTGGAGTGCAGTGGCGTGATCTCAGCTCACCGCAACCTCCGCCTCCGGAGTTCAAGCGATTCTCCTCCCTCAGCCTCTTAGTAGCTGGGATTACAGGCGCCCCCTATCAAGCCCGGCTAATTTTTGTATTTTTAGTAGAGATGGGGTTTCACCATGTTGGCCATGCTGGTCTTGAACTCCTGACCTCGTGATTCGCCTGCCTCGGCCTCCCAAAAGTGCTGGGATTACAGGCGTGAGCCACCAGCCTGGCCCACTTTTTCTTTTCATGAGGGATGGGATCAATATACTAAAGTGATGATTCTAAATGTCATTCGTTTTGCCTATTTTATAATTCAAGATATTACTTTGCTTCCCAGGTATTAGAAAATTTGGAATAAATTAATGAATAATGACAGACATGTTGGAAGTTACAATCTACAATATTTTTGCTCAAATGATATTTTCACCCAAAACACATTTTAGCATTCACATATTTGTTTTCTTTCACAGTTTGACTGGAAATCAAATGTCACATGGCCTCTTCCAGTTTTAATCTGTGGTTAACAACAACAACAACAACAAAATACCACATGAAGTGACTGCACTTACTTTATAAGAAAACTGCTTCATAGAAAATTGTTTAATATGTTCAAGAAGGGGAGAACCTTAATAACTATGACTTAGATTAATTAAACTTCGTATTTTTTTCCTTTTTGGTCTGATTTTTCTTGTGGCATAATTAATTTTTTCACTGGACACAACATGGTGCTTAACATGGTTTGGCTATGTCTCCACTCAAATCTTATCTTGAATTGTAGTTCCCGTAATTCCCACGAGTGGTGGGAGGGCCCTGGAGGAAGGTAATTGAATCATGAGGGCAGTTACCTCCATGCTGTTCTTGTGAGAGGGAGCAAGTTCTCACAAGATCTGATGGTTTTATAAGGGGCTTCTCCCTCCCCCAGCCTTCACTCTGCACTTCTCCTTGCTGCCACCATGTGAAGAAGGATGTGTTTGCTTCCCCTTCCACCATGATTGTAAGTTTCCTGAGGCCTCCCCTGCCATGCTGAACTGTAAGTCAATTAAACCTTTTTCCTTTATAAATTACCCAGTCTCAGGTATGTTTTTATTAGCAGTGTGAGAATGGACTAATGCAGTGCCCTCCAAGGAGTCTCTAGTCAGCTGGGTATTGTTAGATGGAGCCATCTGCTCAAACAAGCTCCATTTTAAAGTTCAAAATATATTGGATTTCTTGTAACACAAAGGATAAATGCTAAGCAAGATGGATATCCCATTCTCCATAATGTGATTATTCCACATTGCATCTCAGGTATCCCATAAGTATATATACCTACTATGTACCCACAAAAATTAAAAATAAAAAAGTTCAAAATATTGTAGCTATCATCATTTATTTCTTTTCTTACATGATATTGATTTTAAAGTTTATATAAACCCTGAGATTTTTCCTTTGGTAGTTAGTAGACTAGCTTTTCTTCCCTAATAATGTGGCTGCAGCCAAATGGAAAATAAGAATGTATCCCTCAGTACCAGATGGGATGGTTTTGATTATAAGCAATAAGAAAACCAAAAAGGAAATTTACTAAATCCCAAAGCAAAACAATTTAAGTTATAATGGCCCTGAGGTTATTTATTTCAGTGGCTTCATACACCATCAAGGATCAAGTTTCTTGCTGCATCTTAAGCTTTTTGAAATTGCTTCTCTCAAGAAACAATAGAGCCCCAGCTGTTATGTACAGCAAATCACAGATACTGGGCCTGGGAAAAGACCTAACTAAAAATAAATACAAACATGCCATTCTCTTCATGGTGACTTCATCACAGACTAGTTTATCTATGTAGAGGGTGGCTGCCACAGTTCAAGGTACAGGTAATGGACAAATCCAAAAGAAGAAGTCTACCTCAGCCAATGTCTTTCTATGAGCAAGGCCATCTTTCCCAGAAAATTCATAGCATATGTCCTTTATATCTCACTGGCCAGAGTTGAATCTTACACCATTTACTGACTGGCCTATGAATGGGATATTCACAATTACCTTACACCAGAAGTTCACAGTGTGGGGTCTGCAGATACCTGGGTGTCCTCAAAACCATTCGGGGTCTTGGCAAAATGAAAACTATTATTCTAATAATCCCATGATGTTATTTGCCCTTTTTGCTTTGTTGAGATTTCCAGCGATAGTGAAAAGGCAATGGTGAGTAAAATGCTTCACACCAATAAAACGACACCAAATTGCATAAGCAGTCACTGTGTTCTTCACTACCACGTGTTTTTTTTAATTAAATTAGGCAAATAATTTAAAAGGTTGCTTTACTAGAAAAGACCTGATAAAGCACTAAAAATTATTAATTTATTAAACTTTGTCCCTTGATTCTGTCTTTTTATTATTTTATGTGAAAAAATAGAAAATGTATAACAAAACACTTCTGTTGCACACCCAGGAATGGTGATTCTGTTTAGGAAAGCCCTTCTGCAATTCTTTCAGTTAGAAGCTGAATCATCTACTATTTTCCTAGACCATTATTTTTCCTTGAATGAAAAACTGATGGACAAATTATGTGATTCAAACTTAAGTATTTGGCACATATTTTCTCACAAATGAACGAATTGAGCCCATGACTTTGAGGAAAACAACTGACATTATTTTTGACAATGATAAAATATGAGCTTTCAAGTAAAAATTTGAATTTGGGAAAGCTTTTCTTCTGCCACCATGAGCTGGACAGCTTCCCAATACTAACAGACTTTTCTGATGAGATTGATGATGACATTAATGAATGTGATTTCTTTTCACATTGTAAATGAAATATGTCAACATTTGGAAGATCTATGTCACTCATTGAGCCAGTATTTTCCAAATGATGAATGCCTATTGTTATAAAATTATGAACAGGTAAAATATCCAATACAGTGCAAGAGATTTTAATGTAACCAAGACTGAAATGTTCATCGAGATGTTTGTGGCTTTCACAACACTATTGTTAGGAAATGGTCACTGGTTAAATTTTGGTGTTCTGTCAGATAAGAATACTATAATTTTTTTTTTTTTTTTGAGATTGAGTCTCGCTCTGTCACCCAGGCTAGAGTGCAGTGGCGCGACTTAGCTCACTGCAACCTCCACCTCCAGGGTTCATGCCATTTCCCTGTCTCAGCCTCCCAAGTAGCTGGGCGTATAGGTGCCCACCACCATGCCTGGCAAATTTTTGTATTTTTGGTAGAGACGGGGTTTCACTATGTTGGTCAGGCTGGTCTCGAACTCCTGACCTCGTAATCCCCCACCTTGGCCTCTCAAAGTGCTGGGATTACAGGATTACAGGCGTAAGCCACTTACCTGGCCAAGAATACTATAATTATATTAAAAAGCTATTGAACTGTTTCTCCCTTTCCAATAACATAACTGTATAGGCCACAGTTGAGGGGTTTCTTTTCATATTCTTCAACCCAAACTACACAATACAGCAGATTGAATGCAAGGTAGATACAAGAATCTAGCTATCCTCTATTAAGGCTGCCACTAAAGAGATTTGCAAAAATAGAAAACAATGCCACTTTTTTAGTGGGCAAAGCACATGAACAGACACTTTTCAAAAGAAGACATGCGTGTGACCAACAAACGTGAAAAAAACAGCTCAACATCACTGATCGTTAGAGAAATGCAAATCAAAACCACAATGAGACACCCTCTCACACCAGTCACAATGGCCGTTATTGAAAAGTCAAAAAATAACAGATGCTAGTGAGGTTGTAAAGAAAAAGGAACACTACTACACTGTTGGTGGGAGTGTAAATTAGTTCAACCATTGTGGAAGTCACTGTGGTGATTCATCAAAGACCTAACAACAGAAATACCATTCAACTCAGTGATCCCATTGCTGGGTATATACCCAAGGGAATATAAATCATTCTGTTATAAAGACACATGCTCATGTCTATTCATCACAACACTATTTACAATAGTAAAGATGTGGAATTAAATGCTCATCAATAATAGACTGGCTAAAGAAAATGTGGTACATGTACAACATGGAATACTATGTAGCCATAAATAAGAATGAGGTCACATCCTTTGCAGAGACATGGAAGGAACTAGAGGCCATTATCCTCAGCAAACTAACACAGAAACCAAAAAACCAAATACCACATGTTCTCACTTATAAGTGGGAGCTTAATGATGAGAACACATGGACACATAGAGGAAACAATACCCACTGGGTTCTATTGAAGGGTGGAAGGTAGTTAGAGAGAGAGGATCTGGAAAAATAACTAACGGGTACTAGGCTTAATACCTGGGTTATGAAATAATCTGTATAACACACACCCATGACACAAGTTTGCCTAACAAACCTGAGCAAGTACTACTGAACTTAAAATGAAAATTAAAAGGAAGAGAAAACAATGCCACTTTTTAAACTAATTGTATTTGTTTTGGAAAATATGTCAGTTTTTATAAAATGTTATTTATGTTAATGTAATAATGGCCTTATTTTTGTTATTAAATGTTTAATGAATATTTTCAACATTTCTGTTTTCGTTTCAAATATGTTAAATATTAGATATAATCTAAAAGCTGTTTGGGGAGTCCTCAGTTTTTGTGAGTGGCAAGGAGTCTTAGGACAAAGAGTTTGAGAATCTATGGTTTAGTCCAATCAGGACTCACTTATCTGTTCTGGAGACAAAGCAGCCTCTCCTGAGACCCATGACCACCTGGAGGAGGAAGGACCTGAAGACCAGGCACTGTTAGAAAGGTGGAAGATGGCAGAGAGGATGCTAGGAAGGCAATCTGCAGTGTTTTCTGAAATTCTCTAGAGTATCACAGCATTTCTTCTGTGATGTCTTGAATTGTTAATGAAATCAGTGGTTTTCAAACTGTGCTTTTTGGAGGTTTTTCAAATGAAGGATGTTGGCAGGTGGAAATCAGACAGAGTTTCACCCCCTACTGCTCCAATCAGAACCACTGTAAATGTATCTCTTTTACTTATTAGGCTTTCTCTGAAGATCTTATTTGAGAAATAGTTCTAAGGAAGAAAAATATTTGAATGCCACTGATTTAACATTTCTATTGTGAAAAATCTAAACTTTGGATATCTAAATTCACAAACTAGGTTAAACTTCTTAAAACTTAGATTACAGTATTATTCATTATTCACCATCATATGTAAAACATCAGAGCATGGTGCTTTATACTTAATAACAATGCTGGTTAATTTTAAATAACTTTTAAAGTTACCATTTTCCCCTGTTTTTGCAGGTCATCCCCCATACATTGATGAACTCTATAGCGGAGATCTTTGTGTCTTAGATATGGGGAAGGATGTTGTCTGGTCAGTACATATTAGAGGGTCATGATTTTTATAATGAAGTGGCTGTAAGTCATAATAGTTTAGGGAAGTATTTCTGGGATTTCTAATAACAATACTGATTTTGAGAAAACATTTAATATTAAAAGATATTTCCAAAGGCAGTAGGTAATTGCTCTCCACAAGTCCATGGAAGTGGACAACTATCTGTATTTCTATTCTCCAGTAAGACTCTTGAGACTTTACAAGGCCACTAGGAAGAGGTCAATGTAAAATTCACTTAAATTCTTTTCAGGCTGTTTGTGGGGGAGATGACTGTTACACTAGTCTACAGGGCAGGCATGCATTAAGGCAAAAATGCCTGTGCTAAACAAATTAGATAGAAACATTGCATTAGCCCTGACAACAAGGACCAATAATACATCAGGGTTGAATAATTCACTTCTGTGCTAAATTATTTTCTTGGCAACTTGGTAGGACTCAGAGCTTTTCCAAAACATGATTCTGAGTCTGCCCCCATCCTTTCCCATCTCCCTGCTTTTTTTTTAAACCACAGCAGATAGCCAGATAACAGGATATTGAACTCTTTTGCCACCAAATGCTCATGCTCACTATATTATTATTTTCTAAACACTCATTTCCAAAAAGAAAGTGACTTTCAGCTTTGTAAATCATGATATAGATGCTAGAGAGAGAATATCAGTTATTTTTTAAAAATTCTAAATATCCCTTGGGGTAGGGACAATCTTTATGTACTCCACAGCGCCTAGGATCTTCACATAGTTTACACTCATCATGTCTAATATTCAAATGCTACTTACTGCGAGCCAGGCACTATTCTCAGAATGTTACAAGATATTAACTCATTCTATTCTTACAACAGCCAAATTCGGCCTACTGCTTCATTTGCATTTTATGAATACAGAAGCTGAGGCTAGGTCATTTTTCCAGGTCACACAGTTAGGAAGGGGCAGAGCAGGGACTCAAAGCCAAGCATTTTGGCTCCAAAGTCCACTAAATTATACCACTTTGAGTTACGTTTAGGATGGAAGCCGTCTGGGATAGTAAAAGGAAAATAAGATTTTGCTTTTGGTTGGTTGTTGTTCTATGCAGCTCTCACTTAATTAATAAAGCTTCTTTTTGTCCTCTCACCTCAAATCAAAGAACTATGAGAGCTATTCACTAGATGAACATCTGGCCCATGGATTCCATTTCTGTGTCCCAAGACAACCTTGATTCTTACTTAGATTTGCAAAACATTATTAATCCACATGCATGGTAATGTTAAAAGAGCTCTGGGTACCAAGACTCTTTTACCTGATTTATACAGAGGATTGCTCTCTGAGTATATGCTTCAAAATGCTTTCAGTATATGCTTCAAAATGCATTCTCATGTTGACATGAGAATGGTCTAGTTTTAAATGTCCTGCTTTATGACTGTGACCACTCTCTGCTACACTGATCTTTTCCATGCTTCAATAATGCAGAGATACGTGACTTTTGTAGTGGGGGGATGAAGATATCCAGCCACCACATGATCCCTGTGAAACATCTCTAATATTGTCACCACCACCACAGATAAGTTGAGATAGCTCTGAATATATTTCTCTTTAATCATTTTATGTTCAGATTTATGCCAACATGTGAACGATTTCTAAAGATTACACCATGAAGTGTCAAAAATAGCACACAAGGACAATTTCCAAAGTTTCAAAAAATTGATTAAGATTTTCTACAATTATGGCTTACCCATATCTTGCAGCTTGCAAGGATCTCAGGTCACAAGTATGAGACTGATGGTAGAGAGGCCTGTGTTTTTATTCTAATTCTCCTGCTCCTTGGCATAATGACCTTGTGCTATTGACTTAATATTCCTTCCCTTTAGTTTCTTAACTATGAAAACATAACACTGCTTACCTCTCAGGGGCGATATGGGCATATAATGAGAACATGAACTTAGAGTATCTAAAATATATTGCATTCTATTCACATTATTCAATTTCTAAAAAGAAAAAAAAATACTACCCTTCTGATAGTATAATCTTTTCTCCATCGAGACCATGCGCTATGATGGTAGATTTCAAAGGCATGGAGGATACCAGATGTGAATTTATATTAATACTAATCCTCCTCTATTCCCATCCCGCATTTTCAAGGGTTAATTAACATCATTATAATTATAGACAGGTTAGCTATTATCTCATTTGCCAGCTGTGAAATGGAGAAAATATCACTTTATTTAGTCCTCAGACCTAGTTTGCTATCAGAGTCTTCTAGGAAATGTTTTCTTTTGAAAAATAGAGCTTTATCAAGATCTGCTAATTGGAGCATGTGGCATAGGGTCCAGGCATCTGTATTTTTATGTGTCCCCAGATGATTATGACATAGCCACACCTTCCACGGTCCTCTTGTTCCCAGACCAAACTGAGGGTTGGGCTGCTTATTCTCACGGCCCAATAACGAGATGCAGATGAACCGCAGAAGAGAGTTTTTATTTCGGTAACCTGGTACAGAGAGAAGGCCTGGAAAATATCGCCAGACCAACTCAAAATTACAATGTTTTCCAGAGCTCATATACCTTCTAAGCTATATGCCTATGTGTAAATGTGCATTCATCTAAAGACATAAGCGATTCACTTCTTTCCATGTATAACTGAGATCTGAGTCCTGAAGACCTTCCTCCGGAGCCTCAATAAATGTACTTAATCTAAATGGGTCCAGGTGCTGGGGTGATTACCCTTATCTTGTCTCCTGTTAAATCATGGAGCTTTGGGGAGTTCCTCCAGACCCCCAATAAACTTGTTTGTGGAGGCCTAGGGAGTGTCTTCAGACTCTCAATAAAATTTGTTTAACCCTAAATGGGTCCTGTTAAGAATTCCTTTGTTATCTTGTCATGCTTCAAGACCCACAAAAGACCTAGGCAAAACTCTTGGTGGGCTTTTGTCACATTCCACCCTTTGTATGAGCGCTCTGGCTCTTTCAGCTTTTAATATTTAACTTAACCACTCAGTGCTGAATCAGTTGTCATGGAGCCCCACGTTAGTGAGACCTGGCCTGCCACACTCAGAAATTCTTTACCTTAGATTTTTGCTACCAAGGGTTGTCTATAGACTAATAGCATCAGCAGCACCTGGGAGCTTAATAGAAATGCATAATCTCGCGGGGCATGGTGGCTCACTACTGTAATCCCAGCACTTTCGGGGGCCAAGGCGGGCAGATCACAAGGTCAGGAGTTTGAGGCTAGCCTGGCCAACATGGTGAAACCCCGTCTCTACTAAAAATACAAAAATTAGCTGGGCATGGTGGTGCGCACCTGTAGTCCCAGCTACTAGGGAGGCTGAGGCAGGAGAATCACTTGAACGTGGGAGGCGGAGGTTACAGTGAGCCAAGATCACATCACTGCACTCCAGCCTGGGCAACAGAGCAAGACTCCATCTCAAAAAAAAAAAAAAAAAAAAAAAGAGAGAATCTCAGGCCATCCCACCCTTGACCAACTCAATCAGAACCTGCATTATAACAAGATCCTCAGGGATTTGTGTGCATGTTAACGTCTGAGAGTAGTACTTTCGATTTTGTTCTCTGACTTTTCCCTCCACAATCCTCACCCTATGCAATTTATCTTGGATCTAAAAACCTCAGAAAAGTTGCCAAATCCTGACAACGAATCTTGATTCTATAGGTTTTTATTTTAAATACTATTTATTTATTTTTAGGCTTTACAGTATAGGTTCTTCTTTCTGTTACCAGAAAGGGGGTGCTGATCCAGACTCTAAGATGGGGTTCTTGCATCTCACACAAGGGAGAATTTGGGGCAAGTCCACAGAGTGAAGTGAAAGCAGGTTTATTAAGAAAGTAAAGAAATTTAAAAAATGGCTACTCCATAGGCAGAGCAGCCCCTAGGGTGGCTGGTTGGCTATTTTTACAGTTATTTCTTGATTATATACTAAAGAAGGGGTGGATTATTCCTGAGTATTCCAGGAAAGGAGTGGCAATTCCAACAAATGAAGGTTCCTCCCCTTTTTAGACCATATAGGGTAACTTTCCAATGTTGCCGTGGCATTTGCAAATTGTCATGGCACTGGGGAGGGTGTTTTTTAGCATGCTAATGTATTATGATTAGCATATAATGAGCAGTGAGGATGACTAGAGGTCACTTTCATTGCCATCTTGGTTTTGGTGGGTTTTGGCCAGCTTCTTTGCTGCATCCTGTTTTATCATCAAGGTCCTTATGACCTGAATCTTGTGCCAGCCTCCTATTTTATTTTGTGACTTAGAATACTAACCTCCTGGGAATGCAACCCAGTAGGTCTTAGCCTTATTTTACCCAGCTGCTATTCAAGATGGAGTCACTCTGGTTTCAATTGCCTCTGACTCTTCAAGTATAAGATCTTACTGTTATGGACTTGCCTGTACGGATTTTTCACTCCTCCACAGTTGAGCCTTTTAATACTTGCTATTCTGGAGGAGGAATTTATTGATATTCCTCTTGGAGTTAATATTCCAGTGTGTCATAGCAAACATGGGTGAGAAAGATGCGTTTTGATAGCTTAGTGAGTTGAAAGTGGCAGCAAAAATATATATATTTCAAAACAGTTAAACTGTCACTTTAAGAAACTCTAGATAGTGTGTCAAAGAGGAAAGCACTTTACAAAAGTAGTTTAGTATTAGATGCATATGTCTGTAATTTGATTTGCAGCAAGTGGAGAATGAAATGCTATGGAAAGAGTGTTTTCCTACACTTTGTATTTATCGCTAGTACATTAGTATTGATTATATTTGAGTCCTTAATTGAGTGAGGGATTTTCCTGCATCTACGGTCTAATTTCTATACTTTCCTAAGACACTCTGGAGTTCTCATGTAAATGCATATAAGAGATCTAAACCAACTATAATAAACAACAAAGTTCTTTCAGCTCTGACATATGCCTCTATCTTGATTCAACTGAAAGTTTACATACACTTCAATATCCAAGCTAGTGCAGGTATCCAGTCTAAAGATATTCATTCTTTCAAACACATTCTTTCAAACAGTTTCTTTTCAGTGGTGAATTTTGTGTAATTGAAGAATAAGGTGGCTACTTAACCATGTAATAAGCAAATACGTGGTATGCATTCTTAATAAAAAGTTATGGCTAGAGCACTGGAAACCAAATGCCTATGTGTGTTTTGTAAGAGGGGCGCCCTTTGGTACCTCTGGTAATCCCAGACCCAGGTAAGTATAGATCTAGATTGAAATCACTTCACATGTTTCATTTCACACACCACTTTCCTATAACCTCCTAAACTGTCCTTATTAAATTTGCCCTTGAAAAGAAAGGCTGCCTGTAAACACAAACAACTGAGAAATTAAATGGAGGGACAGGGTTTCGTTCATTATGCATGGCTAAATTGATTTTCTTCATCTGGAAATTGAGTATGCATATGTTTTCATTTAAAATGATGGGAGGCACTTTAGATCTCTAAGATTAGCAAGCACCTTAACACAGCTTCTTTCATTTGAAAAGTAAAAAGAAAAAAGAAAGATCATCTTGTGTTTGACAAGTGTCAAGTTCTGAATTTAAATGAGAGGTAGTTGGATATGATGGTTGACTTCGTATAAAAGAACTGCCGTACTAGAAAACCTGTGTTTTTAGATTTTGATGAGTTATCCAAAGCTGATGACCTTTCACATTAAAATTAACCTTGTTCCCTAGTAGCTTATTCCCATAGCCCTCAGCAACACCCTCCTACCCCTATTAATTTTGTTCTTATAGCACAACACTGACATCAAATGGTAAGTAAACTTAACCTCAAAGATTAATTTCCTCTCTCTTAAGTTATACTGGACCTTGCAGGCAATGAGATAATATTAAAACTCCACTTACTCTTGAGTGGCATTCATAAATTTTTTTGAGGGAAGGATATAAGGCATTAAAAAGAAACACAAAGTAATGGTGGAATAATGTTTTTACTAAATTCTAATTACTTCAGACACACACATACACATACACATACACATACACATACACATACATACCCATACACACAGACATAGATGTCTTTGGGGCTATTTTGCTCTTTTGTTAATTAATTTCAGAAATGGTGAATGTATTTTAAAAATGCCTCCAAAGATGTAGAGACTTGAAAATATGGTCTAGGTCTAGATATTTGTCAAACAAACCACGTGTCACACTATGAATTAAGCAGTACCCTGAATAGAATAAATGCCATATGTGTTTCAAACAGCTGGACATAAAATATCTGCAGACTTCATAATTGGTTTTTGTGTTTTGGCTTGATGCAGAGAATTTGCCAACCTGCAATAGCAGGATGATCAGCTACCAAGGAGACCACTTTGATTCTCCCTACCCCTCCAGATGCTGCTAGGAAAACTCAAATGGGAAGCACAGATGACTGAAAAATAACAGATGTGGAACAGGTCTTTCGGATGCTCAGTAAAAAAAATATGTGGTAAAACAAATATGTACTCTTTCTTCACTTTTTTCCTACATATTCAAAAAACTATAAGTCAATATTATTCACAAAGCAGTTAAATGTTTCTTATTTTTCCGTTTAGAAATGTATATAAAGACATAAGTAGTCTTTAATAGTTTTATTAAAACTATCAATTCCATTGCCCCAAAGTGATATTACATTTTTCAAAAAGACTTACAAAAACAAAATGTCCAAAGGCAATCTATCAAATGATAGTGATTTCTAACTCACTCAGCCATAGATAATTTTCACCTTTCACTCATTGGCTCTATTTAGGAAAATGATCTTCTTTATTAACATACTAGCTGGTTGCTCAAGAAGCATCAATGATAGTGATTAAAATAGCTGTTTTAGAAAGCTACCATCCAATCGTTATGGACCAAGATAAAGGCATAAAATGAAAGGAAAAGACACCCAAAATTACATCTAATAAGCAAAATTTTAATATTACATTTGCTTTGCAGGATAATCTTGCAAGATGATGATATAGCTCTTTGCTCCTAGTAGTTAGAGAGTTATCAAATAGTCATAGATTCTGGTATTATCAGAATCCATTCAAAATTAAGGGATAGTGGCTTCCACCAAAATTCTTTGGGTGTAATATAAAAGCTACGAAGGCAATTCTGTGCCAGAGTTTACTTCTACTCTGCAATATTCGCTAAAAAAAAAAAATAGGCATTCTTCTTCTATAATCAATCCTGGTTATCTTCAAATTAGAATATTGCCTGATTTGACATTTATAATGTTTGTTCTCTTACCAGGCAGGCCAGGAAAATTCTCATAAAGTCAGAAAAATACATAGAGTTTCTAAGATGACTGAAGAGTACATGTCTCATCCTTTCAATACTCACTTCCCTACTCCATTTCTTACCCCCTCACATCAGGCTACATTTATAGAAAAACAAAACTATTTTAATCATCTCTAGTTGGATTAAGGTTTGCTCATCTACTTTCTAGTAGTAGCTGTATACTGTAATATTTTACATAATAAAAACAATGTGTCCATTTTTTTCTGCCATCTTAATTCCAGCAAATCAAATCTTTTCTTAATATGTTATCTACCTGTTATTCTGACAAAACTCAGGTATTGTTATTTATCATCTCTGTACAGTCATCTCAAGCATTCACCTATTTGAATTTTTTTTTCAGTTTTATTTTTTTCTAGTTTAATGATGATGATGATGATGATGATTTTTAATAGAGAGGGGATCTCACCATGTTGCCCAGTCTGGTCTCGAGCTCCTGGTCTCAAGTGATCCTCATGCCTTGGCCTCTCAAAATGCTGGATTAGGTATGAGCCACCACTCCCGGCCTAAGCTTTGTTTTTTTAAAAGTTTTACTTGCTTCATTTAGTTTGGAAATGATCGAATAGGCATATGAGATATTCCAGGTGCTTCGCCTTCTTTTCAGGAGTCATGTCTGCTAGCAGTCCAAAGCCTTCCCTGAGAAAGCAGGTGGAATTGTCATGGATAAAACACTGGTCTATCTCAATCTCTTCCTTTTCACCTTCTGATTTCTAGAACATATAAATCTTCAATGTTTCCAAGAAATTAACTACATTTATAAGTATATATGTATCTTCTTGGTTTTAGTGGAGGACTCTGGGATAGATCTGTCCTCAAAGTCCACTGTGGAAAACAAACAATATGAAAAAAGTGGGAAATTAGAATATCACAGAAAGAAAGCCATTTGAGTGCCCTCTTGTGGAATAAAGCAGCACTGCAGCTATTGAAATTAGTGACTTAGTACTCTTAGGTTAAAATATTATTGGGAAAGTAAACAAAGAATGCTGAGACAAAAGAGAGAGGGAAAACAAGAAGGATGGGGGATGTTTATTTTAGGCAACTACTGAAAAATAGCAAGAAGGTTTGCAACTTCTATAATGGTCAATTTAAGGAAAAGGGGCAAAAAAGCATACTGGTTTATAATAAACACTATAAACTACATTATTTGCACTTTACTTCAAGATTATGATGTCACATAAGCCTTTGGCTACTGGTTCAAAAATTAGTTTACTCCTGATTAACCACTGTCAATAATAAATAAGGCTGGAGAGTATTTTCCTTTGTAAATTAGTGGTGATGGCCATTTCTATGGAAATGGAAAAATAATGAAGCTCTCCCTGCAGTGTGAATTGTCAAGCATATATATGAAATGCAGCTTACATAACAAAATGTAACTGCTAATAGAGAAGTCAAAATAAAGGTGAATTTAAGACAACTGGGAGTTTGTCTTGTTCCCAAGAAGACCATGCCATTTTTGGATATTACTAGGAAAGGTAAGGATAGTTGGTATGAGCTCAATGAATAACGTAAAAAATAAGAAACTAAAGCTATTATGGCATCACAGTGGAAATATGTATAGATTCCAAGAACCACTGAACCCTAATTAATGAAGCAGCTATGCTTATTCGATTAAGTGAGCTGAATATGGTCAATGAAAAGCGATAAATACAAGGAACTAAAGAGTTGGTAGACATACAAGGAACTCCAAAAATCCACTGCATAAAAGCAAAAAGGTCACTATAAAACTTTATCAAAATCAAGTATTTGGGAGCTGTGGAAATTATCCAAATGTTTGCAACACTATGAGCAGCTTTATTCAAGAAAAACAGCTTAATGTTATAAATAACAATGAGCTCTGTGAGGTTTGCACTTGCTCTATTCCTCTTTTCCTAATTCCATGAAAGCCCTAAAAACCAGAATCCTCACAATCATGGTAGCTAGGAAAAATAACAGTAACAGGGTGAGTGCGAGTTAGAATGAGCTTGAAGCTCCCAAAAGCCCTATCTCCAGAAAATCAACACTATTTTCACGCTTTTTGCAAAGGTTGCATTCATGGAGTTGGTCTATACTTGACCTGAGCTTGTTCAGTGAGAAAAGTTTTATCTGAGGGAATTTGTTTAAAAAAAAAATCCATCAGCAATTGCTTAACATTGCAGCTGCCTAATGCAGTGATGCCAACTGGGCAAAGAGGCTGGACAAAGATTCTCTGTATTCCTGGAAATCTCAAAGCCCATGCACAGGTGCCCAGGAAATCATGTGCATTAATCTCCCACCTCTGGCTGATCTTGAGGCTCTGAACAAGTAGAAAGTAAAAATCAAGATAAAATTGAAAACTGATAAAGATGAAAATGTGTTCAAACACACTGTCAGCATATTGGTGCCTCAGCAATGGGTAGTAAACAGATTGGTTCAAGGCATTTGGAAAAATTCTATCTAATAAAATTATCTGACCTCTATGCTGAGCAGAGACCTCAGGGGCTGCACATGACAAGGAATACAGACTTTATAGAATTAGTCCTGGAAAATGACTAAACAAACAAGCAGCAACAACAGACAACCTTGGGTAGGGAGAAAAATTCGATTTCTAGTGTTATCATTTTATAATATTAAAAATGTTCAGCTTTTAACATGATAAAAACTTGTATGTGACTGGCGAAAAAACCCCAGGAAACTATAGTCCATAAATGAGTTTTAAAAAACAGATAATAGAAACTAACTTGAAGAAGTCCAGCTTCTGAAATTGATAAATAAAATCTTTAAATCAGATAGTACATGTTCCAAAAACTGCACCTAAAGAATTAAAGGAATGTATGAGCATAATGTCTCACGAAAAAGAGAATATCAATAAAAAGGCAAAATATAAAAAAGAACTGAATAGAAATTCTTGAGTTGAAAAGTACAATAAAGGAAATGGAAAATTCATTGAAGGGTCTCAACAACATATGTGAGCCAGCAAAGAATCAACAAAAGTGAACATATGTCAGTTGAAATTGTCTGGTGGGAGGTACAGAAAAAAAAGAATGAAGAAAAATGAAAAGACCTTTTGAGAGCTGTGAAACCCCATCAATTTTACCAAAATATGCATAATAGAAATAGAAATTTCAGAAGGGAAACAGAGAGCAAACAAGGGACACAAAGAATATTTAAAGAAATAATGACCAAAAACATCCCAACTTTGATGAAAAATATTAATCTATCCATTCAATGAATTCAAATTGGATGAATTCAAATCCATACCTAGACACATCATAGTCAAACTGATGAAAGACAAAGAGACAATCTTGAAAGAAACAAGGCAAAACTGATTCATCACATACAAGGAATCCTCAATAAGATTCCTTAACTTCTTCCACTGATTTCTTCCCACAAATGATGGAGGCCAAAAGACAGTGGGATGACATATTGAAAGGGCAGACCCCAAAATCCTGTCAATCATAGCCAGCAAAGCTATCCTTCAAAAATGAATGGAAAATAAGACATTACCAGAAAAACAAAAACTGAGAATTTGCTGCAAGCAGTCCTACCCAATAAGAAGTATGAAAACGAGTCCTTCAGTCTGAAATAAAAAGAGATTAGATAGTAAATCTAAACTACATAAAGAAATAAATAGCACTGATGAAAGCAACTATATAAGTACATATAAAACAGTATAAATATATGTTTGTCCTTTCTCAGGAAATCATTAAGAAAATAACTAAAAATATAATTTTTTAAAAAACAGAATTTAAAAAGCATACCAGAAGATATCTTCTTAATATGAAGAAGGAAATAAGGAAAGAATGGAACAACACAAAATGACTTAAGACATGGAAATCAACTAACAATATGGAAGATGTAAATCCTGTCTTATCAGCATTGACATTAAATATTAATGAGTTAAATGCTCTCATCATAAGGCAAAAATTATCAGAAAGTATTGAAAAATTGTTACCCAACTATAGGTAGCTTGCGGGGTTGGGGGTTGTGCTATCACTGCCTGTTATGCTATCTCTTCTCCTTGCCCACTCCCACCGATTTATGTATTATTGTGGGTCATTGATGGTGGAGCTGAGGACTGACTGAGTCTTCCCTGCCACCTCCTGTATCCAGTTCTCCTGTAATTAATAATTTCTAGTGGACGCATCAAAGAAGTTGACACAAGAATGAAGTTGAATCCCTACCTCATACCTTCTACAAAAATTAGTTCAAAAATATTATAGAGCTAAGTATAAAAGCCAACAACTATAATACTCCTTAGAAGAAAAAATAGGCATAAATTTCTGTAACCTTGGGTTAGGTGATGGTCTCTTCAAGATGACACCAAAACCACAAGTGACAAAAGAGAAAAGTTGATATATATGAGAATTTATCTTTTTTTTTTTTTTTTTTTTTTTTTTTTTGTGAGATGGAGTCTCTGTCGCCCAGGCTGGAGTGCAGTGGTGCTCCTTGGCTCACTGCAAGCTCCACCTTTCATGTGCGTCCGTGTGAAGAGACCACCAAACAGGCTTTGTGTGAGCAACATGGCTGTTTATTTCACCTGGGTGCAGGCGGGCTGAGTCCGAAAAGAGAGTCAGTAAAGGGTGGTGGATTATCATTAGTTCTTATAGGTTTTGAGATAGATGGTGAAGTTAAGAGCAATGTTTTACGGGCAGGGGTGGATCTCACAAAGTACATTCTCAAGGGTGGGGAGAATTACAAAGAACCTTCTTAAGGGTGGGGGAGATTACAAAGTACATTGATCAGTTAGGGTGGGGCAGGAACAAATCACAATGGTGGATTGTCATCAGTTAAGGCTATTTTTACTTCTTTTGTGGATCTTCAGTTACTTCAGGCCATCTGGATGTATATGTGCAAGTCACAGGGGATGTGATGGCTTGGCTTGGGCTCAGAGGCCTGACACCACCTCCCGGGTTCATGCCATTCTCCTGCCTCAGCCTCCCGAGTAGCTGGGACTACAGACACCCACCACCACACCTGGCTAATTTTTTGTACTTTTAGTAGAGACGGGGTTTCACCATGTTAGCCAGGACGGTCTCAATCTCCTGACCTCACGATCTGCCCACCTCGGCCTCCCAAAGTGCTGGGATTACAGGTGTGAGCCACTGAGAATTTATCAAAACTAAAAGCATTGTGCTTTCAAGGACATTATCAAGAAAGAAAAATATAGCCCACAGAATTTGGAGAAGATATTTGAAAAAGATACATCTGATACAGGACTCGTATGTGGAATGTATGAAGAACTCTCACAGTTCAACAATTAAAAAAAAAACAATTTAGCAATAAGCCATTTACATCATTAATTATCCCTACCTAAATATGTATTGAAAGGTATAAGTTAACATTAATAACTCCAATTCTAAATCAACTACAAAAGATTCATTTCTAACTTTCCCCATTTCTGTATTTTTAATCTATTCCCAACAGTGAAAAACTGGCTTCTGTTTAACTTCTAATATCAATTTACTATAAGAATTGTCTTTGGATGTAACCAATCTACCATTGATCTGTCATATACCTCCCAACAGGTGTCCTCTGGTCCTTACTCACAATCTCGACAACTTGCTAGGGACCACTATTGGCTCCCAAAGTGGAAGGGATATGCCACCCTTAATTCAGCATTCGATACTCTGCCCAAGCTCCTAACTACAGCTGCCCCCACCTAGCTTTGACCTGCCCCCTACACTTCACCACCTGCTGCAACCTCTTTCTCAAATGTCCCCCTTACCACAATCAGGCTCAAACCACCCTGATTTAGCTTTAGCTGTTCCTCCTTCTGTGGACCAAGCTACTCTGTCCTCACCTTCCTGCAGATGCTCTCTTCTTTCCACTTCTGATTGGCCACCTTCATTACCACACCCTGCACCCCAACTTTCCACAGGTGCCCTTCTTGTCATACTCATATCCTGCATCCCCAACAGACTGCTGTGCCTTCCTTCATCCTCCTGTGTCAATGGCCATTGTGTTCATTCCCATGCAATGGCTTTTCCACTGAATATTGAAGAAGAATTGAAGGAAGAAAGAGAAGAATGAAAGAAGAAAAAAAGGGAGAAGGAGAAGAAAAGGAAAATGGGAGAAGGAGGGACAGATAAAGAGAGCTAGGGAGCAGGAAGGAAAAGAGGGAGGGGATCATTTGAAATCAATAAACGTTTATAGCAAAGTCCTCACCTGCCTTCCTCTTCTCCTTTTCCTTCCATCATTTCAGTCACAAGAAACCATCCTATGACACATGTATTTAGCTTCTTTATCGTGGTTGTCTGGAGGTATAATTAGCAAATTCAAGGAAGTAAATGTTTTTCTTACTTGCTATCAGATTTTATCCTTTAAAAAAGGACTTAAATGAAGGAACTTTACTGCAGCCCTGGGAACAGTAAGGGTGATATTCTGCAGCGAAGGGGCATTCTGAATCTTTCAAATGCACCACATGAGTCACTGCCTTTGTGCTTTCACATGAGAAGGGTGTTGCTGGGGGGCTCCATGTAACTCCAACCCAGCAAGAACGGGCTCTGTTTCTGTCTATGGGGGCTCTGACTTCTTTAAACTGAGCTTTCATCTAAAAATGAGGACTAATTTCTTTTTATAAGTTAAGAAAGTATCTCTGAGCATGTTGAGGAGAAAGTACACAGATAACAAAAATTAAGACTATCTAAAGTATTTGGGAAATCGAAAATTATCCAAATAAAAATGCAAAATAAAAATTCATTATGCTTGCCAAAAGAGAAAATATTAACTATTTTGTAAAAATAAATTGTCCCTTTCTTGTCTTTTTTCTGTAAGTTCTGTTGTAGATGGTCTAGGTTGCTTTTCTCCCATCTTCTTCTCTTTATTTTTATTTTATCATGGACTCTTACTCTCCCTCTCTGCTAAAGTTCTTCAGTCCTCCAAGGATCAGAGGGTGACAGAACTACAAGTGTTGCAACACCTAACAAGTGGAGAGAAAGATCAGCTAACATTATCTTGTTTCCAAATCATATTTGGGAATGAGCAAAAGCAGGTGATTCTGCTTCCTATAAAAGGAAAAAGAGGCCAAGTGCAGTGGCTCATGCCTGTAATCCCAGCACTTTGGGAGGTCATGGCAGGCGGATCATGAGGTCAGGAGATTGAGACCATCCTGGCTAACACGGTGAAACCCCGTCTCTACTAAAAATACAAAAAAATTAGCCGGGTGTGGTGGCAGGTGCCCATAGTCCCAGTTACTCGGGAGGCTGAGGCAGGAGAATTGCTTGAACCCAGGAGGCAGAGCTTGCAGTGAGCTGAGATCGCTCCACTGCACTCCAGCCTGGGCAACAGAGTGAGACTCCATCTCAAAAAAAAAAAAAAAAAAAAAAAAAAAAAAGGAAAAAGAAGGAAAATCCATCAATTTCATCAACCAGTTCAGTAACTGGTGTTTTTTGTCCTGCTTCCCTATCTTTGTATCCCTCATTTCTATGTGCTTGTGTCTTTGATTTTGTGAATGGTTAATGGGAGATAATTGGCATCTTTTGGTCCATGGGAGAGGATTGCCACAAATCATTTCTATTCACCTTTTGACCACAGGAGAGTTAATTAATGAAGCTTTGGGTGAGTAACACATGGAAAGGTTATTTTTGTGAAACACTTGAAAAAGATTTAGATATTGCAGACCTCAAATCAAAGTAAGCAACAAGACATTCAAATGCTGAACTGAATAAGGAAGTTGTTTATTAAAATGCATTTCAGCCTGTGATTTACTAAATCACCCATTCTTCTTCACTCCATGGACAAACAAGCTCCACTTGTCAATTATTCTACACTCACCAGAAGTCTGGAAAAGTCACCAAAAGCTTTCCTGGACATAATAGAGTTTGAATTTTGCTTAAAGTGTTGTTTTTCCAAGTGAAATAAATTGTTTTGATATCTCTCATATTTTCTGGGTCTAACTAATCTGACCAATATAACATGTGGCCTTGGTCTTAGAATTAAATTTAGAAGGACAGGATAAGGATACCAGTGGGAAATTCTAAGAGCTTCCTGAATAAAGACGAATGAAGAGATCTGAGTGGCTGCTGATAAGAAAGGAGAAGTGACCCACCTCATATTGCTTTAGAGCAGGCACCAGCAACACTTGGCCGCATACTGACGACCTGGTTTCACTAAATCAACCTGTGATCTGCTTTGAGAAAGAGTCATTAGAAAGACACTTTATTTCAACTTCTCTAATAATCATAGATATTAGTCCTCTAGTGGCTGAGAGGCAGCGACTAGTTTCCACTAAATACAGTTCAAAACTCTAAGATCTATATGGTGGGAGAATTGCAGATGGCATTTCCTGTATTCATCACACATTTCTGTATTTTTAAAATGTTTTTATTCTAGTATTTACATAAAATATATGACAGGCAGGAAAGTTAAAATCATTTATAGATAGCAGAAACATTCTGTAAACGTTTTAACATGTATTATATATACATATATAATATGTGTATATATACATTATAAATACATATATATTAATCCTCTAGCAAAAAAAAAAAAAAACAACACTGAGGCAGACTCAGGGCTGCTGGAAGCTCTGAAGGGAATCCAGATAGAGAAATGCTCAATTAAGGGCGGCAATCGTGAATACTGGATGAAAAGAGGAATAAAAAGACATTCTGCAATGTTATGGGCAGAGCTAGAATTTGATGAATGTTTTCTGAATTACGGAATGAGCAAGTGTAAGAACAGTGATGGTTGGGGTTCTGGATTATAAGGTGCTTTCTTACTTAGTTATCCGCTTGCTCTGAAGAATATGCAATGTGTATGACATGACAAAGGGTAGCACAAGGATTTAAATCAAAGGTATGCAAACTATGGCCCGTAAGCCTGTTTTTAAAAACAGTGTATTAAAAAAAAAAAATTAGCTGGGCGTGGTGGCGGGCGCCTGTAGTCCCAGCTACTCGGGAGGCTGAGGCAGGAGAATGACGTGAACCCGGGAGGTGGAGCTTGCAGTGAGCCGACATGGCGCCACTGCACTCCAGCCTGGGCGACAGAGCGAGATTCCGTCTCAAAAAAAAAAAAAAAAAAAAAAAAATTGTATTAAAACACATGCTCGTGTGTTCACATATTGTCTATGATTACATTTGTGTTCCAACAGCAGAGCTCGGTAGTGGTCCTAGAGAAAGCAAGACCCATTAAACCTAAAACACTTACTGTCTGGCCCTTTACAGAAAAAATTCTCGGATTTAAGTGGAGGTGATTGAGGCATCCCCAAACTCAGTATTATTAAAAACTCTACTTTAGAGACTTTTTCCCCAATAGTCAGAAGAAATAATATTCTCTCCATGTATTTTTTTACATTATCTTTTTTTTTGTGGTTAAATATTAACAAGAAATAACATGGGTGAATTTTCTTAAGAAATAGCATTTAGCATACTGTGATTTTTAACACATTAAACAGATTTTATAATGTTCTTAGGGGAGAACAAATATTCCAGATAAGGGACCAGAGCAATATAGACTGAACTAAGAAGTTACCCTAGTTATGAGCCCTTATATGAGTTCTGATTCATAGTTGTATGCTGGTGGCTTTCAGTGGAAAATACAATATAACACATTGTAAGAAATTGTGAAAGAATTAGCTTTTGTGCACAAAAAGAGAAGGCAGTTGAAGGCAAAGGGTCCTCCAGCTTTCCCTGAATCTGCAATTTACCCCCTTGCCCATGAGACACACTCACTACGTTGACATCCATTTCTTCTACTCAGGGGTTTGTAGATTTATTTGATGACATTAATTTTTTAAAGATTTTATGTTTTAGGGCAGTTTTGGGTTCACAGCAAAATTGAGCAGAAAGTACAGAGGGTTACTACCATGGACTCCTTCCTCCCCCTACCCCCCCAGCCTCCCTCACAATCAACATTCTGCACCAGAGTGCTACATTTATTGCAATCGATGAACCTACATTGATACATAATTATTACCTTAGGTCCATAGCTTACATTAGGGTTCACTTTAGGTGTTGTACAACCTATGAGTTTTAACAAATATGTAATAACATGTATCCACCAAGTTACTGTTTTTGTTTTCATTTATTAGACCTAGCACAGAGTGCAATGCCTGGTCTTTTAAGGCAGTTTAATCTTGCTAAGTTTTCAATTGTGTTTTTCCTTGTTTGTTTGTTTTGTTACTAAGTTCAAGAAAGGTGATTAATGAAGCTTTTGTTGAACACTTTCAGAGAATCCAGATTTTTTGTATGTGTTTGTTCAGTTAGAGAGTTCTTACATTACTAAGAAGAGGTGGACATTATCTTTTTTTTACATTTGGAAAAGGGAAGGGAAGGAGAGGGGAGGGGAGGGGAGAGAAAGGAAGTGGAGGGAAGGGAAAGAGGAAGGAAGGAAGGAAGGAGAAGGGAAGGGAGGGGAGGGGAGGAGAAGAGAGGAGAGGAGAGGAGAGGAGAGAAGAGGAGAGGAGAGGAGAGGAGAAAGGAGATAGGAGAGGAGAGGAGAAGGGAGAGGAGAGGAGAAAGGAGAGGAGAAAGGAGAGGAGAGGAGAGAAGAAAGGAGAGGAGAAGAGGAGGGAAGGAGGGAAGATTCTGTGACTCACAAAAATAAAGCAACTTGTTCAAAATTCTGCTACTAGTTTGTTGCAGAGTCCAGAGGCAAACAGAAATGTATCACCCCCAAATCCTCTTCTCTCTCAAATCTACCAAACTGGTGATGTATAGGACAGGGCTTCCCAGCCCTGGGGTACAGCAAATGAGAAACACTGCCCTAAAGAAGAAGATCTTATACTTAGATTCAAGCTTAGTCCCAGAGTGAAGGCTGCAGCCAATGAAAACTAATAAGCACTGTACAGTAAGATGGGGCCTGGCAGTGCCATAGTTGAGAGATGGGCAAAAGAGGCAGGGAGCCGAAGTTAGTGGTGGGATCTATCCTTCCATCCTGCTCAGCCCTAAAGACATGAAAGGTTGGGAATTCAAGACACTACCGCACAGCAGGAAGTGATATGGTCAGGCCTTACTGGAGAGGCAAAAGAAGCCACACATCAGGGGTATTCTCTCTTGACAACTGAGATTCAGATGAGGCAGTTGACAAGTGATTAGTTTCCTACTGCTGGCAAAACAAATCACCACAAACTCAGTGGCTTAAAAACAACACAAATTGATTAACTTATAGAAGTATGGTATTGATAACTATATAAGTATACTTCAGTTTCAAGGTGTTCCCTCTGGAGGCTGTCAGGGAAATCCCCTTTCTTTGCCTTTCCCAGTGAAAGTCTAGCTTTACGTCAGTATGTTCAACACCAAACCAGTTCAATTTCTAACCTGGTCCAATAACAGTTTCCTTGTTTGCCTAAGTGAGAATTCCTTGGTTACTTGCCTAAGAAATTTAAGTCTAACATTTAAGTCTAACCTGCTATACAAATGTTGAACTTGTTGGCAATATGGAGATCAAAATAGAAAGAAGGTGAATAAATATTGATAGCAGCAGGAGGCAAACAAATCCCTAGGTAGATAGGAGCAGGTCCCTGGTGAAACTCTACCTTCAAACCAAAGACAGTTTATAGCCTGAAAGTCAAGCTACAAGTCCCAAGTAAAGCCCTGGACCAGATTGAGAACCTCCCTTCCTGTTTGGTCCGCCCTCCTCTGATTGATCCTCACCTTTCACCTATTTTATATATATCTACCCCTCCCACATTTGGTTTTTTACAATGTCATGCCCATCTTTGAGTGGTGCCTTTGTTTTAGCCTTTTTTGTATACTCACACACCAATCAGCATGCACTCCCCCATTCTGAGCCTTGAAAGCCCTGGATGCAGCCACACTATGGGAAAGACCACCCGACTTTGGGTGGGGGACCACCCTTGCATCCCCTCCCCACTGAGAGCTGTTCCATCGCTCAGTAAAATTCTTCTCCCCCATCTTCACTTTTTGATTGTCACCATAACCTCATTCTTCTTGGAGGCGGGACAAGAACGTGGGAACTTCCAAACTCAGGTACGAGCTGCAAACTGAGCGCGGACCCCGCGGTGAGTGTAGGATGCGGACCAGCGTGCAAGCCAGGCATAGCCCAGAAGGCTGAGTGGACAGGGTGCCTCCTGTGGCAGGCCTGTTGTAGAGCAAGGCTTAGGTGGAGACATCGCTGGCCATGGAGGTCCTCAACTGGCAAAGTGGCTGAGAAAAATCCTGCATGAATATGAATGTAGAAATACACTGACATTATTTGAGACTCTTTCAAATACAGGTGATAAAATCCTACTCAAATCAGCATAAGCAAAAGACTCAATTATTGGTCCACAACAATAATTTGGGAAAGGATGTCAAAGAGAAAGGAAGCTATAGGAAGGCAGGTTTCAGGAATTCCCTAAGATTCTTGTACATCTCTGCTTGACTTTCCTCCGAGTTATTTATTTCTTCTGTTGCAATAGATCCTCTCCACAAAGTAAACGATATTACTGCTAACAGCCCCATCTTGGAATCCCCAGCAGAGAAAGAAATTTCAGTCTCAGGGAAGCCTTGGGATTGGCTTTTCTCAAGTCACATGATCACTGATTGGCACAAATGCTGTTGCCAGGAAGATGACATACATTGGGAAGATGGTGAGGCCAGGATCACCTCCTCCCCTGACCTACAGTGAGTGGTCAGGGCTAGAACCAGAGAACTTGGAAAGAGTTATCATGCCAATCAGAAAAAAATAACCAATTACTGACACAAGACGACACTATATCAGTTACTTTGTGGTTTAGAGGTGGAGAGGAGGGTAGCTATGTGTGTGCAAGTACATAAATATGTATCTATTTTTCTATCTTTATATCTATATCTATATTCATCTGTATATACATGCAGTATATATCTATGAAAATGTCATAATCCATGAATATATATACAGTGTATACACACACACACACACACACACACGCACATACACACATATATATATATATATATAAAGAGAGAGAGAGATTTACCAAATGAAAATTGTGGAGTTTTATTTTTTCCCTCACCTTTGCAACTAAGATATTTTAAGCTTGATTGATCATACTTCACTACATAGTTTTAGAGGTAGAAAAGAAGTACTAAGATAAGAACAAGCTAAATATCTTTCCAGGAAGGGGAGCAAATAAGGAAGAGGAAAGTTCTATTAGAAATGACCTTACATTCTGGCCGTGCGTGGTGGCTCACGACTATAATGCCAGCACTTTGGGAGGCCAAGGTGGGTGGATCGCCTGAGATCAGGAGTTCAAGACCAGCCTGGCCAACATAGTGAAACCCCGTTTCTACTAAAAATACAAAACATTAGCCGGGTGTGGTGGCAGGCACCTGTAATCCCAGGTACTTGGGAGACTGAGGCAGGAGAATCGCTTGAACCTGGGAGGCAGAGGTTGCAGTGAGCCGAGATCGCATGACTGCACTCCAGCCTGGGTGACAGAGTGAGACTCTGTGTCCAAAAAAAAAAAAGAAAGAAATGACCTTACATTTTACTATTTAGGACAGAGCATTGCAAGTCTATATCTAATGCTTTTCTATATTTCACAAATTCAGGTAAATGATACTAAAAAAAAAATTAAAGGGAGCAAATGGCTGTCAAATGGAGAGGCTGATAGATTGGAGAAGCTCTGCCTAAAAGCAGGGTCAAGGTGAGCCATGCTAACGTTCAGGCCCATGCTGAAGAAAATAAAAGTATAATTGTTAACCCCTCAGTGGGAAGCATATTTGGTTGAGAAATCTGGATGAAAGAAAGAATGAAGGTGTGAAAAATATCTCATCAAAGGAAGCAGCAGGAATGAATTAGAACAGACCTGGAGTCTAATATAAAGAACTCTTACTTACCAGGAAGCTCACTCCAGTATGCTTTGACCCCAGTTGCTCTTTAAGGAAAAAGAAATCCCTTTTATTGGTTGCTTCAGAACAAAGATTCTTCAGCTGAGAGACGGTTGGAGGTCTGCAAGGTGTCTGCCACAGGCTTCAGCACACACAAGCTGAAATCCATGAAAATCAAAGAGCCCTTGGAATTAGTATGGACACTGAATATATCATGATTCAGTTTGTGACATATGTTCTGTAACTGACACTCAGCAAGGGCTTCTCAAATTTTAATGTGCACACTAACCACTTGGGGATCTTGTTAAAATGCAGAATCTGATTCAGCAGGTCT
This sequence comes from Homo sapiens, assembly GCF_000001405.40. NCBI lineage: Eukaryota > Metazoa > Chordata > Mammalia > Primates > Hominidae > Homo > Homo sapiens. Next base: position 30,031,510 of record NC_000021.9, on the reverse strand, counting down.
AGGCTGAGGCCTGAGAATGTGCATTTGTAACAAGCTTCCAGGAGATGCCCTTGTTTCTACTTCCCCCATCACACTTGAATAGTAAAGACTCTAAATGGTTTCAGAAGTTCAATGGAGTTTGTAATAAATTTGAGTGCCATCTCCCCAATGTTCCAAACAGGTGTGCATCATAATTAAATGCCCAACATGGACATATCCCTGCCATCCAATGTCATGTGAATGACACTAAAATTTACTTTGAAGTGACATCTGATTATGATGGAAGGGGTTTTTGGAAATTGGAAAGATGGTCCTCAACTGAGTTAAGAAAGGCAACTCACATCCACATTCACATCAACAGAAGAAAGTTCTTAGATTAACTTCCTGGGCAGGAAATTACAAAGGCTAAAATGGCTAATGTCCAATGCAATGGGAGGCAAAAAGAACGGGGAGTGTGCCTGCTGCAGTGGTGCTCAGCCTTTCCGGACTTAACAATCATATTGGTAGCTTTAAAGATACTAATGCTCTGGCCCCACCCCACACAAACTTATTTAATTGGTCTGAAGTTAGCCTGAATATTAGAATTTCTAAAACACAAGCAGTTGATTCCCAGGTTCACCCAAGGGTAAGAATCACTGCTGGAAAACAGAAGTCCACATGAACACAATGGCTTCAAGCTGTATTAGCAAATTTTCCATTAGAGAAGATCTTCTCATGGACTATACTATGGTTTGAATATGTTCACCAAATTTTATGTGTTGGAGACTTATTCTGCAAATTCATACGTTGATTGGAGGTGGGGTCTTTGGGAGGTCGTTAGGATGAGATAAGGTCATCAGTGTGGAGCCTCCATGATGACACTGGTAGTTTTATGAGAAGAGGGAAACAGACTTGAGCTGACACACGTGCTCTTGCCCTGTTGACATGTGATGCCCTCCAGCATGTTACAATGCATCAAGAAGGCCCTCGCTGGGTGCCAGTACCGTGCTCTGCTCTTGAACTTTCTAACCTCCAGAACTGTGAGATATAAATTTCTTTTCTTTATAATTTGCCCAGTCAATTGTATTATGTTATAGCAACAGAAAATGTCTGAGACAGACTGCATTAAAATAAACGAAACCAAAGAATAAACATGATCAAATACCTCTTTACCACCTGCATTAGAATTGCTACCGGGCTAGTGGTTTTGGAACACTTCTTTTTGTTGTTGATGTTGTTATTTGGCTATATGATTGGCTGTTTAAGATAACAAAGTTGATTCTAACAAAGTGAGGACAAATTGTAATACATCGAGCATACCAATCACTGTAAGAATGGCAGAAATGTTAGAGGCAATAAGCCTCACTTTTTCCAACCTCCCTTCTATTCTTCTTCACTGACCATCATTTGCAACAACTTCATTCTGATTCATAGTGATATGAATTGGAAAGAATATATTGGGGTTTTATGTGTGGAAATTATTCAAAGAGAAGACAGGTCCTGGTTTTAGTAAGATTATGTAGCATATGTTCATTGGTGAAAACTGCCTAATAAAATAGCAGAAAAGGGCTAACACTCTTAAATATCACCTGGAATCTGAGATTGTCCTAGATAATAGTACCCACTAGAATATAAACTTCGTAAGGGCAGAGATTTTTGTTTTTATTCACGACAACACCCCCAGCACCTGGCACCATGCCTAACAACTAACATATATTTATTAAATGTAGAATAAATGAATAATAAGTAGGAAACATCTGTCTAAATGACAGCCCATATTACAGAGAAAACATAGGGACAGATAGGTTCTGACAACCAGAACTGATAATCTACAGACTTCACTGCAGTACAGCAGCTACTGGACACATGTGGCTATTGAATACTTGAAATGTGCCTAGTCTGAATTGAGATATGCTGTAAATATAAAATGTATATTGTATTTTGAAGACTTTGTACAAAAGTAGAATGTAAAACAACATCTCAGAAACTATTTTATTGACATTTTAAAATAGTATTTTGGGTATATTGGGTTAAATATTGTATTAAAATTAATTCCACCTGCTTCCTCTTACTTTTTTTAAATGTGGCTACTGAAAAATTTCATATTCCGTAATGTGTCTCACCTTCAGGATTCACATCCTATTTTTATTGTACAGTACTGATCTAGATTTCTCTTACGTATTTCAGGCTTCGTCTAATAGAGGGCATAAATCTCAACACAAGTCACAAATTACTTTTACTTCATAATTTTGAAATCTTGAAATAAAAGATAAGTTATTTTCTCTACATGTTTATCTACCTGTGTATTTTCTTCATGCATACTTACCTACTCTATATTCCTGTCTCCTCCACTATTTTGCAGGTCTCTGGGGAGTAAAGACTATTCATTTATTACTACTGTCCTAGTACCTAGAACACTGCCTTAGCTTCTGCTAGGCATCAAACATTTCTTAAATGGGTAAATGAATAAATATTCATTTTTATTGTTCATCTACCAAGAAAATTTTCTATGACTCATCAAACTATCACCAAATCATTCTTGGAGTGCCAAGAACCCAAGAAGTGAGTGGTCTTGTTTTTCCTCCCACCCTCCTCTCTCCCCATCCCTTACTTCCCCACCTTCCCCCAACATGCCCCTCTCCACTCTAAACACATATTCTTTTTTAGTAAATAGAGGAAGAGCGAGGAATAAGAAGCTGCTTTAAAAATTGCAGATGTCTGCCTTTGTCTTTTCTTCCTTGGTAGCCTTGGGGTAAAATGTTTGGCTACAAAAGAAACAATAAGAAACCTTAATTAGTTCTTTGAAATGCAAGCTCATCATAATTAACACCTGGAAACTGTTACAAAATGTCACTTGTAATACAAGAAGGTACACCAATTTGATTATCAGCATTTCTCCAAATTGGACCAATTAGTCCTTTCCCTAATTAATGGTATTTTATTTACCTTACAGTCAAACACTGATAATCAGTTTGGAACAAAAAGAAACATAATAGGCATGTATGAAAAACACGTGAGACATAAAATGAAATGTTTTTATGGGGGTAAAATTAAGCTACTACTATAGGATATTCCTGGTGTCATTCCTGTTAGCATTTTGACAAACAGCAGAAATTCTTACACATGTTGAAGGCGGAACACAGTGGCATGTGGTCCTTGAGATACAGGAAAAGATCATTCGTGTTTTGCATCCCTGAAGTGAGAGCCAGTCTACAGTCAGAATTAAGGCTTAATTTACAACCGAAATATAAAATGTTCCAGATTGGGTGACTTGACTTTTCCTTGAGGAAGATAGCGTTTTGATTGACTCTTAAGCATTTAAAATGTTTGGCACAAACCACGGAGCAAACCATTGCAGATGGAATCAAAATAGCCAATAAATCACTGAGAAAAGACAAGGTCTGCAGTGTGGGATTTCTCAACTGACTTTGCTTCAGGAAAAAAAAAAAAGGCAAATCAGCTGTGGAACTTTGCTCAGATCGCAGTTAGAATTTCCAATTTCAGCTTCAAAGATATGGACGGACTCCAGAAGATAAGATTCCAAGCTTCAAGAATAAAATTATGAATTGAGGAAAATGCTGTAATCATACCCATGCAGAACCATTGCCTGAAGTGTTTAAACCAACAAACAATGGGGAGGTTACTGTAATTTATTTTAACGCGTCCATCCCTACTTCTGGCTCCAGGCACACAGATACTTCCTTCTCCTATTCCTGACCTCCATATTAATTGCTTCTCTGTGTCGTAAGTCTTCAAGGTCCTGTTATCTGCTGGTTGACAGCTTGTTTAGATTAATCTGTATTAAAATCTTATCTCACAAGTAACCCTAAAATATTTTAATTGATGCCTTTGAGATACATGACTTAGCTGCACAGGTACAGAGAGTTAGATCTGCAGGTTTGACAATCCACAGTGTAAATATAACAGATCTCTCTGGAGCATGAGCCTTGTCTGAATGATGCACCCCTTCGGCAAAAGTGGCTGCTTTGATCCAGGTAGTGGTTTAGGTACTTGTCGTGCATCCGTAAAACACCAATGACTACCTTTGCCCTTTAAAGTTCAAGTGCAGTTGGGAGTAGGGAGAGAAGAAAATAAATACTAAACAGGCATTTGTTCAGAAATGCTTTCAATGTAAAACTTATTCAATAGAATGTAAAGTTTAGATTGAAAAAAATAAAGCTGAACATTTTTTAAAGGAATCTGTTTATTTGAAGTGGATTTACTTCAAATAAGAAGTATGGGGTGTGTGCAGAGGGGCTTATTACATAATCCCTTTCTTTTGCTTTCTGAAGTGTTTTTAGAGCATTTTTGAAGAACTAAATGAAAAGAAGTGACATTCTTGGTAGAAATTTCCAGCTGGGTCAGTGAGGCTGTGTCACCCTCTACAACTGTAGCCAGCAGCTTTGATTCACTGCCTAGTTTATGCAGTAGTCCCCCTCTGCAAGGTGGTATTTAGAATAATGCCTTAGTCCAAAGGGGTCAAGCATCCAAGATAAATAGCTAAAGGAAAATATACGTAAGTAGAGCAAGTAAACAGGCATAATCGGTTAAATTTTTTATCAGAAAAAATAGGGGCATTTATTCTTTTCTCAGAATCCTGTAACTTTCTTGCTGTGGCTTCAACCCAGCACCCTGACCTTCCTTACATTGAATGTAAAGTGTAGAATCTATTCATTTAAAACACGCTCTTCCTAAGTGCCAAAGGCACAAGGACCTACCCTCTTACTTACAGTGAGATGAAAAGAAAGTTGAGAGAGCAGCAGAGGTAGCATCTTGAAAGAAATCCAGCTTGGGTTTAAACCTTAGAAACCCCTGTGACTAGAGCTTGTTGGGTATTTCTTACAATTGTTGTCACTGCAACACTTTCTGTCTGTCTAATTAGAACTGGTCCACACTGATCCTTGAAATATCACCTAATGTTGTTACTCAGATGGAAGCTGAAATCTAAAAGATGCAAGAATTTCGAGCTGAGGTGGATGTACCATGAAACAGTGAAGCTTATGTTCCAGGACCCTTCCCTTCCACTAACCCTAGCCAGGACCTGGGAGAAGCCCGAGCAATGTGTTCTCAAGATCACAAGTCTTCGTATATTTTGCAAAAGTGAGATATGTTAACTGCAATTCCTTAAGTTTGTCAATTTTATTCAATTCCAACTCTGTTGTATTATACTTCCCCTTGTGGTTGATGACTTTGGAATAGTAATCAACATTTTCATAGTTACACAATATGAAATTAATGTAGAAATACATTTAGGTTAGTGGGATATATTTTTGTGATTGGCAATAAAGAGACAGACAAGAAAGGGGTCCCCCGGGAACCTCTGACTGGTTTGTGCACTGGGAGGAGGACGTACTGGGGTGGAGCTAAGGAAGTTCACCCCATTCGCCGCTGCGAAGAGCCTGGCCCCTCCTCTTCCTTGGTGGAATCTGGGATTCAATCTGTGAGGCAGGAAGCGTGTATAGCAGGACCCTCATTCTGCTGAGAGTCCCTGTTTCCCTTTTTGACCAAAAAGTTCCATTTTTCTCACCCTTTAAAGTGTTTGCAAGCCTAATATTTCATGGCTGTGTGACAAGGACCTAGCTCTTGGCTCAACTACGGAGAAAGTCCTACAACAATAACATACATGTACAGTTATGTGATTGCTAATTTACCCAGAACAGAAGATAAGTCGCTTCTGGGAACATTCCTGCTGTCCACTGTGCTGATTCTCTTAGCATTCCTTCATGAACATCAGAACCAGAAGGTGTATTGTGATATTAATATGTCCTCTGACACACACCAGTGGTAGTATGTCAGCAGTAGAGGAAAAATAAGATTTTGAAATATGCGTAGCCAGAAAGTAGGATGTGGGCAATTCTTCCGCATCAGAAATATAAAATTGTTAACTGTAAGATTTGTTTCTTGTTGGTATCTAGTCATAATAGAAGTTCTCTCCCATCAGAAATATTATTAACAAACATGGCGGCATATACAATTACAAATGCACCATACTTTGTTTTTCTTTTTTGAACAGAAAAGCAACACTAAAATTTGTCAGAGTCTCCATGTTTGTAAGATGTAAACCTATGGAATACTAAAAAATTCAAATATAGCTGTAAGTAGAATCACATGTTTTATGCATTCTAAGAGTTTTGAATTATGTTTCAGAATCTCTGATGCTTCTTGTCCTGGAAAAATCTGGTAGTTCCTGGTAAAATCTGTCACTAAGACAATAAAATTGGCCAAAGAAACAAGTGTTAGAGCGACAAAGCTATTAATTATGTAAATAATCAGCAGTGTAAGTTGTGTAAAAATGATGAGTACACAACTATGTAACCTAACACAAGCAGTGGCAATTTAAAATCATTTAAATTTCTCTTGTGTATGCTTTAACTTCAGATTAATTTTACATTTTTTCAGAACTGTTGATTATTATCTCAAAATTCAGATATGGCAGGAAGAAAATATCCTAATGGAAGCTAAAAACATAACCTGAAAGAAAAAAGACTGGGTGAAACTTCTACATATTAAAGATCCTTCATACATAAGTACTGAAGATTAAAAACTCTGGTCAAAATCATAATAACCAGTAATAGAATTACAGTAATCTAGAAAATATAGATAATGAAAATGACAAGAAGAAACAGGATAATTAGAAGAATCAGGGCACTATCAAACAGGAAAAAACATGCAGAAGATAAAATTCTTATGAAGTAAATCAGTTTGTATGGACATCAGACATTAGCGCATACATGAGATCAACAAGTGCCTTAATTTTGATGAATTCATTGACTTAAATAAGAACCATGCCTGTTACAATGAAGAATAATTTCATTCAACACTGTTTAAAGAAAGTCAGATGGATTTCAATAATATCAAACAGATCTATCACTCAAACAGAACTTATAATGGCCAGAAGAGATGTTTCTCAAACAAAAAATTAAGAAAATTAAAAATAGCTAAACTCATTTATGATAGCCTAATCTAACTGGAGGTTGCATATATTATTTTATTATTATTATTATTATTTTTTTAAGTCAGAGTCTCGCTCTGTGGCCCAGGCTGGAGTGCAATGGTTGTGATCTCAGCTCACCTCCCGAGTTCAAGCGATTCTCCTGCCTCAGCCTCCCAAGTAGCTGGAATTACAGGCATGCACCATCATGCCCAGCTAATTTTTGTATTTTTAGTAGAGATGGGGTTTCACCATGTTGGCCAGGCTGGTTATTTTATTTTTAAATCACTCTTAGCAAGACCAACATTACTTAATAATGCATATTTTTCTGGAAGAATATGTTGAAAGCCCTCGAGACTACTTCACAAAGACTAAGCAGGTTGTTTATTTGAATGTCATGTAAATAAATAAAAATGCACCAGGACAATGTATTAAACACATAATAAAAATAATGTTTCTTTCAATTGCTTTAAAAAATACTTATAATTAGTGTATTTTTAAGCAAAAGAAGTTCGTCCTTCAAAATTCTTTGTCACTAAGTTACAATCTTAGAATAATAAAATTCATGGTTAACTTCAAACTGATTGCTGAACTGATTTGTTTTTGCACAAGAACTTGGGAAAATATCAAAATGGATAAAATGTAACTGATTTGCCCACAAAAGTTGATCAAAATAACCGGAAATATCTGTAAAATGAAATAACAAATAAAATAAATAATCCAGACATCAAATATCACTTCATTGCTGTAGATTCCACCATAGATGCATGCTATGACTGATACATTATAACTGATAAATTACAGAATATTGATATGTATTGGGTGTTCTATTATAGCAGAAAACCAAGCAAGTGACTTTTACCTTTTTCACCATTGTAAGACCATGTATCTGTGATGTTATTCAACAAAATGAAATTAGTTCTAGAGAGATGTAACCAGCCATTGAACAACATTTTAAAGTTTGTAGAACATGATCTATGAAGAAAGACTTCCCTCACGTGATCTTTGAAGAAAGACCTGCCTGAAGTTGTTGACTACTTCATGTTTTGCAACATTTATATGTTTTTTCTCAAGAGATCTAACTGTAAAATATCCTTGCCAGATCCTTGGAGTCTTTTTTCTTTTCTTTTCTTTTCTTCTTCTTTTTTTTTTTTTTTTTTTTGGAGGCGGAGTCTTGCTCTGTCACCCAGGCTGGAGTGCAGGAGCGTATCTTGGCTCACTGCCACCTCCGCTTCCCGGGTTCCAGCGATTCTCCTGCCTCAGCCTCCGGAGTAGCTGGGATTACAGGCACCCACCATCACGCCTGGTTAATATTTGTATTTTTAGTAGTGACAGAATTTCACCATGTTAACCAGGCTGGTCTTGAACTCCTGATCTCAGGCAATCCGCCAGGCTTGGCCTCCCAAAGTGCTGGGATTACAGGCATGAGTCACCGTGCCCGGCCTCTTTGGAATCTTTTTGTGTGTGGTTGGTTGGCTGATCTTTCGTTTTGCTCTGTTTTTGAGTCTAAATATAATAAAATGGTCTACCCTTTAAGGAGTTGTTGTAAAACTTAAAGGACTCTAAATATGTTCTGGATATTTGAAAGAAAGGCTTGAACAAACCAAGATGCAAAAGTTTATTCAAAAGTTGATAAAGTTCGAATACATTCTTTGCATTTGGAAAGTTATATTGGAATATTTCAGTTAAAAAGTGTGAAACGACAGATCCTTGAATTGGATGCATATGAAAAGTACTTTCTTTTGTCTTTTAAAATTTCTTTATTAAAGCACTGGGGAAAACTCATATAACATGAATCCAATATGAAATGAAAGCAGTAAGATGATTAATGTAAATTATGTTGACATAAAGAAAAACCTGAGCAAAAAAAAATGCTCAGATCATATCAAAGAAGTATTAATCAAAGTAATTAGAAGTTTTAAACAGAAGTAATGAATAATTCTTGAATTGTTTGATAAGCCAGGTAATGATGATTGTGGATTTGACATGAAATGTTGACACGTCAATGTCAGTATAAAACTCTTAATATGCCACTGCAATGAGGACATTGATGATGAACTATTTCATGTATATCATTGATTCAAAACACTAGTCAACGCAGAAGAGTACCTGAAATCATATATCTCATATACGAAGAAAACTAGACTGAGCTTTTTGCAAATTTGATCAAAATTCAAAAAATTTAAATAATGTTTCCCATAACAAGTTGTTAAAGTGAAATAAAATTTTCTAATAAAAGCTGGGCATGGTGGCTACATTTGTAATCCCAGCACTTTGGGAGGCCTAGGCGGGAGGATAGCTTCAGGCCAGGAATTCAAGACCAGCCTGGCCAACACAGAGATCCCATCTCTACCAAAAAAATGAAAATAAAAATAAAACAAATTTCAATCAGTTGTGCTATGTGAAGCAAAATTGTCTTTCTATTCTTTCCATAGAAAATGATATGGCAAGATCATTGTCATATACAAAGAGAATCAAAAAATATAGTAGCCAGATTATGTAGAGAGAAAGTATTAAGCATGTGAGTTGGGAAATTAATTAATAAATCATATTCTGCTTATTGGGGAGGAAATTTGCTATATTTTTGGTAGTTAGTAGCTTTTTATATTTGTAATTTGTCATAATTTACTTTATTATTCTAAGAAAGCACTTAATTCTATTCATAATTTTGTATTACTTTTCTTAAAGAGATCTTCTCATACCATAAATTTTTAGGCTTTACAAAAACTTGGATCTTATCTCAATTCTGAGAACTTTGGGAGCCTTAGTCTATGTTTGGGCATTTCAGATTATTATCCATTTTAGTTCCAAACTACAGGGAAACAGTTTTCAGTACTGAAGGTTTTTCTCAAGGGTGTTTTACATGGTGTCTTAGTTCATTCAAGGTACTTTAACAAAAAAACCCACAGATGGAGGACTTATAAAAAACAGACACTTATTTCTTATAGTTGTGGAAGCTGGAAAGTGCAAGATCCAGGTGCCAACAGATTTGGTGTCTGGTGAGGGTCCCCTCTCTGGATAGACAGCTGTCTTCTCATTACAATCTCACATGGCAGAAGAGGCAAGGGACCTTTCTGGGATCTCTTTTACAAGCACACTAATTCCATTCAAGAGGACTCTGGCCTCTGGAACTAATCCCCTCTCAAAGACCCCACCTCTTAATATCATCACTTTGGGGGTTAGGATTTTAACACATGAATTTTGAGGGAACTCAGACATTCAGGCCATAGCACATGGGAAAATGTGGAAGTCACTAATTGACAGATCAATCACTTCTTCAAGGTATGACCATGATCCTTGCCGACCACCTTCCCACAGTGGGTCAAGAGAGGTCATGGTTTTCTTTAATAGGAAGTTTGTGATGTTTCCACTTGGATAGAAGCACTATTTTTAATCTGTATGGTCTGCTGAACCTCCGCCTCAATTATGAAATGCCTGCCTTTATTCTTTCCTTCTTTTATTGTGCATCAGCCACAGGGTTCCTGAGTTCTCTACCCCTAGGGCAAATGGCTATTATCAGTATGAGTGCAAAAATAACATGAAGATAAAGTTAGAAAGCAGTGAGAAGACTTTGAAACCCAAATCCTCATTCATTCACTCATGAATTCATTCACCCAACCAATAGATGTATGTTAAGAACCTATTATATTCTAGGTCTCATCTAGGACAGATGTGAGACAACCAAAAATAGTATCAAGTTTTTAATCCTTGATAATAACCAATAACTGTAGTAGTGTATGGTTTAAAACTGGCCTACTGTGACTGACTGGTGAAAGTAAAACCAGGAGTTCTTTTTTTTTTTTTTCCTGTTTCCCCTCTTTTCATTCACCTGCCTACTTCAGTCCTTCGGAGACCACTATGGCCAATGACTCAGAATGACAATGTGCTGGATTGTACTAAAGTCAACTTGGATAATCTTGAACAACACTTTCCAATTTCTGCTTCTCTCTTCTGTGCTGTTTTCCAGATATTGATCTTGGCTGCTGTCTCAGCTGAGTAACACCAATTCTGAGATCACCATAAAATTTTTGGCTACAGACCCAGAGGCAACAGTCATATAGAGGCAATAGCTTTCCACAGACCCATCCATGAGCTCCCTTTCTGCAGTTACACCGTGGGTGCCCTACACTCTTAAAATGCATTTCAGCATCTCCTCCAACTCATCCCCGGTTCAGCATTTCAGGAGGAATGGCTAGTGGCTTTTGTGTGATTCTCCAACTTTCCTTTCTGGACTTTCACTTAACTGCTTTGTTCACAACTGTGGAAAGTCCACCTCACATAATAGATCCATATCTCATAATACTCATATGGCTCTGCTTCCCTTACTGAATTCTAACTGACACAGTGACTTGTACCAGAAGTGGTTTCAGGAAAATAGAACCTTAAAGATGGGAATCTGGTATTGATTCTCTCATCTGACTAGATATAAATTTCCTTATTGCCATGGTGAATAAGACACTGGCAGTCTGTAGCATGCAGTGGCAAACAATACCTAAATTATCACCTGTAGGCATCTAAGGTCAGGAGCAAGTGTTCTTGGAGGACAAGATGCTGGGTGATCAAGTGGCTGCGGATATAAAATATTTTAGAAAAACTGAAGGATATAAAGACTGTGGGTTTTCTTGGCAGCTTTCAAATATGCTAGAGACCTAATGAAAAGAAGTTGATTAGCTCAGGACTTTAACTGTCTATATCAAGGTCCAATTATAAACCATGAAATGTCTATGGCTACCCTGAGAGAAATCCCCATTTCCTGGTGCTACAAAGTCAAGAATTCTCAACACTAACCTTATGGAATCTTATCTATTAAATTTGGAAAGAAGTGAGACCATTAAAAATACGGGAATAGGGTCATATAGGCAGTTTCTTATGAGTTTAGAGACCTTAACTCCCAATCTGATCAAGTCTCCTTTGCCAGTGAAAGCAATTTTTTCTTCCCTTTCTGATGAGATTAGCCTCTCCTTGTCTGAGAAACCTGTAATGCCTTGCCAGGAAACTTCCTTAATACCCACCCTCACCGCCTTTTAAATGTAACAGCTTTATTAAGTTATAATTCACATACTATACAATTCACCCATTTAAAGTGTATTTCAGTGGCTTTTAATATATTCACAGGATTCTGCCATCATCACCACAATCAATTTTAAAATATTTCCATGACCCCATCTCTTAGCTATCACTCCTCTGATCCCTCCCTCCCTACCATCCTGCCTCCAGCCCCAGCATTGGACAACTGCTACTATTCTATTTCCGGTCTTTATAGGTTTTCCAATTATGGACATTTGATATAAATTCGATAATGAGTATGTGATTCTTTTCGACTGAATTCTTTCACTCAGCATAATGTTTTCACGACTGTTTCATGTTGCAGCATGTATCAGTCCTTTGTTTCTTTTTGTTGCTGAATGGTATTGCACTTACAGATATATCTCATTTTGTGTACCCATTTTTGCTCAGTTAACAGCCATTTCAATTGTTTCAACATATTGGCTATCATGAATAATGTTGTTATAAATATTTGTGTGTACAAGTACTTATATTGACCTATATTTCCATTTCTCTTGGAAATCTAAGAGATTTATAATAATGTTATAAATATTTGCATACAAGTTTTGTATGGATCTATATTTCTATTTCTCTTGAAAATGTATATGCCTAGAAATGGAATCTAATTCTAATCTAATTCCACTTCTAAGTATATATATATATATACACACACACACATACACACATACATATATGCCCTATACATAATACCTTATGTGTATGTGTGTGTGTGTGTATATATATCCTATATAAAGAAAGAATATATATATATCTAGAATGTATCATATATATATTTGGAATTGCTGGGTCACATGTTATCCAAAGGCTCCAAGAGATGAGAATACTGGAGTGGGCTTATTGTGAGAACTGCTCACCCATACCCTAATCTTGTTCTGGAGGATATTTCAGAGGACACTATCTTCACCACAACCTTAGGAAATACACTGGGAAGGGAGCACCAGCCTCCTTGAAAAGCTGCGTGATAACTATTCTTTATAAGCCAGGAATAAGAGGATAAATTGCTTCTATCAAACTAAGCTTTCTAAATTCAATGGAGATAACAGATCTTGGAATAGCAGAGGCCAAGTATTCCTACTCAATTGCCAAGGCCAAGATGGACATGGTTAATGGGTTGAGAAACAAACCAAAGTCAGTAATCAGAATATAAATAAAAGAAAATATATGAAAGTGAGCTGATTAATGGAGTTTTGGCTTGGTTATATTTCTTAGTATGCCAAATGGGTCCCCAACTCAACCCATAATTATATCCCAGTTCTGGAATCACAGTGATGTGACTTATAAAAAATGTTAATCTTAGTTATCATTGTGTCCCCAAGAAGAAATTGTAGTCAGATTATTTAACATTTTGCTTAATCTGAACACATTAAAAACTATAGTTCTGGCCCGGCCTGGTGGCTCATGCCTATAATTCCAGCACTTTGGGAGGCCAAGGAGTTGGCACTCAGCCTGGCCAACACAGTGAAACCATGTCTCTACTAAAACTGGAAAAAATTAGCTGGGCATGGTGGCACATGCTTGTAATCCCAGACACTCAGGAGGCTGAGGCATGAGAATCTCTTGAACCCAGGAGACAGAGGTTGCAGTGAGCTGAGATCGCACCACTGCACTCTAGACTGGGTGACAAAGACTCTGTCTCAGAAACAAAACAAAAACTATAGATCTGAGGGAAAGAGGACTGATACAAATCACCACAATAGAGTTGTGATTTATTCCAAGTCTTGAGTCAGTTCACAGTTCCAGAGTCCCTTAAACAAAGAGGAAACTGGGTTGTCCTAAGGAAGGATCCTATGGTATCAACAAAATCAATCCTATGCTACAGATCTTGCCTCTCGTGTTCCCCAGTGTTACCTGCACACATTCAGCAGAGTGACTGTGCATGGTGGGTGGGGAGGGGGACAAAATAACTAGAGTTTTGGTGATATTGGCCATTGGCTCTGAACCACTAATTCTTAGAGACCTAAAATCTCATGGTAATCTGCCAATCAGAAAGGGAATGTATGGAAGTGAGCTGATTAATGGAGTTTTGGCTTAGTTATATTTCTCAGTGTGCCAAATGGGTCCCCAACTCAACCAATAGTTACATTCCAGTTCTGGAATGCATAGTTCAAATAGACATACTCAGCAACTGGTAGAATGGCCACACTGATTTCTTGACTTATAGAGTGAGAGCTATTAAGATTAGAAAGGCCAAGTGTTCCTGTAATCACAGCTACTCAGAGGCTGAGGCAGGAGAATCGTTTGAACCCGGGAGGCAGAGGTTGCAGTGAGCCGAGATCGCGCCATTGCTCTCCAGCCTGGGTGACAGGGCGATACTCCTTCTAAAAAAAAAAAAAAAAAAAAGCCAAGTGGAAGCCACTGGAACTGACTCTACGTAAAGCATAGTAAATTGAAAGCAATCCTGCATTACCGGGGAAATTTTCAAGATTCAGGCCACTATCAAGAACTTGAAAGATTCAGAGGTGATGATTCCTATGCCATCCCTATTCAACTGCCTGTTTGGCTTAGGCAGAAGACTGATGGATTATTCTTGTAGAATATGATATGTTATTCTAAATGCAATCAGGTGGTGATTTCGATGCAATTTTTCTTCCAGATCTGGTTTTGCTGATGGAGCGAATGAACATTTCCTCTGGCACCTGATAGGGACGTATTGATTTAATGAATGATTTTTCTGTTTGTAAGAGACCAATGGAACAGTTTGCTTCCTTCCAGCAGGATCAGCAATACACCATCACCATCCTACCTCAGCTATACTCTCTCCAGCCTTCTGTTACAGCCTGTTGTACAGGAATTCCCTTTCTCTTTCACTGGACATCACTCCAGTCCCTCACACTAGACGTATGAATAGACCTGTTGAACAAGAAGCCGCCATTTCACTGGACAGCTTGGCATACTTATTTGCCTAGATGCCTGCTTAGTTTGGCAGTGGCAAGAGGTACTAATTTTACAAGACTCTTATATCAGAACACATGTTTTAGTTACTAGGTTAAATCAAAAGTTTCTGACCACAGCTCAGTGAAAGTACATTCTTCCCTAGTGTTTTATTTTACCAATATATTTTACACTGGAGATGCCAGAAGTTTTACTCTGACCACAGATTTACCCAAAATTTCCTCTTCAGCTTCAATTTTAATCTCAATGTTTGGAAAGTTCAAGAGCTTGATAGGTATTTTAATGACATTTCTGGTCTGTCTGAACTGATTTTTTCCGTGAATAATAATATATCACAGTATGCCTGATCACCAAATCTTTATCAGAAAAAAAGCATCATTTTATTTAGATTTACTAGTAATATCTATTTCCATGCAAATTTAATAAACATTTTAGTTATAACCTACAGTTTGAAAACTCCTGTTATTTGTTTTTTTGCATTGAGTCTCCCAGTATTAAAGTATAATGATCTTTTATTATTGTAAAAGAAAATTGATAATTATGGTGAACACTGATGTTTGAATAAACTACATTGAATAAAGTACATTCAAATCATTAAATATGGGGAAAAATGATAGTTATTACACAACTTAAAAATGAATTAGTAAATAATCTTAAGAATAATATATTTATAATTTTTTATTTAAAAAATTTAAAGAAAGAAAACATTATTTTTGAGCTAATAAATATATAAAATTTAAATAATAATACAAGATAGATAAATAAAGACTAGGCTTAATCATATTCTCATTTTATAAACTTGCTATACTAGTATAGCAAGGTTAAATAATATAAACTTTAAGAACTCTTTATTTTAAAAATTATTTTATGCTATTTAAATCTTTAAACTTAGGAGTCCTATGGAATTTTTTTTACATTTCATGAAGATGAATTAGAAGCATAATATCACCTTTTCCATATATAAAATTTATAAGCAGAAAAATCCTCCAAAATGATACCTAAACATCTTCCGTAAGTCATCTTTTAAATAAATAGCACTAAGACTACAAAGAATGTAAAAATACGTGAAATACCAAAAATCCATTTTATGCTCACTGATCCAACTTCAGAAACCAGATTTCATAAAAGCAGTTTATAAAGATAATTCGTCATAGTTTAGAGTCTGTGGAGGCCAAGTTTTCAAACAGAAAGCTAGCCAACATTATTGTCATCAGCTGCCAATAATTCAGTAATTGAAAAATTGAAAACTATTTCTTTTACATTTTCCTAAGCTAATAATTATAGGCACAATGTTCTTCCTAAAAAAGTATCTTACTCTGCAAAGATCCCATTCAGAATTTTTCAGTATTTCAGATTAGCTCTTTGTCTTCTTGCTATGCAGTTTGCCTCTCCAAGCAGCAAGTGATGATGTCTGCATAAGGACAGTTATCTGCAATGATAAATACTAAAAGTTGTAGGTCAAGTCCATTGTGCTAACTTTTCTTCTGCTGGGGACACTGAGATTTCCTCCTGCATCACAAATATGTGCACTGTTAGAAGTACTGCTTTCCCTGAATTGAGGCCAACTCCACATATGCCTTTGCCTATGAATGCCACAGCAGGAGAGTTTATTGTCCTCCTTGGCTCTTGCTAGGAAAATAATCTCTTCTCCACCAAGTCTAGCATCAGAACTTGCTGCCATTGCAGAAAAGCCCTTTTCTCTTTTGGTTATTTTCTATCTGACAGTATTAAAAGTCCCCCTGGCTACATCTCTTGTTAATAAAAGTTGTCCATTGATTGCAAGCAAAAAATAAAAAATAAAGAAAGTTCACCAATAATTTGACCTTAATTTTTGAATGAGTTATATATATATGTTTGCATTTAATTTTATATTTAATAGTAACAGCATGCCTATGTTCATTCAACATTCATTAATTCAACAAGTTCATTGAACACCTGCTATGTACCAACCATACTCCTATTTGCAGTGAGACAGGTTTGCTTTTCTCCTTATGACAGATAAAGAAACAGAGTCAAGAAATCTCACAGAACTATTTATTCCAGAGCACAGACTACAACCCAAACTTGGGCCTTGCTTTTTTATCCAGTTCAATGGTCCCCGCCTTTTAATTCGAGTGTCTCAGCCCTTTGCATCTAACATAATTATTGATATCATTGGTTTAAGTTTGCCAGATTGCTATTTGTTTTCTATTTACTCTATTGGTTCCTCATTCCCTAGGCTTTTATTTACAATTTTTAAAAATATTGCTCTAGGGATTTAAATACACATCATTACCTTCTCCTATTTGACCTTAAATTATTATAGTACCACTCCACAGTGTAATTCAACACTTCGGACTTCAACAGTGTAATTTCTTTCTCCCATTACTCAATTTTAACATATTTTACTATGTAGTGACTCCACACTATGTTATGTTAAGTGTCAGCTGTCTTTCAAATAAATTAAGAAAAGGAGTAGTTGCTTACCCACATAATGAACATTTCCAGTGAACTTAATTTTTCCCTATAGATTAGAGTTGAGGTATACTTCTCACTTACCTTGAAGAACTTCATTTAGTGCTTTCTGTAATGCAGGTATGCTGTTATTTTGAGAAGCTCTTTCTCTGGACACAGGATGAAATTCTGTGATAAAATCTTTTTTCTTTCTTTTTATTGACAAATATTGTATTCCATCATCTTTCAGTTTCCATAATTTCTGGTGAGATGTTCATGATATCTCTTGTAATTGCTTTACTTTCATTTTCTTTTTTCCTCCTTTCAGGCTGTTTTTATGATAGATAGCCTCTTTTTGTTTAACTTCAGAGGTCGGACTACAATATTGCCCATTATACTTTTCTTTGTAGTTATCCAGATTGCTGGTTGATGTCTTTCTTACACATATGGGTTGATTATTTTTCACCAAGTTTAGAAAAATGTTGACTGTAATTTCTTTATATTTTCCTGCCCTTTCATCTCTTTTTCTATGACTCCAATTATACATATGTTTACTCATTTGATATGGTACCACAGGTCACTGATACACTGATCATTTTTTTAGTTTTCCGTTGTTGTTTCTCTGTGCTTTTGTTCATAGCATTTCTGTTGATCCACCTTCAAATGTACAACCCTTTGTTTAACAATGTTCAAGTTTCTGTTAAGATGTTTAATGAATATTTTTATTTCATTTACTATATTTTTAAATTTCCAAATTTTTGCTTGGCTAATTTTAGAGCTTTATTTTTTTCTAAAGATTCATCTCTTCTCTTGTTATATGCATGTTTTCCCATTAATAACTTAGCATGTTTGTGATGAATATTTTAAATTATTTGTCTGATGGTCTTAATACACAAGTTATATGTGTATTTCCTTCTATTAACTCTCTTAACTCTTGATTATGGGTGATATTTTTCAGCCTGTCCACTTTTCCAAGTTTTCTTGTATTCCAGATTTTTACCCGTTTGTATTGTCTTCCCAAAAAATTCAAGCCTTTCTCTCGGTATATTGGGAAAGGTCAGGGAATTCTCATTTAGATTTCTCTCAGGTATGAGTAGAAATGGTGCTTGACTACAATTTTAATTACATTAATTTCACTAATCTGCCACAGTTTTCACTGGATTAAGTTCTTAATGCTGCCACTGAGGGACTGAAGTCTGATTTTCTGGGCTTTTGATCTGAGAGGAGTTTCAGATGGTTTTGGTTCAATTTTTTAAGTGAATTCTTTTAAGGATATGAAACCCCTGAATGAGGTGTAAAGTCAGTAATCGTGGTAATCTTATGTTTTTGCTTTCCTTTCCATTCTAATTTTTAATGTGAACCCAGGTCCTTCTAAATTTGAATTGATATTTTTTCTTTTCTAAGTACATTTGTCTTTTAGTCTTCCTGTGATAATATGTACATTTTTATAAAATTTGCATTTTTAAGCATACATGTGGATTTAATTAAAAGTGAACTAGAATAGTTTCATCTTTTAAAGAAGGCAAAATTTTAAAATACACAAAGATCAATAAAGGTGTCATTATTCAAACTGCCAGAATACTTATTATGTCTAATCATACTGATGGAAAAGACAACCGGATACATCAAATACTAATAACTTTAGAGTAACAGCAGCAAAAAATTAATTACAATGTACCAAGATAATTACAAATAAAATAATCCATACATAAAAAATCAATCTTATATGAAAAAAATCCACTAAGAAAGACTGATTCAATTCATAAAAATCTAGGAATTTTTGTAATAGGTTATTTTGATAATGAACACTCCTCTAAAATTTAGTTACATGAGAGAAGAAAAAAGAATTAACACTAACGGAAATGTATATGCATTATTAAGATTTAGAGAAAGAACCTCACAAATATGAAGAAGAGATGAGTCTTGAATTTTGCACTAAAGTGGATGTGTCACCTCAGTCATTTAGAGAACTAAATCTGTCCTCAAGCTTCTGACTATAGAAGTATACATATTTGCCATGATTCAAAACCAGAAGAACTATGAATAGCAGTCACCACTTTTAAAATTTATCAAAACATGAGTAAATAAGTAGAAATCCAAAATATAATAATGGAGATTGCTTTCTCAAGATCTATTATAATTGAGAAGTTATTATTTGTCAATATGAGAAAATATAAATATTTACATAAGACCTTATTAACAGTGACTCCAACAATACTTAGCTTTTATACAGTGGATTATGTACTGAAATAGGTAGAATGCAGATGAAATCCTTTAGAATGATGATGTTCAAATTGGAGGCTATGCGGTCTTTTTGGGTCAAAAGGCATGTACTGACAATAATATAAGCACAGAGAGAGGTAGTAGCAATGTCATAATTAAGGGCTTAAACTCAGGAGTCAGACTGCCTGGGTTCAAATAAAGGCCGAATTATTATTTTTATTTTATTTTGTTTTGTTTTATTTTTTGGAGACAGTTTTTCACTCTGTTGCCCAGGCTGGAGTCTACGTAGTGGTGTGATCTCAGCTCACTGCAACCTTCATCTTCTGGGCTCAAACAATCCTCCCTCCTCAGCCTCACGAGTAGCTGGAACTACAGGCATGTGCTTCCACACCTGTCTAATATTTTGTATTTTTTCATAGAGTCAGGGTTTTGCCATGTTGCCCAGGCTGGTCTCCAACTCCTGGGCTTAAGTGATCCACCCACCTCAGCCTCTCAAAGTGCTAGGATTATAGGAGTGAGCCACCATGACCAGGATGTATTATTTAATGAATGTGTGATTTGGGCACATTGCCTATCTGAGCTTCAGTTTCCTCATTTGTAAGTTAAAGATCAACCTCACAGAGTTATATTCAAGATTAAATAAGTTAATCTAGTATATGCAAAGCATTAGAAATAATGCCTGCAATACAAGAGGCACTACATGTTAATTATTACTATTATTACTATACTATACCTAAATCCCATATATAGCAAAATACATTATAAAGAAAGTTCTATTGCTTGTATTTTTGGTAAGTTCCAAAATTTCTTTACTCCATGGAAAAATAGAACTATTATGTTTATTCTAGTCAGGTACCTGGAACAGACACAATCTTTTATTAATTTTTAAGGTACTTCTGTAAGAAGTAGGTAAGAATTGTGAGTTCTCCACTTAGACGTCAAACTTATAAAGGGATGAGAAAGTTTCAAAGACCATATTGTATTATCAATTAAAGAAGCCAATCAGTGATACACATCCTTTGCTTTGAATTTTTACATCTTTCCAAGTAGATACGTAAGGCCTAATTTTTGGGGTATTTTTTAAATTAACATATTGATCTCAGATGGAGTAAGAAACAGAAAGGCTAAGGAAAGCCCCATCCTTAAGGGATTATGGGCAGAGAACTGCAAGATGCCTAGAGTCAAAGAAGCTGGAATCTCTCCTCTAGGGATAAAGAAGTGGGAGGCTGGGACAAGCTAATTCATTCTGTCTTCCCTGATGAAGTTGTTCTCACCACTGCTCTGATAAGGGGAAAGGAAGAAGGGTTTTGTCCAACTTTTATAATTGTTGGTCAAATAAAACATACTCTCCTGGAGAATCTTTAAGCTACCTTCTTGTCTTCTATCAGTTCTTTATCCAAGTCAACGATCGATTTTTCTCAAGTCACCAAAATCCAACAGGGTCTCTAAACTTACAAGTTATCCCAATATACCATCCCTGCCCCCACGCCTCTGCCACCCAAGGCAACTCTTACTAATAGAAGCAAATTCTGGCAAAGCTAACAATGACATTCTTTTTCTTGACGAGAAACTGTGAGAAACCCCTTCCTGACCACCTCTTCAATAAACAGCTATACTAGTTTAAAATGCAACACATATTCTCTCATTTATATTATGTAATAGGGAAAATACATGAAGTCTTGGGCTACTGTAGCCCAACAGAAAAAGTGGGTTTTAATTTATGGTCCTTCACTTGGAATGTTAAAAAGTATCTCTACCAGCCATGAGCCTGCTTTCTGTATTTCAGTCTTAATAGGTAGATTTGGTATTGGTAGAAGAAAGCCTGCTTTTTCTTTTTCTTTTTTTTTTTTTTTTTGAGAAAGGCAAACACAGTACATAGCCTGAGCATGCATATAGAAATTACATCTCATATTTGAAAAGAAAAATCAAAAACACCAATGTTGGCCACATTTACCTAAGCAATGTAAACCATGAAATGGAATTTGAGAATGCACAAAGTTTAATTCGATGGCCATTGATACAGACTACTTTTTTTTTTTTTTGCCTAATTAGTGTAAATAACTTACAGTCACTCACTATGTGTTAGAGATCTTCCAGACCATTTTGACTCCCTCCGTGTTACTGTATGAAGGAGAGGAAGGGATGGAGAGATCATGAGGGCATCTGAGGGCAGAATATTATTGCATTCTGTGTTTTCTTCCTCCTTTAATGTAACAGAGTATGTACATGGCTTTCATTTTGAAATTATCAGTACCTGGGAAGGAGAATTGCTCATGTAGATAAAGAAAGGAGTCCTCATTATAGACATGATTACATATCATACAGAATGCCAGTCAGAGAAACAGTTAAAATCTCAGCAGACTAATAATATTTTACTTTTTTCCACCCCCCCCGCCACCCCAACAAATACTATGACTCCTATGGCAAACATCGTGTCAGTCTTCTCATTTGTAACAAAGTTTTTGACTATCAGTACAAAGCTCCCCTTCTCCCTCTTGGCCGTTTCCATCCTTAAAAAATACAGCAAGGTCTTCCTTATTTGACCGTCATGAGGTCTCACAAGTCATGAGTGTCAGAAGTCTCTTCATCCCTGCTGACTACAAATTCTTGGAAAAGATCTTGGGTTGCTTTCATATATAAAAAGAAAAGTAAAATTCAGATGTGTAAAGAAGAAATGGAAGAACTTGAAGTTGTCTGCATTTGAGATGTGCTTCTCTTTTTCCTGAAGTCAGTTGTCAATAAACAAGGACATCATTTTAAAGTTCTGGGTTTGAATTTTCCATAAGAGTATATAACATATTAAGAAACAGTAGTTGATGCTTTCAAACATTAGTTTAAAACAGAAAAAATGGAACTTGAATACCTAAGATTTTATGTTTTTTTAAAAAAATTGCATTGATGAGTTTTCAGTTAAGTCTACATTTTTGTGAGATACATATTAGTAATGATTAACATGCCCTCAAATATTTTTTACTACTCCATAACGGTAATGTCACTTTTAAGTTATTTTCTTCCAAAGTCCACAATAAGGACATTGGCATAGGTAGGGTTCAAACTGGCTTCCGCTTATATCAACCCTCCCACTGAAGAGAAAACTGAAGTCCTGTTTGATAGCTCAAGCTAGATAGAAAGAAATCATTTGTATTTCTTATGCTGGCTTTTTTCTTTTTCTTTTTTTTTTTTTTTTTTGAGACGCAGTCTCACTCTGTCCCCAGGCTGGATTATAGTAGCGCGATCTCGGCTCACTGCAACCTCCGCCTCCCGGGTTCAAGCAATTCCCCTGCCTCAGCCTCCCAAGTACCTGGGACTACAGGCAAGCACCACCACAACCAGCTAATTTTTTGTATTTTAGTAGGGACAGGGTTTCACCACGTTGGCCAGGATGGTCTCTATCTCCTGACCTTGTGATCCACCCGTCTCGGCCTCCCAAAGTGCTGGGATTACAGGCCTGAGCCACTGCGCCCGGCCTTATGCTGATATTTTATTCCCAATAATGTTCATATTTTATTGGACTTTCTGAACAGAAAGAAATTTAGTTTGTAGGAAACCCCAGTTTATAAAAGAATCTCCCTCTTGTCATTTGTGTCCTACTGAATTGTCACTCCCACCTCCACTCATTCTTTCCTTTTTAATATTAAGAACTAAAATCATAGTTAATTTTGAGTTTATTGCAAGCCATACAGAGCCCTGGGGATTCCTCTTATTTATGGATAAAAAACATGTGCCATGCTTGTGGCTGCACTGCGGGACTCATGCAGAGATTTACAAAGGAGAGCTTTGGTCAGCAGACACCACGGCAGAGATGAGGCAATTATCTCCACACCATGTGGGCAGGGACCACATTTCTTTTAAGTGGCTTGAACCACTAAGCTTTTTTTGATAACTGTTATGGAAAATAAAGTTCATTTCCCAAGGCCCTGAATACTCTGGTTTAGAGCATTCTAAAGTGACAGGTCACCCTCTCTGCCCAAGGAGCTCTGATAGAGAATCTTACAATGAAAAGGTCTTTCCAACATGTGGAAAACATGGAACTCTAGGAGTGGAAACACAACAAAATGGGAGTCAGACACGATAGGCTTAAAGATGAAAAAGAAGGCCAGAAGGTGTAAAATCCGTCTTCTGTAACCTAGATATAAAACTGTAATACATATGTACCATACAAGTCACAAAATTTTCTAAGCACAAGATGCCTCAGTGATATTGGCAGAAGTAACCTGTAGCTACCCACTGTCTTCATGTTACTATGGGGTTTAGCTAGCCATCTTATAGAGAAGCATCTCCATAAAATACAATAGTGGTTGGTGATTAAGAATTCAATCCAGGGCTAGACATTTTTGATGACTGACAGCTATAGTCTGAATGTTTGTGACCCACCCAACCCCAAATTCATGTTAAAATTTTAACCCTCAAGGTGAGAATATTAGGAGGTGGGACTTTTGGGAGGTGATAAGGTCATGACATTAGAGTGTTCATAAATGGGATTAGTGACCTTATAAAAGAGGCTCACTGGAGTTCATTTGCCCCTTCTACCGTGTGATGACACAGTCAGAAGGCACCATCTATGAGGCAGGAAGCAAGTTTTCACCAGACACCACATCTGCTGGTGCCTTGATGCTGAGCTTCTCAGTCTTCAGAACTGTGAGAAATTAATTTCTGTTGTTTATAAACCACCCCCTCTAGGTTTATGTTATAAACACCCCCCTCAAAGTGTTATAGCACCTTCAATAGACTAAGACAGTCACTGTGGGCAAGTACTTCACCTCTCTGATCGTCTCTTCCCCTTACATAGGGCTGTTGTCAGAGTAAATGCATCAATATGCATTAGCTCTTAGAAGAGGGTCTAGCATAGAGTAAGTGCTTAAGAACAATACATGTTATGCTATATATAGAACATCTATTATTATGCTTAACACTTCTACAACTCATTATTGTGATTTTTCTCCATATTTCTTATTTTTATTTTTAATTTAGACAGAGTTTCACTCTTGTCGCCCAGGCTGGAGTGCAGTGGTGTGATCTTGGCTCACTGCAACCTCTGCCTCCCTGGTTCAAGCGATTCTCCGGCCTCAGCTTCCCGAGTAGCTGGGATTACAGGTGCCTGCCACCACTCCTGGCTATTTTTTTTTTTGTATTTTTAGTAGAGATGAGGTTTCACCATGTTGGACAGGCTGGTCTCGAACTCTTGACTTGAGATGATCCACCTGCCTCGGACTCCCAAAGTGCTGGGATTACAGGTGTGAGCCACCGTGTCCGACCATATTTCTTATTATTCCTTTTTTCAGTATCCTTTCTGCATAGGTAAATAAGCTCAATCCCTGAATCTTTCAATAGATTCCAGCAATCTCAACTGCAGAGTACACTGTAGGCCTCTGTAAATACGTATTATTCAACCCCTAAATACATCTTTCTTCTTAGTCTCTGTTTTCAGCTGTTAGTGGTTTAGATGACCTTTTTCACTTTAAGGCTGAAAACCTTGCATCTCATTCCCTTGGTTAATGAGCATTTATAATTTAATGCAAGAAGAATTGAGAAACTAGGAACACCTCATGAATATTACAATGTGAATTTGGGATTTGAAGTCTAATTACATCATCTTATTTTTATATTGTTGTCTCAAATTATTCTACAGAGGGGAAGGAGAAATAATTTTTGAAGTTTAGACTCCATTTAGAAATTGTGGATTTGGCTTTAGGGATCAAATCTGAACTAATTGATTTGTGTGAACATTTGCCTTTAGTAAATTTCACTTCCAATTAATTTTAAATGATCTTATTTCAAGAATTTTTTAGACATCAAAGAACTTTTTAAAAAACTGATCATTAACACCTTTCAAAACCTTATGCTCTGGCTATGAATAGAGTCAGTATGATTGCTTTAA
Source organism: Homo sapiens (assembly GCF_000001405.40). Taxonomy (NCBI): domain Eukaryota; kingdom Metazoa; phylum Chordata; class Mammalia; order Primates; family Hominidae; genus Homo; species Homo sapiens. The sequence goes on along the minus strand of NC_000021.9, from coordinate 30,006,128 downwards.
AGAGAAATACTTAATGAAGTACATTTTGGGTTTTAGAATGAACCTTAATGCCAACGGAGTTTGATCCCTGACAGATGCACTCGTGGCAGGGTTTGCCAACTCTGATTTAAAAACATCTCATCCTCAAAGAAGTAATCAGAGTTTAATCTTGTCTGTTTCCAGCTCTTCATATCAGAACTGATTTGGGGCCATTGGGGAGGAGATGCTGACCTTCTAACTGTAATCCAACTGCACGCAACTATTCTAAAGAAGATGAAAGCATTTTTCACCCCTTTGTTGTGTAATAAATACAGTCTTTATATTTTGTTGCATTTTAAGTTTGATTTTATAATGATCTGTGAAACAAAATTGTTTTCAATAAACAGACTTAGTTGTTGGTTACTTTCTTAAATATTCTGCATCAATCAAACTTACAAACCATTTTCCAGCACTTAAATGTGAGAGATAAATTAAGATAATTTTCTATATAACCCATTTTTTGGCTTATGAAGGATCATTTGAAATAAAAGAGGAGGAAGGAGAAGAAGATGAAGAGGAAGAATGGAAGGTGAGGGAAGGGAAGGAGCAAAAGAGCAACCAATACTTTTTTAGTATATAATAAATGTGTCTTTTTCTTCCCCATTCTCATTCCTTTCCATTATTATTATTTTTTGTTTATTTGTTAACTACTTCACCTGATAGACCTGTAGGGCATTGTGAAATGAAAATGAGTAATTAAAAAAAACAGAATAAAACAATGTTAAAGGATTGCATACATTTATGGAAGCAAAAGATTTTTTTAATGCTTCACAAATATGTTCCTTATTTTCAGAAAAGACCAGTCCAGAAAGGTAAATTTAAACTCTCTGGGGAATATGGTCACTTTCATACTCTGTAGGTGACTGATTCCCTCTTTTTTTTTAAATAAAACATTTTAAAATTACTTATTTTGTATTGAAAACTATCTCATTAGTAAAGCTACTCAATGTTTCAACACTACCTTATCTGAGATTTTGAAAAAAAAACCATAGACTATTTATAAATGTCACAAAGATATTCTTTGTTGAAATCTGTTCAACGGTGAGAATACAGTAATATTCCTGCAGAATATTGCTTTGGAGCACAATATTCACATCTCAATATATTTTGCAGTTGTAGTTGAGCATGACAGAAGATTTAGTGGTGTTAGAATATAGCATTGTCTGGTCTATTTTATTCATATCCACATGTGCCTATGTATGTACGTGTATGAAGAGAAAAGACAGCTGTTTATTATTTTATTTATCTTCATTGTTTCCTATGGGATTTTTCTTCTGCTATTTTGTTCTGATTTTATTGTAGCATGTTAGATTTCTAATATTAGCCATTGTTCTATTGCTAAATCAAATCAAAATACTTAATATGTATCAGGATGTGTCTGACTGAAAAATGTTGTAGCATATGTTCACATTTGACTGTAAACACTTTTTAGAAGAGGGGCTTTATCTTATTCACCACTATTCTTCGTGATCTGCACAGTGCCTGATACATGGAAAGTATTCAATACATATTTGTTAAATGTGTGGTTGAATGGATTAGGAATATAAATAAGAGTTTGTATACATGCAGCCTATGGCTGGATGAGTTTTATAATGTTTTTAAAAACTGAAACAACTTCTAAAATTCAGGGGATTTTACATTTAAAAAGTCAACTTTCTTGTTTATTTACTTATAATACAAACATCTGGCAACAATGAGCCTTGCATTTCTACAGAACAATAATTGACTGGAGCTGAGAAATGGCTGCTCCTTGGCACATTCTGCAGGTGGCAACAGCTGCTCCCATTGTTGCAGTGTAGGCGTACTGCATTACAGTTGGCTGATTTAGTCACTAAATTACCAACCTGACCACCATGGACATTTGGATCTGCAATCCCTTGTGTAAATGCATAAAAAGACAATTAACAGCAATAGTTACATAACTCCAAAAAAAAATGTAGGTTAAACTATCTAATAGGTCGTTTGATATGAACTAGATTTCAGACATTATAGACAAGGAGCCAACATGGAAAGACTTTGACAGAGTTAAATGTGACTTGAACTAACTCTTTATAATAGATACGATTGGACTAGAATCCCTTATGGAAGCATTTCCAGGCATGGGAAATGACGTGAGCAAAGGCATAGCATTTGGACAAAAGCTTTTCAATAAACATTCTACTGGGGATGCATATTCATTGAGAGATGTCACGAAAGAAAGGAAAAATGCTCGGCTGTAGTCAGAATGGGAAACTTCATAACGGTCAGTCTTAGGAATGGAAATTTAACACCTCAATAGTGGATGAGTTATAGGAAAGAGCATTATAAAATCATATTTAAAAAAATAAGTTGATTACAAAATTCAGATATGCACACAAATTACTCTTGTGAAGCTCTGGCAATGGTTGAAAAGACAGAAATATGCGGAAACTAAAAAATCGAAAATAGGTTGAACAATTGAGCTGTAATTTTGTTTTCCTCGTTAATTAGTGACTCACATAGTAGACATTTATGTATTCTTCTTATAAATAGAGAAGCGTCTTAGAAGTCTTAATAATGTGTCCTGAGAAGAGCATTGTTTTCAGTCTAGATAACAACAAAAAAGTTAAAACAAAAATAAAAGGTTTACTTTGCTAAATACATATAATCAGCACTTAGAGTTATTGAAAATCTTACACATGGGTGCTAACTTCCAAATTTATTTTTCACCCATACTGTCTTCACCATACTGGAATTACCAGAGGAAAGATCTGCAGCTACCTCAATTCCTGCCTCTTCAGAAGAAAGAATTCGACTGAGGAGTATAAGGCAGAAGAAGAGACCCAGGTGAGTTTCAGAGCAGGAGTGGAAGTTTATTTAAAAAGGCTTTAGAACAGGAAAGAAAGGAAGATATGCTTGGAAAAGACCCAAGCAGGCATGTGAAGGTTAAGTGTCTGAAGGTCAAGTGCCTCGTTTAACTGTGATTCTAGGACTTTATAGGCTCTCCTGTTTCCCATGATTCTTCCCTTAGGCTGGGCTGCCCACATGTGCACTGCCCTTCTTACCATTGGGAAGTGACAGCATGCAAGTGAGAGCCTCCCAAGTAACTGGGATTACATGTGTGTGCCACGCTTGGCTATTTTATTTATTTATTTATTTGGTGTTTTCAGTAGAGACAGGGTTTCACCATGTTGGCCAGACTGGTCTGGAACTTCTGACCTCAAGTAATTCACCCACCTCCGCCTCCCAGAGTGCTGGGATAACAGATGTGAGCCACCGTTCCTGGCCGCCATTTTGTCTCCTAATGCACATGACCAGGAAGTTGCTTCTCTCTGGCATCTCTGTTCAATTAAGACTTTTATGTTTATAGCTGTGGATTATCAGGAGACTGTCTTTCCCTGGAGCCTTTGTGCCGGCTGCTGAATTATTATTTTTGGAGAGACAGTGTGATAATTGTCAAACCATCACCTGACATTCCTAGTGGGTAGGGGAGAAGAGCCTTCTCCTCCCCCTGCTCATGCCTATCTACCTACCTGTAACAATGCATTGGGGAGTATAGACACAGACTACCATAACATTAATGTCAGTTCTTTAACTTATTTGTAGGATACAATAATTGCAGCATTTGTCTCTATTTGATTTTCTACATTTAAAAAATGATGGCACTCTTCTTTAAGTGCTGGGCATGAAATATTTAATATTATGTTCCATTGCTCATATTTACGATTATGCTGAACAAAAACAGTGTATGTGGTAAGGCAGCATTAGATGCAGTTTATCTTGGAGATGTTACTAATAAGCAGGTCCATTCTTCTTACAGAGAAATTATCCATCTTAGGTAATAACAAAGCTGTGTTTTAGTAAAACTTGTGGGGGAAAAATACTTAGAAGTGCATTGGTATCTCAGACATATCATTATTGTAAACAACTCGGTGCATATCTCATTTAATGACACATTATAATCGTCTATAGTTTTGTATCTTTCTGTTGAGGTCTGAACACAATGTCCTGTGCCAAAGTAGAGGCTATGTAAGCTTGGGGACCCCGGTCCTTCCATCCTAATGTTAGTATAATACAGTATTACTATCATTACCGTATCTTCATCTCCCTCTCTTTTCAGATCCCTCCCCAGTATAATCTTTTAATCTTCTTTTTTTAATTTGCTTCTATCTGCAATTTTCTATAATTCCAAAATAAGCCTAAGTAGACAACTTTATTCAGAGGGGCTTAGGAAATTACTTTGGATAACATTGCTTAAAAGGAAAAAAATGAAACAAATTCAATTATTTTGAAAAATTATTCCATATTTCTTATTTAAAGCATCTTAAGTATAAGAGAAAGTAAGTGAATGTATATTAGTCAATATCTAAGTTTAAATAGAAAACATTAAAATGGGAAATGTTAAAATAATTAAAATCAATATGATTTAGACCTATGCATTACATAATCTATTAATCTACTTTGAAATAGCCATTTTGTAACATATGGCTTTAATAATATACAGAAAAGTTCTCATGCATAAAACTAGCTGAGAAAATTTGAAATATGTGCTTTTATTCAGTAACTAGAGGAAAGAGAATGTGAACTTCCTGTACCACAACTTATTTTAGAAGATAAGTGGCACTTGGAGATTTATCACGTAAATGTGTTTAACAAAGATTTCACATTAAACACTCAGATGGAGTAATAGAAGTCTATTAGAAGATGATTATATGTTAATCATCTAAGTTTAAAAATCTTATCAAGTTTAAAATCCATTTCTTATCTAGGCCAATAAATTGCTGTTTTGAAAAGCAGGCCATTCTTCACTTTTTTTGTTCTCATTACTTCTTAAAATGTGTCGCATCAAGTGCTTCCTCAAAGACTTGGGATTTTTTTTAAAAAAAGGTAATCGTTACTTTTCACAAACTTTAAAATAAGTTCAAAGGGCACTCTGATAACATAATAGACTTTTCTATTTGAATGCATTTCATAAAATGTGGTCTTAAATTTACTGGAATTCGCTTATAGTAATGTCAATGAAGCAAAACCAATTTGATTTATTCAGTAAACATCCATTCAAATTAGAGAGAAACATTTGCTAAAGAAAATATCTTAAAGGTGTATATAAAAATAAGTTGAAAATAAAAACTTTCTCACTTTTTTATAAGACATTTTATATTTTTGAAAAATTGTGAGAATATTTTATAATACTATTTGAATCTGTATGAATGTATACAGAATAATGTGAAAAATTTTAAAGTATACTAATTATTCACATTTTCAAAACCAAAGCTTTTCTTTGTGCTCTTTTAAGGTTATGCAGGGGGATAGTTTTTATTCTCTAGTTTTGGTTAAATGGGCTTTATTTCTTTTTGTAACAATCCCCCATTTAAAATAAATGTCCAAGGCCTTCCAGGAAAATATCTCTAAAAGAAAAATCTGAGGGAGGCTTAAACAGCAGATTTCTAACCCTATCTTTTTTTTTTTTCACATAATTTGCTAAGCATTTATGCGGTTTTTCAGGGATGCTCATAAGAAAAAATCTTAATGCTATTTAAAGAAAAGTGAGAAGCATTTACATGGGATTGTGTGTTTTCTTTCTACAAATGGAAAAGCGTAAAAGACAGAAGTTATGTATAAAGCAATGATAATAAATAAAGACATTTTTATTGAGAGCTCTTCTTTGAAGGAATTGTTGTGTAGCTGTTAGTAGAAACATTGTATGGGATGTGAAAGGGTAAACAAAAATAAGCATAGGAGAGGAAAATTATCAGAAGAGGAAACAAGATAGACTTCTACAAGAAGAGAGATAAATAATGAAGAGCAAACCAAGAAAGGTAACGAATAAAATCAAAGAGAGAGAGAGGTAAATAATTCACTTTACACGCAAGAATAACAGAATAGGTCACCACAAAATAGAAACTAGGATACTTTCTAATATTTAAAAGAGAGGTTGGCAGAGGATGAAAAAGAAACAATGAAAGAAAGGCTGATAGCCAAAGTGGAAAGTTATATGTGTTTTGACCACAAAATAAAAAATCTGAGAATGTGCAGTGCTTATAATAGGGGAGAATATGAGTATCTCGGACAAAAGGCAGGAATGATGAGCAAAACTATTAGGAGGTGTGACAGAATGCTGTTGGGAAAAGACGTGAGTAAGTAAAAGTGGGCACAAGAGAGTAGATTAGACAGAGATAACCAAAGTATGCTTTCCTTACAGGTTAAATACTGCCAGTTATTACATTTTTAAAGGATATTAAACAATTTTCCATTTAAGAAGACGAGAAAAGAGAAATAGAATAGAATACGCATGCCACAATAGAAAATGCTAGATTAGATAGAGATAACCAAAGTATGCTTTCCTTACAGGTTAAATACTGCCAGTTATTACATTTTTAAAGGATTTTAAACAATTTTCCTTTTAAGAAGACAAGAAAAGAGAAATAGAATAGAATATGCATGTCACAAAGTCTGTACTTGGCTTACACAGCTTAACATACTATCCGATTCTTTACAAAAAAATGTTTGCCAATCCTTGGACTAGCAGTGAAGGAAGTGGTGTTAAAAGCAGATGAGAAATAAAGTAAGGTTGTCAGGACGTGATTGCAGTTGATGAGTAGTCAGACAATGATTAGATATATGTTGTTCAAATGATTTTTATCTTGTAGGAGAACATTAAACTGGCTGTTTTGCCTTTTGAAAATGCAAAAGAAAATGGCTCATGCATACTACACACAGTTGAAAGCAAAGTTTCTTCTAGAATTGAACATTTTTATAAAATAAGTAAATTCTAATTAAATTACCACACTTTCCTCCATAAATACCCTGCACATTAGAAAGGAGGGAAGGAGGGTGTGGTTTTGTTTTTGTTTTTGTTTTGCTAATGTTCCTTTCTTTAGTTTTTAAAATTTTAAACACATTTATTACCTACCTCATTGTTCTGGAAAAATCAATGAACTACACCATGCCATATAGGGCATCTAATTATTCCAAAGTTGACAAGTCTATATATAAAATCAACTCTTCAGATTCCCACATGGATAGGTGTGTGACACAATCCTAAAAGAGCTAGTTATTTGTGATACGTCATTTCTTTCTTATAAAGGTGATTGTACTTGCTTTATATAATCAATCACTTATACATTCTCTGTATTTACCATGAATGGTTCAATTTTGAAAACTAGTCTAAGAAGCTTGGATTAGGGTTGTGGGACACTTATCTTTTTAAAAGCCATGATTTGTAACGGTTGCCAAACTCTACAGTGGTAATACTTCTACTACAACCAATATCAGGCATAGTGTCCCTGAATATAAAGTTGGGAAAAGATTTGCACAATCACTTTTGCAACCCAATAGGAACCAGCCCAGCGCGGTACTGGTTTAAGGTCTTGATACTTTTTTAAGCATTGATTTAAAAAAATCTGAGCCTATTCCTAGAAAGCAGTGGTTTGGTCTTCTTGTTTTTGTCAGAATGGAGTCGTTTCTATGGGATCAATTTGCCCCACCATGATATAGGCTTGAGGCTAACTACGTTGTATGGAGAAATTGAGTTAAAATGTGAAATAGTTTCCAAAAGAAATTTCAGTTTTCTGAGATATTAGATTGGGAGTTGAACTTCAAACACAAATAGCAAGCTTACTACTGGTCATTTAGACCCTGACAAATGTGATCATTGCACTCAGTTATCAATTCCTGTAAAGTTTCTCTTTGATCTGAATGAATATGCTCATCATAAATATGAATTTTGTATGTTTCATAAATATTCCATATTAAATTGAATAGTTCACAATATTTACACTCAATTTCACGTGTAGTAGGGGAACAACTTCACAGCAACAAAGGGTTCCAATACATTTATGTTTTCTTAAAATATAAAAATAGATGACAGGCACCATTTTACTGAAATTTGAACAGTTTAAAGTGCCTGTGTTCAAACAAGAACAACATATGATAGTAACAGAGCTATTGATATACATGCCGGGTAACATTTTGGATATCAAAACGATAAGAGAAAAATGAATCTTTGCTGTAGACAGCTGAACAAGTTTCGGATATATGTGATTTCTTGTGCAGAAACCTTGTAATATCATGAAATTTCTGTATTTAAATAAGTTGTTAATAAAAACAGTGGAAGCATTATATGGCATATATATAATAGTTAATTCAAATTATCTTCGTGGAAGCATTATATGGCGTATATATAATAGTTATTTCAAATTATCTTAGTAAAAAAATCCTTTTGCCAATATCACATTATCATGCACATATAAACTTTTACATCCAATGAGAGAAATTAAAGACATAGTTACTGTCCAGGGATGAAAAATACACTTGACAGGGAATATTACAGTTCCATGGAATAACAAAACTACAAGGAAAGCACTGTATATTTCTGATATTCAAAGATCAGCTCTATTGTTGAGTAGTACATAGTGTAACTAGAAACATAATACAAATTGGGTAGTTGTTCACTGCAAAAGTGATGAATTTTCACTGATATCTTGTATGCCTCAAATGTTTTCAGAAGAGAGAAAACTTATGGTGATTATCTGAGCTACATGTCAGGCCTAACTAATTATTGGAATTACAATACAAAAATTACTTGAGTTATCTATACAGTAGTACCTGATGAAGTACAGAGATTTAGGAATGGCCGATGATTTAGTTCAAGGCTGAAGGCAAGAAAACACTGATACTCCAGTTGAAAGGCAGTCTGGCAGCAGGGATTATCCTTACTTGGAGGAGGGTCAGCCTTTTTGTTCTATGCAGGCTTTCAACTGATTGTATGTGGCCCACTCAGATGAGCAAGAGCAATCTTCTTTATTAAGTTTATCAGTGTAAATGGTAATCTCATCCAAAACACACAGACACACCACCCAGAATAATGTTTTACAAATATCTGGGAACTCTGTAATTTTATGTGTCAAGTTGGCACATAAAATTAACAATCATAAATATTATCTTTTTTGTATATTTCTGGATTCTGTTTGCTAAAATTTTGTTTAGACTTTCTATGTATATATTAATTGGCAATTAGTCTGGTTTCTCTACTTGTAGTGGAGTTGTCTGGTTTTGATAACAAGATGATGATGGCCTTATAAAATGAGTTGGGAATTCCCCCCTTATGTGCAGAATAACGATTATTCATAATTTAAATGTTTGGCAGAGTTCACCTGTGAATCTACCTGTGTCTGTCCTTTTCTTTGATAGCTTTAAAGTATGAATGTAAGTTTTTTTATTTATTTAGGGCCATTCAAGTTATCTATTGTATTCGTCAGAGTTCTCTAGAGGGACAGAACTAACAGGATAGATGTATACACAAAGGGGAGTTTATTAAGGAGCATTGACTCACAGGATCACAAGGTGAGGTCCCACATTGGCCGTCTGCAAGCTGAGGAGCAGAGAAGCCAGTCCAAGTCCCAAAGATGAAGAACTTGGAGTCTGATGTTCGAGGGCAGGAGTCATCCAGCAGAGGAGAAAGATGTAGTCTGGGAGGCTAAGCCAGTCTAGTTTTTTAGTGTTCTTCTGCCTGCTTTTATTCTGGCCATGCTGGCAGCTGATTAGATTGTGCCCACCCAGATTGAGGACGGGTCTGCCTTTCCCAGTCCACTGACTCAAATGTTAATCTCCTTTGGCAACACCCTCATAGTCACACCCAGGGACAATACTTTGCATCCTTCAATCCACTCAAGTTGACACTCAATATTAACTATCACATCTGTGTTTTAGACATGCTTTCCCTTTTTGTGTATTTCAAGGAATATGTCTGTTTTATCTAAGCTGTCAAATTTATTGGCATGAAGTCTATACTATTCCTGAACCTTTTTGAAACAGATACTAAGACAAAATTAAACATGCAAAACAGTAGAGGGGAAATGCCTGTGAGAGAAAATGTAGTAGGAGCCAGGAGAGCTTGGTTGCTTCTGCTTCCTGCTCCTTAGAATTCAGCTACTATGTAAAGAATGACTATCAGGTGAAAAGCCCATGCTATATGAAGAGTCCTCAGAAGATGAGATGCTACATGGATAAAGAGAGAAGGAGCCCAAGGCACCAGATATGTGAGTGAGTGGCAACAATTTGCAAGTGAACACTCTAGTAACCACCATTTGAGTGAGAGGAGAATTGTCAAGCCTAGCCCTTTCTGAGTTCCTTACCCACACAATTGCAAGCAAAATAATGTTGGAAAGAGTAAGGGTAATAGCTAGATAAGCAGCAATAAATAACTGAAGTAGGTGAAGCTAAAGAATAAGAGAAATTTCCAGTTCATCGGCCTAGAGGCCAAACACATCTCACCTCCAAAGTTGGAATATGAAGAGGAAGGTGATGGAGAAGCTGTTACCTCTTTGAGTCCATGTTAAGAGTTTGGTAACCTGGAGTCACACATGGTCACCAGGGCTATCAGCCAGGAAAAAAAAAAAAAAAGAGCTGGACACAAAGCATAGGAGAATAAAGACAAGCACTTTTGTGTCTGTCTGTCCGTGCATTTCATTATGGTCACCTTCAGAAAGTAATGGCTGCTTGTTTGCTCCCATCTTTCAAATTTTGCATGCAATCCTCTTTTGGACAACTCAAACATGGAACCATACAGGGAAGGAGTCCTTGGGAAACATTTTTCCCAACATAAAGAAGGTAAGATTATCTTATTAAGTTCCAAGATAAACAGTCTGCTGGGATTTGGGTTGGAATTATATAATTATATCTAAGATATATTCGGGAGGACTTGCATTGCTAAGACGTGCACTGCTTGCTATGCAATGAACACTTGCCTAAGACTTGCATATGCCTACTATGCCTGCTCTGCCATGAAGATTTCTGTGATTTTAAATTTTCTTATTAATGAGCATAGTAATATATTTTTCTCTCTGATCAGTATTTATAGTGGGAATTCCACCTGAAGATTCTAATGTTTGCTCATTTCAAAAACACCCAAAATACTCCTTTTATAATTTTCAAAGTTAGCCTCCTGGCTAATCTCTCCATTCTCTTTTCCTAGAATTTTTCTTAGTACATCTTGGAAACACTAAATTTATTCTTCATTTTTAATCAATCATTCAATAGGCTGTTTAATTTTATTGACAATTTAAAATTGATTCTTTCTATGTTGATATGTAGTTATTTCATGTCTTTTTTTCTTTATTTTTTCTTGTTCTCTTATAATGCTCACTTTTTGTTCATTGATTATCCTGAATGTGCTTATTTCAAAGTCTACGTCAAACTCTTCCAAAAAAGTCACTTTTATCTGGAGTGAATTCATATTTTGAGTTTTCATTTTGTTGGCTGCCATTCTTAGCGATAGATGTTCTTTGGCTCTCAGGGTCATTTTGAGACAGAAGTTTCAGGGTTTCTTCTTTTGTTTTTTCCTTTGGGCTCTCCCTGCCTTCTTGTTTTGGCTTCAGCTCTGTAGTGACATTGGTGATAAAAATAAGTCAGATCAATTCACTGTAGAAGACTCCTTTTTCCTTTCACTTCCCTGAGCCCAGAGGACTCTATAAACTCTGTCTAGCCAACAACATAGTTCCATTTCTTTCAGCCTCAGCTTCCTCTCAGAGGTAACTTAGGCCTCTCTACAACCTGACTTCAGGCCATGGTTTTGTTTCTGGTCTCCGTCTTGCATGAAATACTTGCAAGGGAACACTAACTACAGGAGCATAGGTCTCAACCACAACTACCTGCCTTGGATTTTGGAGCCCACCATGCCCATAGGTTCAGCCCAATCCCTATTCTGTGCATCTTATTGAAGATGCCAAATTGGTTCTTTAAATCGTCTTTGGTTTCATGGAAGAGAACACTTTCAAAAATGTGTCCTTCCTCTGAAATCCAGCATTTTTATTTATTCTACTGTACTGTTTCTTAGGCTTCAGATTACGGTTACATATATTGGATCAATTGAACAATTTGTCGCTGCAGGTCAAATTCTTCCATTGATTCTTTAATTGGACAGTTTGTTCCTGTAGATTCTTATCCTTTTGTATTTTGCTTTGATTTTTTTATATGGTCACTCATTATCAAGCAAAAGGGAGATTTATCTATATGAATGTTTGCCAATAATCAGAATGTGTGTGGGTTACCATAAACACTACTCTTTCTCTACTTGAATATGAATATGTTTTCATATTTCACTGTCTACCAAGCTTTTAAGCAATATGAAACCACTTGTGTAAAATGATATCTGACATAAGTGTTTGGGAAATTACAATATTTGGAATGCATTGTTGATGTCATTTTTTCTATCTTACTCCAAACAACAAATCTTTTCTTTTCAGAGTGATGCCTCCTATTCTGTTGCAGTCACTTTTTTCCTCCTAATACCTAATTCTTGTTTCTGGAACAGATTATTACAGGAATATGCTGCCTTCAAACTAATGTATAAAGAAAGGAACTATGGTGAGAGGAGAGGAGAAATACTCTGATTCCCACTCACAAAACAGCATCGATGTAGTCATGGTACCCTGACCAATTTTCCTACTCAAAGGAGAAACCAGGGGGAAGAGTAAAATGAGGATGATCGACTCTCGTGTTTTGCATTCACTTTCATTACCTTTAATTAATTGGGCAATGCCTTACCCTTGAATTCATTACAATTCCTCTAAAATCTTAGCAATAAGTGAATATACAACCCTAGTTTATGCTGCTATGTGGCTAGTGAGGGGAGCTCTTCAGGGATATCTTGAACAAGTCAGGATAGAATATGCCAGGCATCACTAGTCATTTTAAAATGAAAGAACCCACAGGATTAAAGCAGAAATGGACAGAGCTAGTGCACAGTGACTCACGATGTGAACAAGGTATTCTGAGGAGGGCATGAGTATAAAGCACAACAGGGACAGTAAACCAATTGCCTTAATGAGAAGGGAGGCTTCACTGCGCACTTCTATGTGCAGTCTTGTTTTTCTGCTTCTCTAAAAACCTTTCATTCTTTTCTTCCTTAATTGAATTTCTATTTACTTCAACTGGTTCCTCTGACATCTTGTTACACATACTACTTTGTGAGTAATGAAAAAATCTTTACAACACATCACAAGAATTTCAGCTTTGTATGTTTTTCATGCTTTGGTCTTTCACGGAAGTTTGAAGAAACTGCTCAATCTTTCTCATTAATTTAGTCAACATGTTTTATAATAAAAGACTGAGATGAATTGATGGTATTTGTAAGATAACCAACGCACTCTGCACGTGTATATTTTGAGTTTGTTTCTTTCCTTCTCCTTGACCTCCCAATTAAACTTGAAATTGTGTATTCTACCCCAGAATACAACGGTTTCCCTTAACACTTTTTAAATAATTTTATTTCCATTCCTAACTTACGTGCAGAGTAAGCAGTTTGCTATGTTTCCTAGAGAGTTGACAAAACTTGAAATCCTCTAAGTGCTGTCTTTATTTTGGCATTGATTCAAACAAAGGTCTACAGGGGCTGAAACATCAAATGCTTTCTGCCAATCTGCTATCTTTCATGTGACTTAAAAAAGTGGCTTCTAATTTTTTAACTTAATTTCTTCCATCATCTTCTTTGCCCATGTGGTTTTGATCATGTAAAGTTTGTAAAGAAGAATTGAACGTTAGCATCAATGGTGACATTGTGATCATAATGTGGTCTAGGTGAGCTTGCAATGTAGCTAGCAAGCGCAAGCTGCAAGGTAGGCTTACAGCAAACATACCAGGGTTTCTGGCCATTTTATTTTCTTTCTACTTTTGCTACTTATTAAAAAATCTTTCTGAGCTCCCTCAAGCTCTACTGTCTGGGACAATAACTTATGCAAAGACAAGAAATTGGCTTCTATTATAATAATAGGTATTTTTAAAAATTAACTTAAAACATATCTTTTACCTTGAAATATTTTCCATATGTGTGAACTCAGTGAAAAGTAAAAAAGTTTAAAAACTGATGCGTATCTATTGAGTTAAAACAGAAATGAAATATAGGAGGGGGCGAGTCCCAATGTAGAAAGGAAGTGGGTGGAGAATAGGAATAAATCTCTGCAGTGTCTTTTTCTTGTCTAGGTAGTGAGGTGTCTCAATTGCAGACTGGAGAAATATAGCACTCACTAACCCCAACTGAGTGGGTATTGCCCTTTTATTATCTCTCCTTTTAATTCCTAGGTTATTGCCCAACTGTGCCAAGAATTGGCATTTAGCCATATTGTGAGGGTATCAAACTTACAGATGCTTCAATGTTTTGCATTCCTTCATGTGAATGCTGTGGAGGAAAGGCCCAGTGTGGAGATACAGAGATGCTTCTTCTCTCCCTGCTTTCACTGCCTACAGTTCCCCTTGCCACACTACCTGTTCCCTGCCTTTCCTTGGAGCCTTTAGCCCCGCGTCTTTACTCCTACGAAAAGCGGGGGTGGGGCCAAGAGCGGGGCTTCTTCCACCCTCCTCAATGCTCTTTTGTCTACTTCTTGGCCTGCCTCCTCTCCGAAATGCTCAGAGGCAGTCTCACTTACCCTGAATGGATTTCCTTCTAAGTAAGTAATCCCATCCCCTTTTCAATGGCCTTCAGAAGTTCTTATAATAAGTTACCAAACACACAGAATGTAGACACCTAGGATCTAGTTTTTCTGCTAAAATATAATTTTTTTCCAGCTTTATTGCAGTATAATTGACAGTTAAGGTATATATTTAAAGTATACGACTTGATTTGATGTATGTATAATTGTGAAATAATCACCACACTCAAGGTGATTAATATATCCACCACTTCACATAGTTACTGTCTTTGCGGGTGTGTTTGTATAGTTCAAACACTTAAGATCTTTGCTGTTAGCAAATTACAAGTGATACAACACAATATTGTTAACTATAGTCACAGTGCTGTATGTCAGGTTTCAGACTTTACTTCCCCATTATTTCCATACATCCACCCAGCATCCCCTCCCCTACAGCATCTCCCAGGTTCTGGAAACCACCATTCAACTCTCCAGTTTCTAGAAATTTAACTTTTTTCGAATCCACATACAAGCATAATTTCTTCCAGGTTCATCCATGTTGTTGCAGATGGCATGATTTCCCTCTTCTTCCTTTTTTTTTGAGATAGTGTCTGGCTTTGTCACCCAGGCTGGAGTTCAGTGACACAATCACAGCTCACTGCAGCCTTGAACTTCCGGGTCCTTCTTTTTAAAGGCTGAATAATATTCCATTATATGCATGGAAGTGATGTATGCCACCCATGTATTACTTACTTAGAAGGAAAATCCTTCCCTTTATTTCTGGGGACTGGAACACAGAGCAGTAATTCAGCTACAATCATACAAAGAACCGCACTCAAGGAACAGGTGGAGGAACAAGACTGAAGGAAATTGGGTCCCTGGTTCTTCATTTAGCTGAGCTGCTCCTCCTGACCTGGCCTGCCAAACTATCACAACAGAAAAAAAAAAAATTTTATTTAAGCTATTGTGTTTGGAATTTCTCTTATTAAAGCAATTTATTTGTTGTTGTTCTTAGTTCAGAGATGAACTTTTGGTGTAACACCTCAATATTGCAGTGCCCTAGTTAGCAGGAAGAAGAAAAGGTCTAGAAAGTAGAGAGAATGTTACTTAGAATGAACATACCTAGGTTACCGTATCAAAAATCATCCCAATATAGCAAACTTGAAAGTAATTGAGGGTGAAGGGAAGGAATTTCTCAAGAGCAGACAATGAGGGTGACACTCATGTGACCAGGAAGAGAAAGAGGTGTTATTCAATCTACCATCTTGCAATACGGCAACCAGCAGTAGAATTGGCTGCTGCTCACCTACATATGCCCAAATTACTGATCATTTACTTTGCCTCTATGGTTACTTATCCTTTTTTTAAAAATTTTTGAAATAATTATAAATACATAAAAAGTTGCAAATAAATGTACATGGAGGTCCTGTGTGCTCTCACTCAGTCTTTTCCAGTGCTAACATCTTAAATAACTATAGTACAATACTGAAATGAGGAAATAGACACTGGTACAAGCCATAGAGTGAATTCATATTTCACAAGTTTATATATACACTCAGTTGTGCATGTATGTATGTGTGTGCCAAGCTCTATGCAATTTTCTGATGTTTCGCTTCATGTAACCAATGCCCCAATCAAGATATTTATCTGCATCTGAAACACCAAATTCTCTTACGTCACCTCTCTATAGATTCATTCACTTTCTCACCTCCCATCTCCAACTCCCAACAAACACTAATCTCTCCATCACTATAATTATCTTACTTCACAAATGTTGCATAAATGGAATTATGTAGTCTGTATCCTTCTGAGATTGGCTTCTTTTAACTCCACAAATTTCCTCAAGGCTTAGCCAAGTTGTTTATGTCAATAGTTTTCTCCTTGTACATGGCTGAATAATATTACATGATGCAATATCCTATAACTTACGTAACCATTCACCCATTGACAGATGTTTGAATTGTCTTTAGTGTGTGGCTACCATGAATAAAGCTGCTGTGAACACTATTATACAAGTTTCTTTATGAAGATAAGTTGTCATTTCACTTGGATATATGCCCAGGAGTACAACTTCTGGATCATGTAAGTTCATTTTTGTTTTAAAAGCAACTGCCAAACTATTTTCCAGAGTGGCTGTACATTTTACATTCTACTACCAACGTATAAGAGACACACTTTCTCTGCATAATTACCAAAATTTGGTGTGTCACTTTTTTGTTGTTAACTTTAGCCATTTTGATAGATGTGTGGTGATATCACATTGCTTTTCATTTGCACCTTCTTAATGACTAATGTTCTTGAATATTTTTTCGTATGCTTGTCATCTGTACATTCTCTTCAGTGAAATGTATTTTCAAGTCTTTTGCCTATGTTCTAATTGTTGAATGTTGAGTTTTGAGAGCTAACTGTATATTCTAGATACAAGTCCTTTGTTAGACACATGATTTGCAAATGTTTTATCCCAACCTGTAATGTGTTTTCCGTTCTCCTTAAAGAGTCTTTCTGAGAACAAAAGATTTTAATTTTGTTGAAGTCCAGTTGATTTTTTTATTTTTATGAATCTTACTTTTTGTGCTAAGTTTAAGAATTCATTGCCAATTCTAGGTTGCAAAGATTTTATCCTATTTCTGTTCCTAGAAGTTTTATAGTTTTATGTGTTATCTTTAAACCCATGAGACATTTTGAGTTAGTTTTTTATGACATACGAAGCATAGGTTAAGGTTCATGATTTTGCCTATAGATGTCCAGTGCTTTTACACCATTTACTAAAAAGGCTATCACTGTTTCATTGAATTTCTTCTGCTCCTTTGTCAAAAATTAATTGGACATATTTTTGTGGCTCTATTTCTGGGTTCTCTATTCTGTTTCACTGATCTATGAGTCTGTACTTCCACTGGTATCACATTGTTTTTGTTACTGTAGCTGTATAGTAAGCCTTACTATTAGGAAGTGTGATTTCTTCTACTTTATTCTTTTTTTTTACAAAAAACAATATTTTGGCTATTTTAGGTCATTTCCCTTTCTGTACCCATTTTATAATAATCTTGTTTATGTCTACAAAAATCCTTGCTGAAATTTTGGCAGGAACTGTGTTATACCTATATATGATTTTAAGAATTGATAACTTGTAGACATTCCTTATGAGGCTGAGAAAGTTCCCTCCTATTCCTGCTGCTCTGAGAGTTTTTAGCATAAATCAGTGTTGCATTTGTCAAATGCTTCTCGGGTGTTAATTGATATGATCATATGGATTTTCTAATTTAGCCTGTTGATACGGTGGGTTATATTGATTGATTTTCAAGTAATGGGCAAGACTTGAATAACTGGAATAAATTCTGGTCATAGTATATCATTGATCTTATATATTGTCAGGTTCAATTTACTAAAATGTTGTTGATGATTTTTGCATCTAAGTTCCTGTATGCATTTCTCTCTTTTGCATGTAATGTTTGTCTAGTTTTGGTATCGGGGTGACACTGTCTTCCTAGAATGAGTTAGAGAGTATCCCCTCTTCTTCCATTTTCTGGAAGAAATTGTGTAAATTTGGTGTCCATTCTTCTTTGGTAAAATTCTCTAGTGCAATCACCTGGAATTTCTTTTCCGGGATCTTGTAAATTACAAATTCAAATTATTTAATCAGTATGGGACTATTCTGGTTATCTTCATCTTGGTCGAGTTTGGTAATTTTTGTTTTTAAAACATTCTTTTATTTCATGTAAGTTGCTGAGTTGATGAATGAAAAGTTGTTCCTAGTATTCCCTTATCAGCCTTATGCAGCTTTGAGGGCTGCAGGATATGTAGAGATATTCCATTTTATTTCCGACAGTGGCAAAATATGTCTTATCTGCTGCTAGTTTTATCGATAACAGTAAAAGTTTATCAATTTTCTTCATTTATTCAAAGTTCCATCTTTTTGTTTCAGTTTATTTTGTTGTTTTTATCCTTTCAACTTTATGAATTTCTGCTCTTTATTTTTTTCTTCCTTCTGCTTCTTTCGGGTTTATTTTGCTCCTCTTGTTTTCTAGTTTCTTATTGATGTGAGACTTTTCCTCTTTTTTAATGTAAACATTTAGTAACATAGATTTCTGTTTCAGTACTGTTTTAGCTGTATTACATAAATATTGATATGTTATATGATTTTCATTCCTTTTTATGCATTTTTAAACATTTTTTGAGGTTTCCTCATTGGCTTGCAGATTATTTAAAAGTATGTTATTTAGTTTTCAAGTATTTGAAGATTTTTAAATTGTCTTTTAGGTGTTGAAATCTACCATGATTCCACTATGTTCAAAGAACATACTGTGTATCATTTCAAGTCTTTTTTATTGCCTAAGACTCAAAATATGCTCTATCTTGGTAAATGTATATAAGCAGTTGAAAATATTGTGTATATTTTTGCTGCTGTGTGAAGTGTTCCATAAATGTCAGTCGCAACTTGTTGATTAATGTTGGCCCCCAGTTCTTCAATATCCTTGCTGACTTTCTTTCTAGTGGTTTTAAAATTGCTAAGAGTTGGGTATTAAAGTCTCCAATTACAATTATAGATTTATCTTTATTTTGAAACTCTCTGGCTTGGTAAATACGCATTTGCAATTGCTATATTTTCTTGATGAATAAATTTTTTTAAATCACTATAGTGCAACATTTTGTCCACAGTACTTTTCTTTACTATGAGGCCTACTTTATCTGGTATTATATAGTAACTCTTGATTTCTCTATTAATGTTTGTATGATACATCTATTTTTATCATTTTACTTTCAACCTGCTTATGTTTGTTATTTTTAAATTAACTTTCTTGTAGACAACATACAGTTGTTTTTATCCACCTTATCAATCTCTGCTGTTTTAATTGGTATATTTATACCATTTACATTTAAGGTAATTAATTATTTGTTATATTAGGGCTTATGTTTGCTATGTTATTATTCGTTTTTTGTTTCTTCCCTCCATTTCTCACCCTTTTGTTTCTTTTCTTTCCTTCCTGTGGGTTCCTTGAACAATATTTTAGTGTTTCACTTTGATTTATTTATGTTTTTTAGTATATTGCTTTATGTAGCTTTCTCAGTGTTTTCCTATGTATAACCATATACACATATCATTATCATGGCCTATTTGTTTCAACATGTTACCACTTTGAGTGAAATGTAAAAACCTTATTTGCATTTAAATCTCTTTATCCTACTGACCGTTTATATGCAGTTTTCTTAATTATTTCTTCTACATACATTGGGGACCACATAAAGTTTTTGTCTATAAATTTTATGATAAAAGTTATAACTTTTATTTTAACCATGAAATATGACTAAAGAAATTCATGAGGAGGATAGTCTATTTACTTTTATTTTTACCTATAGCATTGTTTTTCTTTCTTTTCTGAAATTTCCATTCAGTCTTCTGTTATCACTTGCATTGTATTTGGAGATCTTCCATCAGCCATTCTTTAAAGGAAATGTTGCGGCTTTTGTGTAGTTTGGCTTGTGAGAGGGAATGGCACCCAAGCAGCTTTTTTCACTCTTGTAGCTCAGCAATCAGGAGCAAGAGTTACAGTGTTACAGAATTCCTTTGGTGCTGCTTCCTCAACTGGAAATCTCTGGGGCCACCATGACCTCTGCCTGGGGCGTATTTCGGGCCCACCAGGCTCACTCTGCCCACTCGGCCCAGCAGACTGGGCTCAACTGGTGTCGCAGCCCAGATCCTGCGCTCACCATAGGATCTGTGCTCAACCCATGGCTGGAGTGGGCATGCTGCAAGCAACCTCTGGGTTGGGCACTGGCGTCTAGATGAGAGAATCGTGGTGATGCCTGAAAACTTGGAGATGCCAGCAACCACGTAGCCCCAAGGGGTGTTATGGCTCTCGCCTAGGGATTCCCGAGGTCCAAGCCCCCAAGAAATGCTACAATTCTTGCTTGTTCCTGCCACCTGCAGCTTGGTGAACAGAGGCATGTCATAGCTCGCTTGTTCCCACCACCCACAGCTTGGCAAACAGGAGTATGTCACAGCTCATTTGGTCCTGATGCCCACAGCTTAGTGAATGGGGAGTTATATTATAGTTCTTTTTGCACCTGCCATGTGGCAGGTTCCAGGTTCTTGTACCATGACCAAGAAGAATGAAATACATGGACACCAGAGTGTGAACCAGGCAGAGAAGAATTTCATTGAGTGACAGAAAAGCTCTGGGCACAAGAGGGGACCCAAAGTGGGTAGCTCTCCGCTGTGAGAGGGAGCCCGAAAGCAGGTAGCTTTCAGTCTGTGTGGCTGAGTCCAGGGATTTTTATGGGCTCAGAATGGGGGAGTGCATGCTGATTGGTCCATGGGCAGGGCCTGGAAAAAGCACCATTCGATTGGCTAAAAGTTCTCAAGGAAGTTGTCACTCCAATCCTAGACTCTACCTAGAAATGGCAGCTCAGTTTTCAGGCTTCAGGCTATCTCTTCTTGAAGGTCAGATTTTACTGGGGACCCATCCCTGTCTGCCTAGGAGTTTGTTGGTCTTCTGCCACTATCAGTAGGTCTGTGTATTAGTTCATTCTCACATTGTTATAAGGAAATACCCAAGACTGGATAAGTGATAAAGGAAAGAGGTTTAATTGACTCACAGTTCTGCATGGCTGGGGAGGCTTCAAAAAGCTTACAATCATGGCAGAAGGCACCTCTTCACAAGGCAGTGGGACAGAGTGAGTGCCAGCAGGGGAAATGCCAGACGCTTATAAAACAATCAGATCCCATGAGAACTCACTCATTATCATGAGAAAAGCATGGGGGAAACCGCCCCCATCATTCCATTACCTTCCACTGGGTCCCTCCCATAACACATGGGGATTATGGGGATTACAATTCAAGATGAAATTTGGGTGGAGACACAGCTAAACCATATCAGTCAGCTACCAAGAAATTCTTAGTTTTCTTTTGCCTGAGACTATATATATTTCCTTTTCACTCCTGAAGGATATTTGCCCTTGATATAGAATTTAGGGTTGACAGTTATTTCCTTTCAGTGCTTGTAAATACTCCATTTTCTTCTCTGGCATCCAGAAGTAATTTCTCATCCGGTTTTAGATGAGAAATCTGTTGTTACTTATCGTGGTATTCCTTTGTAAGATATACTTCATTCCTTTGGCTGTTTCTAAAAAATTTTTTGCTTTTAGTTTTCAGAAGTTTAGTTATGATTTGTCTTGGGGTGGATTTTCTTGAATTATACTCTTTGGGGTTCACTCAGCTTCTTGATTCAGTGGGTTAATGTTTCTTACCAATTTGAAGAAAGTTTTAGCCTTTATTTCTCCAAATACCTCTTTATTTCCACACTTTTTCTCATTCCCTGAAATTTCAGTGATACAAAATATTAGATATTTTGTCATTGCCAATAGATATTCTATTTATTTTTACCATATATTTTATCTCTGTTTCTCAGATTTAATAAATTAGATTTTTCTTTCTCCAAGTTCTATCAGTCTTCTATCATATCCTATACTATTGAGTTAATCTGGCAAGTTTTGATTTAGGGTATGATATTTCTCAGTTCCGTAACCTGCATTTGGTTCTTTTTATAACTTTTATTTATTTATTTCCTGAAATATTCTATTTTTCATTTGTCTGTATTTTGTAATTTATTATAAAAATTTATAAATTTATTATAGTAATCCATAATTAATTATTAAAACATTTGTAAATGTAATTTCTTGTTGAATAAATTACATTTGTAAATTTGTAATTTCTTTTTGAAGCATTTTTATAACAATTGCTTTACATTCCTTTTCAGACAATTCCAGCATCTGGTTTGTTTTAGTATTAGCGTCAACTGATTGTCTTTTTATTCAAATTGTGATTTTCCTAGTTCTTGATATGACAAATGATTTTTAATTTTGTCCTGAACACTTATTATGCTAGAAGACTCTATTTTTTGTAAATTTTCTATTTTAGAAAGCATTCAGCCTTGTTTAGGTTTAGAGGGTAGGTTTGTGCCTAGTTCTGTGGGATTTAGTTCCCATGAGAGTTCAGTTTTCTGAGCCCTTGCAGTGCCATTCTGGTTTGCTTCATTCTTTTTGCATTGTCTTTCTTCCCACTCAATCCTTGATGGCGCTGAGGGGGACAGAATGTGCTTTCTGGGGCTGTCTGTTCTTTCTGGGCAATCTTGTGTGGGAAGCAGTAGTTGCTGGGCTTGGATCTTCTTAATCCACAAGTGAGACCAGAAAGTCACATAACTACTGCCAATACCGTGGGCAGATTAAAGTGCCCACCAGTGTCCTAATTGTAGGGCAGAGGCTGGGATAGTCCAGGGCTTTGCTGCTGCTGCTGCTGCTGCCAACAGATAGAATCACCCTTTATTCTCAGAGTAGGAGTTAGGGCTCCCTACTAGGGGTCTGCTGGACTTCCCATCTCCAATTCTTTTGGACAGAAAAAATGGCTTTTCTTGAATTCTTTTGTCTATGCCCATTGGTGGTTCCTGGTTGCGGGCCTCTTCAGTGCCTGGTCTGGAGGTGTATAGGAGATTGAAATAAAACCCAGGGAACTTACTGCAGTATCCTTCCTAAAGTACGGAGGTTTGCTGTCAGTTTGTCTTCTTATTTCCAGATCTCAGAGTCCTTTTATCATTATCTGTTGAACAATTTCCAGGTTGTTAGTCACATTTAAAGGAAAGGAGGAGAAAGAGTGAGTCTCTGCTTTCTTGTTTCTGAACCAGGAGCTCCTTGAGTAGCTGTTAATTTGGTGAACAGAGAGGAAATTTCTGGCGATTGAATTGATTTAAAAAGGGAGCATTTGGGAACCTTGTTATGATTATATACTTTCTGCCCTGAATTGGATTACATTTAAGGTTGAATGAGTCAAACTCTAAGTAGCAAAAGCACCTGGTTATTAAAAGCACTAAGTGATCAAATGGTGGCCATTTTCAGATAAAAGGAAAGGGTCTGGTGGATAGTACTTTTCTTGTGTTTATCTTACCTTTCTATTCCCTCTGTGATATAATTCCTCTCAAATATTGTTTCTCAACCAGGGTTAATATGGGGTCAAGTGAACATTTGGCAATGTATGGAGATATTTTTGGTTGTCAAAATAGGCAAATAGATGCCAGAGATGCTCCTACATATCCTACAGTGCACAGGATAGCCCCGTACAACGAGTCACTTGGCTTAAAATGGCAATAATGAGAAATCTTGCTTTAAAACTGTAAAAAAACGGTTAAGAAATCTTGCTTTAAAACTGTGTAAAATGATCGCATAACATTGGTAATTTCTTCATGATTACTACTTGGAAGAATCATAAACCTCAAGTGTGAGATATGTTTACAGGGACCAGATATGTAAGTTCTATTTGGAAGAATCATAAACCTCAAGTTCCATTGGAAGAATCATTGTTGAAGTTCTATTTGGAAGAATCATAAACCTCAAGTGTGAGATATGTTTACAGGGACCAGATATGTAATACTATTCCCATTCAGAATCTAAGGGAAACAAATCCTTCTTCAAGGCATTTTGCAAGAGTGATTTACATTGCAGTCAAATTTCACAAGTACTCTGTAGGATACAACTGCCATTTTATTATGTAAAGAAGCTTATTACTGAAATGCAACTAAGAAAATATGACAGGCAGATAAAACATATTTTAATGGATATGTGTTCACCAATGTTTGCTTTTAACTTTTGGCACTGATTAGGTAGCTTTCTATTAACGTCTCAGTAATGATAGTATTAGGGGCCTCCACCTCCAAAATTTAAAGAAATGTACAAAGCAGATGAAAGCACTCTGAGGCTACGGTTCAGTAATAACCAGCCATCTCACAAACCTTTCCCTTAAATGTAATGTAAGTCATTCAGTCTTTAAGAAATTAAACTGCAAAAAAATAAAAGGACAGTTTAACTTAAAGAAATCCTAATGAGAATTTGCTAACTATAAGATTCATTACCAACATACAAATCCCCATAATAAAAATAATTTCCCTTGCACATTCATAATTTTATTGCTTTGTTGAATAACATTTAAATATTTTAGACTTCATAAAGTTCCATTCATAGCCATTTAGGTTTATAAGAGCTGCTGTTCATATAAGGGAGAGTAATACAGATGCATCATTTCTATAAAATAATTTTAATTCTTTCATGTCTATAAATAAATTATAAAAATTTACTTCTTTTAAAATTCTTTTTGGAAGAATTACATATGTTTCAACAATGCATTAATGCAATTTAATGGATTCAGCTGTAAGCCTATGAATTTTAGTTCTTTAAAGCAGGAACATTTAGTTTCACCATGTCCCAGTTTCCTTTTTGCTTAAATATAAGAAATGGCAATCAACAAACTTCTGGGGATGATTCACAAAGCACCTTGACATTTTAATGGCACAGATTGCCATATAGCTTATTATTTGGTAGCACAAGAGCTAAGATGGAAATTAGAATTATGTGAGCACTGAGATAATTCAACATAAATTCCTGATTATGAGGTGCAAAAAAGAGAAAAAAAGTTTGCTCACCATTAGTGGCGTCACCCAGGGCTAGCCTGGCTGACAGCATAGAAGCAATAGCTCACTGCAGTCTGTCCCAGCTAAAACACACGTTCTAAATAAATACTGTGCTTGCTCTGTAAATTTGGCTTCAAGGTCCAACTCCTCTAATGTGCATTACTCCAGCCACCAAAGGAAACCTCAAATTAACATAAACTCTAAGTAAAAATTGTATGCAAGTTCAAAGCAAAGTGTTTTGTATTCACTTCTCCACTGGGTTAATTACTCTTAAGTGTCCCTGACAAATTCTAGAGCCTCTTCCAGCAACACAATAATCTTATCTAATTAAAAAGATGCAAAGTAGTTATGTGGCTATTAATGTGTCCTTTGCAGACTGCCTGGCAGGGTATCTTATGCCCTTGACTAGTATGTCATCCCCTCATGACAGTGGAATGGCACAGAGCATCACTGTTTTAGTCTGTTTAGACTAAGGACTAAATAACAAATATAATCAAGTAAATCAAATAAATAAAGCTCTTTTTATTTAAATACAAAATACTTGAGACTGGATAATAGATAAAGAGAAGAAATTTATTTTTCACAGACCTGGAGACTGAGAAGTCAAAAATGAAGGTACTAACAGGTTTGGGTTTCTCCAGAGGGCTGCTGTCTGCTTCCAAGATGGTACCTTGTTGCTATTTCCTCCAAAAGGGAGAAACGTTGTGTCCTCACATGGCAAAGGGCAGAAGAACAAGAGCTGAACATTGTGTGAAACCACTTTTATAAGGGCCTTAATCCTATTCACAAAGGAGGAGCCCACATGCCCTAATCACCTCTTAAAGGCCCCACCTTCTAACACTATCACATTGGCCATTAAGTTTCAACACCTGTATTTTGGAGGGGACACGTTCAAACCCTAGCAGTCACCTTAAGCCTCTGCTGGGGAAAGAGAAAGGAAAGATAGGTAGATTCTCTTTCCAGCTATCCTCTACACTCACATTCCTCCTTATTACCTTTGCCAATGAGGGTTTAAGGCAGTTGGATCACTGTTATTAGGTTGGTGCAAAAGTAATGGTGGTTTATGCCATTGAACATAATGGTAAAAACCGCTATTACTTTTGCACCTACCTAAAATATTTTCCCATACTTGCCCACTTTATCCCAACCAGAACAGAATGGGAAAGTCAAGTTCATTATAGAGTTTCTATAGCTGCCTCTTTTTTTTAAGGAAAATGATTTTGTTATTTACTGAGGTCAAAGGAGTTACAGAAATTCACAGTAAGGGAAGAACAAATCATTTTTGTTTTCACTTGGCTGAAGGGCAAAGCTTATGACTGTTGTTTAAAATTCTGTCCTATCCAATATACACAGCAATCTGTTTGCTACAAAAGCATTCATTCTTTACTTGATGGCCCACATGGTTACAGACCCCGATAAACTAAGGGGATAAACTGGGATTCCTATGTGTTACCTTAATACCCATTGTACTGCTCACTAGGTATTCCTATGGGCTGCCTAAAATATAAACACCCTTTCAAATAAAATTATCCCTATCCTGATGAATCCATTCACCCCAGGTTCAATGTGAAACAATCTTCGGCAAGTGAAAAAAATTCCCAAATTCAGAGAATGAAAATGAGCTTTATAATAAAAATACTGTTTTTGAGGCCAGAATAGTCACATTAATTATGCAACCAGTGCTACTTTGCTTAAATTACCTCAGCCTACGCATTTGAAGAGCCTTATTAAATAGTTATATCCCAGTATATTTAAAGAAAGAGAGCTTTATTCATTTGATTAAACTATTTTTATTATGTAGGATTGCAGTATAATAATCCTAAGTCTTCCTCTTCTCACATCTCCTTTCTTCTTCTTCCCCTCCCCAGCAAGATACATAGGAAGAAAACTAATATTACTTCAGCCACACAATCTTGCCAAAGCAAACTAAATACATGAAATTTCAGGAGAGCTAAAAAAAAAATAGTGTAGGAGAGAATCAGTATAGAATTGCCAACTGCTCCCTCACAAAATTCCTCATAAGTACTTCAGTCTTTGTGTATTTGTTTAAAGCAATTCCGGATACCATTCAAATACTTTCCCCTTGCAGTGTGAATTAATTTTAGCTGACAAAGTATAAGTTTCCACTCATCTCCAATTCTTATCAAGTAAGCAAGTTATACCTTCTTGAAGAAGAAACTGAAGCTACTTTGCATCCTCCTTTGGTAATTTTAATAAAAATAATTAGCTGTATGCCTTGGAACAAGTTCTTTTTGTGAGTCAAGGGCCTTCCTGTCCCTGTAAGGATAGTCACTCTAGTGCTCTGTTACTTGTATTAAAAGCAAAGAAAGTTAAAATCATATGCAAAGCTTAGCTAATATTTGGCTTTCATGAATCATTTTTTTCCAGTGGTATTTTGAAGCATAGTTATTACAATGTCACAAATTCCCTTGATGATCTTCTCAAGATGTGCCTGTGAGACATTCTCTGGCCTTTGAAGAACTAATTAAAATGGGGACTGAAGATGGCAGATCCTCCTTGGGCCTTCCTGGGTATAATCTGACATAGGAGACCAGGAAGTTATGTTAAAATTGGATGCACCCTACAAAGAGGCCAACACACCATCTTGACTATTCCCTATTAGGACACATCGATGTGAGGCTAATGAAACTCAAAGCAACGTGGTCTACTTCTATCGAGCATTTGATTAATCATAGGGTCATGTCAAAAACAATGCTAGTCTTAAGGATAAATATTAAAGCATTGTGTTTGAGGAGTCCACTTCCCTCTGTCTGTGTCTCTCTTTACATATATGCGTGTTTATATGTGTACGTGTATATATATATATATATATGAATGTGAATACTTCCGTATTGAAATATATTGTTTCCTACAGGAGCAAAATACCATTGTAGTATGTTAATATTTTAAATATGTCGTATAAGTTTTGAAACATAAATAAGATGATGAATTTTCTAGAATTCTGTATCATCAAAATGTTGACAATAAAATGAGTCCTAGGCATTTTTCTCTAGTGATTAATGAAATACCCTGAGTTAATTTAAGTCCCCTTTTGACATGCTACTCAAGAGACAAATAAGCAATATACTTTTTAAAAATCATTTAGTAAATTTTTAGCTTGATATTCTCCTAGTGATTGGCAGAGATTTGGACAATATCAACATTGTAGAATACAAAAATGAATGAATATTTAAGTATAAAGTACATTAGATAATTGTTTTTCAGCAGAGTGTCCTTTGAAATTGTTTTGAGTGCTTAAAGAGCTAATTTTAAAATCAATTAACTTAGCATTTTTTGAGTATACACTATGCATACTAACTCAACATAGGATGAAGGCTAAAAGCATGTATGCCAGCAGGGGTGTGAGGGACTGAGCCTCCGGTTCAGAAGGAAAACTATGTGACAGAAAATCAAGTTAACAAACTGGATTATTCTAGAATCCTTTTTGTAAAAGTTGTCCAGAGAACCCATTACTAAGTTATGTGTTTTGAATTAGACAATTCACTTCCATGTATTTTTCTTCCCAATGTATTAAGTTTTCCTCCCATTTTATTAAGTTGAAATATTACCACGAACACCCATTTACAATTCACCAAGACTCTCCAACTATTAACAGTTTGTCACATTTGCTTTATTTTTCTCTTTATCTCTCTCTGTGTCTCTCTCTCTTTACATATATGTGGGTTTGTGTGTGTGTGTATATATACATACGAATATGAATACTTCCTTATCAAAATATATCATTCCCTACAGAAGCAAAATATCATTGTCATATGTTAGAATATTTGAAATATATATTTGTTTTGAAATGTAGTCAAATTAATTATTTTTAGAATTGAAATGAAAATGTTGACAATTTAAATATTCCTAATTGTCCATCCCAATTTTTTTATATCTATTAACCAGTGCTCATGCATTGCCTTTAGTGGTTATGCTACTTTAGTTGCTTTTAATCTAAAATATTGTTTTACCTTTTTTGTGGCTGCTTATGATTCTGTTATCTTGAAGGTTAAGCCAGTCATTGTTTAGGATTTTTCTTATGTATACCTTGCGATCAATTTCAGATTTAACATTTGTGCCAGGATCTTTCATAACAGTATTTCTTATTGTGTCACATAGGAAGGCCCATAATGTCATGTTGTCTTATTATTGATAATGCTAATTTCGTTCACTAAAGTGGTGACCACTGGGTCTCTCCATAGAAAAAGTGTATTTACCCCTTTGTAATTGATAAATTATCTCTATAGTAATGTTTTGTGGCCATATGTTATTCTACTCCCTAAAAAGCTTCTGCCAAATGGGTAGCATTTATAGATGATTCTTGAATGTGCCAAATATTTTGGATTGCAAAATAATGATTTTAAAAATAGATCATATCTTGTATATTTATTAGCTGCTATTCTTTACCACCATGTCTTAATAACTAATAATTGAAAGATGTGTCGTCGTAAATCCAATGTGAATAATTTATTTCCACAACTTGCAATAAAATGTATAATAGAGGACTAAAAGGAAACTTAGAGAACATTTTGCTCATTGTACCTTCCAAAAAGAGTTGTGCATTAGATGGATAAATGACTTTTGTTTTTATGTTTGTCACCGGAGACACAATGAGGAGTAAAGCATGACCCATCCCTCGTCTCTGGATACTCAGATGTATATAGGGACACTTTACCTGTATTATTTTGATTTATCTTCAGAAAAACTCCACAAAATATATGTTATTGTCAAATGCTTAAAAATGAGAAAACTGAGGCAAAATGTTTAAGCAACTTGTCCAAGTTCAAACCATTAATAACTAGGAAAGATGTCTCCTAAATATAGTTTATACTTATCTCTTAACCATAACATTATAATGTATGGGTAACAGGGGCTTCTAACTGGTAAGGATTCTTCTAATGCAACAGAAAGGATAATTCCTAAAGATGCAATCCATATGTTGCTGAGTAAGTGACACTAGGTACCTTCTGAAATGAAAAATTTTGCAAGACCATCATTAGCAGCAACAGCAGCATAGCAAACATTTAATGAATGCCTATAATGTACTAGGAATTGTTGTAAGCTCTTTGTTTATCTTAGGAGTCAACTAGAAAATGATAAATGAAAAGCCCCAAAAGTATCAGCTGTGAGATAAACATAGGAATAGAGTAAGGAGTGGTAGAATAAGAAAAAATGTCCATGTAAATGTCTTCAGTTGTACCAAAGAGCAAAGGAACACTTTTATTGGCTGCTGCTGGAGCTCAGCGAGAAGTTTCAGTGGTGTGTTATTCTTCAGTGTGAGAGACTTTGCGACTGAGCTAGAGAGAAGTGGCTTACTAGTTACTGTGAATTCCATGTGTGTCCCCGGGTTTGACTGGCCTGGAGGAACTCCCATCATAGCCAGATATGTGAACTAGATGAAACCTACATAGCCACTTTGGCCAAGATTCTTGTTATGCAAATGAGCAAAATCAGAAAAGTTTATAATCTCAAAAGAGGTTGTTTTAACCAGGCTTATCTCTAGGTAGTCATTATATATTACACATGGAAACTTCCGTTTCCATCCTATGTGAAGTCACCGCATCTAAAAATGTGTGTGAATCTGTTGAATAGATTTCTATCCTGTGTTAAGTCATTCCTATTCTGAGAGCTTAGGAGAAAAATCTATCAAGTGTTTTGGAGTACTTTTTTTTTTTTGAGATGGAGTCTTGATCAGTCGTCCAGGCTGGAGTGCAATGGCACGATCACAGCTCACTGCTACTTCCGCCTCCCGGGATCAAGCGATTCTCCCGCCTCAGGCTCCAGAGTTACTGGGATTACAGGCACCCACCGTCATGCCTGGCTTACTTTTTTTTGTATTTTTATAGAGACGGGGTTTCACCATGTTGGCCAGGCTCGTCTTGAACTCCTGAACTCAGGTGATCCGCCCACCTCAGCCTCCCAAAGTGCTGGGATTACAGGCATGAGCCACAGTGCCCAGCCTGGAGTATTTTTAATATTTGATTTCCGTCTTGATTAACCTCAAGTTTATATTTTGTTATAATGAGTAAGATAAGAACACAAGTTTGTTTTTCCAGGTGGCTTCCGGTCGTAGTAATAAAAATGCCATTAATTGGACAGTGCATTTTTTTCTTGCTGATACAAAATATTGCTTTATTACACAGTAACATTCAAATGAATTTGTGCCTATTTCTGTATTTTATGTATATTTCCAATGACTGGTCTGCATCTTTGTAAAAGAGAAGAGCACAATTAATTATGGGATCATAATTATGGAATAATGGTTTAAGCTGCTGCACCCAATCCTCCACAGCCAATTCTCTTATTGACCAAAATATTTCTGGCTTTTAAAAACTTGTTTGGTTTTCCAGATGAACTTTAGATTCAACTTCAATAGTTTTAAAAATACTATGTTGATATTTTTATTGGGATCTTAATTTTTAAAAATATAATTTATTCTCCCATCAAAGAACATAACTTGACCTTTTATTTACCCTTTCTTTGTTTGTGTCTGTCAGTAGAAAAAATATTTTGTTATCTAGATCCTGTTAACATTTTTTGATATGATTATTTCTAAGTATTTTATTGTTGTTTTGCTGTTGTAAGAAGCAAATATAATTTCTAGTATATTTCCTAATTTGTTGTTGAAGATTTGGGCTATATTGATAATATGTTTTAAATAAAGAAGGATATAGTTTTTAAATTAACAATATTGAGAAAAGAATAGTGCCAATTTAACATTGAATGTCAATAACATATGTTCATTAGAAAGGTTTTGTTTGAACATTTTGTTCAATATTTACTAATAAGCTTTTCCATTTGTTTTTAATTTATTCAGCTTTTAATTTACATAGAATAATAACCACATTTTTGTGAAGTTTTGTAACTTTTAAAAAATGCATAGTGTTATGTCACCACCATCAAAATTAAGATGCAGAATAATTCCATTGTCACTAGAAATTTTTCAAGCTGCCCCTTTGTAGTCATCTCCTCTCCCTACTTGACCTCTAGCAACCATTAACCTGTTTTGAGCATTACGGTTACTTTTTCCAGAATGTCATATCAACTGAATAATATAGTGAGTGTAGCTTCTCTCACTAAGCATAATGCATTTGAGATTCATCCACGCTTCTGGGAGTATTAATAGTTCATTCGTTTTTGTTGTGCAGATGTGTTCCTTTGCATGGAGGTGACATAGTTTGTTTATCCACTCAACAGTTGACGCATATTCCAATTGTTTCCAGTTTTGAGAAATTGTAAATAAAACTACTATAAACACTTATGTACAAGGTTTTGTGTGAACTTCAGTTTTCATTTACCTTGGGTAAATACCTAGAAGTGAAATTGTTGGGTCATACAGTAAATGTATACAGTTGACCCTTGAACAACATGGGGGCTAGAGGTATGACCACTGCACAGTCAAAACTTTGTGTATAACTTTTGACTTCCCCAAAAATGTAACTTCTAATAGCCTACAGTTGACTGGAAGACTTATCAATAATGTAAACAGTTGATTAACCCATATTTTGTATATTATGTATATTGTATATTGTATTCTTACAATAAAGGAAGCTACAGAAAAGAAAATGTTAAGAAAATCATAAAGAAAGAGATAATATATTTACAAATCATTAAGTGGAAGAGGACCATCATAAAGGTCTTCATTCTCATTGTGTTCATATTTGGTAGACTATTGAGAAGGAGGAAGGGGAGGGATGGTCTGGCTGTTGTAGGGGGCAGAGGCAGAAGAAAATTTCACATGTTAGTCAACTTGTGCCATTCAAACCCATAGTGCTCAACGCTCAATTCTGTGTAACTTAATTGAAAACGGCCAAACTATCATTAAAATTTGCTGAATCATTTTGCATTCCCAACAATAAAGAATGAAAGTTTCAGGTTTTCTTTTTATTTGGTTTTCAGCAATTTGATTTTGATATGTGTCTGGTTCTGGTATTTTTTAACTTTACCCCTCTGAGTTTGCTAAGCTTCTCGAATTTACAAATGTGTATCCTTCATCACATCTGAGAAGCTTTCAGACATTTTTATTTAACATTTTTTCAACAATCTTTCTCCTCTTTATCTGAGACACCAATGACATGGCGCTAACTTACAACTTTTTATATTGTTCCACGGTTTCCTAACACTGTTAATTTTTCAGCCTTCTGCCTCTGTTCTTTAGATTAAATAATTTCTATTACTCTGTATTTGTGTTCAATGACTCATCCGTCTGTCACATCCATGCAGCTATTGAGTCTATACAGTGCTTATTTAAAATGTTATATTTTTTAGTTCTAAATTTTTCATGTGGATTTTAAAAAAATACATTTTACTTCTCTACCAAAATTTCCATGTTTTCATTCATTTCAAGGGTGATTACCTTTAAGTCATGGAACACTGTTATTATACTCACTGTTTTAAAGTCTTTATCTGATAATTCCAGTATTGGCTTCATCTTGGAATTGGCATCTTTTTGTTATCATTTCACTTGAGAATTGGTCACATATTCCTGGGACTTTTTTTAAGTTGAGTAATTTTAGACTGTATTTTTAATTTTGAAAATATGAAGTTGCGAGATGCTGGGTTCTATTAAAATTGTCCCATAAATGTCTGTTTTGTTTGCTTGTTTGTTGGTTGGTTGGTTGGTTGGTTTTAGGAGACAATCAATCCAGTTACTTTCAGACCATGTATCTGTCTCGCCTTCTGTGGTTGGTGGTTCTAATGTTAGTTCAATTTACAAGGTCAATGATAAGCTGTTTTCGTGTCTTCCAGGCATGTGTCACTGAGGAGTTAGTCTGGGCCTTAGGTGTTGGTTTCTATTGTAATTTAGTTCCCAAAGCCTTTTTTTTATGTTAGTTTGGGGCTGTACTACATACATGCAGTTCAGGGGTGAGCCTAATGTTTGTGCTTTTTTATACAGAGAATTGGGGGAGCCCCCTCTCCAGACTGTCTTCTCTGGGATTCTCATCACATGCTTTGGCCTCTAGGAACTCCCTTTTCCCCATCATCTGGAGAGAAATATAGTAGTTCTTTTAGAATTTTAGTCACCTAAGATTCTTCTGTGCATTTCCTCATGACTGGTCACTGTTATCAGGCAAAGCAATGAGGAAAAAAGACAGAAAATAATGGGTATTCCATCCTCACTCTTGGACTATGTGAGCCTGTTTTTCAGTCAGTCCTTCAGGCCAGAAACATGGTTTTGTTCTTGTTGTTGTTGTTTTCAGAATTTCAGTTGCCCATTAGAACAGGGTTAGGGGAGAAAAATGAGAAACAAGAAAATTTAATGGGATTCCTTCTACACCGTCCAGCTCGCAGGAATCCCTTTTTCTGGTCCTCTGGTTTCGCATGGAGTTTTTGCTGACTGCAACTCTTGCATAGTTCTATGACTAGAGATACCTCACGTACAAGATAGGAGATAAAAGAGCAGAAAGAAATGGAAAAATTACCCCAAAAAGGATATTCTTCAAGTTTTTACTTCCCCTTCCCCATGTGCCTTTTATTGCTTATTTCTCTGAGTCTTCAGATGTTACTTTTAATATTTTGTCCTGAGTTTTTAAGATAATCAGTGAAAGAGATAGGTTATAGTAAAATTACTTCATCTTGGCCAGCATCTAAACCCTCAGCCCATTTTTTAAAAGGTATGGTAAATTTTACACAGTCAATAATAATATATTGCTTATTTCAACATAACAGAGTAAATTCAAATGTCTCACCAAAAAGAAATAATAGGTACATGAGGTGATGAATATGTTTGTTAGCTTTATTTGATCATTCCACATTGTACACATATGTCAAAACATCACAGTGTATTTTATCAATATATATGATGATGATTTGTTCATCAAAAATAATATTGATCAATTATTAATACATAAAATAAAATGAAAAATAATTTTAGAAAGACAAAGTAAATTTTAGAAGAATTCAAGAGCACAGAAGAATGACAACCAACTAAAAAATAGTTTTCTGTTCCAATTACATAATACAGAGCACTGGAATATTTATCGATTATGGTTTTAACCACTGAGATGATCCAAAGCTTCTTTTTCTTTTTCAGAGAGAAAAAACAATTCGGTACCAAATGACTTTTACTTTCTACATTTGTGTTAAAGGGTGATAGCCTTCTTTTTGGGTGAAAATACAAGTTTTACTTTTAATGTTACACAGAAGAATGCAACTTTGTCTAACAAATATCTGGTATTTGAAGTGCATGGCTTTCTCTTTATTCAACAATTTAGAATACATGTACTAAAAGTTCTTCTCAGAATATGCATATATAAATTAATTACAATCTAGATTTTCTCTAACCTTCATTTGAGAAATCAGATATTTAAGAGCTACTCTAATGGCTGTATTAACTATGCCTTCTCCTAGATCCTAAAGCTCCATTAATGAATTAGAGTAGATGTGTAGAAGCCAAAGTGTACCTGAGCCATGTTGTCTCAACTGCTGCAAAAAAAGCTTTTACTTCATGTAAAGATATTTGGTACATGCATTATTTATTTGAACAGCATTTGTACCTTTGCTAAAACTAGAGTTGAAAGCATTAGCCTTTGAGTTGTCAAACGTTTCTTTTACATAAACATCACCTTCTTTGCCAAGATTAACTTCTTAGGAAAAATTATATCTCAGTAAATGAATATCCTCGATTTCTGTTGTTAGTCAAAAATATATACATATAAATATAAATATAAATACATATATAAAACAATGTGTTTCTCTGTCACCCTAGGTTCCTAAAGAATTATAAGGAAATTGAGTGCGCGATTGTGGTAATCTTTTCGTGTCAGGAACACTTTTACACGTTTACATCTTCGCCTTTTATGACCTCTATTCTGTTTTTGTTTTTGAAATCCACTTTATTGAGTAAAAATTTATACACAATAAAATAAACCCATTTTAAGTGTACACATTGATATTTTATGATAAATATATAAACCATGTAATCACAACCCAGATAGGTAACATTGATATTATCTCTGTAAATCCAAGAAAATTACCAAAGCAAGTCTTAATCACTTGAGGAGGTTTATTTGCCAAAGTTAAGGTCACACACCCAGGAGGCAGGTCTATGCCTTTCTCCGAAGATGATCTTGAGGGCTTCAGTATTTAAAGGGGAAACAGTGGATACTGAGGGAACAGAAATATTTTTAAAATGTGTCAGTAGACAATAAGACAAAACAGTTGCACCCTCTGGAGTCTTTGATCAGCCTTTCACTGAATATACAATTTTCATGAGAGAGGAGAGTAGAGGAAATAGTCACTCATGCCTTCATCTGGCTCAGTGAATTGGTAATTTTATGTAAGATAACTTAGATAATATGGCAGAGGAAGCAGTCAGATACTCATTTGTCTCAGGTGAGCAGAGGGATGACTTTGAGCTCTATCCTTTGTCCCGCCCTTGTGAAGGTAAACTATCAATTTATATTGCCAGGGTCAAATTCACAGAAATGCTTTAGGATAAAGATGTTGGAGCCCACAAAGAATTTCCATGTGGGAAAGTTGTGAGGGATATATGTAGCTTTTTACCTTTGTAGTCATATTATTTAGGAACCAAGTGGGAGGCAGGTTTGCATGACCCAGCTTTCCCCTTGACTTTACTCTTTGGCTTAGTGAGTTTGGGGTCCCAAGATTTATTTTCCTTTCATATGTCAAAAATTTTCTTTCTGAATCATTGCTTTGAATTATCCCACTTCAGGGACTAACACTGATCTTTTTAAATTTACTTTTGCCCATTTTAAAATTTGATTTACATAAAAATAGACAGTATATTTCTTTGTGTCTGGTTTCTTTTGCTTAGAATATTTTCTTCTTCAATTTCAACCACATTACTTTCACTTTTTAAAAGCTAAATGTCTGTAGTTATTCTTAAAAGTCTTCCCTTGTAGGTACAGTGTATTTTTTTTCCTTTGGCTGACATTTATTTATTTATTTATTTATTTATTTATTTATTTATTTATATTACTGGTTTTCAGAAATCTGATAAGATATGTCTTAGAGTGGTTTCCTTGATCTTTATCTTACTTGAGTTCATTAATCTTGACTGTATAGGGTTTTTTTTAGAGCTTATTTTTTAAAGAAAACTTTTGTCTATTCCCTCTTTAGAAATTATTCTTTTGACTACACATCATTGGATTCCAATCTTCTGTATGTTCTTGTCCCACAGGTCTTATTATGAAGGCTCTGTTAAACTTTTCTTTGGGGCTTTTTCTCTTGTGTGCTCCAGTTTGACTGGTTTTTATTGCTTGACTGGAAGTTCATTGATCTTTTCTTGGCCTTTAATCTTCTGTTAATCCCATCCAGCAAAATTTGCATTTCAGATTCTCCTTTAGAAATTACATTTGGTCTTCCCATTTTATTTTTTAAAACAAATTCCATTTCACTTCTTATTATGTCCATTTCACTTCTCATTTTGTCTTTCTTTACATTCTTGGCAGTTTGCCTGTTCTTATCTGATAGTATCATCATTCTTATCATTTCTGGGAATGTTTTATTACTAATTTTTCTCCTGATTATAAATTATATTTTCTGTTTCTTGGAATACCTAGAAAGTTGTATTCACTTCTGAACATTGTATATGTTAAATTGTTGAATGTCTACATTTTATTTTCTTCCTTCAAAGAATGTTAAATTTGATTTTGGTAAATTGCTTGTTTACCTTGATTATTTTAAAGCTTGTTTTTAAGCTTTATTAAGGTGGAGCTAAAAAATCCTTTCAGGCTAGGTATTACAACCAAGATGTTATGCTTCTGGAATTTCTACTGAATAACCTTGATAATCACTAAAATCACTGCAATCTGGCTGGTCAGAACTCACGCATCGTTGTCCTGTTTAAATTCTGGGATTTGATCACATTAAGGATCCCTGGTAATTCTTTGTCTGTTCTAATGGGGTTTCACTCCATGCATATGCAGATTAATATCTAGCCACAGACTCAAAGAAACTGAAGTGCTATGTAGATTTCTGAAATGCTCTGTAGATTTCTGTATAGCTCTCTTTTCTGAAGTGCTCTGCAGATTTCTCTATAGCTCTCTTCTCTGCTAGTCTGCCTGACAAATCCTAGCGGCATCAGCCCCCCAACACACTAAGTTTTGTCTTCTTTTCTTAGCCAGGATGCATACTTTGTTTGGGCTCTCCTCCTTGCACCCTGATGAAAAAGTGCCCCAGAGCAGAAAGTCAGGGTGATTGTAGTTATTATTCTTTTAGGAATAACAAAATAGAAGCCACTATCGCTATTTTAACTTTACAAAGTCTAAGATAATCAGAGGTTGTTTTTCAGGAATAATTTTATTATCCACACCTCAGCATTTATGGCCTTTGTCATATCTTTGAATAAGGCAGATACAGTCTAAATGCACCAAGAATAAGAAGACTGAGAACGGTCAAAATCCGGAAGTAGGTACTTCTATCAAATTAAACATCACAGGCGTTTCTACAAGTACATAGTCTTAAGTGATATGGTTTAAAAAGTACCATAAATCAGCAGGTATATTCTTTTGTGATGTGTTTATTTATCACATTATTTCATTAATAACTACATCTGCCTGCCCCCTGCCCCATGCCTACACACACAGAGAGGGATAATCTATAGTTAATATCACCCCAATCTGGAAGAAGAACTCTAGTTCACCACAGTTAAGAAGGAGGTAGGTTTGGTGACGTCTTCAATGGAATTCCCACAGGAAGTTTCATTTTCAGAGATATTTCACAT
This sequence comes from Homo sapiens, assembly GCF_000001405.40. Lineage (NCBI taxonomy): Eukaryota > Metazoa > Chordata > Mammalia > Primates > Hominidae > Homo > Homo sapiens. The sequence goes on along the minus strand of NC_000021.9, from coordinate 29,967,609 downwards.
AAATTTTAAGATACTCGTTAAAAACTCTTTGCTGACTCACTAATATTCTTGATAAAGATCCAGTTGTACAAATGGTAATGGGATGCCAATAGTGTTTGTTTAACTAGCTTCTTTTTGTCACTCAGAAATAAGCTTGAATCTGACTTTACCAAAAAGATCTTTTCAGAACTAGTCATTCTCTATAATGTCTTTTAAATTAAATTTTAATTGAACAATAGAACTTATTATCCATTTTTTGTTTACTTATTTATGTATAATTGCTACTCCTCAGTCCCCTTTCCATACCAAATGAAATGTGAAATACTGGAAGGCAAATCTTGTTCTTTTATGTATCCCTGGCACCCAGAACAGTCCCTGGCAAGAAGAGGGGGCTCAATAACTTTTTTTAAATTATTAAATAGATAAAAGATTCTCATCAGGGTGATAATACAGGAGATGATTTACATCTCATAGGCTACGTAATGAGGACCAGAGTAATGGCAATAATCTTTCTTTTTGCTATTGTATAATAATCACTACTACCTTTCTATTATCTTTTCAGTAGTCGTTGTGTGATTACACAAGAAAATTAATTATAACAATCAGTTATTGTTTGCTCTCATAAGTGATTATGACATTTCACTTTACAGTTTGGCCAGTGAGAATGATTGGGGTTCAGAAGATTCAGTTGTGGGTCTTAGAATAAATCCATCTAAGAAATCAGAAAACAGTATTTTGAGTAATGTGGGTTCAGAAAAGAAATCTGAGTACCACCAAGCATGTGCTCTCTTACTGTTCTAACACAAAGAAATGGAGCACAAAGGGAGAACATGGAGGGCATTAAGGAAGTGACTTTAATATGTGCTGAGAAGCAGGAAGTGAGGAAACATCAAGGAAGTCTCTTTTAACTCACTTGGCTCTATGCAGAATGTCAAGACTGGGATGAGACAAGGCAAGGTGTTGAAGGAAGACTAAGGAAAAAGGCAGAATCATATTTCTCAGAATCGAGCCAACTAAGTTTTTCCAGTTAAGTTTCAAGCCCACAGCAGCCTATTCCTCCAAAGTTGAGCTAGAATAATATGAGATGTTTTATGAACATGGACTTTACAATCAAATGATAACTTGTGCACTTGCTACCTGGATAGTTTTGAACCATTACTTTCATTTTTCAAACTGTAATTTCCTCATTCCTAAAATGAAGTGACATCTGCTTCAATAGATTATTAGGAAAATTAAGGATAATCAGTAAGAACTCAGCCCAGATCCTTGTTGTTCTTATGATTATTAACCCTCTCTCAGGCTATAGTCAGCCTCTGAAGCAGCCCTGAGCTAGACCATTTATTTGCATCATACGGGGCAGCAGTGAGGAGTTCAAGCTGCAGAGAACTGGGCATTCTCTGACATTCTTTGAACTATGTGCTCATTTAAAAACCCTAGAATGATTTTGGCTAAGACCTTCATGCTTTGTATAGAGAAAGTCCGATTTAGAGTGTGAACTCACACATTAGAGCTCTTTTGTTTTTCAATTACGGATCTGTGCCGTAGTTGCAGAAGTGATGTAACTGAAGATCATATAGTAAATACTGCTCATTAAAATAATTTGATATAAAATTGTTTCTCCATAGGATCATTTGAACTCAAGATTTTTAGGCATTGGCAAATCTTGAAAAGAAGTCTCTTACCAAGAGATATCATAGAGTGAATATTGAACTGTTTTGGTTTAGCACCAAGATTTTATTGTTCTTAAAGGTTGGATGTAAGTAATTATATTTTTCAAAATATTATGTTACTTTATTTCTTTCTCATTGGCTACTATTAAAGTGGTTAAAAGGTAGCTCTACTTCATGAAAAAAGTATCCTTTAAGCTAAAAACAGATTTAACTGAATTATTATTTAAATATATTTTGTTAAACAATGGTATAACACTAAACGTTTTCTTGCAGGGAATTTTATGGAAATTGAATTTTATATTGAAAACTAAGAATGTTTCCTGCATCACAATTTTTTATTTCAAATAATAGGGAGGAATAATTGACTTTAAATAATCCCATACTTTAAAGGAGAAAAAGAACAGCAATTAGTAAAGTCACCTGAATACTTGTTTAAAACGTCAAAATGATATTTCCAGAGAATATAACATCAAAAGTGAAGTTACCACTTTAAAAAAACACAAAGCACAATTAAAAGAAATGATGCACAGATTAAAAATAATAATAAAAGAGTACTTTCCCTTTATGTTTTGATTATATCTCCTGGCATGAAATAAAGATATTTGGTATCAAAGCTTGGGGGAAAACTATATAGTATGCATGTTAAAGTTGACTTAGGCTGATTACCTAATTTCTAAGCTTTATGATCATTAAAAACATTACCTTACGTGTTCGAATTGCAGCTATAGAAGTTAGTAGCAAATGACAGATTTGGTTAGTGCAACAATTCGGAAGCAATCCATGGGAGTTTTTTGGAGAACATGTCAAAGATGACCTCATTAGGATACATTTGGGAAGCCTGAATTTCCTTGGCCTTGAAACCCTCCCCAGTGAACTATACATGGGAAAGGGAGGACATAGTTTTAGCCACAAACGTTTTCTCAATAAGGACATCTTCAGTGTTTCTCCAAGTGGGTGTTTCAGCAGGTGTTGATGGAAACATGAATTTTCAGATACATTCAGCAGGGAGAAATGAGATATTTTGACTGAGATATATTATCCTGTCCTGCTTTGTAGCAAAAAGGCAGTAAAGTGTTTCTGCAGGGTCAACTAACAGAAAAGTCATCCGCTAGTAGCAGGGAAGGCATTCGTGCAGCAACATAAGAGTGGACAGAATGTGAATTAGTCTGAAGTCAAGGATTACAAAAGAAAAAAAAAAAAGCAGCAGTCCACAAAATGGCAAGCCTAGGGTCTTGTGTGCATGGTTCATGATACAGAAGGAGATATTACTAAAAATGATGGTTTCAGTACTAGTCAGAGAAAGTACAGAGTTATAAAGGTCTCATGCCAGAGGAGACCACCACACCTTAATTTACTTTTCTTAAAGAGAATCTGATAATTTCTAAATGGATTTTGAAAATTTCAAGAATGTGCTTCGAAATCACCTTCAATATTTGCAAAAAAATATCTAATATTGCAAGGGAGATCCTCTCTGATACAGATATTGTTTGTCAATACATAGCCACTGGTATAGAGCAAGGATCAGTAAGGCAGCTACAGGAAACTTGAACTGTGTGGATGATAGTGCCTGCTTTGGTCACCACCGTAAAACTCCATCACTGGCTGGTGTTTTCTCCCTTTTAATTTCCTTGGTTTCTCATTTACACCATGTTTTAGTTAGCTCTGGCTGACATAACAAATTATCATAGCCTGGGTGACTTAAACAGCAAACATTTATTTCTTACAGTTCGAGAGCCTGGGAAGTCCAAGATCAAGGTGCCAGCAGATTCAGTGTGTGGTGAGAGCTCTATTTCTGGTTTGAAGACAGCCAGCCACCTTCTTGCTGTATCCTCACATGGGAGAAAGAGAGACAGATTGTCTCTTTCATGTCTTTTCTTATGAAGGCACTAATCTCATTCATGAGGGCTCCCCTTTCATGGGCTAAATGTTTCCGAAAGGCCCCACCTCCAAATACCGTCACATTGGGACTTAATGTTTCAACAAATGAATTTGGGGTCTGAGGACAAAAACATTCAACCCATAGCACACTGCAGACATTTATTGAACATCTAACATATGCCAAGAGCTACGCTGGGGATTTGAATTTGAAAGATACCTTTCCCTATAGGACATTACAAAGGAAATTGGTAGAAAACGAAGTCATATTATAGCTCTCAAGAAGACAATACATTGTTATTTACTGACATAAGATGTAGAGAAAAAAACTGTTTAAAAAAGGAATGTCGTCTTGTAGTGAAATTGTGGTTTTACAGTTGATCCTATTTATTGCTTGTACTTAAGGAGCTTATTTACTATTCTAGTCTTTAATTATAATATTAGGGAAGTAAGCAAGATAGAGTCAAGAATGTTTCCTTGTTTTCTAGATCCTTAACACAATTAGTAAGGTAGCCTGTTCTTTCATTTGAGGAAACTCAAATCTCTTATAAAGCCTGATCTTTTATAATGTGGCATGTAATGTAGCTTTTGATTTGGTTTTGGTAGCATAGATCTAATTCAGAAGAATATTACTGAAATATGAGGGGGATAAACTGTTCTCTTTTAAAAAGACAGTGCCAAGGTGATTTGTGTAATTGAAATTCTATCTTTATAAGTACAGTTGTGCCATAAAATTCAGGCTAGCAGCCAGACTGTCAAACTTCTTACTAGTTTCATGAAAAAGAAGGTTTGCCCAATTCTTCACTGGTTCTCACACAAATAAAGCTGTTTTGGGAAACAGAATAAGAAATAGAAGATCTTTTATTTCAAAGCCCCTGTAAAAGACAAACAGAGGAAGAATGGTCAAATACAATACATAAAGACCAATACGGTAAAACAATCTGCTGTTATTTTATAAATGTTGGAAGATTTTTATGAGATATTTTGGATTGCTTTATTTAGAAATCAATTTTTAAAATCTTTAAGAAATATAAACTAATTTATTATAATTGGATTTTTATTTGTGACTTTGACAGCTTTAATGACTGTATATTATGGGTATGATTCTATACACAAGATCTTTCTAAAAAGCATATTGAAGTTCTTTCCTTTGCCAAGTGCAATTTGATTGTAAAGTGTCCAAGTCTTTTTATTTACCTTTTTTTTTTTTTTTTTTGGCCCATTCAATGCTTAATGCCATTTCTAGGAAAGAAAGAAAGCTTACAGATACAGAGTTTGCTGAATGGGCAATGAAAACAGTCTTTTTGAATTTTGACACATTTTTGCCTTTATTTTAAGATAAAAACAAGATGATTTAACTCTCAGTTACGTATTTTAATAATTATTTTTAGTGTGTTATAAAGTCAGGATTTTTTTCAGTTCTTTTAAAATAGAAGAATCAGAAGAACTAAAAATAGACCAATCTTAGTAGAATATTATATTTCATTTGGGAAAATTAATTTGCTACTAATTATGCCATAGGTTGAATCATTTCTCCAATAAAAAGATATGTTAAAGTCCTAAGCCTTTATAAAAAGGGTCATTAAAGATGCAGTTAGTTGCATTAAGATGAGGACATACTGGAGCACGGTGGACCCTTAACCCAGTATGATTGATGTTTTATCAGAAGAGGGGAGACATTCATGTTAAGATGCAGATGACACACACAGGAAACAGGGAAGTACAGGGTAGAAGAGGGCAGTTCCCCAGCAAAGGCCCCAACCCCAAGCCTGGAAACCCACGGCCCTAAATAGGAATAGACATTCCTATTTAGGCGGATTGGTGCAGCAGAGAAGGAGAGAAGGGAAGGAATGTCTGAACGTCAAGAGAAGCGCAGCTGGGGATAGTCCAAGAGATCAGCCACTGGATGGCCAAATTTCAGGGGAAGATCATCTTCCCATTCCATCCCTTTCCCAGCTCCCCATCCATCTCTCTGAGAGCCACCTCCACCACTCAATAAAACCTCTGCATTCACTATCCTTCAAGTCCGTGTGTGACCTGATTGTTCCTGGATGCCGGACAAGAACCTGGGTACTAAGAGGGCACTGAGCTGGTTAACACAAGTCGTCTGCAGATGGCAGAAATAAAAGAGCACTATTGGGAGTTGCCGGCACCCACCCTTAGATGTCACCGTGGGGTTGGAGCCCAAAAAGTGCTTGCCCAGGCTCCTGCACCTGCCCGTCTGTGTGCTTCCCCTCCCATAAGGGGTTTGAGCATGCGCAGCGGCTGAACAGACGAGCCACACCCGTGTCACATGTCCTGCGAGGGGGTCAGGGAACTCTCTTGTTGCACAAAGGCACTCAGACAGAAGGAGACAGCTGTGAAGATGGGGGCAGAGATTGGAATTAGGCTGCCCCAAGCCAAAGAATGCCTGGGACTAGCAGAAGCTTGATGACAAAAGGCAGAATCTTTCCCTACAGGCTCTGGAGGGAGCATGGCTCTGCTCGCACCTTGATTTTGGACTTCTAGCCTCCAGAACAATGAGAGAATACATTCCTGTTATTTTAAGCCACCCAGTTTGAGATAAATGACAGCAGCCTTAGGAAACTAATACAATGGCTATGGCAAACTTCCAAATTTTATTAATACAACTATTCAAGAAGCTATTTTTGGAGATCTGACATAACAGTCCAAGAACATACAGCCACCAGGTGTTGTTTCCTCTACCACCCTCAAGCAACTGTATGACTGGGATCCTTCTTTATCAAATAAGCAATTGTATGTCTATTCTTTGATTTTCTTTTGCGTTAGATGCAATCATACACATTTTTTCTTCCTTTACCTTTCTCTATACTTTTCTCCCTTTTCTGCTATTATCATTATTATCTCCATTGTCAAAAAATGAGTTTCATTTTTGTCAATTTTACATTAGACTGATAATTCCAAAACCATACGGTCATCATGATATTAGATGAAATTGATGGCAGATATAAGGATGTTAATTTCCCATCCTTACCACCAGAGTATTTGTGTTTGAATCCATAAACATGGAAATTATGTAGGTATAATCATTGCACTTTTGAGATTTAAAGCTCATCTTAAATTACTTTCAAAGCAATAAGATTTCCATTTGGTAGGGGGGAAAAAAAAAGCAACCTTTATAACCTTTATGCTGTTTTCTCAAATGTCTGCTACCAACAGTTCAACAATGTATTTAATGAGCTGTTCCATTATGCCCAGACTGGAAGCACGCATTAATCAACTCTGTGCTCCCTAACCTCCTTTGCTTGGTGAGGAGAATAAAGTTTCTTTGAGATAATTGCTGTGGCTTCAGGGGATAGAAACATCCCTGCCTATTGAGTAATGCATTAGCTAATATAAAGAACAAAGAGACCCCAAAATAAACGGTTTAAAGAAAACATCATTTTTTTTTGTTTGTTTGTTTGTTTTCTGATGCCACATATAAATTCTACAATAAGCCAGATACTTTCACAGGAGACTCCCCCAGTCTACGCAATCCTTTAGGGCCCAGTTTCTTTGCATATTTTTACTTTTTCACCTCCTTGAGCATTGTCCTTATCTGAAGGTTCAAAGCTATGTTCCATAAAAGGGGCAGAAGGACATGGAATAACATATGTTCAATTTTCTAAGACTCAGGAGCAGAATTAGTACCCACCATTTCTGTTCACATTCCACTGGCAATAATTTAGTTAATTGGTCAAACATAGCTTCAAGCGGGACTAAAAAATATAGTCTTTCTCCGGGTAACTGTATTCTAGTTACAACTCTTATCACAGAGGAAGGTGACAAAGGACTTCAATGAACAGTAGCGGTCTCTTCCAAAAAGATGCTATTAATATAAACTGGAATATGTGTTTGCTTCCAGTTAACATAGGATGTTGAACCTACAAAGTCATTTAAACAATTCTCAGTTATAAATATTTGCATTAAAGATGTCATGCTATTCTTTGTAGACACATTTAAGCATTCTTTAACCACTTTCAAAACAAAATTATATATTCAATTTTAAGATTAAATTAATTTTTATTTGAATGGATGTTGAAAAACAGTATGACAGATACATTATATATCATTTTATAAATTTGCTGAAAGGACCAAAACAAGAAATTCAAAGCCATGTCTGTGAATTTCCCAGAATGCCTCTTCTGAAATCAATAGAGAATGTTTAGGACTGCAAGAGAGAGAAGTTCTGTAATAATAGCTATCTTCTTGCCCCACACTGGCTAAGATGGAGAAAGGGTTTGGGAGAAAAGAGGCGGAAGAAAGAAAGAGAGAGAGAGAGGAAATCTCACATAACAAAATAAATTTATTAAAAAGTGGAAAGGTACAAGAGCAACAGGGAATCTAGAAAAACAAATTTAAAGGCTGTATAAAAAAATTTAATTTTTTGTGTAATAATTTATTTCCTCTCTTCACTCAGTGAATCTCCTTTTCAGTCCTAAAAATTAGAACCACTTTGGGTCAGTACATATGTTCTTTTCATGGTCCTTCAGTGTCCATGATTTTTATTCTCTCTTAGCTTAATAAAGCAGTTATTAGTAAGCATTGTAGATTAGAGCACCTATTATTCTGATGTTATTTCATTAAAGGAACTACTTCCTAAAATGTGTTTCATGCTCTATGTACATTTTGAAAATAAAATGAAATAGGATTGATTCAAAATTTGTTGGCTGTTGCTTTATGTGTGTGTTTTCTTGAGAATTATATTTCTAAGGGTACGCTAAGATGTCACAAAAGTAGAGCTGGAAATTGTTTTGCTCTAAAAGGATTAGAATTGCGTTTATGGTAGGTGCATTTCTCTGAGGCAAGGCAGAAAAAAATAAAAGCCATCATTTGGGCTTCCAAGTTCTCTCCTTGTATTTTCAGAGATCTCATATGAACTATTTCTCTGAGGCGTCATGGTATGTGAAACCATTTTCTGAGGTAAAATGAAAATACCCAAACTTTGGTCATAATAGGGCACTGAGGGACTTCAGGAAACTTAATCATCAAAGAGATTCAATTATGTTCTTTACACTGCATTTACTAAGACAAGGAAGAAGACTGTATTATTCCAGAAAATAAAGTTAACTGTACAATAGCAAACAAAAAAACGTTTCAGAATAACTCTTAACCTAAAAGTTAAGTTTGTCAGCACATCCTGTGGAAAAGTGTCTCCAGGCAGATCCCCTAAATCCTTCAGGTGTGATTTTAAATGGTTTGCACCTGAATTTCTTTGCCTGGGTGCTTCCTCTGGTCTCTTGAGCCCTTTCTGTTTACAGACTTAGCAGGCTGGAAGTGCCTAACTAGCCTCTGGGAGTAGCCCTCACTAGTAAGTATCCTGGCAGCCTCTCTCACATAATGGAACTTCCAAGCTGTGTTCTGTGCTTTTCTGAATTCCCTTGAGAGATTAAGCTGCTTTTATCCACAGTGGTGACTTGCTTGATAGCACACCATATCACCAGCCCACTTAACTTCACTGCTCTGCTTTCCTACTGATATGTCCTGGGATCCCACACTACTTATATTTCAATCCTTAACTGGGTCCTGTAGGAATGGAAACTAAGACCAGCCCCAGCCATTGAAAATCGCAATACAGCAATGTTTATTGTTCTGTTCCATAAAGAGCTCTATTTTCCTTAGCCCTGCATTGGCCTAGAATAATCATATACAATGATTAAACTATTGAGAGGAAAAGGTCCTTAAAAGGCAATGTATTAGTTCATTATCACAGTGCTGATAAAGACATACCCAAGACTGAGCAATTTACAAAAGAAAGAGGTATAACTGGACTCACAGTTCTGCGTGGCTGGGGAGGCCTCACAATCATGGTGGAAGGCAAGGAGGAGCAAGTCACGTCTTACATGGATGGTGGCAGGCAAAGAGAGAGTGTGTGCAGGGAAACTCCCTTTTTTTAAACCATCAGATCTCATGAGATCCATTCACTATCACCAGAACAGCACAGGAAATACCTGCCTCCATGATTCAGTCATCTCCCATCAGGTCCCTCCCACAACATGTAGGAATTATAGCAGCTACAGGATGAGATTTGGGTGGGGACACAGAGCCAAATCATATCAGGCATCTAACTCCCTTTACACATTTTATAGATGAGGAAACTGAGTCAGAGAGATAACTTGTCTTTCTTGAAGCCATGTGGCCCTGTTGTGAAGAACACGGGCTCAAGCAAGTTAGATTCCGTGGTTTGAATCCTGGCCCCAACAACTCATTAGCACTTATTAGCATATCTACTTAGCATTAGACAAGTGTGGAAGTAGGAAATGTAATTAAAGCATACAAAATAAGGAAGGAAATTTTTCTCGATCTCAAGTAAAATAAAACTGGATTAGCATAAGGCAGACAATCATAAAAAGAGAAGAGTTTTATATGTAGAGAGAAAAATACACAGATTGTTGATAATAGTGCATAAAAACAAACCTAAACACTAGAACATTAAATTCTGAGGAGCACAGTCTTATGAATTAAAAGACTTGATTTGAATCCTAGCTTTGGCTCTTATTGGCTACTAATTTTTGTCAGTTTGCTTAACTTTCCTGTAACTCCAACTAGTCATCTGAAAAAGGTGAGTAACGATTATAGTACCTCACAGGATTTCTGTGAAGATTTAAAGAGATAATGCATATAAAGTAACTGGTACATATTAAATTCAATAAAAATTAACTTTCAATATTATTATTGGCACAGTGGTAGTGATAAATTCCGAGTCCAAAACTCTCCTACCCTACCATGCTCTCCATCCCAAGACAGTAGTGGCACCACACACGAGTGGTGATAACTAACATTTAAATCCATATCTAAGCTGTAATTACCACAATAAATTAAAAACTTCCCTCTTTTCATTAGTATGTTAAAAATAATTTCTCTTTAAGCATTTTTTTTCTCATTTAATATGTGGTACAATACAATTTATTTGTAGCATTTTTTTTCCTTTTTGACACAGTGTAGAACTGTTTTATGTGGTGTTTCTTCTGCTTAATAAACTGAGCACCTTAATCTTAAGTTTATGTTCAATTAAGAGAATCAAAGCTGAAAAACCTGATGTGCAATTGCAATGCATAATTTACAATTTAAATTCACCATGCAGGTTCAGAATGTGATCATGATAAAACTTTTCTTCCTTAATAAAAAATGTCAATAAGCATTGTTGGTCAAAGGGTACAAAGTTTCAGATAGACAGCAGGAATACATTTGAGATCTATTGCACAGTAGGGTGACTGGAGTCAATCATAATGTATTGTATATTTCAAAATAACTAAGTACATTTTGATTGTCTCACCATAAAAATGATAAGCAAATGAGGTGATGGATATGTTAATTTGCTCAGTTTAATTATTTCAAATTATATGCATAAATCAACACATCACATGGTACCCCATAAATATATATAATTATGAGTTATCAATTTAAAAGAATATTAATAATAAAAACAATAATAAACTAGAAACAAATGTGAACTGGTGGGACATTAATATACACTGTTACACCCATATGGGATGATGCCATGTGGCCATTAAATCACTCAGTGGAATAATATTTGATATGAAAAGTGTTCTGGATAAATTTCTAAGTAGAAAAGTGTGCTACAAAATATTTTGAACAGGGCGACCATCGTCTTGAAATATGTCTGACCTGGAGAAAGACTAGAAGAAAATATCAACAGTGGTTATTCTTACCTGGCAGGGTTTTGGGTAATTTCCCTCTGTTCTTTTCTGTGTTTCCAAATTTTCTGAATTGCTAGCATATTCATTTTAGTAACTATTTAAATATATACTTTAATTTTAAAAATGTCAATAAGTAGGTAAGCAGTAATGAACAAAAATAAATTGTACAGCTATATCTATTCTTTACTCCTGGACTTGAATAATATTCTTGGTTCCTTACATTCATATTTGTTTTTAAAGTATCAGTTTTTTAACTTTCACTAAATGTTGTGAACATACTTCTCAAGCAAAATTTTGTAATTGAGACAAGGGAAGTTTAGAATGTTTCCTCTAATTGATCTTCCATACTCTTTTAATTAGAACAGGCTCAAGAGAGACATAAAAATAAAATTATTGATTCATCCGAAATTAAAAATTCCTCATTGTGTTCTCATCAAGAAATGTAACATAACTCTTGTTAACAATGATTTTCTAATTTTAATTACATTAAATTCTGCCTTCCTAAATTCCTGCTGTCATTCTAATTAAAGGGACATTTATCATTTTCTATGCAGTGGTCCTATTTTGGTACACTTGAACCATCTCCACATAATTTTTCAAAAGTTTTTTGCACTTTCAAGTAGGTGATGTTATTCTCTGCTAAAAGATTCATAAAATATTTCAAATGTCTTGCAGATGCTGTAGAAGACATATGTACTTTCTATGACACATAATCCAATTGAGAAAACTTTTAGATGTACATTGCTACTGAAAACAAAAAAAAAAAAACAACACACACAACACAGGTTAGTGCAACTAAGTGTTAATGTTTTAAAAATTCCCTGTGAACAGGTACTAAATTTCAAACATGTTCTCAGAAGGTGCAATATCACATGGGGATAAACACCATCAGGAAACTTTTCAGTAGTTTTTGCCCCTTCTTTGTTGCTAGGATATCACAAATTTTGTTCAATTTCTTATGAGTGCCCACTTTTTAAACTTGAGGATGTCATTGTGAGGATAACAGACTGGATATCCCACAGGACTGTGATTGCAAGTCTTCATTCAATTAGTATATTTTAAGCAATTGGCATTAGCAAAAAGTAAAATGTAAAAACAGGACATGTAATAAACGAATACAAACTAAGAAAAAAAAGGTCCCTGCTGTCAAGCAAAATCAAACTGGGTTAGTATAAGATGAACAATCAGAAACAGACGTGTTTTATAGAGAGCAAGAAAATATAGAGAGAAACAACAGTTCGCAAACACAAACCTAAACACGAGAACAGACATTCATTCATTGATACCTTCACAGCTTTACTTACAAAAAATACTTTTTCGGCACCTGACCTAGTCAAACCATAGGGTGGGTATTGGGAATACAAAGACTAATAAACTTTGATTAGCAGAATAAGGATATAATATGTATGGAATTAACTTAGCGTGATGAAGCATATGGTAAGTGTAAGCCAGAGACCAGAAATAAAATTAATTGATTTAGGGAATCTATAAGAGAGTTTTCTTCAACCTACGAAGTCCAGGGAAATTTTGTGAAAATAATTGTGATTTGAAAAATAATTAGCTGATGTCTAAATATAATTGTTTTCAGTCAATAAACATGTATTTCCTACCTAATATAAATAACCTAAGTTATGGCATTACAATTAAACACACACACACACACACACACACACAAACACACACACATCCTGGCTAACACGGTGAAACCCCGTCTCTACTAAAAATATACAAAAATTAGCCGGGCGTGGTGTTGGGTGCCTGTAGTCCCAACTACTCGGGAGGCTGAGGCAGGAGAATGGTGTGAACCCGGGAGGCGGAGCTTGCAGTGAGCTGAGATCGCGCCACTGCACTCCAGCCTGGGCGACAGAGCGAGACTCCGTCTCAAAAAGAAAAACAAACGAACAAACAAGAAGCAACAAAATCATGTCCCTGAAACGCTCAGTATCAAATAATAGAGGAGACTAATATATAATTAACAAGAATATGACGTGCTTAATAATAAAATTGAGATGTAAGTGTGGCATTATGCAATGAAACTACCCAAGGCCAAGACTGGCTTCCGAGCTTCATGTCTAAGAGGATGAAAGCTGCAAAGTTTTCACATTTCAGAAGATGGTGGTTAGAGAAGAAAAGTTTCTGTTTGATTGTTTTTTAAGAAAAGGAAAGGAAATAAATATTGTTATAGAGAGCTGAAACTTGGGGCAAGAGATAGATGCAAGGGTGATTTTAAAGACATATTAATATATAACATGCAATGTAACTTATTTCCTCTGTCTTTCCAAGGAGACTTCCAGAAAAATCTACAATGTTTTTCAAAATTATTGTCCGATTTGAATTTTTTTCCAGATGCCATGACATGTGTGTGGTGAGATAGGCTTCAGGTATGTGCTGGGTGAAAGTCATAGCCCTCAAGTGTCCAGAAACATTCAGGTGACAGTGTCCCCAATACATTTCAAGTCCAAAACCAAATGTTATCAGTTCCCTAATGTTGACTGTCCTTCTGTGTTCCAGCCTAGGACACTGACGCACACAGATGACCTAAGCCCAGAGCCTGCCCATGATCTTCGACTTCTCCTTTCTCCTCACCAGATCCAAACCAGTAAAGCTGCTTCCAGACAGCTTAACACCATATGTCTCTTCTGACTCTATTCACTGCTATTCCTACATGTGATCATATCCCCATCAATTTATTCTAGAATTACTGCCTTAGTCTCTTATCTCTATAACCCCAACCCCATCTTCCTCTCCAATCTGTTTTCCATACTGCAACAATAGTGAATTTATCAAAACATAAATTTGATCACACCAGATTTTGAAGAGCTGATGAGGGTAATAACCAAACCAGCAAGGTAGAAGAGGCCTGGAGACTATGGATAGAAAGTTACAAACAGAAGGATCTTAAACAACATTGATCTCAGCTCTTTCATTTAACAGAGGAAAAGTTTGGGGCACAACAGTTCAACAAAAAAGATTTGTCTGGAGGGATACAAAGGCATAGAACAAAGACATCTCATTATATCCTTGTTTCTTTTTCTTTTTTTTTCTTTTTTTTTTTTTTTTTTTGAGACAGAGTATCGCTCTGTCATCCAGGCTGAAGTGCAGTGGCGCGATCTTGGCTCACTGCAATCTCTGCCTCCAGGACTCAAGCGATTCTCCTGCTTGAGTATCACATTTCATGATGTCAGATGGAGAAGAAACACTGTAGGGAGATCCTCCCAGACAGAAAGAAATTCAGAAAAAGAGTCAAGGTGCAAAGAAGAATGTGATTTCCCAAAAGGCAAAAGGAGCTTTGTAAACTTTGTTTTGAAAAATCTCTCAGAGGACTTTGAGTCAATGTCTTATTTTATCCAAATTGGCTTTCACTTCTGTCACTATTATTAGAGCTGTTGAGTTTTGCCTGGAAGTGTTGTAGATCCTGTGGTTCCCACGTTTTCTCAAAAACAGAATCACCTGAAAATATTTCTGTGGTTGAGAAGTGCAGTGAATTTAGCTGGCTGTTTGAACACTTCTCTAATGTCATTGGCTTTTTGTTCTACCTTCCTGCTGGTTCTCATCACTCTTCTAATTCCAAATGTGGTTAAGAGAAAGAAAGGCAAAATAAAAGTCTATTTTTGAGCCAAATAACACCACCCATGACTAACTATATACTGTATTTGTGACTTTGGACATTTTTATCATTGCCAACTCCTTCGCCCACAAATTGCTACTACTAAATAAGAAACATCTCTTTTATATTCATATAGCCTAAATTAAACACATTGTTATCTATAATATGTATGTCTTACTGAATATTTGGAGATTCTCTCTTTTTTATTCTCTCCTTTTCTCTCTTTTCTTTTGTTGGAGGAAAATGGATGATAATAGTAAGTAAATAACAGCAATTTTCTTTTGGAGATTTTCATGCTACATCTCCCTAAAGCCATATGTGTAGACTGAGTATGGCTTGAAAATCAAATATGAATGAGGCAGGAATACCTAAAATTATAAGGTAGGACAAGGTTTCAGGAGTGTGACAGTGTGACAGAGAGAAATGGAAAACCAAGATTGTACTACCATGAACAAACAAAAAGGCTAAATTACTTGATATTTTTAATCCTACTTTATCTATAAATAATGTATGTATGTGATTTAAATAAGCTATTAATGATCTTAAGTTTTTGGTTCATTTAAAAAAACACATACATCATCTTAATTCCCCAGAAGGGACAGTCATCATATCTTGTTCAGAATGGAAGGAACATTTGGTAAATGCACAGATTGATAAATAAAACTCTAAGTTGGGAACCAGCATAGCACAGTTGGTGAAGGGAGCAGAGTAAATCTGCTTTGTGACTTACAACAAAAATATTGAAGTCTCTTAGTCACTCAGTTTCCTCTCACATCAACTAGCAAAAGTGTAATCTATTTCAAAAATTGTCTTGGCTGCTGGTTAAGGCTTGTGATGATATAACACAGATCTTATCTCTCAGATTTTATATCATTTGTGGTAGGGGGCTGAGCAAAAGGGTAAAGTCACATGTATCTGGATCTATATCTTGTTTCAATTATTTTATTCTTAATACTGGCATAACTATATAAGGCTATAAAGAGGAGCTGCTCTGATTCTGTAGCCACAGGCAGAAATGTAAGTGACATTATCAAGGTGACTTTCAGAGACCAAAGTTGGGGCCAGAGTACGTACTCAGATACTCCTTTGCCTACAGCTGGCTAGATTTCCATCTTTACTGCTGTCTTGGGTATGACAGCATGTCATGGAGGATTTTCTGTGGCATTGCTGGAGACTGTAAGCCACATTTTAACATTCTTTACTCTTCCATGGTGTGCACCAGATAGGAGCATATGGTTCCAAATGTCTGTGGCAGTCGGGTAGAGGACACAATAAAAAAAAGTTGTTTTATGTTGAGAATATAAAAAAGAGAGACAAATAATGCAATGAATTGGCCACTGGAAAGAAGGCAGCTTCAATGTTTTAAATTGCCTATTATGGTTGTTACAGAAGAAAAACAGAGAGAGTTAAAACATTGATAATGTCTACTGCTGTGAGGGGAAAAACTGTTCTCATTGATTATTGTAGAACTATTCAATGAGAAAAAAATCAATATTACTCTAAGATTGTCAAGTCATTTTACAGAATACAGGTACTTTGTAATAATATTTTACAAAAGATTGTCTTTTTTAGGATTTAAAAAGATAGAGAGTCAGTTGATAAACTGGTCTGGTTTCCTGTGTGAATTTTCAGCTCAATAATTTTACTGTGGTGGAAGGAAATTTGTTTACCTTGCCCTGGAATAAATATCCACCTAACCGGGCTCTTACTTGTTTTCTTCTCATTATGTAGCAAGCTTTTGGAGATCAGTTCATTTGCCCCAAATGTCTGAGCTGCACAGAAGTAATGCATTTCCATTTTTAAACACTTGGGATTCAGTGGGTTTTTTTGTTTTTATTTTTTAATGACTGAGGTCACCTACTCACCTATTCACAGGCAATTAGTACACAGATTTGGAGATACTTTTAAAATTTACTGGCCATGGGAAAACTCAGGCCACTTTAATCAAGTGATATCTTATAATATGCCTTACTTCTTAAAGAAGGAGATACATTAAATTCGTAAAGTAGGAAACAGTTTGCCTTAAAGAAAGAGATTATCAAATGCAATTCTTGTGACCTACGTTGCTGTGACCAGGACATTAAGAATAAGATTAATTACCCAGTCTTCAAAAATTGTAATTATCTAACAATTATGAGCTAGCTAAAAAAAGAACAGTGTAGGTGAAAAGTATAAAAAGGTTGAGAAATATCTAGGGTCTCCTCAGAAGCAGACACGCAGACGAGGATTTGAGTGTTGTTAGTTAATTTGAGAGACAATTCCAGGAAAGAATAGTAGAGGAGTAAGGATATGGGACAAGGAAGGAGAGGAAGCCAATAAAGATGCACCGACAAGCAAGTGATCACTCAGGCAACTGGAACTGAATCCCTTTGGGAAACCGGAAAAAGTATAGAACATACCTTGGAGTTTTCCCAATGGGTATTACTTCCAGTGACATTGACTCTCTAGCACTAAACGCAAACTTCCATAGTCAAAAAGAAAGGAAGGAAGGATGGGGGGAAGAGGGAAGGAGGGAAGGAAGGAAGGAAGGAAAGAAGGAGGAAGGGAGGGAGGGAAGGAGGGAGGGAGGGAAGGAGGGAGGGAGGGAAGGAAGGAGGGAAAGAGGGAGGCAGGGAAGAAAGAAAGAAAAGAGTCCTTAGGCAGAAAGTCCCAGCTGTATTCAGGAGGCCATGTTCACATATAGTGGAAACTGCTGAGAACATATGGATGGGGCATTGAGAGCATCTGCTAAAGCAATGTATTTATTTTAAAATTTAATTAATTTATTTATTTTTAAAGAGATAGGATCTCATTCTGTCACCCTCATAGCTCACTGCAACCTCAGACTCCTGGACTCAAGCAATCCTCCTGCCTCAGCCTCCTGAGTGGCTGGGACTAAAGGCATGCACCACTACTCATGGCTAAGTTATTAAAAACATTTTTTTTAGAGATGGAGTCTCTGCCTAGGCTTGTCTCAAATGCCTGACCTGTAATGATTCTTTCACCTCAGTCTCCCAGGTAGCTCGGACTACAGGCAGGCACCACCATGCATGGCTAATTAAAAAAAAATTTTTTTTAGAGAAGTCTCACTATGATGCCAGGCTGGTCTCAATCTCCCAACTGCTAGTGATCCTCCCACTTCAGCCTCCCAGGTAGTTGGGACTATAGGTGTAAGCCATCATGCTTGTCTTGCTATAACAATTTATATTAAAAGTTATAAAATAAGTGCTTCTGGATAAAGGTGGAGGATTGAACACTTTTCCCCCAGAAATCTCACAAAAATGACAATTAAAGTACAAGGAATGGGAAGATAATCAGAGAAGTGGAAACTTTCTTGGCCAACTGAAGAATTCTATATCTTAAAGTAGTACTGCCGAAAGGCAAGAATCAAGCTAATCTTCAGAGTAGAAAACTCATTGCTCAGAACTAGAAGCCTGGATCACATCAGGACCTGCAGCAAACAGAGAACTAGTATGAAAGGGCTTGCTGGAAAGCTCTTTAGGACACAATTGACTTCACGCTACTGGATAACATCCTCTCCCTATAACTTTCACATGAAACAGGGGCCATAGTCTCATGGAGTTGATGTTTGCCAGCTCTTTTCTTTCACTCGACTCCCAGAGGGCACCAGAAGAATCTTCTCTTGGGAATATAATCAGCCCAAGAAAAAACTCTTAAACATACTCTCAAACACATATATACTGACATCGGAGTTTTCCTGATGTCACTCCAGGTCCCTCTTTAGAAAACCTTAGAACCCCCTAAGTCCTGCTTATTGCATTCAGATCTTACAATCCACATTCCAGTTCCCTTTCCTTAAACATGAGCACACAACAAAGGGTTAAAGGACATTTAAGGAAGTTTTTCACCTTGAAAGTTGGAGACTAAAATACATGGAAAAAAAAAGGAACTTAAAAGCAAGAGACTATTTGGAGGAAAAGTCTCCCAATAATATCCTTAGAGAGTTAAAAAATAATGTTGCATCTATAAAACAAAAATAACACATTAAAAAGTCAGATGAAAAATAAATCAAAAACACAAGAGCATAAATGAAAAAAATCATAAAAGAATTGAACAATAAAGTTGAGAAAATATTCCAGAAAGTTATACAAGTTGACAAAGAGAGGAATTAACGCAATACATACAACACCGGAATAAATTGAATTTTAAAGAGAGCTATTTTAAGCACCTTTACTCAGGACGTTACTCAAGCATGTTCTGAGAGAAGGAGAGAGATAGAGATAGAAATAAAGACAGAGAGACATGGAGGCAAAAAGAAGGAGGAGAAGGAGTAGAAGAGGGAGAAGAAGGAGAAAAAGAAGGAGACAAGAACAAGAGTGGGGAGATGGGGATAGGACAGCAAAGTAAACTATAAACCCTGAACAGTGATTGAACCTAAAATTGTAGTATTTTAAAAAGAGGAGAGACTGGGCGTGGTAGTTCATGCCTATAGTCCGAGCACTTTGGGAGGCTGAAGTGGGAGGATCATTTGATCCCAGGCATTCAAGACCAGCCTGGGCAACATGGTGAAACCCCATCTCCATAAGAATATAAAAATTAGCCAGGCATAGCATTATGTACCTGTAGTCCCAGCTACTCAGGGGGCCGAGGAGGGAGGATCACTTCAGCCCCGGAGGTCCAGGCTGCAGTGAACAATGATTGTGCCACTACACTGTAGCCTGGGTGACAGAGTGAGACCCTCTCTCAAAAAAAAAAAAAGAGGAGAAAGAGAAAATCAATTTAATCAGATGAAGGTGTTAAAGAGTAAAATCATGTCAATATTATCTATTGACATAATGGAAGTCAGTAGATAATACCTCAAATTGATGAAGTCGACAAACACTATTTATGTATACGACGGAGAAACAGAAATATAAGATGCATAAATAGTGGACAAAATAGCTGAAAGAATTGGAGAGCAGGAGCTGGAGGAAGAGGGAGAAGTGGTACTGCTTCAGTATGTTTTTATTTAGTACTATTTAACTTTTAAAATGATATGCATGTATTGCTTTGATAAATAAAATATAATAATTTAAAAAACAGATGACATTTGCTGTATGAGATTACGAGGAGAGAAATTAAACCAGATGTAATAATTAGAAATTTGGCTAATTTACATGATTTAAATATGAAGGGGTTTAATGTGTTTTGTTGTCAGGAGCCTTAAATTGAAATTCCATAAGGAAGGGTAGGCTGAATAAAAATTAGAGCGTCGTAACGGTTGTGAGCTTCAATTTTAGCTTTTTAAAGGCAATTTCTAGCTCTCTAACTTTAAGTTTTCTGTGCATTTATTTAATCATTCCCTGAAATAATTTGAGCTTATAAGATTGCTGAAAATAATGATTAATGAAACACTATGTAAAAGCAAACTTTCATCAAACATTGACTACATTAGTGAAACACAGGAGACGTACCATGTTATACCTCCCTGCCTGAACTGAGATTTCTTTGTTATAGCTTACGGAATTCTTGACATTCTAAGCATTCAGATCTAATCAGTCTGCCAATACGAATTGAGTTCCTACTATGTGTCAGAAGTCGGGAGTGGCTCTGGACGTGCACAGAGCCACAGCATCGTATGCACGCACAAACCCCGCTCTCCTGGTTCTTGAAATCTAAAGGAGAGAGAGAAACATTAAACAAACGAATAAATAGTTAACATTAAAGATAAGTGGTGAGGAGGAAAAGTACAGCATGCCAAGAAGGAATAAACTGGGTTGACTTATTTTTCACTGTGGACCCAAGGAATGCCTCTCTGAGAAATGAGATACTCAGGAATAAATAATCCTTAACCAGGTAACCTGTGAGAAAAAGGATGCTTAAGGACTGAGAGCGGTTTAGGGAAATGTGCTGTCATGAGGAGTTGGGCATGACTGGGGAACAGAAGAGGACCGGTGGCCCTGAAGCCGAATGAGAAGGAAGAATTCTGGAGAAGTAGAGTGGGGAGGAACACCAGAAGCAAAAGCAAGGAGAAGCTGGTATTGTGGCCCAGGCTGGTGGGGAACTCCTCCTTGTGAAGCATGTAACTGGGTGGATGAATGATGGCAAATGAGTACAGGTGGAAAAGATGCATCTGGCTCCAAGGTTTTACATCAGTTTTAGAAGAAATTCTAAAATCCTCAGGGAGGCCTGTAAGGATCCCTAGGGACCTAGAATCTGCCCACGTTTCCCATCTCATCTGGTGCTACAGTCTCTCCAGCTCACAGCAGCCAAATACGCTTTAAGACCTTTTCTATCACTGGGAACTGCTTTCTGTAATAGAGCCTTCTCTCTGCCTGGAATGTTCTTCTCGTCCCCCTTGCAGTCACTCCCAAGTTCCCTTTAAGGCAATGTGTAAAGCTTCCTTCCTCTGAGCAGTCTTTCCTGAGCTCCTAATAGAAGCCAAGTTCCACTTTCAAAATCTCTTCTCACATCTATTAGCTTTTCTTCATGGAAACTACATTCTGTCCCTGTGCCTCAGTGTCCTTTTTTTGTAAAAGAGAAGAACTAATATGAGTAACCATCTCAAAGGGTCATGGGGACTTGGGACTGCAGGGCACTAAAAGTAGTGCCTGGTATATAGTAAGGGCTCTGTAAACATTAGCTATTATTTGAAGGAAGCTAGGCCCAAAAGAATATATTCACGCTAAGTCTCAAAACAGGCTTTTTATTTTTGAGACAGAGCTTTGCTCTGTCACACAGGCCAGAGTGCAGTGGCGCGATCTTGGCTTACTGCAACCTCCACCTCCTGGGTTCAAGCAATTCTCCTGCCTCAGCTTCCGGAGTAACTGGGATTACCAGGCACGTGCCACCACGCCCAGGTAATTTTTGTATTTTTAGTAGAGACAGGGTTTCACTATGTTGGCCAGGCTAGTCTCAAACTCCTGACCTCAAGCGATCCACCCACCAGGCATGAGCCACCATGCCCGGCCTATTTGCAGGACTATTTACATGATCATAAGCCCCATGAAGGCAAGAACAATACCTATTGGCTGGGCCTCTGATAACTAATGTAGTCCCTGAAACAAACGATAACAAATTAAAACATAAACTTCATGCTGTCACTTCTCTATTCAAAGCTTTCAGTGACTCCCATTTCATCCAGAAGAAAAGTCAGTCCTTATGCCAGCCCACAAGTCCTTAGCAGATGCATGCACCTGCTGCCTCTCTAATTTCACCTTTGCTACTCCTGTGTCACTCATGACTTTCCAACCACAGGAGAATTAACTGGAGTTGGTGGTTTTGCTACATTGTAAATGTACTAAATGGAATTAAATTGTTTGTTTTGAAAAGGTTAATTGCATGTTATGTGGATTTAATCTCAATTTGTTTTTTAAAAAGCTGGGGCTTTAGAACCATAGTGACCCAGCTCTAATTCTGTCACTCAGCTCTATCATTTCTGACATCTGCTTCACCTCTCTGCCTCAGTTTCTTTAGCTGTGATATGTGCATAACAGTAGTACTTACCTCTTAAGGTTGCTGTATTAGGTAAGTTAACGCCTGTAAAAATATGAAGAACAGCGTCTGGCATATAAAATAAATACAAATAGATGCTCATTATCTTAAGGAAAAGCTCATTCTATTTATAAACAAAGGAGAGCAAAAATATGAGCCATCCTTTTACAAAATTTCTACAATTTATATTGACTCTTAGGTCTGGAACAGGAAGTGGAGAATATGAGTCTAACCACTTCATGCTATGGTTGAGGCAGTTAAAGTCCGAGGAGGTGATGTGACTTCTCCAAGAGCAGTGAGCTGTAGTCAGTGGTCAGCCCAGGGCTGGCTCCCAATACCCTGAGTACTCAGCCTGGATCTTTCCTTCTTTAGCCTGTGATGAGTCCAACATATGTATGAAATTAGCTAAATACCAACTAGGTTCAGACCCTCCATGTGACTGAATTTCTTTAGAGTCTCAGGTTATTACAATAGGATGTGAAGGGATAAATAACAGAGATAGGTTTTCTTTTGTTTTTTTTTTTTTTTTTTTTTTTTTTTTAAGATTTCACTACAGCTGCTTTCCACAGTGCTTTGGCAGATAGACCAGTGTTAGTACAGAAATTACAGTAAAATTGTTAAGGTATGTGTAATGATAGCCACTTTGCTGAAAATGAAATTATAAAAGAAACCCCTACTCCATATAGCATTTTGCTGAAATCTGAAGAAGCACATGTAGTGTTATACTCTGGTTTTCCTAGACATGAACTCAGGATAACACTAAACATTAAGCTGATCAATGTAGGTGCTTTGAATGAAATTAAAAGAGAAATTAGTCTCCTTATTCAACTCAATCTTACAAATCTGCTGCTATAATTTATAGGTTGTACATCTTATGAGAGAGCATCACTCATTCATTTATTCATTCAGTGAGTAGTAATCAAGCTCCCTCTAAGCACCAGGCACAGTGTTACACACTAAGGTTTCAAGCAAACAGAACAGACAAAGAGTCCACTCTCAGAGAATTTGTAATAAAATAAATAAAACAAGTAGAGAGTTAATAATGACCAGGAGGGATCTAAGAAGGGCCTTGTGAAGAAAGCCAGTGGGAGGAGCTAATTTAGATCAAACAGACAGAATGGATAGAAAGAGGCAAATGAGAGAAGAGAGACAATTAAGAGTTTATTGTAATAGACCAGATGGAAGATGGAAGATCATGGTGATTTAGGCTAGTGCCGTGGCTCTCAATCAGGGGTAATTTTGTACATCGGAGGGCATTTATTTGACAATGTCTGCAGACATTTTTGTTGTCCCACCTTGGGAGGAGGATACTGCTGACATCTAGTGGAGAGAGCCCTGGGAAGTGGCTAAAAGTCCTACAAAGAACCGGACAACTGCCTTCATAAAAAATAATTTTCTAACCGAAAATATCAATAGTTTTGAGGTTGAGAAACCCCAGGCTAGTATGATATCAGTGGAGTATAGAGAAGCTGACTAAAGACATACTCTGGAGGTAAAGCCATTATAAAAATAAACTGATACGGGAGTAGGTGAAGAAGTAAGGAAAAAAATGAAGGGTGACCTCCTGATTTTCCAGTTTTAATGGCTGGGTGGAAGGTGGTGTTCATATTGAAATAAGAAAATTTGGGAGAGGATTCAGTGCGGGACAATGACATGGGACAGAATCAAGGATTTGAGATGTTGGCTCACTTAGAAATGGTCACTAAAATTGGCTGCATGAATCGGGAGGTTTGAGCAAAAGACAACATTTGGGAATCTTTGGCTAAAAGGTAGTATTTAACATCATAGAAATATATGATATGACCTAGCGAAAAAAGCATAAAGAAGTAGTCAAGAACTCAAGATTTAGACCCTACATCAGCTACACAGTCCCAGCAGGCTCTAAAAGCCACTTGATCTTTTGTTTTTGGTGCCATGAGTAACATTTTAAGTTTCCTCAACTATGCTCACAACATTTTGAAAAGACTGTATAACATTCGCATTCCCCAGGTTACTCTAAGCTATTTTTCTTTGTATCTGTTATCTCCTAAAAATTAAGTAATTTAAAATGGATTAGTATCTAAGTAATGCCACCAGCTCTCATAGGAAGCACAATGCTGCATGTCATTGTACTGTTTTATTGTTAACCACGGTGTATCAATTTAAGCTTAAGATTTGGGGAATGGGAAAAAGACGGCATGCATTCAATTAGACATGTTTATTCTTAAGAGGGCACTATGAGAAAATGTGAATCAAGAGTGATTACCAGAGTCATTTCGGGCAAAAAATAACTGGATGAATATATGTACAAAATACAGTCCTTCTAAAAAGCACAAAACAAATTAACAGCAGCTGCTGATCACTCATGAGTAACTCAACACCATGAGCCTGTGTACATGAGCAGTGGAGAGAAGCATTTTAACAAGGAAATAAATTTCAGTTTTAAGCTTTACAGAATTTTACAGATGATACAGAAACATAACTGCAGTGTGCCATTTAGTTTTCGAGAAACTTCCTTTAGGAAATCTCTCTAATATCTCTAATTATCAAAATGAACTGTTTCCTCATAAACCAGAGACAATACAGGTAAAAAGTAGCAAAACTCCTGAAATAGTATCAGAACAATTATGATTACCATATAATTAATTGGACCAGTGTTGTTGACTTCTTGCCCAAAAAACAAAATATTTCAGTCTCTGCAATCTGGGGCAGATTATTACTAGAAATATATGCATGGATTCCTTTAACCAGAAAAGTAATGACCACAAATAAACTAAAATATGCTGAGTAACAAGGACCTTGGGAAATTCTTCACATGCAGTAGCTCATATAATCCTCCAATGGCCCTGTAGTGTTATTATTATCCTCATTTTACAGATGAAGATATCAAGTCATAGAAAGTTTATTAGTTAGTATAGAGAAGCTTATGCTGCAGTAACAAATATCTCAAAATTGTAGTGGATTAAAACATAATGTTGAGCTGGGACTGATTTGTTAGCAGTGTGTTGCTGTTCTAGAAACATTCAGAGCAACTCCCTTACAAAAAATTACTCAGGGATTGAGGCTGCTTTCATCTTAACCTCTAGAACTTGTGGCTTTCAGAGTTACTCTGGCAGGGAAAGAGAGTCCTGGAAGTCATGCAGGATCTTTTTTCACTGTCTTCCTTTTCTCCTGGCAGCAGTGCACTTCCACTCATATTTTATTGGCCAAAAATGGTCACATGATTCCAACTAATTGAAAAGGTAGATTCCAACTAATTGAAAAGGTACAGGCTTTCATGAGCCAGAGAAAGGGAAAACTAGATATACGTAAGCACCAGCAATGGACTACAGGCAGACATAAAAATTTAACCAAAGCTAAAAACATAGACTTGGTAAAACCAGAATTTAAACCCAGTTTGTTCAAAAGCTGACTTAATTCTAGACCTTGGGTCTTCAAACTTTAGCCACTCACTATCTGCTATGTATTGGTCTTTGATGTACCCAGAGAAAATAGATGACTAAAAATGCTTACCACAGACCTTTAGGTTTAAAAATAAACCCTCTAACAGATTTACATTCATTCTCACTTTAAGAAATACTTACTAATCCCTTTTAAACCACTGATTCTTTGAGTTTTGAAGCATCACTTCCTGAAGAACCCCTTTCCAAACTCTTAAATGGGATTACACTACTTTTTTTCTTTACTTCCATAACACCATTTTGTAAAGCTCATCATACTTTAATGCCAATGAGTTCCAGAGTGGCAGCAATCATATCCCTCTGTGTCTCCAGAGATTGGCACAATACCTCACACAACGTGGGCTCTCAAAAAATATGCATAAATAAATGAATAGTTTGACTTTGCCTCTTTTCTGAAGCAGGTCATGCTACTGTTTTTCTTAATTTTTATTTGCACAGGAAGGGTCTCGCTATGTTTCCAAGGCTGGCCTCGAACTCCTGGTTTTAGGTCATCTTCCCTCCTCAACATCACCAAAGTGCTCCAATGTAAGCCAGCACACCCAGCCTTGCCGCTGTTTGATATTCTCTGGTCTTAAAAATGCTCCCCGAATGAGACAAAATTTACT
Organism: Homo sapiens; assembly: GCF_000001405.40. NCBI lineage: Eukaryota > Metazoa > Chordata > Mammalia > Primates > Hominidae > Homo > Homo sapiens. The sequence continues at coordinate 29,941,359 of NC_000021.9, read as the reverse complement.
CTTCTACAATTTCCCTCTGACAATCTTATTTTTCTTAGCTCTTCTCACATATCTAACACTGAATAAGGCTACTTTCTTTTAACACAAGAATTCTTCAAATGTCTGAAGATAACCAGCATGTGCTCCTAATTCCTCTTGGTTTCCTCAATCTTTCCACGCAAAAATGCATTCCTAAATCCCTATCAGTCCCTCTTCTTATCTGCAGACATGTTCTGCTTTGTTAACTCTCATCCCAAAGTGTCCAGAACCAAGCCTACTACTTGAGATATGAACTGACTAGCTTTCCACAGTGGAGTTCTAACCTCCCTTGGAGAATGAACATGCATTTTCCCCACCATAGGGTTTTTAGTGAAAAGTATAGTGTCTGACACCACAAACAAAATACTCAGTAGGTATTTGTTGAATAATGAATGAATTAATTAATTAATACACGAATGGACTTTAAGATATATTAGATTCCTTTTGCAATTGTTTCCCACTCTAGGCTCATATAACAACTGTGGACATACTTTTCATATGGATTTGGTCAGTTCTTCAAAATCTATTTACCAGTTAAAAAAAAGAGATGTTAATATAGACCTAGCAAACATATATATAGAACATTCCCCACAAAACTCGAAGGAAATTAATCCAACATAATCAAATGCTGATTTCCCTAGGGAAGTGTCCTTGTCCTTCTACAGAGAAACAGTCTCCAAACCTACATTGCTAAAATAGCCTATCTTTCAGTATTCAGACCTGACAGTTAAAAGAAATGAAGAAAAGTAGCGGCGCTGGAGGCTGCTTCTATCTCAGTGGCATGTGTAAATGGAAGCAATTTGCAAGAGATTATCTTGGGTCCAAATAGGAATGAAGCCACTATAATCTTGGAGTACTGAAGCTTTCTCATTCCTCTCCCCCTTCCCCTGTTCATCATCCTCGTCAGAGTCAAAACAGGAGCCCCGGTATTTTCCAAAATATTGGAGGTGATTTTCCATTAAATGATGGGACGAGTCATAGCTGGCTGTCTATAAGACCCCCTAACAGGTGCACACGGACATTACCAAGAAGGCTTCCTTGCCACTCACAGCGGACAGCAGAGGCTTTCTCTGCTCGGACCAATAGTTTAGATTTGATCTGTCTTGAGAATGCAACACTCGATCGACTTCCCAGCAGCAGAGCGCAAAGTTGAGGGAGAGAAAAAAGAGCGTGTGTGTGTGTGTGTGTGTCTGTGTGTGTGTCTGTGTGTCTGTGTGTGTGTGTGCGCGCGCGCGCGCGAGTATCTTGATCAGTGGGGTTGGGGCGGGCAGTAAATAAAGGGTGGGGCCAGCGAGGGGAGGAGGAAAGCAAAGATTCAGAGAAGCCGGAACGTGGCTCCGCTCCCAGTTAACCTGCTGGAGCTCATCAGGCTTGCTCAGAGCCCCTGCACCAACTCACCCTGTACCCTCTCTCCTTCTTCGTTAGTCTTCTTTCCCCCTTTTCCCTCCTCTGTCTGTGCCTATCCCCCGACTTTTGCATCTGACCAAAGGACGAATGAGGGAGACGTTCCTGCAGATCGGGGCAGCAACTTTCCTCAGCTGGTCTCTGGGCTCCGGGAGCCAGAGAGCGCTGATCCTCCGCGGTCTGCGGCCCATGGAAGAGGAGGAGGAGGAGCCGTGATGGGCTAGCGACAGCACTGAGGAGCCCCGAGAGAGCTCAGCCTTGCCAGCCAGCTCCGCGGTCCCACGCGGGTTCCCTCGAGCTCGCTCCGTGGGGAGCGCGCAGCGTGCTTGGAACCGGAGCATCCAGAGAGGATGAGGCGGGGACCCGGCCCAAGTTGGGTGCATCTCTCGGGCGTCCGGCAGCGGCTGTATCTCGGCATGAATTAAGAAGCTAGGAAGATGGAGCACGGCACACTCCTCGCCCAGCCCGGGCTCTGGACCAGGGACACCAGCTGGGCACTCCTCTATTTCCTCTGCTATATCCTCCCTCAGACCGCCCCGCAAGTACTCAGGATCGGTGAGTGAGCCCCAGGCTGCCTGCTCGGGAGACGTGGTCGGTCGCCGCACCAACGCGGGTGTAGCGGGTCCCGGGCGAGGCAGCGCGCGGCGGCGCAGGAGCCGGAGCTGGGGAAGGTGGAGGTCAGTGCTCATGGGAGGCTACACAAAAAAGGGGGAGCCGCGTCACTGCTTCCCTCCTGGAGGGTGCCGGCCTTCCCCGGGAGGTACAGTTGGCGGGTTTTTCAATCTGGGCTCCAGGAACGCGGGCTAGAGTGCGGGGATCCAGGTTCGCAGGGACCGGCACCCCTACTCTGGGCAAGGGATCGCGAGCCGCTGCAGCCACTTGAGTTGGGCGCAGAAATGAGCTCTCCCAGCCTCCTGGGTGGGCGTCTGGCAGTCCAGATCCGCAGTCCCGGTGCCTGGCAACCTGGGCTCTGGGCACTGGCAAGTATGCACGAATCTCAAGAATACAATACAGGGACCACTAGGGATGTGGGAATATCCTAGAGCCTGTTACCCCAGAGCCTCCAAGTTTTTATGCCTAAGTTGGATTCTTCCACATGGAGTCTGCCAACTCTGACGGGTTCCACTAGATTGGGGCAGAGTTCAGATCTGACTTCGAGCTGAAGATTCGAAGAGTGAGAAGGACGGTCAGTTAGCAACATCAGCAGACACTTAAGTTTCCCACTTGCTCCCTAATTTGCCCGCTTGCCTGCCACTGAGCAAGATCCAGTTCCCAGTCCAGGTAGCTTCCTAGGAGATTCAGGGCTCTGATCTCGAATGAGATAAAAAAGACACCGGAAAGCTGAATGTGGGCAGCCCAAAGATGACAAAACGCAAGGACAGTGGAAGGGGCGTGGACTGACAGCCATAAGTGTATAGCACCCACCACCAAGGTTTGGTCTGTGGCTGCATAGGGCAATTTCTGAACTTTGAGGGTTGACACAGCTCTTCGCCTTTTAAACTAAACCCAGTTATTGTTCGCTGAATCTCATTTGCCCTCCTCCTTTCCCAACCCATCGGGCTTCTTAGAGTCACGGTCACAGAGGGAGCCACAGGAGAAGCTGTGACATCACATGGGTCTCTTAGTTTCTCCCATCTTCCACTTTCAACCGCAAGAGTGAAGCCCTGATCTCTGAGGACTTCTAACTCCCCCTTTCCAGGAACTAACAGAATATGCCAGGAGCAGTGCCAGACACTGGCATAGTGACGCTTCCTGAGCAGTTGAAATTGCTCAGTTACTATACTAGCTCTGACCTACAATTAGTCAGCCCCTTTACAAAAATTCAGAACATACTAGGTTTTATTTTTTAATCACTGAACATGCCCACTAAAAGAAAAATAGAAATGTGCTACTTTGAGCTGCAGATATCAAATACTAACTTTTACTACACACATGTTTTTTCTAGACTATGGGTAATTTTAATGTGCATTGTATTGGATAGAGTCTTTTCTAAAATAGTTTCAAAGTATTTATTTTTTTAAAAAAAAACTTACTACTATACATAACTGAAATATCCTTTATCTGAGATAAGTTCTAGGTTTAACATCCTGGGTTTTTGGGAATGCAATCAACTCTACTCACCCTGGTCAAAAAAAAAAAATATTCTGAACAATACAAAGTAACTAATGAGCGTGTGTGTTATAATTTCCAATACTTATTAACTTAATTGGGGTTTTGCTTGTGTCTTTTACCTTTTGAAAGAGACAAATCTAGGGATGCTAGAAATGGCTGTGCTAGCCAATGTTCCTCATCCCTGTATAACAAATATAAGGTAGCATTTTCCTTTCCTATATCCCCCACATCTAAAGGAACTCAGGAGGAGAAGGGAAAAGGATGCTTTAAGACATATTTGTTCACAGATCTCAGTATTTTTCTAAGCTCCAAGCAATCACAATCATCTACGTAAAAGTAGTTTTCAAGGTGAAAACAAACAACATGATTCACTGACCTTACAAATATATGCAACAAGATAATGAGGTTTTCTTTTTTCTAAATGGGAGCCAAAATGCATAAAATAAAATGGCATGGCATGGCCTGGTGTTGTTTATGTGCAGTACAAATGTGTTACTCCTTCTGGCCTGGAGTGTCCTGTGGCTGACATGAGCACTGTTGCCCCGTATGCACCTAAGGACCAATGCACGCTTTTAAATGAGCAGTTTAGCACACTGTGGAAACCAGCTTTACCTCAGAGGAAACCTGTTTCTCTACAGTGACTTTCTTGTGTCAGTCAAGTGCAATATTGAATACAAAAAATTAACAAAAAGGGGTTGGGGACTAAGCCAAAGTTTATGTGTGTGTGTATGAGTGTGTGTAAGGAAAAAGAAAGGGGAGTTGTATTCTTTATTATATCCTGTCCCATTCTTCTTTCCAACAAACCATCACCCATCCAAGCAACCGACCGATCAACTAAACAATCAACCAACCAATAAAAAGGGTCTCTAGATTATTAACTGGCATGTTTTTTAGTGACTTAAAATATTCAAAGTAAAGTATAGCAAAATCGCTAGGCACTTAGTACTGGGTCCTCATATAGAGAAGGCACTCAAATGCTTGAATGAATTAATTACTGGTCTACTTTTCTTGTCAAAGTGTCTGCTTAAGCTTCAGCTTTGGAGAAAAGGATAAAAGCTAAGATAAAATTCATGCATACTGAATATTTGAGAGGGTATTGAGTTCACATAGACACGTGATTTGAGCATACACTGTGAATGTCTGTTGGAAAGTTTATAATCTTATGCAACAGTTAAGAGACAGAGAAGGTCGGTAGGATAGTGGTGCCCTTAACATTATTACTGCACTCAAGAAGTTTCCCAGCAGCTTGCATAGAAGAGAAATATAGCTGGTTGCTGGGAATTGTGTGGAGCTGCTGGAGTCATTCCTGCCTCTCTGTATACACCAGTGTATATCAACAACCAGTTAGTTGACATATGTAATTAGTTGGTCTGTGAGCTTCACAATCACAAATATCTTCCTTAATTGGGTGGCTGACTTATAACTAATGGTTAGAACAGGATCTAGGTAAACTTAGTAGACGTGGCCCACCACCATTAATTAAAAAAATATTCCAAGTGCATATGCAATTTTAGGACAGATGTGTAATATTTATAATAAGGATTGCAGAAAGACAGATAATATATTTGTGTGCATCATCTCAACACATACAATTATAGAGGTCATGGTGAAAATAGGATTAAGAATTGAGCAGTGGGCAGCCAGGCTTTCCGAAGCATGTTTTGGTGTCAGAAAGCATAGGTTTGATTCCCACGTCCGTGATTTACTAGATACATCAATGAGTGAGTGAGGGTTATTTAGTCTTACCAGGCCATTGCTGTTGCATCTGATAAATTGAATTAAAACTATTGCAAACCTCACAGTGTCATTGGTAAGAGCTCAATATGAAAGGGCTTTGAGTAATATCTGGATACATTTGTTTTATTATTATTATTGTTATGTTGTTTTTACTACTTTTTTTATTATTTACATTTTCTTCCTAAACAGGGTCTTAACAGTTGATTGGTGTATCTTTATAAGACCTTTAATATCTTTAAGCCTAAATCTCTTCATCTGTGAACTAGCAGTAATCATATCAGCCTTTCCTGTTTCACAAGGGAAGATGAAATACACTAATTTCTGTAATTTGCCAAAAAACCACCAAATAAATATGGTACTATTATGTAGTTAAGTACATCACATAAATAGAAATATTATGGAGATTTATATGAATAGTGTGGAAATCTATAGTGACAATATCATTGTTCACATGCTTTTATTTCCTTGAGAGAGGTCCAAATTTATTTTATGCCAATCATTACCTTGGCTGGAGCATCATTTTGGATATTTTAACCCAAAGATCCCCAAAGTTCCAAGTAATGTTTTTAGTTGTTCATATTTTTACATAAGTGTGTACAGACCCATGACTTTATTTTTAGGCACTTAGTTTTTTCATCATTTTAATATTCATTCTTCATTCAACAAATATTATTTGAGTTCTTACTTCCCTAGCATGAGCCAGACACACTTAGAAAATTGCAGGATGTACAACAGTGAATAAAATGGACAGCATCTGCCCCTTGAGGTTTGCATTCTGGCAATTGCAATCTATACTGCTGATGTTTTTCATCAGATTTTCCACGTGGACACATTAAAATTTTTTTCAAATACTATTCTTGAAGAGTTTTTAGTTAATGTTCTGCCACTGATCTATTACATCAGTTGCATAGTCAACTTGGAATAGGTTCTAGCTTCCAAGTGCATAGAGTGTGGAGAGTGGTGCATGATGCCAAACCTGGAAGAAACTCAGAGGAGAGTTGCCTGTGTTTAGGAAGACCTCTGTGGCTGGAGGTAGAGTCACTGAGAGAGGCACCTGTGTCTTCAAAATCATGTTGGTCCTAACATGAACTTGAAAACTCCAATGGGTGCTGGGAAAGTCTAAAGAGAAGGTATCTGATAGTGTGATATAAAAGGGAGTGCCTGACTAATATTAACATGTTGCTGAGAATGAGCAGATCTTTTCCCTTAACAATTTTACCTGTGTCATTCATCTTTGCATTTAATATTGATTTTATGGGCCTAATGTTAACATTACATAGACCTCAACTTCAGCTACTTTTCTTGTAAGGTTTGTGATCTCTGGTTTTCATTGAGATAGTGACTTTGCGTAAGTTCAGTTATTACTGGTAGAAATACCAGAAATTGAAACTAGCTATTCTGGTCTCAGGTTTTGAGCTCCTTCCATTAAATTATGCCATATTGTATATGGACTTATGTATGCCAAGTACACACAGTATAAGTGTGTGTTCAAACAATAAATAACACTTACTTTCAGTAATTTAGTTACCTGGAATAACTAAAAGCAAGAGTTCATTTCTCTTATATTTGATTTCAGCTTAGTATACACTGTATTTGTCCTAACATGAACTTGAAAACTCCAGTGGGCGCTGGAAAAATCTAGAGAGAAAGCATCTGATAGTGTTACATAAAAGGGAGTGCCTGACTAACGTTAACATGTTTCTGCAAATGAGCAGATCTTTCCCCTTTCACTGTGTGTACTAAGTGGAAATCGAATATAAGAAATTACCTCTTGCTCTTGGTTATCCAGGGTAACTAAATTACTTAAAAGTGAGTGTGATTTATATGTGAGGCAACTAGCAAAGAGAAAAACTGATATTATCAGTGGACTCTCCAGAATTTCTCTTTTGAAAGGGTTCAAATAATGCAATCAAGTTGGAGAGGAAGCCTCACTACCTACCTATGCCTAGCAAACACACTGTTTGTTGTTAGAGTGTACAATTAACTGGGATGGGTTTAGAGGAAGGATTGATGGAGATGGCGGTGGTGGTAATCTCTCAATCCTCTTTCGTTGTTTCACTGATAATTATCCATATAACATAGGAAATATTCTAAAATTTTCCAAAAGCTATTTAGACTAGAGGAAAGAGTAGTGGAGATCTCAATTCTGTTTTGTTGTTTCACTGATAATTATCCATATGTCATAGGATATATTATTTATGTTCTAAAATTTTCCAAAAGGTATTTAGACTAGAAGAAAGAGTAACGGAGGACTTCAGGGAGAAGGGGATTCATATTTCCAGCTGCCTTTTTCTAATTGACTGAAACTGAGAAGATTATTTAATTTGTTACCCTCCATTTTGTTATCTATAGAAGAGAAAATAATAATAACAAATTTATAGTTTATCATAAGGATGAAATATATCACATGTAAAATGCATGGCATACCTTCAGTCTTGAGGAAGATAACTCTCTCCCTCTCTCTCTCTCTCTATGTTAATGAACAGGGTGAGAGTTTTGTGCTCCACAATTACCTATTTGAGCAAGTAAGCATGGGGAAATGTTCTTACTTGAAGATTCATGAGGCACGTTTGTATAGTAAAGGCTTTTTGAAATTCTGCAGCAAAACAAACAAACAAACACTCTGTTTCTTTTGTCTAACCCAGTGTCTTTCACATTTTAATTATTGGAAGACCCTTATTTGAATCGTAGCTATTAATGTCCCACTCAACTCATGCTCCCCAGAGCACACTTGAGGCAACATGGGCCAGTAACACCACTGCAATTTCAGCACACACATCCAAAGTCACATGACCATACATCCTGCAGCTGCTTCATTCTAAGCCAGAGTCTGCCATTCCCAATTTCAGAACATTTTCTTAAAGGTTTAAGATTACCATGACACACGGTTACCTATGTAAAAACCTGCACATACTGCCCATGTACCCGGAACTTAACATAAAAATACAAATTAATAAAAAAAAACACTTAGTATGGTGGCAGATATTTTGCATGCTTAATAAATATTTTTTCTTTAAAAAAGGTATACTTAGATGTTTAATACTTATTGCCCTCTTTTATTTAGAAAATATTCTTAAAACCACATAATCTATTCTAAAGGTTTACCATTTTATTAGCATAAAATTTGATCTGGAGCCATTTTACTTTTCTTTTTCTCGTTTTTTTTTTTACACTAGACTTGCTTTTTAACATTGTTTTAAATTGAAAATTCATATTAGACTTAAAATATCTTTTCCAGGAATGTAATTTGTGGTAAATTAAAGGTCTATATTTACAATTTAACCTATTCTTTATTTTAAAATGCTTATCTGATTTTTTAAATGACAAATTTTCATGGCAACACAAAAGCATCCAAATTAAAAGGAATGTATTCCAACTAAATCAACTGTATTAATTTGTTATCTTGATTTACTACTGAGATCAAGTTGTATCAAATTGGAAACTCCCTACTTATTATACAGCACTGTCACTATTTTTCCAAGTAATTTATTTAAAATAATTAAATTAATTGTTTGAAATAATAAAGTAATTAGAAAAATAGTTAATCTTGGAGAGGAAAATTTTTAAAAAGGAAAGAAGTAAAAATATTTAATTTATAATCTCAGTTATGAACTACTGAAAACATTAAACTCTTTAGAATAACTTTCCCAAGTTACTTGGACAATATTTTACTTTTTTCTTATTAAAAACTTAGGAATCTTCTAAAGTACATAATGAAATCTAAGGTAAGATTAGTCACAAATTGAAATTAACAAGCAATGATATTGACTAAATAATAAGTAAACTACTGGCCACAAATTAATCTCATAGAAACACCTTCCACAGCTTGAAAAGATTTTCTTTTAGCTTTTAAAAATATTATTTGGCACATTTGTCAAGTAGAGCAGTTAAATTTGAAAGATTAGGCCATGTTGTGTCTTTTGATTAGTTGCCAGTTTACTAGTATCCTGGCAAAGCAAACATACAAAATAAAGCAATCATACAACAGCCTATCAACTGTATTGAAAATTTCTACTTATTAATGTTTCAAGAGAAGTGTGATAATGCAGATTTTTATATTAGAATTATGCCTGTGTGTTTTCATTTAACAAAAATCCAATGGTTAATTGTTATTATTACCATCAGTTATCATCAATTTGGAGACTAAGAGTTCACTACAACTTACTATTTCCCTTTAAAAATTCAAAAAAATATTAAAACATATTATTTTTTACACCAAACGAGTCAAAGAGCACAGACAATCTTAAGGCAAAACACCTATTTTATCTAATGATTGATTAAAACTCAACCTATACATGGGTTGGTACACACACACATGTATTTCCTTGCTCTGTCTGCTGAGAGGGCTTAGGAACAATGATACCCCAGTAACAATGAACACTCCTGGCACCTAGAGCTCCTCAGAAAAAATATATATTATTCTGGTGCTGGGAAGGGAGATACATAAGATGATTCTGGAGGATCTTATAGTGCTGGAAAGTAAAGAAATGCTCCCATGAGTGCATACTGATATAGATAAATGATTAAATAAATAAGTAGGGAGAATAGGCAAATCTGCTCAGCAGAAGAGCCAGGGGATCCAGGTTAGCATCAGCAGTGGTAGATTATGCTGCTAGTATTCACGCTTGATAACAGGTGATGCAAAGGGTATGTTACCTATCTGGTCTTCCTCCCCAAAGCCTAGAGCCCTACTCTACTAATGAGAAAATATCAGACAAATTCCAACAGAGTAGCATTCTGCAAAATAGCTGACCAATATTGACCAAAACCACCAAAGTCATGAAAAACAAGGAAAATCTGAAAAACTGTCACAACCAAGATAAGCCTAAGAAGATTAGTGAGAAAAATGTAATGTGCTATCCTGAATGCAATCCCGAAACAGCAACAAGAAAATGACATTAGGTAAAAACCAAGGACTCTGAATAAAGACTGACTTTACTTAATAATAATTCATTAATACTGGTTTATTAATTTTAACGCTGTACCATACTAACGTAATAATTTCAGGAGAAAGAAGATGTGGAGTACATGTGAACTTGGTACTGTATTCTCAGTTTTTCTGTAAACCTAAAGCTGTGCTAAGAAATAAAGTCTATATTTTAAAAAGATTCAACCCATGTCAAGGTTTCTTCTGTTACTGTTTCTACCTACTCTGCAGTACATAAAGATCTGCAACTGTATCAAGGGAAACAAAAAGGAAAAAGTCTCGTTCATTCCATACAACATGCTACATGGAGGGTTTTCTAAGAGTGTCCTTAAAGACAACAATATTTAATGTTGAAAAAATCATTGAAGAAATAAGCTTTATATAACAGTTGCTAATCTGATGGTCATACGTCTTCTTTAGAATTCTGCAAGGAGTTTGTAGAAAATCAGACATTAGTTGTTCCTATCCATTAGCATCTTGGTCTTCAACTATTATACTTTTTGTACTTAAATATAATTTACCGTTGAATATTGATGCAAGCATTGTAACATTCTGTCAGATGCTTTAAGTGCTGATGTCTTTAAATGAAAAGTCACAGGAAACTATTTTCACAGATTACTTTTCTTAGCAAAATTGTCTAAATATGCCTTTAAAAATCAATACTTAATTCCCAGAGGGGGAAAAAAACACTTCATAATGCAGATTGGGGAAAGGATGGTAAAAATCAAGTGTTCTTACTTTCTTTCATTGTGAGGACTCAATCATAACTTTTAAAGGTTTTCTTTTTTCCTAAATTTTAAACTTCTAAAATGTTGGATTACATACTTTAGTAATCCGTAAACAGATGTTGCATTCTGATGAACTGGCTGTGTTTATACTGTATGAGATGTTACTGTACTTTTTCTCCTAAAAATGGATTAATGAGATAGAGCCATTCTTCAAATCTAAAGGCAATATTTGCCTTTTGAATTCTGGGTAGCGCTGTTCCTTTTGTTCTTAGGAAAAATCTGAACCCTAAGGCTGTTTCCATGCATGTCCACTGAGTTGGCAAGAACCTTTATAAATGATTGTGAATCATCTAAATGTTCAACAGGAGAGAATGGTTAAGAAAATAACAGTATAATGTCATCCAGGTTTATTCATGTTGCAGCAAATGACAGGATTTCATTCTGTTTTGTGGCTGAATAGTATTCCATTGTGTATATTTACCACATTTTCTTTATCCATTCATCCGCTGATGGACACTTAGGTTGACTCTGCATCTTGGCTACTGTGGATAACGTGGCAATGAACTGAAGTGCAGATATCTCTTCAACATGCTTATTTCAATTCCCTTGGATATATACCTAGAAGTGTGATTGCTGGAGCATATGATAATTTTATTTTTAGTTTTTTAAGCAACCTACATACTGTTTTCCATAATGATTGTACTAATTTACATTCCTGCCAACAGCATGTAAGAGTTGCCTTTTCACCACATCCTCGCCAGCATTTGTTAATTTTCTTTTCTTGTCTTTTTTGATAATAGCCATTCTAACCATTCTAACTGAGGTGAGGTTACTTAAGAAATAAAGCATTCATTAAATATGATCCGTAAGAAGAAATAAGCAAAAAATGCACACAAAATAATATAGACCATAGTGTATGGTTTTACATACTTTGGATTGGGAATTTATACAGTTCATTCTTGCTTATACATGATAACTTTCAGTTAGTTCATGTGGAAAAGGGAAGTTTATTGGTTTTGTTAAGATGGTAGAATTGTGGGTGAAAGTTTTTTTTCACTTTTATTCCCATTAATGTGTTTTGTCCAGTTTAACAACGATTAGTTAAGGATAAGATTTTGTAGATTCTCGATTATTAAAGCAGACATTTGCCTGCAGATTGCCATAGTGAAAAGTGCACTGGAATGAGAGTACTTCCACTTCCGGTGGTTCTTAGCTTGGCCATGTCACATAACCTCCTAGTAAATCCAACCCTTTATCGGAGACTAGTGAGTGGTGAGCAGGTAATGGGTGCGTCTGCTGATCTCCATATCTGTAATCCCCTCTGCAGTATCTGCTTTATTTTATTGTCATTGGGATGAACTGATATGCTGCATGAAGATGTGCAGCTGTATTACATTTAACATTTATAGCCACAGCATCCAGTGTGTGGAACTTTGTTTGTTTCCCTGTAATTAATGTTAACTGGCACACATCAAAGTGAGGACCTTGATGTGGCCCCAGTGGGAGTTTCCTCGCTTTCTATTTCAAATGTAAATTATTTTGAATCTATTTTCTCTCTTCTCCCTACAGAGATAAAAGACATGAAAGGAGAGGCATTTGCTGTCATTCCTCCAGGACGTCCACTGGGGTGTAGCTTGTTCCACTAGGTCCTGGGTATCAGCCTCTAATGCACTGCATTCACTGCCCAAATCCCTGACTGAGCAGCCCCATGTGGCTCACTCTGCTGCTGCTCATCCTTCAAGACTCAGCGCATTTTCCATCTGGTCTCTCACTTAGCTGGTGCTTACCCAGCGCCTCTTTGGGGTGGAATTTGTGGCTCACACAGCAACACCCACTCCAAGTGACCTTCAAGTCCTGCTGGTTATCTCAGGCTCTTTCTGTCTAAGTATATCCTGCCTTCATCTTGGCTTTCCTGGTGGCACTTTGAATGGCCAATTGTACACTATGGTCCTCCACTCCCAGAGACCCACCTGCCTGTGGGCACAGGTTTTCTCCAGATCTAAGGGATTTTATTGTCCTCCTACCATGACTCCAGGTTTCCCAACTCGAAGGGGAAGAAAGATGGAGCTGAGTTCTTGTATTATCACATGTCTATCTCAGCCCTCAGGTTCAAGCTGTAAATACTGCTGTGGTATTTAAAGCAATGCTTTTAAAAATTAAAGCAGCAACGAAAGAAGCAACAAAAACAATAAACTTTTTAAATTTCAGTTTTCGGCTTTGCAACAGAAAGCCTAGGACATGGATGTCCAACCCTTTGAATGTGAGGATGTTTTTGCTTATCTGTGGTGGCAGATATGAAAATTATGCCCAAACTTTTTTCTTAGCTCATCAACTCTCCTTAGTGTTAATGTATTTTATGTATGGCCCAAGACAATTCATCGTCTTCCAGTGTGGCCCAGGGAAGCCAAAAGGTTGAACAACTGTGGCCTAGGATTTAGGACTAGTGTCTCTGTCTCTTTCTCTCTATGTCGTATATATATGTATATATGTATATGTGTGTATATATATGTATATGTGTGTGTATATGTATATTTTTGTTTGTTTGTTTGTTTTTGTTTTTTTTGAGACGGAGTCTTGCTCTGTCGCCCAGGCTGGAGTGCAGTGGTGCGATCTTGGCTCACTGCAACCTCCACCTCCCGGGTTCAAGTGATTCTCCTGCCTCAGCATCCTAAGTAGCTGGGACTACAGGCACATGCCACCACGCCTGGCTAATTTTTGTATTTTTAGTAGAGACGGGGTTTCACCATGTTGGCCAGGGTGGTCTCGATCTCCTGACCTCATGATCCACCTGCCTTGGCCTCCCAAAGTGCTGGGATTACAGGTGTGAGCCACCATGCCCAACCCATATTTTATATATTTGTATAAATAATATATAATATAATAAGTGTGTATATGGCTGCATTTATTACAGATTTTTCAATTTATATATATATTATAAGCATTGCATATACATATTATTAAGCATATTTATTGCATATATTATACACACTACAGCCCAAAATACTGAATATAAAACATATACTACATAGTATACATAAATTCACATATAACTATATACAAATACATATATAGTTGTGTATTATTTATTATAATTATCCTTTAGTTTATATATTACATATATATCATTACACACAGTACAACATATATTACATATCATATATAATATACGTGTATTCATAGATAAATTCATATTTATATAATAAGATTCCAATTTGCATTTTTCTCTGTCTTTTACCTATTCTACCTGGAGACAAATCATACATAAAGTTATTATTGCATTTCGAATAACTGGGCAAGGCAATGTCTGTGAGTGCTGGTGGTGTGGAGCGGGGAGGCATCAGGCCCACACAGACCATGCCAATTTGTTATGCTTTTAGGATGTTCTGAGGCTACATACAACTGAGTTTGAAATATCTGTTCTGCTTCTCATGAGAATATTCCTCTCGGTCAGATTGAACAACAGGGAACACATGCTATCATCCAGGCTCCAATTAACCTCGAAGGATTGATGATTTGCTACATCTGTGGGACATTTGTGAGAAAATAGGCAGTATGATATCACAAATAAAATTCCTTAGGGAAAAACATAATTTCATAGAAAACACAACAAAACTGTTATAAATAATTGTCCATTATTAGCTTAGCCTAAACAGTATACTCTTCTTGGAATAATAATGATAAATAAATTGTAAAGAGAAAGAAATCAGACCCAGAAATCTATTTGAACAAGCTGTAGAAGGCACATAGACTTAAATATATATGTGTATATATATATAATTTCTTATATGTATACAAAAAACTATATAAGATACATAAATAAATTAACAACAATAGTGTTCAACACGAGGCAGAGCCTTTAAAGATCCTAAAGTCCAACTTTTTCATTTCATAACTGAGAATACTAAGGCCCCAGAAGCTTAACTGAAATAAAGACTCAGTAAGCAAGCCACAATTCTTAACCTTCTTCTCAGTGCTGTTTTCTTGCAACTTTGTTTTTCTCATACAACTAATTTGAAAGGTGTTAAAAATCTATATTTGAATGAATGAGAAGTAGTAATCAACTAACAAAATTCATAAAAGCTTTAGAGTACAAAAAGCACTGGACTAATCACTGTGGTTTCTTTAAATCAGGGTGCCCGTTGTAGAGAATTTTGAGATGTGTCTTAAATGAGAGAGTGCACATGTGAAACGGAGGTGAGGCCAGAGGAATTATTATTGTAAATACTCAAATCTAGGGAAATTTTAACATCCAGGGAAAATATCAATAAAGAAATCTTAACAGAAATATGTTAAACTATACATACCTTGCAAGTTTTTTTTTTTTTTTTAGCTTTTTATGATCTAGGTATTTCTGATTAACTTATCCTACAGTTACTTGAGTGAGCAGGAATGTCTTCATCTCTAAAAGCACTCTTGGAAAAAAATAAAGTTAGCATTTACAAACGAGTGGTATATAGCTTAACAATTTAGAATAATTAGAGTCTACGGCCATTACAATTTGTATTATCCTAATTTAACTGGAAATATTTAAGTGAGTGTTATACTTTGGTTAGGCTAAGTACATGTGCATACAAGGGAAGAAGACTAAAGAGTGGTATCTGTCACTCACTTTTTGAGAACGTCATAAAAAATCAGGAAGGCAGCCCACCATTTGGGACTTTGAGATTCATAGTCTCACTCCTATATCAGATGCAAAAAGTGAGGTGGAATGTATTATTGATATGCTACTTAAAAAGACAAAATCGGTGAACAATTCCTGGAGAGTATGCTAAGTTTGCTGTACTATTCCTGAAGGCTGACCTGCCTTTTGTTTCATGTGAAGTAATCCTTCAAATCAACTTCTGGGTTTTGCAAAGTAACATTTGAGCTTTTCTTCTCCCTTCAGACTATGAAGTTTTAATTTATGTATTCACACCCTCTCTGTCATTTACTATTCATTTATTCATTCTTATATTTATAGCTTGTCTTATTCTAAAAATATTTTAAAGGCTTATAAAAATACATATATTATAATCTGATAAAATACATTAATGAGGATGGAGGTGAAGGTGAAGCAAGATTAAGGCAGGTGCGTTTCCCTGAAAAGATGCCAAAAGTGGACGAGAAAATTGTATCTGCGGCTGAATTGAGAAGGGAAACAGAACAAACTTCAGAGTTGGGAGGGTCTGGTTGCTTAAACAAATTATAGGTTTTTCAGGTTAAAAACCATGCAAGAAATTTATCCTGTGATCCTGATAAGGGGAAACAATGTGATGTTATAGATAGCATACCTACGATCAAATCAGTGGTGTGTTTCATACATTTGTTTCTTATGAAATGCTCAATACAACTCTATGACAAGGCATCACGTAGTAATAAGAACACTTCTACAAAACATCTTGGTATGGAACTGTCAAATAGTTTGGTTTGATCTAGACTTCAATTTATAGTATCTAGGGAAATGGATGGCTTGCACGTCACCTCATCATCATTCGTAATGATTGCTCCTTGAGTCTGAGCTTTTCCTGAAGGAGAGCAGCAGAAAGTTAGAGGGAAGGGGGGTTGTGATTAAATGTGCATTTCTACTTAGAGCCAGATCCATAAACATTAGAAGGTAAGAATGAGGTCCTTCTATGAAATTAAGAAACCCAAATAAGGTACCTTGTTAAATAGAAGACCACCTCACCTCTAAGAGGATGAGACGCCTGGAAGCAGAGCCAATGTTTTACTCAGAAAATTCTTGCAAATAGTTTTAAATAATGACAAGAGTCACTAAAAGGTGAAAAAAACAAAAAAGGTCGGGGGAGAATAAAATTTTTTGAGACATTAAGATTAAATACCATGTCTTTCAGGTAAATGCTAAGATAGGTAGGTTGGGAATTGCACATTGACCTCATATAGGAGCATCTGTAAACCAATAATGTGTTCAGTATAGTCTACCCACCATGGTGATTGGGTTTCAGAGCAGTTGTTCTTAACCTTTCTTACAGTAACCATAGAATAAAGCTCATGATGTCATGAGCTCAATGCTTCATAACTGCATATATATCTGTTCATCACTTCATCACAACCCTTCTTCCATCTAACCTTCTTTTTCTTTTTTTTCTTTTTTTTTTTTTTGAGCCAGTCTCACTGTGTTGCCCAGGCTGGAGTGCAGTGGCATGATCTCGGCTCACTGCAACGTCCACCTCCCGGGTTCAAGCAATTCTCTGCCTCAGTCTCCTGAGTAGCTGGGATTACAGGCGCCCGCCACCACGCCTGGCTAATTTTTGTATATTTAGTAGAGATGGCGTTTCACCACGTTGGCCAGGCTGGTCTTGAACTCCTGACCTCGTGATCCACTCATCTCGGCCTCCCAAAGTGCTGGGATTATAGGCATGAGCCACCGCGCCCGGCCTTAACCTTCTTTCATATATGAGTATATATCTCCCCACTGTTCAGATAATAATTTCCAATTTTTTGTACTCTTGTTTTCCTAAGATTTTGTATTTGGTACTTGCTTAACTATGTTTTTGTTGTTTTGTTTGTTATTAGAGTCTACTTTGCATATCTTGGTCTGGTCAGTAATAAAGCTTAAATCTTTTCTATCCCCTCTGAACCTTTCAGATACTCCTCTGTAATCCTAATCATCTCCTCTTAGAAAAGCCTATTTTATCTAACGGGACTATTGATTACATAAGGCTGAAGGGAAATAACTAAACGTTGTTTGTCAGTCTGTGTTCTGAACATCAAATTTGCCCACCTTTCTTTAGACTCCATATTTTAGAGTACTACCATGGGCTTAAGATGTAAGAACAAGCAAACAAAACCTGAAACATTGGCGTGTTTGGTTTAAGGTTTTGATCTTTGTCTGAGGTTCCTGAAAAGATGACTTTAACTTTTGTTCAATTTCTTGCCTTTTTTTCTGAGAGAAAGGAAACACTCGTTGTAACTCCATGGTATATTTCATTTCCAAACTCACACTTCTCTATTTTGAGTTCAAATTAAAGACTTCTGTCACATCTGTAAAATGCCATGCTGAGCTACAAATTGAGTTAATGATAGCTTCCTTCTACTTCATGTTTATTATTACAATGTTTTACTAGGTTTCTCTAGTTTTCTCTCTTTCAAACATTAATATGAATGTGGTACATTAGATATTATGCAGAAGTACAAATTCTCCTTTATAGCTGCCTGAGAAAAGCTTGCAACTGACATTTCGACTGAAAAGTAATATGCAGAAGTGAAAAAAGAACTTCTCTAGGGCCTTTTGAAGGAGGACAGTATCACCCTACAAGTCAATATGAGACCATCCAAATTAGCATTATATTTCATAAATCTATCTACAGCATAATTCATACTCAGTCAAAAGGAAATACAGCAAAATTCCCTGTGGAAAGACTCATTTTTGCATAACACATACACATACACATAAACACACACAAATGGCATAGAATTGTGTAAATCAGTACACAAGTCCTTTCGGGTCAAATAAAAAGAAAGAAGAAGGGTGATTGCTTTCTAGCTAGTGTAGACTTGAGAAAACCATTTTATGTTCTGCAGTCTGGTCTTATGCACCACTCCCATCTGAGATTCTTCCTGAGGAAATAAAACAGGTTCTGCAATTCTGTCTGTATCTTATCTCAAAAGTCTGCTAAAAAAAGTAACTTATTTAGAAGCATACAAATGCATGACCCAATAAAGAAAATGAAGTGTAAAAGGGCCGAGGAATACAACAGCAAAAGCTGTAAGTTTGAACTTTAGTCATTTTTAAGCAAAGTAACTGTTTTCATTTATTTTTAAATGATCATTTAAGTAAGTATACCTTTTGCCATACAAGAATTAAGAAAATTAGTTGAAAGTAAAGAAAAATGAAAAGTTCATTTAGGTTGCTTCCAATATAGATCATAATTTTTTTCTAAGATTGCTTCTTTCTGAGATTTGTAGTGTCCATCCAATGCTGTTAAATAATAAATCATTTCTGTATAATGACAAAATATATGTACATTTAATTATTAAAGGCTATGAAGAATAGAAAGGTATGCAGTTTTAAGATAATTATAAAATCAGTTTTCTTCTACCCACAGAAATTATTTTTTAACAGTGTTTGGCATTTATTGAAGAAATAAACAAATATATAGAAAACTTATTTTAAAAATAAAGATGTTAATGGTTTTATTGATTTACTTAAAAATTCAGATATTCTTTATTGGACATAAGTCATTTATTTGATACACAGGTTTATATACCATATCTTCACTGTTACTCCAAAGTAGAAGGTAGTTATATCTAATATAACCATTTTATTGATGTAGAAATTGAAGTCAGAGTTTATGAACAGAATCAGATTAATGGTGATCTTGCATGTAACCCAAGAGCGGAAAAAGGCATCTTGTGAACACATTGTCCAACTTAGTAGCTTGCATAATCTAGATTGGGATAATTGCTAATCCTTTCTTTCATCTACCTTTATTTACAAAACAATAGTATCACCCAGAAGGACTACTTTAGGATGCTATCAAAAGCAAAGGTAAATCTACTTACCTGCAAAATTATTCTTAGATTGTCTTAAAGTAATGAGCACCTAGTACCTAGGAAATGCAAGAAGTGTATTGTCAATGGTAATTTTTAAACCAAAATTTTCAGTTTACTACAACTAAATTTCCTCTAGAACCTTGTCCAATTCTATTTGTCAAGTTTTAGCGTACGTTAATTTGTATAGCAATATTAAAGTGAGCTTATGTGCAGAGAAACAAAACCAAATTCAAAAGACTTAATTAAAAACAAAGGGAACCTGAGTGAAATTTTAGATGTTAGAAGTCTGGCCTATATTTTTATTTATTTATTTGATTCGTGAAAACTCAACTTTTTCTTGAAACTTTTACTTGAGAACCAAATTCAAAAGACTTAATTAAAAACGAAGGGAACCTGAGTGAAATTCTAGATGTTATAAGTCTGGTGTATTTTTTTGTTTGTTTATTTGATTTATGAAAACTCAACTTTTACTACAGAATGATTACAGATTAAGATACTTTTTTAACCATGAGTAAAACCATTAAGAATGGCAACAATTTGAATTAATAATCTTAGTGGGCCTTGCAATGAGGACTAACATGCTGAACTGGTCTTTTCTACTGTGAAATATATTGGAAAAACCTTGCACTAGTATTTCAACAGCACCCTTTCCATTACACTTATATATTGATTTGAATCTGTCAAGGAACTCCTCTAGAACAGTTGTATGCAACTGCGAGTCATTTTTTTTTTCTTCCAGGGGACATTTGGCAATGTCTGAGGACATTTCTGTTTGTTTCTACTGTGGGAGTGGTGGAAGCTGCTACTGGCATTTAGTGGTTAGAGGTCAGGAGTGCTACTAGACATCATACAATGCACAGGGTAGCCTCCACAACAGGGAACTAACCAGCCCAGAATGCCAACAGTGCTGAGGTTGAATTTTAGGTTGGAGATTATGAACACAAACCTAGTGCAGGTTTAGTGTAGATGCTTTGGAAATCCTGCTCCAGAAGAAAATAAATAAAACCATCAATCATCTATTCTCAGATGGTATGAACGGAAGCCACATACCACGTTAGTGTTTTGCCATGAATCAGGAGGACTCATGGCAAAACACTTTTGATAACACTTCCCTTGCCCAGTGTGTATGGTGCCTCTTCTGAAAACATGTCCATCTGAAACACAAAACAGACACTACAGCAAGTTACAAAATCATGTATGCAAATGCACTTCACTCAATGGCTCTCCAAGCTTCATGAGTATCTGCTATAGGCAGGCCACTGGATACATATGAATGAGCAGGATAGACTGTCTGTTTTCATGGAGCTCATGGAAAGGCACACGGATGTGAATTAAATGATCACACAAATAAATATTTAATTCTAAACTACGACAAATATTATTAATGAGAGGGTCATGGTTCTATGAACTCCTGTAATGGGAAAAACCGACAAGGTTAAAGAAAGTCAAAGAAACTTTTGCAGGGTAAGAAGTTTGTGAGTTTATATCTGTAAAAGAAGTCATTCCTAGAAACTGACTTCAAGAAAAAGGAAAGGACTCCAACTAGGGGAACAGCATATGCAGACGTCCAAAGGTCAAAGGGCATGTGTGCTCAGTGACAATTTAGCTCTTTATTAATACCTTTTGTTAGACTGTGTGTGTACATATAGTAGCCCTTTCTAATAATGGGAAAATGAAACTATTCCTCAAGTTAAATTTACAATGTAGAACTAGTTATTTAACCAATAGCTATCTCCCCCAAAGATAAAATTTAAAACTTCTCTTTGAAGAAATAGAGAAATGAAGTAGAATGTTCTTATTATCCCCTGAGAGACTGTGAGCAAAGAAGCAGAGTAGGCAATTTCTGGGAAAAAAACATTCAAAATATTTCTCTTTGCCTAAATCTTCATTGATTCTTCTTCTATTCTGCCTCAGGGAGAGCCCTTGTTCCTGTAATGGTTTTTCTGAACCTCTCCCCTGCTCCCATTCCTTGTCAAAGAACACAGGGAATCAAAGAATGTCAGCCAGAAATGATTCAAAACTTAATTGGTTTATTTACAAATAAAAGAAATGGAGGAACAAAGAGGTCCTCACTGTTTAATATCAATTTTTAAAATAAGTACTATCCTGAAGCACGTTGGCCCCTTAAAAGGGACTGTTTTTAGCACATTAAACCTCTTCAAACCACTACGTAGGTTTATTCAACCTCATGCTTTGTAAAAGTACAGAAGTCATTTAAAAATATGGTTTTAATAATGAATCAAATGGCTGTTTCTATAATTAAATCTACTCTGTGTAGCTAGATAGACAGCAAACTCTGTTCTAGCAAACTCTTGGTTCTCCTGTAAGTCATTTAGGGAGTGCTACCTTTGCTCAGTGAAGAGTTAAGACAAAGAAAGCCTTGAATATGTTTCTCATATTCCCAAGCTCAAGAAAGTATAACCTATCCTGAACAAGTTATGTAGGTGTGTGTTTATGAACCGCCCTGAGATTCACTCTACTTACAGATTGCTGTAATACTTCTTGCAGAGAGCCTGGAATACATCCTCTGTGTGCATAGCCACTAATCTGAAATCACTCAAACCATGCTTCCGCCAACAAGAGACACTTTTCTGCAGTGACTATGATGGATATTCTCTGTTTGCCCCTCCAGATCCACTCTTCACCAGCCTCTTACCTCCGTGGACTTTTAGGAGTTGCATCACAAGTGTCTCTTGCCTTCAGGCTTCATATTGCTTTTGGCCAGTGCAAGACAACATCAGCTTGGAAGACAGGAACAGCTTGTGGCTTTGAGCTCCTTGACTCCCTTTCTATTGATTTCATGTGAGATGTTGTGGCTGAGTTCCTCCTCCAAGGGTCTTAGCTCATTTTGGGTGCCTCTCTCCTAAAGCTGCAGATGTCTCAGTGCCTCTTCTTCTTGACCCTTTACCCCTAGGATTGATACATTGCTGGTAGCTTAGAGCTGTTGCTAACTCTCAGTTATATCCCTTGCCTTCCCCTTCGCCTGTTGTACACTTATCACCTTCTCCAAATACTCTTACAGTCACCTTCTATGAATATGCCATCTGCTCTCTGCCAGAATGCTGACCTAGACAGAGGCTGGATGCAATTGGGGCTGAAATATCTCTTGACAAAACAATAAAATAATAAAGATAACATAAGTGTGCAACTTAGTTGGTGTATCAGGTATTTTCCACAATCATTTCAGTTAGGTTTTCTGTAATATACCAATTTAATAATGTGATATATGCATTGTTTCTGAACATTTATTTATTTGCTTTGCTTATTTTTCTGTTAGTTACCAGAGCATAGTATGCTTGGTAAATAAATATTGACACACACACATTTCACATTATTATGTGCTATGAAATATGCCAGAAATAGATGAGAATTGGTCGTTGCATTTAAAGATTTTCAATTTAGATAAAGGAGATATAACATATACTGGTGAATATTGAAATATTCAAGAGCCTGATTATGAACATTCTATACCTTTAAATCTCCGCTTCATATCTAAGTATGTGTAAGAACTGGGAAAATTGCACAGCCTCTCTTAGCATCAATTTTCTTGTCTGTAAAATGAGATTGGTTATGTCTACTTCGCTGGGCTTTTGAAAAGATTAGTTGAGCTTGTATATGAAAAGCGATTAGTACAGTGCTTGGGAATGTGGTTAATACTTAAGAAAAGTTAACTGCCATTATTAATGTTACTATTACTTCATTTGCATGTAATTATTTGAGATTCATAAATAAATTTGGATTTTTAAAATTTTCTTAGTAATTCTAAGTAGTAACTCCTGTCAACATTATGCCCATTTTTGAGTTGAGAGAATTTAGGAGTGAGAATAAATTATATAACCAGGTTCACATATCAAGTTTGTGACTAAACCATCACCATTTATCTATCATTTATCCATTAATCTATCTATTTATCCACTCATCTATTAGTTCATCTTTCTCTATATAATGCAGAGTTTGAATTAAAAATAATCTCTTAGTCAGGGGGGCATATTAAAGTGTGTGTGTTTTAAAGAAATCATATATTTTATTTTTTAACAGAAATTAGGTCTGTTTTGTCTGAATGGTTTGAGAAGGAAGACATGTTAAAAAGTGAAAAACATGTCTTTGGTTTCACTGATTTAACTAAAATATATAAATCACATATATAAGATGAAATACATCAGAAACTATGTATTTTGAGAACATTTCAACTATACAGTGAAAAAATGTAAATACTGGCTTAAAATATGTGGGGGTAGAACCTAGGTTTTTACAATTATTTTGGGGTCAAGTTAGAAAAAAATGCTTAGAGACCACTGTCCTCAACAATGACAGACCAATAGGGTTTTATACTCAGTTCAATGGAAAGCATTTGAAGAGTTTTAGATTGAAGAAGAGAACATTTCAATGTAAATGCTTTGCACCATAGTAGGCTTACAGCAAATCACTGTGGGATTAAATTGTGTCATTTCCTATGATCGTTCTCCTAACATCTGAATAAAAATAAAGGCACAGCATAAATTGTTATGTTTAAAATGTCAGTGATGCAGAGATTGGCATTCCTTTCTCCCTAATGCCGTAGTAAAATGGCAGCAGAAACAGTAAATACCAATGTGCAAACCTGACCAAGAAGTGAGACATGCTTAATTATTCATTTCTCTCAATTTCAGTCACAGGGCTTCATACCTCATCAAATTAGAGTAAAAAGCATATTTTAACGTTTGTCTGTTTTGCGGTGCCTGTCTTTTGTGAAAAATAAATGGCAAATCACCAAAAAGAATTTCTTCCTATCTTATGTTAAAATCCAGTCTTCATTTGGAAAGTATTTAGGTGTGCAAGCGCAAGCAAGCCAAGTGATATACTGAAAACGAAATGTCTTAAGTCTTGATGAGTTTGAACATAATGAGAAAAACATCAGAAGCATGTTGATTTCGAGAAAAACACATAAACGTCATTACTTTTTCTGGAGAGAATTGAGACTGTGATGTCTAATACCAGCTTAGTTTGTAGAATCTGTGTGTGTATGTATCTATAATGTTACATAAAAGATATATTCATGTATGTTTCATGTCATCAGTAAACAAATCTCTGTGAATACAGAAGTGTTATCCTCCTTTTAGTATGCAACTGCCTGCAATTATATCTATTTATTTTACAAGGCTGCAAACCAGGAACATTGGGTTTATGTGTATTAAACCCAGTGATATTTAAGACTTGAAATCATAATCCACTTTGGCTTTCTGAAGTGGAGACAGAGTTCTTACAAGAGATTTAGTCACAATAAGATGAATTACTATCAAGAGAACTGTTTGTTGCTTTGTCTCTACATAGTTGCTGTAGCTATTGCACTGTTTTTATTAAATAGACTCTTTTATTATCGATTATTATCTTTCTTTCCCTCCCTCCAAGCCCCTTTCAGTTAAATGTGTATGGATGGAAATTTAGAAGGTGTTATCCTCTATTTTTAAAGTAAATATAAGGATATTAAATGACTTGCTACATAGATTTCTTGATGCATTAATCTAGGTTATTAGCTTTCCTTACTAATGCTGCTGCTTCTTAAATTTTTTTTTACAGAAACAGGTTATTCTCTGGCTCCCACTTTGAGTTGTAATAGCAAAAATAACAAAAATAAGCTATCTTTTATTTAGTGTCTATTCTGTGCCCAGGGGTGTATGACATTGCATAAATAATCTCATTTCATTCTTACAACATTATAATATGGATATTAATATACTGAAACATATTTTTCCAATCTTGAACATTACTTTTCTGTGTAAATTTCAGTTTCAAGCATTCTGTGTAATTTTCTAAGTACTGCATTCATAGTAATGTTTCAAAGAAAAGAAACTAGATAACTGTAAGAAAATTGCAATAATAAACAGGAAATATAAGAACATATTTTATTAACTCAATTTGTAGTTCACCTTGGCCTTTTACAGAGTAGTTTTTGACTTTACTAAAATTATTTTTCAGTTTAGGACTGTTAAGGTGTGGGCTTGGAATATATCATGAGGTTTTAATGAGTGTTTTCTTTCTCTCTGAAAAGAGTAAGACATGCTAGAATGTTGAAAAATAATTTTCAGGATCCACAGATAAACAAAGAGGGGATCTGGATTAAACCACAATTTTGTGCTAGGTTTTTGGGCTGGGCACTTCATATATATGACACATTTAATTGTCACAGAGCCACTGGGGGTAACACTATTGCATTTCAGAAAGGTTAAGTAACTTGCTTATAAGCTTCTGTGGAACTGTACCATGATTTAAACTCAGGCAGAGACTCAGATCCTATGGTGGTGACATTTGTTTTTATTTCTGTTGTTGTTAACTTTACATCACAACATGTTCCCGCAGTAAACAGTGTCATAGGACAGCAGTACTCACACACCAAACCAGCCATCCTGAAATCCAGAGAAATTGTTCCCTTCCTGTGAGAGAAAGAGTTAGTGTTTGAAACTAGACTAGCAGGGCAGTATATGTGAAAATATACTAAAGCGTTGTGCCTATTACATGATAGGCACTCAATAAATAATTGATGAATGATTGGATGAATGAATTAATGATTTAGTTGTATCAAATTTAAATTTAACCGCTAGATAGTTGGTGTACGTTTAGAGCAACTGTGAATCTTAATTGCTTACAAGGTCTGGTTGGATATGCCAGATCAAGTTCTAGTGTATTCAGTCAGCTCTGAGCACTGGACACAGATAGGCTGATCCTCTATGGTTGCACATAAGGAAGGAAGGTGTGTGTTTGTGTGTGTGTGTGTGTGTGTCTGGATTCATGTATATAGCGTGGAAAAGAATTAACAGAATAGATGGATTGAAAATGAGCACATATACATGAAGAATTTTCTATCACTAAAGTCTTCATTAATTAATTGACAGTCATTTTTTGATGATACTTTTGGGTGCATCACCTATATTTCTTTAGAAATTATGTAAAAAACATATTTCATCCTTTTGGATTCTCTTACAATAAAAAATATAAATAATTCAAATGAAAGTGGCTTAACAATAGGGATTTATTTATTTGGCAAGTAATTTAAAGGCAGATGTGTCAGTGTGGTTTAATAATGCTCCCGTAACAAAGAACACCCTGATCTCAATGGCTTACAGCCACAAGGGCTTATTTTTTTTGCACCCACAAAACACTCAATACAAATTTACAGGGTTTCCTACAATGGGGACTTAAGGATCCAAGCAGATGTAGACTCTATCTCAACATGGCAGGGAAAGGATCTCAAAAGGTTCTGCCCCAAAGTGACACACATTGTGTTGGACAAAACAAGTTGTATGAGCATACTTGACTTCTAGGGAGATGGGGGAAGAGAAATGCAATGCTATCTTGTTCCCAAAAGGAAGGAAACTGGCCTGTTTGTGAAACAAGCCAATGAATACCATGGTTAGTAGGTCAGGATTGGCATAGCAGCTCAGTCAAGTCAGGGCTTGAAGTTGGCATTGCTGACATCTTCATGATGACTGCCATTGCCCCAAGTCTTAAGTTCTCACATGACTGCCCCATAGGGGCAGGAAGGAAATGGAGAAGGAGGAAGAATTTCTCTTCATGTGCCTTACTTCGGGAGCTTTCTCGGAAGTCCCAGCAGATCTTTCCTTCCATCTTGTCAGCTAGCACTGGTCACATAGTGTTCCCTAGAATAATTCCTCTCATGGAGGAATGAAGCTACTAGGCTTGGCTTAAACAGTGGTTCTCTACTGGCAATGATTTTGTACTCCCAATGCCTTCCCAGAGGACATTCAGCAATGTGTGGTGGCATTTTTTATTGTCACAACTTGGGGATGGGTGCTATTGCCATTTAGAAATAAGAGGCCAGGTATGCTGTTAAATGTCCTATAGTATGCAGGAAAACTCCCCACAATAAAGAATTATTTTACCTAAACTATCAATAGCCAAGATTGTGAAAACCTGCCATAAACTAAACAATATCCATCCCTTGAGCCCAGACACAGTGTGCCAGAACAAAATTTGAATTATTTTAGCAAAAGCAAAATACAAAAAGGCTGTTAGTGGTATAATCAGTAGTGTATATCCTAAGTACTGAATATGTATTTTCATTTGAATGACAGCTATCACCCATAAATTTTATGTATATGTGTAACTTGAAAAAGAAAATAGAGAAATAAAGAATAAAATGATATGAAAAACCAAGAAAAACCAATTGATATTCAGACTGCCATAAGATTTAATCACTTCTGATGATGCCTTAGTTGAAAGTCAGGGCAATTCTACATACAAATCTACAAATATATATATATATATATATATTTAGTGTTTCTTTAATTTAAATCTACTGTTTTCTTTTGACATTGTGTATTCTATATATCTCACCTTTTCTACACTGTTGTAAGGATACTCATATCCTATTCCAGGTCTTTACAGTTAGTCTTTTATCATGCTTAAGCATAAGAAATGTATGTTACTTTAAATATTAAAAATGGTTATTAGATTCAGGGACTAGATCTGGAAACAGCATAAAGTCGTGGATACTTTTTCTACCATATACTCTATTAAAAATGCTCTTTCTTCCCACTTACATAAAAGTACATAAGTATATGTAAGTAAAATTTTAAAAACAGAAATATATTGTGCTTTAACATGTGTCAAGTGCTTTACAGAGTTATCCATTTTTATTTCACAATAGTACATCAAGACAGGTTTTCATTACTTCAGTTCATAGATGAGGTGATGAAAACTTGAATGGTGAAGTCAGCTTCCACAGTCATACAGCTAGTTAGTGGCAGAGCTGGGGCTCGAACCCATCTTTCTCTCAAGTCCATGTTCTTGCCAAACTGCCAGGGCAACACAGGTGCTTTGGACTGGAATTCAATGTTGAAAGGACAGGAAAAATTGCTTTCATAAAGTAACCTCCATATATGGTGTCTTTCTGGCATAAAAATATCTTATTAAACACCCATGGCATGTATTAAGTACGTCATGTAATGAATATGTTATTATTAAGTATGTCTTGTAATGAAGAATGTTATTTCTGGATTCTTGTGCCATTGGCTAAGTGAACTTGATACTAATTATTTTAAACAAGTAAGTATATTTTGAATGTAAATGTATAGATAAGTAGCTATTACTTGATATTGCCTAAAATAAAACCTTCGGGAATGAACTCTTCACATACCCTCTCTAAGAAAATGTATCATCATCATCATCTCTCCTTTTGCTAATGGTTTTCAACCAGGTCTCAACCCCTGGAACAAATATACCCTGTGAGTCTACAATGAAAAATCATATTGAGATGTATTAAAATTCTGGATAAATATTTTTTATCACACTCTCTATATCCAGGGCTTTAGAATAAATATAACTTAATTTACAAAAATGTCACAAAAATAGTGCTCTGAATTCCCATATACCTTTTGAAAGAGGAAAGAAACCCAAAAAGTGGCTCAATAGTCAAAGACAGGTTTATTTTGGAGAATAAACCTGAGAGGGGCTTCTGGCCGATTTTTGGTTAGGAGTGCTCTTTCTTCCAGACTAAGAGTATTTACTGATGAGAGAGCTTGGAATGTTTCTGTGTAGGGGAGAAGTTTATGGTGGGGTTGGAATGTCTCTTGTCAGAGGAGAGGTTATCTTGGGGCTGACATCTCTCTGATCAGAGGGGAGGTTATCTAGCGGCTGGCATGTCTCTGGTCAGGGAGGGGTTTGGAATATTTATGGTTGGAGATGTTATTTGTGGTTTATGGTCATGCTGACCTTAGCCCTTAGGCTGATGCCCTTTGGATTTAGGCAGTTTTTGATCAAGGGGAATTTATAATGGCAGTGCTTGTGCAAGATGGCGATGCTCCTGCTCTGTCACCTTTAACTTAGGTTCACCAATTGCTATCATTTTACCATATCCACTTTATCATTTTCTCTCTTTCTTTCTCTCTGTGTATATGTGTGTTTGTGTGTATGTGTATTTCTTAGCTGAGGACATCACACCCCTTTAATTCTAAATACTTCAGTGTTATCAAAGAGCAAGAACATTCATTCAGCAATCACAATATAATGATATAAAATCAGTGTGTTAGTCTATTTGAGCTGCCATAACAAATGACCATAGACCAGGTAGCTGATAAACAACAGAAATTTATTTCTCTCAGTTCTAGAGGCTGGGAAGTCCAAGATCAAGGCTCAGGCAGAAACTGGTGTCTGGGAAGAGCCCACTTTCTGGTTCATAGATAGTCTTCTTTTCATTGCATCTTCCTATGATGGAGGAGGGAGGGAGTTCTCTGGGGCCCCTTTTATGAAGGCACTAATCTCACTCATTATGGGGCTGCCACTCTAATGACCTCACCTAAACCATATTACCTCCCAAAGGCCCCGCCTACCAGTACCATCCCACTGCGTGTTAGGGTTTCAACACATGAATTTTGAGGGAACACATTCAGTCTATAGCAATCAGAGTATGTAATATTAATATAACGATATCAACTTTATAGGTTTTACTCAGATTTCCTCAATTATCTCAATAACATAGTTTATAGCAATTTTCTCCCAGTCCAGGATCGTGGCTGCATAGTGTCACCATGCCTCTGAATCTTCCTCAATCTGAAACAGTTCCAAGGCCTTCAATGATTCATCGCAGTACCATTTTGAAGCATAAAATCAGCTGTTTTGTAGAATATTATTCAATGTAGATGTAATAAACATTTTGTCCCTATATTCACAAATAAATAGTAGTTGATGACACAGATTCTGAAGTCCTGTTGCCCGGTTTTGCCACTTTCTCTCTTTTTGAATTTGGGCAAGTTACTCAATCTCTCTATATTTAGGGTTTTTCTAACACATAAGGTAGCAGTAATAATAAAAAAGTAACTCCCATGTAAGAGTATTAGAAGGATTCACTGAGTTAGTATATGTCAAGCACAATACTTAACACACAGAAAGGCTTATCTGTATTTATTACAGCTGTTGTTATTGTTATTATTGATGACTAGTGCACTTAATATAGTTTTAAAATAATAATCAAAATAATGTGAAAGCCATATAGGATATTAATATTCTGCCAGTGTAGACTTATGATAAGCTGTTCCAAACTAACGAAGTCAGTCTTGTAAAAAAAAAAATCAATTGTCTTCTTTAATCATGCTTTCTCATAGGCAAGAGAAAAACAGCATTCTATATTACACTGTAGCCATGACCCTTCAGGATAAATAGATCGTGTAAAATTACTACAAGCATATGAAAAACTTCATGTGAAAATCAGTATAGGATGCAGTACAACATGTCCTATAATTAGTTAGAAAGGGCCTACGTAAGCCAGACATTTACACATCATAGCCACAAGAAAGGTTAATTTTTATTGAATTGAATATTTCCTAGTATGAAACCTGTGCCTCCTCTAGCTATTTAGACATCAATTTCCTATAATCCCAATTGAATTTGCTGTATTACACAGTATCACAAGGTCAAAGAAAAATCTACCATGACTTTGTTTGACAAGAGGAGAATATCAGTCATTACTTTCTCTCAGGTTAGTGAAACACTTGTACATTGCTAATTTCTGCCCTTCTCAGGCCTCTCAAATGACAGAAGTCAATTAAAGACTGTTTTTGCTTTACGGAGATTGACTTCCTGAGATATAAGTGTGAACAAGGCTAGATAGGAAGGATCCCCACGTGTTTAGACAAAACTAAGGGCAAAAAACAAGTTTATTACATGTCATGGAAGTTTAATTCTGAAGAATTTATTCGAAGGTCTTTTTAAGCAGTGGGTTGGAATGTCAACATTTTTAAAAACTTTTAAAATTATTTTAAAAATTTTTTGTGGGTACATAGTAAATGTATATATTCATGGGATATATGACATGTTTTGATACAGGCAATGTGAAATAAGCATATCACAGAGAATGGAGTTTCAATTCCCTCAAGCATTTATACTTTGAGTTACAAACAATGCAATTACTGAATGTCACCTTTAATGGAAAAGGTCTATTCAAGGTCATCATGCTTCTTGAGAGCATATTCAGACGAGGGTTCAGCTTGCCATTGTACAGTATTATATTGTCCATGTGTCTGTAATTAAATGTCTTTTAAAATTATTCATCCCTGAGTCTTCTGAGGGATAAAAGTTATACTCGTCATGTAATTATTTCAATAAAGATTTTTAAATGATAGCTCCATATTGCTGATTCCCAGACGCCCAGGCTCTCTCCGCTTCTCTGCGGATTCCTTGGTAAATGCCCATGTGATTTTTCAGAAAGTGATTTCTTGAGCACCTTGCCAACTGCTCAGGATTTTCAGGATTAAAGAACTAAACCACATCTGATTTGAAAGTAATCTGTCATTTATTTTTTTTCTAATTATTACTGCTTAGCTTAGGTTTCAACAATGTAAATGAAAGCTATTTTAGTTTGAATGTGTTAAAATGTGCTGAGTTTAAGTAACACATAGAAAGATATCAAACTCATGAGTATAGAGTTGCCTTATTTGAAGCCATATTTTAGTAACATTCTATTTAATTAAATATTCTATTAATTATTTTATTTAATATTCTATTTAATTAGTAGAACATAATGTAACATAATTACATATTAATGACCAGAGATCTCTCAGAAATTTTACTTATGTTTTGCTTGCATTAACTACTATAAAACCTCACAAAGGAGCCAATAATTTGATTAAATATTTTATAGGGCCATAAAGAAAAATGAGATGAAGCAGCCAGTAAAATGATTTTCTTGTTTTTAAGTCTTTAAACATTTATCTTTAGGGCCCTTAAAGATCCCTGTTAAATATTATATTTGCCATTTTCTGATTGTTAGATTTAAAAATTTCGTGGCTTGATTTATTAGAGTACAAATATTTTTTTCTAAAGTTGGATAGTTTGTTAAATAAAAATTTCTTTGAAAATGGGCATACAATGTGTAACAAACACGGGAAGATTTTAAAAATAAAACATAAATTTATTTTAAAAAGTGATGTGTTTAAAAATATTCTTACAAAGATTTTCAGTACTCAAAATTGAAAGTTTACTTAGTTTGTTCATATGGAAAATAATTCATCTACCAAAGCCATTTTGCAGAGGAAATACTTGAGAGGAAGGAAGCTTTTAGCACTTCATTGAATAATTTATGAACAGACCAACATTATATTAGTCAAATGAAATAAAGTGTCACTCTTAAAAGAGAAATCTTGTTCATTGTTGAAGTTTCTATACTCATTTGAGTAATGGAAAAATCGAGTTGTAATTGTTTATCTCTATTAAATAAATGGGTGAATAATACTGGTTACCTGTTTACTTGTAACACACTAGAAAAATATACTTTATTTTATATTACAATGAATCACATTGACCAGACATCATGAAATACAAATGCCTGAGATGCAGCTTGTCTCGACTAGTGAGGTAGCTTGATTTTGAAAATGTATGTTGGAGGCCTATTTTGAAGAATATGCCTGGTTAATTTTTTTGTTTGCTTCTGTGGAAGGAGTGAGTAGAAAACTCCTGAAGGTACGCTCTGCTGTTCGGCTTCCTTTCCACCGTGCTGAAGATTTGGCCAGCTCTAAGAAGAGCACCAGCAGGAAATTGGACCAAGGTAGATTCAGCCAACATGACACAGGATGAGATAGAAAATGGGGATTGACAAGGAGGAACAAGGGGAAAAAGGTCACAGTAGAAGATGGAAGATGGTGAAAAGTGGTTGATATCTAGGAAACTGAGTTATTAGAGAATTAGGGAAATTATAAAAATGATTATTTTCATATACATTTCTGTGTAAATAAAATTATAAGAGTAAGATTTGCATAACTCAACAGAAAAATTTCTGTTTTTCCTCTTTTTTTCGGCTATAGAAATTGGATAACAAATGTTAAAGCTTTTATAATGTATTTTTAAACCCTTAGAACAATGTCTGGTGTATAATAAGTGCCCAATAAATGTTAATTATTATTATATTTAACAAGACCAATGGGACCACTTGCTTGAACTTGTTTAATTTATAGATGAAGATTCTACATCCCTGAGAGATATTTTTAAAAATGAATAGAAGTCAGTTTTCACCAAAACAATAGTAAAACTTAAATAAAATTGTAGCTCTGTATTAATTTTAACTGTATTTTGTTGGTTTTTAACACAGAATGGACTGACATAGTTTCTAATGATAAAGTAAGAATTTAAAAGTTAGCACGATTATACACTAAATTGCTCTTTTTTGCACCTATGTTTTTTAATTCACTAGCATATTATGGACAGAATGAGACTCCTGTAGGCAGTAGTACCGGTAAAAATGAATCTTGTCCTTCAGCTTTCTGTTTTTGTCAGGTTTAGCTCTTATTTTCATTCATATAGAATGCCTTTTGATTATTTCTTTTTATACTAATAAATTTTAAAAACTAGAAATTCGTGATAACTTCTTAATTGATTAAAATGCGTTAGCTGAACTTAGATTCTTCTCAATCATTTCTCTTTACAATATAACTTATTTATGTTCACAGCTAGTAAAAATAATTATTACAAAATACATTGAAGGAGACTGTCAGACTATGATTCGGGGGACACGTCTGTCACCTCTTTGAATATATTAAGCATCTAATTATTATGTAATGAATCCAATACTTTTGTATGATCTAGAACATTGATTATTTTACAAAAATCTTGAAATTTTCTTGGTTTTCTTCTCAGTATGGCACACACTTGAGTTTTCAAAATTTGCAACATTAACCAAAAAACAAAAAGTAACAGGTAAAAGCATTGCAATTTTTAGGGACTCTGAATTTCATTTTTGATATTTATTCTTCCACTGAGGGAGATTGTATTGAATTCTTTTTTTTTTCTGTAAGAGTAGAAAAACAAAAACAAAAACAAAAAAAGCAGCAATGACCACATTCCATTGATACAAATTTAGAGGAAGTGAATTGAAGGTGCATGCTGTGTGCTTTGCAGAAACTTTAGATTTATTTGCTTTGGCTTTTTTTTTTTTATTTTTATTGATTCATCTCAAAGAGAGAAGCAAAAGATTTCAGGTCTGTAGTAAGTTACTTTTCACGAAAGCCCCAAATTTTATTGTTTGTTCAGTTTTAAATGCAATAAGCACCATATAGTATTGAATATGTTGCAATCAAAGTTTAACCCTTCATGTAGTTAGTCCTAAGGAATTATTTTATTCAGAAATAAAATTTACTAAAATGGAGTAAATGGGAGAAAACAGAGGAATGTGCTCCAAATAATTCAAGAACATGAGCCTATCAAATGTGACATCCAGAAATAAATAAATTTTGAAAAGATAATTGGTTCTAAATACTATTTTAACTCTTTTGTCTTAATTTTATTTCCCCTCCTGAATTATCCTTTTCTTCTTTTCTGTTTGTTGCCTTCAACTATTTCTTAAACCTCTTCAGCCTATAAACCAAAAGCTAGATGAATAGATGTAAAATGTAAAGCAAACATATAATAAAAATAAATAAGGCATTGAATATAACTCAGTAAACAGATGAAATAACAAGTGTCAATCTACCTTAAAAAACAATTAAATACTGCTCATAATGGAAAACAAAACAACTTAACAATTTTTGAAATAAAATATTTTATCAGTATGTTATATTTTTCTGAAGCTTGAAGTTTCTTAGATTGTACCTTAAAAATAATTCATAAAGAGGTTTTCTAACATTTAACTGGATCTGTAAAGGTATTTGATATAAAATATATAGCTTTCTCAGCTGTTTCTTTTAGCCATGTGAGGATTACATTTCATTAGAACAAAGCCTGGTTTTGTAGCATTCAGCAATAAGTTGTAGCACACAATGAAACTCAAATATATAAAATGAGCTGAAATTATTTTCCTTTTCTAACACCTTTTCAGTGAAATTCCATGCCATTAATGAGAAAAAGATTGAAAAAACGAATTGCTGTATTTCCTATCTAGCATATTTTTCAGCTGATAGTCCTCTATATTTCTTTGCTTCTTATAAAATCTGCTTCAAAAAAATTACACCACCCCAAAATGCATACACACACTCCACCGGGCAATAACAGATATTTAAAACAAACAAACAAACAAACAAAAAAAACAAGTTTTGGGCCAGGTGCGGTGGCTCACGCCTGTAATCCCAGCACTTTGGGAGGCCGAGGTCGGGAGATCACTTGAGGTCAGAAGTTCAAGTCCAGCCTGGCCAACATGGCAAAATCCCGTCTCTACTAAAAATACAAAAAATTAGCCGGGCGTAGTGGCGGGCGCCTGTAGTCCCAGCTACTTCGGAGGCTGAGGCAGGAGAATGGCGTGAACCTGGGAGGCGGAGCTTGCAGTGAGCCGAGATCCCTCCACTGCACTCCAGCCTGGGCGACAGAGCGAGACTCCGTCTCAAAAAAAAAAAAAAAAAAAAAAAAATACAAAATTTGCTGGGCATGATGGTGCGTGTTTGTAATCCCTGCTACTAGGGAGGTTGAGGCACGAGAATCACTTGAACCCAGGAGACGGAGGTTGCAGAGAGCCAAGATTGCACTGCTGCACTCCAGCCTGGGTGGAAGAGTGAAACTGTGTCTCAAATAAATTAATAAATAATATAAAAATTAAAATATATATAATATAAAAATTTTTAAAAATAAGTTTTGAAAAGCCCTTTGCTTGGGCCATTTTAACTGTCCATTTTATAGACCTTCTAGGACCCAGCCTTCCTCCTTCCTGGTGAATCTGGGAGAAGTCAGTGTAACTTAATATAACTTGCTCTTTAATACACAAAGGGGAGTGCTCTGTGTGGGTAACAGACGATTTCAGATTTGAATTCCCAAATACTTTGTCATGATCAAGTAAGGAAGGAGCCAAAATTTGGCCCCACTCAGTCAGCAAATAATCATGTTTCTAAATTGCTCTGAGCCATTGGCTTTGATCCAGGTTTAAAATGAGTTGGTTTAAATAATGGCACTCTGACCCTCTGATTCTAAATTTTCAGTATGTTTCACACTGCCTAGGATCATGAGACCGCTCGGAGGCTCAGAGAGGACCTCGTGTGGCCTGATAATTGCTGCAGCACGTATAGCGGTGTGACCCTTTGGAACTCTGAAGTCAGAGCATGTCGGTTAACCCAGAGTGTGGCCACATGAACGCTGTGGGAGGCAGGAGGAATTTTGAGATACCCTCCCCAGAGAAGGGCCTTGGGTAGCAGTCCTAACACAAAGGACTCCACTGAGAAGTGTTGATCTGTTAGAACAGAGCTGGGTACATGACAGTGTTCTGGCTCAGGTCAACACTTCCTGGTTCCAGCCCTTGGTAGGGTGCTTTCCATAGCTCTGCCACATGCTTCCGGGGAGTTCAGAAGGGCCCATCCTGGTCCCTGCACAAGTACATGTTTCAATCAGAACAGCTGATCGATAAAAAGAGACTAGCACATGTAAAATCATTGCAACCCCATGAAAGTGATTGCAGTAGGTCTGAGAAGCGTGAGTCATTGAGGGCTGAACAGTCAGAGAACACCCTGCACTGATCAGTCTATCCATTTGCTCCATAAACATTGCAGACTCATTCATTCTCTGGCTGGATTGTGTTAAGCTAAGAACACAAAAGTGAGCAAGACTCAGTCCCTGCTCTTGCTGATTTTACACAGTATTCATTCATACACTATATAGTCATAATAGTTCCAATTTCAGTTTTAAAAAAAAACAAATTTAGGTTATTTGAGTCCTTTTTTTTCCCAAAAAAAAGTGTCCACAATATTTTGAGTTTTCTTTTTTTAATGATTATTATACTTTAAGTTCTGGGATACATGTGCAGAACGTGCAGTTTTGTTACATAGGTATACACATGCCATGGTGGTTTGCGGCACCCATCGCCTGTCACCTACATTTGGTATTTCTTCTAATGCTAACCCTCCCCTAGCATCCCATTCCCCACAGGCCCTGGTGTGTGATGTTCCCCTCCCTGTGTCCATGTGTTCTCATTGTTCAACTCCCACTTATGAGTGAGAACATGCAGTGTTTGATTTTCTGATCTTGTGAGAGTTTGCTAAGAATGATGGTTTCCAGCTTCATCCATGTCCCTGCAAAGGAAATGAACTCATCCTTTTTTATGGCTGCATGGTATTCCATGGTGTATATGTGCCACATTTTCTTGATCCAGTTTATCATTGATAGACATTTGGGTTGGTTCCAAGTCTTTGCTATTGTAAATAGTGTTGCAATAAATATATGTGTGCATGTGTCTTTATCATAGAATAATTTATAATCCTTTGGGTATAGGCCCAGTATTGGGATTGCTGGGTCAAATGGTATTTCTAGTTCTAGATGATCGCCACACTGTTTTCCACAATGGTTGAACTAATTTACACTTCCACCAACAGTATAAAAGCGTTTCTATTTTTCCACAACCTCTCCAGCATCTGTTGTTTCCTGACTTTTTAATGATCACCATTCTAATTGGTGTGAGATGGTATCTCATTGTGGTTTTGATTTGCATTTCTCTAATGACCAGTGGTGATGAGCATTTTTTCATGTCTGTTGGCTGCATAAATGTCTTCTTTTGAGAAGTTTCTGTTCATATTCTTTGACCATTTTTTGATGAGGTTGTTTGCTTTTTTTCTTGTAAATTTGTTTAAGTTCTTTGTAGATTCTGGATATTAGCCCTTTGTCAGATGGATAGATTGAAAAAATTTTCTCCCATTCTGTAAGTTGCCTGTTCACTCTGATGATAATTTCTTTTGCTGTGCAGAAGCTCTTTAGTTTAATTAGATCCCATTTGTCAATTTTGGCTTTTGTTGCCATCACTTTTGGTGTTTTAGACATGAAGTCTTTGCCCATGCTTATATCCTGAATGATACTGCCCAGGTTTTCTTCTAGGATTTGTATGGTCCTAGGTCTTATGTTTAAGTCTTTGATCCATCTAGAGTTAATTTTTGCATAAGGTGTAAGGAAGGGGTCCAGTTTCAGTTTTCTGCATATGGCTAGCCAGTTTTCCCAATATCATTTATTAAATAGGAAATCTTTTCCCCATTGCTTGTATGTGTCAGGTTTGTCAAAGATCAGATGGTTGTATATGTGTGGTGTTATTTCTGAGGCCTCCATTCTGTTCCATTGGTCTATATATCTGTTTTGGTACCAGTACCATACTGTTTTGGTTACTGTAGCCTTGTAGTGTAGTTTGAAGTCAGGTAGTGTGATGCCTCCAGCTTTGTTCTTCTTGCCCAGGATTGTCTTGGCTATGTGGGCCCTTTTTTGGTTCCATATGAAGTTTAAAGTAGTTTTTTCCATTTCCAGTGGTAGCTTGATGGGGATAGCATTGAGTCTATAAATTACTTTGGACAGTAAGGCCATTTTCACGATATTGATTCTTCCTATCCATGAGCATGGAATGTTTCTCCATTTGTTTGTGTCCTCTCTTATTTACTTCAGTAGTGGTTTGTAGTTCTCCTTGAAGAGGTCCTTCACATCTCTTGTAAGTTGTATTCCTAGGTATTTGATTCTTTTAGTAGCAATTGTGAATGAGAGTTCACTCATGATTTGGCTCTCTGTCTGTTATTGGTGTATAAGAATGCTTGT
Source organism: Homo sapiens (assembly GCF_000001405.40). NCBI lineage: Eukaryota > Metazoa > Chordata > Mammalia > Primates > Hominidae > Homo > Homo sapiens. The sequence goes on along the minus strand of NC_000021.9, from coordinate 29,902,479 downwards.
GATTTTTGCACATTGATTTTGTATCCTGAGACTTTGCCAAAGTTGCTCATCAGCTTAAGGAGAATTTGGGCTGAGATGATGGGGTTTTCTAAATATAAAATCATGTCATCTGCAAACAGAGACAATTTGACTTCCTCTCTTCCTGTTTGAATACGCTTTATTGCTTTCTCTTGCCTGATTGCCCTGGCCAGAACTTCCAATACTACGCTGAATAGGAGTGGTAAGAGAGGACATCCTTGTCTTATGCCGGTTTTCAAAGGAAATGCTTCCAGGTTTTGCCCATTCAGTATGACATTGGCTGTGAGTTTGTCATAAATAGCTCTCAGTATTTTGAGATACATTCCACCAACACCTAGTTTATTGAGAGTTTTTAGCATGAAAGGCTGTTGAATTTTGTCAAAGGCTTTTTCTGCATCTATTGAGATAATCATGTGGTTTTTGTCTTTGGATCTGTTTATGTGATGGGTTACATTTATTAATTTGTGTATGTTGAACCAGCCTTGCATCCTAGGGATGAAGCTGACTTATTGTGGTGGATAAGCTTTTTGATGTGCTGCTGGATTGGTTTGCCAGTATTTTATTGAGGATTTTTGCATCGATGTTCATCAGGGTTATTGGCCTAAAATTCTCCTTTTTTTTCTTGTGTCTCTGCCAGGCTTTGGTATCAGAATGATGCTGGCCTCATAAAATGAGTTTGGGAGGATTCCCTCTTTTTTCTATTGATTGGAATAGTTTCAGAAGGAATGGTACCAGCTCCTCTTTGAACTTCTGGTAGAATTCGGCTGTGAATCCGTCTTGTCCTGGACTTTTTTTGGTTGGTAGGCTATTAATTATTGGCTCAATTTCAGAATCTGTTATTGGCCTTTTCAGAGATTCAACTTCTTCCTGGTTTAGTCTTGGGAGGGTGTATGTGTCCAGGAATTTATCCACTTCTTCTAGATTTTCTGGTTTATTTGTGTAGAGGTGTTTATAGTATTCTCTGGTGGTAGTTTGTATTTCTGTGGGATCGGTGGTGATATCCCCTTTATCATTTTTTATTGCATCTATTTGATTTTCCTCTCTTTTCTTCATTAGTTTTGCTAGCAGTCCATCTATTTTGTTGATCTTTTCAAAAAACCAGCTGCTGGATTGGTTGATTTTTTGAAGGGTATTTTGTGTCTCTATGTCCTTCAGTTCTGCTCTGATCTTAGTTATTTCTTGTCTTCTGCTAGCTTTTGTATTTGTTTGCTCTTGCTTCTCTAGTTTTTTAATTGTGATGTTAAGATGTCAATTTTAGATCTCTCCTGCTTTGTCCTGCTTTCTCTTGTGGGGATTTAGTGCTATAAATTTCCCTCTACACACTGCTTTAAATGTGTCCCAGAGATTCTGGTACGTTGTGTCTTTGTTCTCATTGGTTTCAAAGAACATCTTTATTTCTGCCTTCATTTCTTTATTTACCCAGTAGTCATTCAGGAGCAGGTTGTTCGGTTTCCATGTAGTTATGTGGTTTTGAGTGAGTTTCTTAATCCTGAGTTCTAATTTGATTGCACTGTGGTCTGAGAGACAGTTTGTTGTGATTTCTGTTCTTTTACATTTGCTGAGGAGTGCTTTGCTTCCAATTACGTGGTCAATTTTAGAATAAGTGTGATGTGGTGCTGAGAAGAATATATATTTTGCTGATTTGGGGTAGAGGGTTCTGTAGATGTCTATTAGGTCTGCTTGGTCCAGAGCTGAGTTCAAGTCCTGGATATCCTTGTTAATTTTCTGTCTCGTTGCTCTGTCTAATATTGACAGTGGAGTGTTAAAGTCTCCCATTATTATTGTGTGGGAGTCTAAGTCTCTTTGTATGTCTCTAAGAACTTGCTTTATGAAACTGGGTGCTCCTGTATTGGGTGCATATATATTTAGGGTAGTTAGCTCTTATTGAATAGATCCCTTTACCATTATGTAATGGCCTTGTCTCTTTTGATCTTTGTTGGTTTAGAGTCTGTTTTATCAGAGACCAGGATTGCAACCCTTGCTTTTTTTTTTTTTTTTTCTTGCTTTCCATTTGTTTGGTAGATCTTCCTTCATCCCTTTATTTCAAGCCTATGTGTGTCTTTGCAAGTGAGATGGGTCTCCTGAATACAGCACACCAATGGGTCTTGACTGTTTATCCAATTTGCCAGTCTGTGTCTTTTAATTGGGGCATTTAGCCCATTTACATTTAAGGTTAATATTCTTATGTGTGAATTTGATCCTGTCATTATGATGCTAGCTGGTTATTTTGCCCATTAATTGATGCAGTTTCTTCATAGCATTGATGGTCTTTACAATTTGGCATGTTTTTGCAGTGGCTGGTACCAGTTGTTCCTTTCCATATTTAGTGCTTCCTTCAGGAGCTCTTTTTCTTTTTATTTTCTTTTTTTTTTTTTTTTGAGACAGAGTCTCATAAGGCAGGCCTGGTGGTGACAAAATCTCTCAGCATTTGCCACTTTGAGTTTTCCTTACATAGAAAATGTATTTATCATGTGTTTTCTGTACCCAGCACAGTGCTTAATACATAGAAGGTAGTTAAGGAATCTTTGCTAACTAAAGGAATCAGTGTGTTTTTGTACTGAATATGTAATAAGCATTTAGTTGGGCATGTGTCTGAGACATTTGGGAAGGTAATTCTTCCTCAGCATGACCTGACGATTTCTGTCCCATCTCAGTTCAACTGAGTAAGTCCATCTGCATCATTTTCTTCTACTTCAGTCTGGGGCAGCCCTGGCACAAGGAGCATAGAGTACATGCCACCAAGATGTCCCCAAATCCTCCCTCTGGTCACCTGAAAATGACATCTCTATAATCAGTCCCCTTGAGGTTATTCTCTAAATTTTGTCCTAAGAGATTAAAAATAGAACTAGATTATCAGCTCTGGGAGTGGTTTATAAATATGTTTATTAAGTAATAGCAAAACATACCAAAAAAAAAAAAAGGTAAAGCAGCATGCCTTATCACTCTATAGATACTATACTTCCTTACATGACTATGACAAGAGACTGATCAGGACAGCAAGGCAAGAATGAAAAGACGCATGAAAAACTTTGAAGGACTGGATTTAAAACATCCATTAGGCCAGTCAGACAAACCTGCATAGGCATGGAAGGCAGCAATAATAGCCAAGCTTAGAAAGGATTATTGTACAAAAGTGTATCAGGAAATCCTAGGTGCTCCAGGACTGCATACTTACTCGAAGCTAAACTGTAGTAGGTCTTAAAAAACAATCAAAAGTAACAAAAAGCCCTGAATGACCTCAGACCTAATCACAAATTTAGGTGTTGTTAATGCTAGTCCTTCAGAGTAATTTCAGGACACTTTGAGCAATATTGTATATATTTAGCTGATTTCAAAATTTAATTCTCATTTCAATTTGGTAAATCATTTAAAAAGAAGGCCAGTTAAAAACTGACTTTTAGAGAAAGCCCAGATATGTTGTATTACAATAAGAATATGAAAAAAGCCATTAGATTATATAAGTAGATGTTTTCACAATTTTTTTTTTTTGAGACGGAGTTTCACTCTTGTTGCCCAGGCTGGAGTGCAATGACGTGATCTCGGCTCACTGCAACCTCCACCTCCCAGGTTCAAGCGATTCTCCTGCCTTAGCCTCCCGAATCTCATTGCCAACTATTATGTTAATTGAAATATATAAAATCTACTTTGAATACTTATTTGTGTACTCAAAATACCTTTGCCTGCTAATGTGCAATTTCATATGCATTTTTTCTCATAAAATTCTATAAGAAAAGTATGCTATCAGCATGATTTCTGAATCCACTAAAAAGCACACTATATTAAAGAACTATTAATTGTCTTTTTGTTAAGAAGCCTAATTATTGCATATGGTCTAATAACCCAGCAGGTATGCTATCTTTTTAGGTACGAAACCAAACATACTAATTTTTAAAGCAACGGGGAGATCTTTTTCCAGATGGAATCTTCTACTTTGGTTTCAGGTAACTAGATTGTCCTCTCATAGTCTAAGACCAAGCTTATTAGTCAGTGTCTCTGGCATGACTTACTGGATGCATTAGGGCTGAACTAACCCCCTCACCTGACCTGTGCCCATAGAACCTTTTGCCCTGTCATCCCTTCTGTCAGCCTTTCCTGGTGTATTTCCTCACCCACAATGTTAGGAGGGGACTTGTTCCCAGACTGTGTCGAGGGCATCGTAGCACTTAGGAATGTTGGCTGAGTGAATTGCACCACAATATCAGCTTCATGGGGCAGGGACTTTTGTTCTGCTGTTTGCAGCTGGTAGAATAAAGGTATCTGCTGCAGAAACAAGTAATTTAAAGTATAATTAGGTCTTTAGGAAAGAAAAGGGGAAAATTCTATTAATACCAGGATTCTTGTGATATTCACCCAAGAACAGATTATTAGAACATGTATGAGTGGTAGAATTAAGACTCAGTAGGCGAAGAAGCTAAAGACATGAAATTTAACTCGGCCTGGTAACTAGGGCAAGTTACTTTAATCCTTCTGATCATGTTTCCTCATCTCTAAAATATAACTGCAAATATTTCTCCTCCTCCTGGCTTTACACAATTGTTCAAGTCTATAAGATAAGATATGGCAGTTTTATTCAAATATATGTCAAAATGACTTTGTCAGTCTTGTTTTATATACTTGGCCCAATCACATATATCATTTGTGCTTCAGAACAGCTACAATGAAGTGGGAATTATTATGCTTGTGCTTTACAGCTAAAGATTCTAAAAATCAGAGATTAAATAACTTGCCCATGGTTTATGGCTGCCTGTGGCAGAACCCAGATTATAACCCAAAGCTTTTAAGATGTCACATTAATTCACTCCAAGTCCTGGACTAACGTTATTTTTTATAACCTGGACTCAAATTACTTCTGCAGCTTTTCAAATTTGTTTTGGGTTTAACATGAATGTAAAATTTTCTAATAATAAAGCTAAATCATTATTGAAATTGATTAAGCAATGAAGTGAGAAACAAGGGTAACTAATTATGTGCAAAGTGAGCCTGACCTATAGAGGAAAATACATGTTTGAAGGAAAGATCGCTACCAATTTCTTCATTTTCTCCAATTCCCCTTAGTTATATAATTGAATTCTCTGCCATGCTTTTCAAGATTTTAAGATAATATTTCAACGTCAGGATCATTCCATGTCAATTTCATTTGCAGGCATGCTTTACTGTCAGGATCAATGGTTCTTTGTAATTTCAACTTGAAATTCACTCTGCCTCTTGGTACCACCTGCCACCGAACTAGCTAAGCTTGGTTTTGACACAGTTCCCACTTTCTAAGTCATTAATAACACTTTGGAAATACCTTCATACTTGCTACAAATCACTCAGACAAAGGCATGAAAAATTATCAGGTCGAGATTGTGTGTATGTGCACACACACATGCACACAGGACTATATGAAGTATTGTGTAATCTGATTGTTTTAAATCCGCTTCTCATTCATTGTAAGGAAATTTGAGTTTTTTAGGTTAAGGGGGTAAAAGATTTTGCCTTTTGCCTCACCTTTTGGAACCCACAGACTCAGAGGCTGCAAGAGCTACAAAGTGCCCTTGACAATAAGCTCCTTTCTAAAAATGAGGGGAGTTTGGATGGGGTGAGGTGGGGTTGCTCACGTTTACAGAGCCACTGTGCTGAGTCCACTCTGCTTCCAGCCTCTCTCCAGCTCTGTAGTGTTGATTCCGAGGCAGCCACCACATCACCAATAGTGACCCAAGTAGCTAATCTTTACATAGAATTGGTCAGTTCATTCATTCTTTTATCTCTTAGGCTTCCTCTGTAGTAGAAGTCATAAGATAGTGAATACAGTGTATTTCCTGACTTCTAAAGATCCTGCAAAATATTAGCAAAATTCACAACCTTAACAGCTACTATGTGACAGATATGTGTTATATGTCAGATACTGTGATAAGCAATGTATATATAAAATTCATTCATTCAAAATACATTTTTTGAGTGCCTATATATTCTGGGCATTGTCCTAGATACTGGGGATATGGCAGGGAACAAGACAGACAAAATTCCCCATCTTCAAAGAACTTGTTTTCCTTTTTGGTACACAAACAAAAATAAGTAAAATATGTAGCATATTAAGTTGCAATAAATGCTAAGGGGAAAGAATGAAGCAGAGAAGGAAAATATTGCAGTGTGATACTGAAATTTTACCTAGGGTACCCAGGGGAAAAGCTCACGAGAAATTGAGTTTTTAATTGCATTTCAAATGACAAAACTACATCAAAAGCAATAATGTATCAGGAGAACAGTTTGCACACAATTCGCCTCACTGATACAACTTCCCTTTGGAGTGTATTTGCTTCCAGCCTTTGTCAATATGCATGCAGGTGTTCCATATTAGACTCAGCAGCATTTTCTTCTCTATTGTAGCTATAGGATAGAATATCAGTTTAGTGAAAATATTTGGAAAAAAGCGAGGGAGATAGCCATGCAGGTAGTTGTGGGGAGGGCACTCTGGGTAGAAAATATGTGCCTTGGTTATTTCAGGGACAACACAGAGGTCAGTGTGGCTGGAGCAAAGGAAACAAGGAGAGGAGATGAAAGTGCTACACTGAGTATGATGAGAAGTCAGTGGAAGCCTTCAAACCTTCACATTATCTACTGTCCTCTGAATTTCACGTATGTGAAAACCCGAGGCTAAGAGAAGGTAAACTGCTTTCCCCAGATCATTCAGCTAAGTGGCAAAGCTGAAATTTCAAAATCTTATACGTCTGATTCCAAAATCCATACTAATGATGATACTGTCCTGCATGTATTAAAGGAAGACCAATATGAAGACCTGAATACACTGCAACAAGTGCTATAGACAAAGTAAAATCAACTGCTGCGTGAATGTTCATTACATCTGGGAGGATGTGGCAAGATTTCTTGGAGGAGTTACTGTTCACCTTGGATCTTTTCGAGAGACATGGATGGGCTAAGGGCATTCCAGACACATGGTCAAGAAAAATATCCCTTTTGATTTTGTAACCATTAAAAAATCTTTATGTACAAATTGCTTTAATATTCTTGTAGTTGTTGTTTGCCTGTTTTTTCTTTCAAAAAGGCATTACAAAGGGGGAAAGTGCAATGAACTGTGAGTTAAAAGGTGTGATTCTCAAGGATTTTGACGAGATCTCCCTATCCACATGCCTCCTAGACATTCCTTCATTTGATCCGCAGGTTCGTTGAACTAGACATGCCCAGAAATACACTCATTCTCTTCATCTGTGAACCTACCCCTGGGTTTTCACTCCCAGTGAATGTTACCATCATCCACTGAGTTGACCACACTTGAAATCTCAAGGTCATTCTAGATTAGTTCTTTTTGCCTCCAAGTCAGCCTCTAACTCCAAGGCTTGTCAATATTCTTACTTAAATATCTGTTGAACCCATCCCTTTTCTGAGCCCCCTGCCACCACCACTATTAGATCCGTATCAATTCTCATGGATTAAGGAGGAAAAAGCATCTTAATTGAATATTTGCTTGCAGTCTTTTCCATTCATTTGTTCATTCTAAACATATTAA